>NC_000009.12:136951656-137643186 GCF_000001405.40 Homo sapiens | reverse complement strand
CAAGGCCAGGCACGGTGGCTCATGCCTGCAACCGCAACACCTTGGAAGACTCAAGTAGGAGGGATCTTCTAAGACCAGGAGTTGGAGACCAGCCTGGGCAACACAGTGAGACCCCATCTCTACAAAAAAAAAATTAAAAATCAGCAGGGAATAGTGGCACGCACCCATAGTCCCAACTACTCGGGAGGCTGAGGCAGGAGGATCTCTTTAGCCCAGGAGGTCAAGGCTGCAGTGCTATGATTGTGCCACTGTACTCCCACCTGGGTGACAGAGCGAGACCCTGTCAAGAGGGGAGGGGAGGGGAATGCAATCAAGAGCGCCAGTAAAAGCAGCTACACAGGTAAAGTATAAAAGCAGCTACATAAGACAGTATAAATGTATTTGTTAATTTATAATTTGTTTTTTCTCCTATATGATTTGAAAGACAATTGCGTAAAGCAGCAACTATAAATCTGCGTAGATGGGCACACAGTGTAATGTAATTTGTATGACAATAACAGTACAAGAAGGGCAAAAGAAATTAAGCTATGCCCAAATAAATATTTCATATAGTATTGTAATATAGTATTAATACAAACTACATTATCAAAAATTAATATACTAAATTGTAATCCCCAGGACAACCAAGAAAACAAATAAAAAATACAGTCAAATAAACAGCAAGGGAATTAAAATGGTATACACTAGAAAATATCTAACACAAAAGAAGAAAGCAATGAGTCAGGCGTTGTGGTACGCCTGCAGTCCCAGCTACTCAGGAGGCTGAGGTGGGAGGATCCTGTGAGCCCGGGAGTTCAAGGCCACGGTGCACTATGATCATGCCTATGAATACTCACTGCGCTCCAGCCTGGGCAACATAGTGAAACTCCATCTCCATGAAGAACAAAAACTAACTGAGGCAGAAAGTAACAAAAAAGACAGAAGACGCAGAAAGCAAATACAAAATCGACAAGTATAAACCCTACCTTTCAGTAATTACATTAGATGAAACGCATTACCTGTCCCACATGAAAAGTAGAGACTGGGGGAATAGATTAAAAAATTTGGGGCCGGGCGCAGTGGCTCACACCTGTAATCCCAGCACTTTGGGAGGCCGAGGCGGGTGGATCACCTGAGGTCAGGAGTTCAGGACCAGCTTGGCCAACTTGACGAAACTCCGTCTCTACTAAAAATACAAAAATTAGCCAGGCATGGTGGTGGGTGCCTGTAGTCCCAGCTACTCAGGAGGCTGAGGCAGGAGAACAGCTTGAACCATGGAGTTGGAGGGCATGGGGGCAGAGGTTGCCATGAGCCAAGGTCATGCCACTGTACTCCAGCCTGGGTGACAGAGCGAGACTCCATGTCAAAAAAAAAAAAAATGTGATCTTAGTCCTATGAGCTTCTTCCTGATGAGCAAGGAGGCCCTTGGGTCCAGACTCTCCTCCCGGAATGACCCCCAAACACCCGTCTCTGCCCCTGCCTGAAAGGAAGACATGGCGCCAGCCCCTGACAGAGGCCAGAGGAAGAGAGGAACAGAACAAGCGGCAACCAAGCCCACGAGGAAGCACAGCACAAAACAGGCTTCAGAAACAGGCTTAGCAAGTGAGCGGCAAGCGGACTGGGAGAGCGAACATAGACAAATTCGGCCAACCACGTTCTTCAGGGCAGATGAGAATTGATTCCCAAAATCCCCAATTTCTGGGTAATAACATTTGTCAGCCATCCACAAGCGTCTGCACTGCTTGGGAGGAGGATGAAGAGGCACTGCATTGTTTGACCAGTGCTGAAGTGACAGAATTTGAAGATATTAAATCAGGTTACAGAATAGGTTTTTATTTTGACGAAAATCCTTACTTCAAAAATAAAGCTCTCTCAAAGAATTTCATCTGAATGAGAGTCATGATCCATCTTCAAAGTCCACGGAAATCAAATGGAAATCTGGAAAGGAAACTCTTCAAGTCAAATGCAGAATAAAGCCAGTAGGAAGAGGCATCCTGAGGAACCAGACAGGTTCTTCACCTGGTTTACTGGCCATTCTGACGCAGGTGCAGATGAGTTAGGAGAGGTCAGCAAAGACCATACTTGGCCAAATTCATCACAGTGCTCCTTGGTTCCCAATATGGATGATAAAGAAGGAGAAGACGAAGATGATGAGGAGGAGGAACTGGAAGACACTGATGAGGAACGGGATAAGGAGAAGATAACTAATAGAACACACATGGATTAGAACCTTCCTTTTTTAAAGCTGTCTCCAGTTCCCGGGAGCAAGGTGCAGTCTTGCTTTTTCCCTCTTGTGCTCACCCAGTTCTTGAGGTCTCTTTTGTCTACACCGTGGATCTCAACTTATCTGGGGGGGAAATACCTTGAGGAGAATAAAATGTGAAAAGAATCTCTACCTCTTTCTGTTTCAAACTCATTTTTATCCCTTCCTATCTCAACAAACTTGTATGGAATCAACATCACCATGTTCTATGGAAAAAAGAACAACTTTCTGCCCCCTTTGCACTGTTGGAAGCTAAAGGGCGCCAGGCCCCTATAATGCAGAGAATTCTAGCATTTTTTCCTTCTCTGCATATTGGGCTCAGAGAAAACATGTATCTACTTGCTCTTGATTAAAAAAAGAAAATTTCAGACCAGGCACAGGGGTGCACACCTGTAATCCTAGCACTTTGGGAGACCAAGATGGGAGGATCACTTGAGGCCAGGAGTTCAAAACCAGCCTGAGCAACATAGGAAGACCCCATCTTTACAAAAAATTTAAAAATTAGCTGGACATAGTGGCAGATGCCAGTGGTCCCAGCTGATCAGGAAGCCAAGGTGGGAGGACTGCTTGAGCCCAGGGTCAAGGCTGCAGTGAGCTATGATCACGCCACTGCACTCCAGCCAGGGTAACAGCAAGACCAGGTCTCTAAAACACACAAAAATAAAACAAAACAAAAATTAAAATTAAAAGCTTTAAAAAATAAGGTTACAGGCCAGGCACGGTGGCTCACACCCGTAATCCCAGCACTTTGGGAGGCCGAGGCAGGCGGATCACCTGAGTTCAGGAGTTCAAGAACAGCCTGGCCAACACAGCGAAACCCCATCTCTACTAAAAATATAAAACTTAGCCGGGCACAGTGGCACATGCCTGTAATCCTAGCTACTCGGGAGGCAGAGGCAGGACAATCACTCGAACCCGGGAGGCAGAGGTTACGGTGAGCCAAGATCGCGCCATTGCACTCCAGCCTGGGCAACAAGAGCGAGACTCCGTCTCTAAATAAATAAGGTTACAGAAGGCCAGCAAAGGGTGGGTCTCAAATGTCTGGTGGGTTGAGTGGGCATTCTGATATCACAGCTCCTCCTCTGGCTGATTAATGGGGAGGTACAACAGACATCCTTGCAGTCTAAGGTGACACTTTAAAAATAAAATCTCTTCTATCAGGTAAGAAAAATACATATATATGATTCAACTGCTGAATCTACAAGATCCGATCTCAGATGGAAAGGACTGTAAGAGACATCCCTTCGATTGAAGATACAAAGAGATTAAAAGGCCAGAAAAAGATATAGTATGCAAAAATAAACCATAAAAAAACTGAAGTGGCTATACTGACATCAGACAAAATAGACTTTAAAACAAAAACATTTATAGAGACAAAGAGGGACATTTCATAATGAGAGAAGTGTCAAAACACCCAGGCAGATGTAACAACTATAAACACACGCAAGATAACATAGTCTCAAAACACGAGGCAAAAACCAACAGAACTGAAAGTGAAAATGTAAAATTCGACAGTACTGTAGATCTCATACTCTACTCTCAATAACTAATAGAACTAGAAAGAAAATGAGAAAGAATAAGGAAGACTTAATACTATCAACCAATTCAATCTGACATATAGGGAACATTCCACCTAATAAATTCATAATGCACATTATTTTCAAGCACTGATGAAACATTCCCCAGGACAGAATATAATACGGGATTTTTTTTTTAATCTAACAAATTAAACACACTGAAACTATACAAAGTATAATTCTGACCATACAGGAATTACATTAGAAATCAACAAAACAAAGAAATCCAGGAAATACCTAAATATTTAGAAATTAAATGACACACTTCTAAAGTCACAAGGGAAAATAGAAAATATTCTGAACTGAATAAAAATGAAAATACAACATATCAACATTTATAGGAAGCAGCCTGTTTTTTCCTAGGACACATGTAACAATAGAAATGTATGGTCTCGAAGTTCTGAAGGCTGGAAGTCCACAATGAAGGTGTCAGTAGGCCTTGTGGTCTGTAATGGCTTTGGAGTGCCATCCCCTGCCTCGGCCAGGCTCTGGGGTCTGCTGGCCGTCCCTGACACTCCTTGGCTTATGGAAGCATCACCCCAGTCATGCGCCACTTCTCCCTGTGTGTCCGCATGCTGTCTTCCTTCTGTGCATGTCTGTGTTCACAAGGCATCCTTTTTTTTTTATGAGGACACGTAAGTCATACTGGATTAGAGGCCTACCCTACTCAACTATGATTTCATCTTAACTAATCTGCAATGACCCTATTTCCAAATAAGGTCAAATTCTGAAGTATGGGGTTTAGGACTTCAACATATTTTTTAGGGGAATGCAATTTATTCTATAACATAGCTAAAAGCATTAAGAAACTAGTAAAAAACTAGGCCGGGTGCAGTGGCTCATGCCTGCAATCCCAACACTTTGGGAGGCCAAGGCGGGTGGATCATTTGAAGTCAGGAGTTTGAGACCACCTCGGCCAACATGGTGAGACATCATCTCTACTAAAAATACAAAAATTAGCCGGGCGTGGTGGCGGGTGCCTGTAATCTCAGCTACTTGGGAGGCTGAGGTGGGTGGATCACCTGAGGTCAGGAGCGCGAGACCAGCACAGCCAACATGGTGAAACTCCGTCTCCTAAAAATGCAAAAAATTAGCTGGGCATGGTGGCGCACGCCTATATTCCCAACTATTCAGGAGGCAGAGGCAGGAGAATTGCTTGAACCCAGGAGGCGGAGCTTGCAGTGAGCCGAGATCGCACCACTGCACTCCAGCCTGGGCAAAAGGGCGAGACTCCATCTTAAAAAAAAAAAAAAGTTGCTTCTCTGAAAAATTCAACATAATTCACAAAACTTTAGCTAGAATGACCAAGAAAAAGAGAAAAATGACCCCACTTACCAAAATTTATTAGCGTCAAAGGGGAACACAAGCCCTGACAGAAATAAAAATGGTCACAGGGAACATACGAGCAACTGCATACCGGAAACTAGATAACCTGGATGCCATGAACAAATTCTCAGAAAGACCCACAACAACAAAGATAACTCAGGAATAAACAGAAAACCTACACACCTAGAACAAATAAGGAAATTAATAATTTTTAAAGCTTCCAACAAAGAAAAGCCAAGATCCAGATGGCTTCGCAGGTGAATTATACCAAACATTTAAAGGCGTGATAACCAGTGCTTCACAAACTCTTCCCAAAAACGGAAGAGGGAAATACACTTCCCAACTCATTCTACGAAGCCAGTATTACCTTTGCACCAAATACACAAAGATAACACACAGAAAACGACAGGCACTTGCCTGTAGTCCCAGCTACTCAGGAGGCTGAAGTAGGAGGATCACTTGAGCTCAGGAGTTCAAGACTGAAGTGAGCCATGATGGCACCACTGCACTCCAGCAGGGCCACAGAGCAAGACCACCTATCTAAAATAAAATTAAAAAATTTTTTTAGGCCAGGTGCAGTGGCTCACACCTGTAATCCCAGCATTTTGGGAGGCCAAGGCAGGCGGATCACCTGAGGTCAGGAGTTCAAGACGAGCCTGGCCAACATGGCAAAATCCCATCTCTACTAAAAATACAAAATTAGCCTGGCATGGTGGAGCATGCCTGTAATCCCAGCTACTCGGGAGGCTGAGGCAGGAGATTCACTTGAACCCAGGAGGCGGAGGCTGTGGTGAGCCAAGATTGCACCACTGCACTCCAGCCTGGGCAACAACAGTAAAACTCTGGGCTTGGTGCGGTGGCTCACGCCTGTAATCCCAGCACTTTGGGAGGTGGAGACGGGCAGATCACGAGGTCAGGAGATCGAGACCATCCTGACTAACACAGTGAAATCCCATCTCTACTAAAAATACAAAAAAATAGCCAGGCGTGGTAGCAGGTGCCTGTAGTCCCAGCCACTCAGGAGGCTGAGGCGGGAGAATGGCGTGAACCCAGGAGGCAGAGCTTGCAGTGAGCTGACATCGCGCCACTGCACTCCAGCCTGGGCGACAGAGCGAAACTCTGTCTCAAAAAAAAAAAAAAAAAAAGAGTGAAACTGTCTCAAAAAAAAATAATAAATTTTTTTTAAAAAGAGGTACCTACAGACCAACATAATACCACTTATGAACAAAGATGCAACAATCCCCAACAAAATACTAGCAAATCAAACTCAACAAGATTTAAAAAGGATTAGATAACATACCCAAATGGATTTAGGGCAGAAACGCAGGGCTGGTTGAGCATATGAAAATCTATGTAAGACACCATATCAATAAAGGAAAAAAACTACATAATCATGTCAACAGATAGAGACAAACATTTGACAAAATCCAAAACCCCTTTATAATGAAAACACTCAACAAGCTAGAAATAAAAGGGAATTCCTCAATCTAGTAAAGGGCATCTATGGAAAAACTCATAGCTAATATCATACCTAATGGTGAAAAACTAAAAGCTTTCCTCTAAAAACAGGAATGAAGATGGGAATGTCAGCTTTCACCACTTCTATTCAACATTTTACTAGCCAGGGCAATTAGGGAAGGACAAAAAAGTGTCCAGATTTAAAAGGAAGAACTACAACTCTATTCCCAAATGACATAATCCTATATATAGAAAATCCCAAGGAATCCACACCAAAAAAAATTCAGCAAAGTTGCAGGATACAAGATCCAATATATAAAAATCAATTTTATGTCTATACAATTGCAATCTAAAAATGAAATGTGGCTGGGCATGGTGGCTCACGCCTATAATCCCAGCACTCTGGGAGCTGGAGGTGGGTGGATCCTGAGGTCAGGAGTTCAAGATCAGCCTGGCCAAAATGGTGAAACCCCATCTCTACTAAAAATACAAAAATTAGCAAGGCGTGGTGGCATGCACCTGTAATCCCAACTACTCAGGAGGCTGAGGCAGGAGAACTGCTTGAACCCAGGAGGCGGAGGTTGCAGTGAACCGAGATCGTACCACTGCACTCTAGCCTGGGCGACAGAGCAAGACTCCCCATCTCAAAAAAAAAAAATTTTTTTTAATTCTATTTATAAAAGCATCAAAAAGAATAAAATACTTGTAAGAAATAACTACAAAACTTATACATTAAAATATTGTTTTTTGTTTTGTTTTGTTTTTTGAGACAGTCTCGCTCTGTCGCCCAGGCTGGAGAGCAGTGGCACCATCTCAGCTCACTGCAAGCTCCGCCTCCCAGGTTCATGCCATTCTCCTGCCTCAGCCTCCCGAGTAGCTGGAACTACAGGCGCCCGCCACCACGTCCCACTAATTTTTTGTATTTTTAGTAGAGACGGGGTTTCACCATGTTAGCCAGGATGGTCTCGATCTCCTGACCTCGTGATCCACCCACCTCGGCCTCCCAAAGTGCTGGGATTACAGGCGTGAGCCACCGCGCCCAGCTCTGAAAATGTTAAAGAAAACTGAAGGCCGAGCGCAGTGGTTCATGCCTGTAATCCCAACACTTTGGGAGGCCAAGGAGGGCGAATCACGAGGTCAGAAGTTCAAGACCAGCCTGTCCAACATGGTGAAACTCCGTCTCTACCAAAAATACATTAAAAAAAAAAAATTAGCTGGGCGTGGCGATGGGTGCCTGTAATCCTAGCTAGTCGAGAGGCTTAGGCAGGAGAATGGCTTGAATTCAGGAGGCGGAGGTTGCAGTGACCCGAGATCACGCCACTGCACTCCAGCCCAGGTGACAGTGCAAGACTCTGTCTCAAAATAAATAAATAAAATAAAATAAAATAGAAGACCTAAATAAATGGACAAGCATCCGGTGTTCCCCAATTGGAAGACTTGCTATTAAGATGGCGATATCCTAAACTGATCTACATATTCAACACAATCCCTTTCAAGATCCTGAAAGGCTTTTTTGCAGATATTGACAACAAGATCCTAAAACTCATACGAAAATCCAAGTGACAGCCGGGCGCAGTGGCTCACACCTGTAATCCCAGCACTTTGGGAGGCCGAGGCCGGCGGATCACGAGGTCAGGAGATCGAGACCATCCTGGCTAATATGGTGAAACCCCATCTCTACTAAAAATACAAAAAAAAAAAAAAAAAAAAAAAAATTAGCTGGGCATGGTGGGGGCGCCTGTAGTCCCAGCTACTCGGGAAGCTGAGGCAGGAGAATGGCGTGAACCTGGAAGGCAGAGGTTGCAGTGAGCTGAGATCGCACCACGGCACTCCAGCCTGGGCGATAGAGAGAGACTCTGTCAAAAAAAAAAAAAAAGAAAGAAGAAAGAAAGAAAAGAAAGAAAAAGCAAGCAAGCAAGCAAGCAAGGGACCCAATCTTGAAAAAAAAGAAAAGAAAAGAAAAGAAAAGAAATGAAAGAAAATGCAAGGGACCCAATCATGAAAAAGACAAAGTTGAAGGACTCACATTTCCTCATTACAAAACTTATTACACTGCTGCAACAATGCTCGCATTAGGACAGACATATACATCAACGGAATAGAACTGAGAACCCAGAAATTAACCATCACATTTATGTTCAACTGATTTTCAAAAACGATGGCCAGGCAATTCAATGGGGAAAGCATGGTCTTTTCAACAAACGCTGCTGAGCCAACTGTACATGAAAAGAATGAAGCCTGGATCCTACCTAACATCATATACAAAAATTAAGTCAAAACGGATCAAAGACTTAAATGTAAGAGCTAAAACTATGCAAATTTTCCAAGGAAACATAAACTCCCTGGTTTGGATTGGGCAATCAGACACGACAACAAAAGCAAAGAAACCAACTGGAAAACAAGAAGGTGGATTTCATCAAAAATTAAAAACATCTGTGCTTCAAAGGAAGGCATCAAGAAAATAAAAATTAGGCCGGGCACAGTGGCTCATGCCTATAATCCCAGCACTTTGAGAGGCCGAGGCAGGTGGATCACTTGAAGTCAGGAGTTCAAGACCAGCCTGAACAACATGGTGAAACCCTGACTCTACTAAAAATACAAAAATAAGCCGGCGTGCTGGTGCGCACCTGTAATCCCAGCTTCTCAGGAGGCTGAGGCAGGGGAATCGCTTGAACCCGGGAGGCGGAGGTTGCAGTGAGACTAGATTGCACTCCAGCCTAGGCGACAAGAGCGAGACTGTCTCAAAAAAAAAAAAAAAAATTAGAAAGTGAAAAGACAGCCCACAGAATGAGAAAAAATATTTGCAAAAAAGTAGAGCAGTGTCGGGGGTCGGGGAGGGAGGATTAGGGAAGTCCTGCTAATGGGTATGAGGTTTCTTTTTGGGGTGACGGAATGATCTGGAAGTAGTGGTAATGACGGAATGATCTGGAAGTAGTGGTAATGGTTGGACCACTCCAGACATACCAAAGAACCCCACTGAGGTGCACATTTTAAAATGTGAATTTTATAGTAAATGAATTACATCTCAATAAAAATAAATCATCTGCTCCTGGACTGATACTGGAATATGGCAACAGCTATCGGTGTGAAGACATTTTCAAAGATGAAACAGAAAACTGTGTCACAGTAAGCACTTAACAGATGAACAGCTCCAGTAATTTTTATGATGGGGAACATTAACATTGAACCCCAATTAAGCAAAATGTTATCCCCCCAAAAATTCTGTTCTTCTAATCAGTAGATCTGTATTACAAAAAAAAAAAAAGTAGTCAATTATATTTTGATCTTTGTCAACAAAAATTTGTGGAGTTATCCTTGATTTTGCTTCTTGGTGCATGAGTCTGAAATACTATCCAGCCTGCTCAGAAAGAGTTTGCCACCCCTGGAATAAACCACCCCAGAGCTGACCTGAGCATGCCTTCCCTGTCCGGGTGAATGGCACGGCCACCCACCCTTCCGTTCAAGCAGAGAACCCAGCATTTGGCTCCGGCCTAGTCCCACAAGTCATCCTTGTGCCCTCCTCATCTGCCACATAACCGGTGACCACCCACTCCCTGAGGACTGCGTTTGCTGCCTCCACTGCCATCCGTCTACAATCCGTTCTTCACACAGCAGCAGGAAGACCAGGAAGGAAGCCAGAGCCTAACACGCAAACCTGATGAGGTCACTCCCTGCCTTGAAACCCTCCTACTGCCCTTATTGCAAGGACGAGAATCATTAGCATGGTCTCCACAGCTCCATCAGCCCACCTAGGTTAGCAACCTGCCCCGTGTGATGCTATACCCAGGAATATGATCAAAGGAACAGTCATTAAATGCTTGAAGAAGTGGTCTAGGCCGGGCACAGTGGCTCACGCCTGTAATCCCTAAAAAGTGGTCTAGGCTGGGCACAGTGGCTCACGCCTGTAATCCCAGCACCGTAGGAGGCCAAGGCAGGCAGATGGCTTGAGTCCAAGAGCTCGAGACCAGCCTGGGTAACATTGTGAAACCCTGTCTCTACCAAAAATACAAAAATTACCTAGGTGTGGTGGCACGCATCTGTAATCCCAGCTACTCGGGAGGCTGAGGCGGGAGGACTGCTCGAGCCCAGGAGTTTAAGACCAACCTGGGCAACACAGTGAAACCCCATCTCAAAAACAAAAACAAAAAAAAGAGCACAACTCAGACTACGTCTTCATGCATTCGCCTCTGCATTTTCAAGGGGAACTGGGGCTGAAAGGTTGACTTACTCCCACCTGCACCTTTCAAGTGCCTTCTGTGATTCCTTCCCAACCCTCCCCCAACCCTGGAACGAACACCATTCTACTGCACCATCCTAGCCCAGGGCAGAGCCAGCTCTAACATATACCAGCTACATGGTAAAGTCATCGAACCCCTCGACAGGACAGTAACATCTACTGCATCTAAGTGACGCTGAATGAGGGGGATACATTCGGAGATATGCGTCATCAGGTGATTTCATCACTGTGCAAACGTCAAAGAGTGCACTTCTGCAAACCTATTACACATCTAGGCTGTGTGGTGTAGCCCATGGCTTCCAGGCTATAAACCTGCACAGCGCGTTACTGCAGGTAAGTGCAACACAATGACACATGTGCGTCTGAACACAGAAAAGGCAGTGCACTACCCTACTACAAAGCAATGCCCACGACGTGATTAGGCAGTAAGAATTTCTAGCCTCTATTATAATCTTTTTTTTCTTTTTTTGAGACAGGGTCTCACTCTGCTGCCCAGACTGAAGTGCAGTGGCACCAACACGGTTCACTGCAGCCTTGACCTCCTGGTCAAACAACTCTCCCCACCTCAGCCTCCCGGAGTAGCTGGGTCTACAGGCACACACCACAATGCCCAACTAATTTTTCATTATTTTTTGTAGAGACAGGGTCTCATTATGTTGTCCAGGCTGATCTTGAACTCCTGGGCTCAAGTGATCCTCCTGCCTCAGCCTCTCAAAGTGCTGGGATTACAGGTGTGAGCCACCACGCCTGACCTTCATTCTAATCTTAGGGGACCACCTTCATGTATGTGGTCTGCCACGGACCAAAATGTCCTTAAGTGCCACATGACTGTATATTCATAAACATCATGAAATATGCACAGTAATTAAATACTGGTGACCTGCCAAGAGAAGAACTAGTGGCTAGGGAGGTACTTTTTCAATTTTATTTTATTTTTATTTTTATTTTTTTTCCAAGACAGAGGTTCACTCTTGTTACCCAGGCTGGAGTCCAATGGCACGATCTCAGGTCACTGCAACCTCCACCTCCCGGGTTCAAGCGATTCTCCTGCCTCAGCCTCCCGAGTAGCTGGGATTACAGGCGCCCGCCATCACGCCCGGCTAATTTTTTTATATTTTTATTAGAGACAGGGTTCCACCAATGTTGGCCAGGCTGCTCTTGAACTTCTGACGTCAGGTGATCAATCCACCCGCCTCGGCCTCCCAAAGTGGTGGGATTACAGGCATAAGCCACCACACACGGCCATACTTTTTCAATTTTGAACCATGTAACTGTCCTATATGCTCAAAAAATTAAATCTAAACACCTATATCATGACTAACCCATACCACTCAAGCCAAGCCTGCTCACTGGCCCCCTACTTCCGCTCTCCACACAGCAGCCAGGGTCATCTTTTTAAAGTATCATTCCATGCCTAAAATCTTCAAGGACTGTCTACAGTGGTTATGAAACTTCCCAACTTGTTACCATGGTAACAAGGCCCTGGATAACCTTGCCCTGCCTCTCCAGCTTCATCTCATGCCACTATCCCCTTCTGACCTTGTAATTCCACTGTGCACCAAAGGATACAGACCTCACCCAAATCACAGTCGAGGAAACTGGGACTTTTCTATGTCACACACCATGCAGCTACCAAAAACACTGAAGATACGAATGCACGTCAGACAATACGGGACAGAGGAAGTACAACGGCACATAATCACTGATTACCACCAATTTTAAATAAAAACACATACACTCACGAGGATCAGGAAAAAAACAGATGACAAATATATGGCATCCTGAGGTTTCTAGGTTTGATTTCTAAATTTGCTAAAATGCCTAATTTTTGTTAATGTACACTTTGTCCACCTTCTCATGCCAATTCATGTCTCACATCCTTTAAGACCTAGACTATGTGTTGGACAAGAAGCTGTTAAAGGAAAAAAAAGACCTAGACTAACTCATCTTCCTCAAGGAACTTTTCCCCACACATGTGGCCGCAGCAATTGTGGCCATCCAGCAGCCTCTTCTTGTTTACTTTTAACTGACTCTCATTTCCTACTCAGTAATATTTGCTCTGTTCTATTATTAAATTTTGTAACATCAGGGATCAATCTCAAAACTTTGTATGTCCTCTTACAAATACCTAGAATTGCACTGCATAAACAGAAAGTGCTCAAAACAGCATCTTAAATATACTGTGATCAGAACCAGCCTATTACAACTAGAATACAGAAAGAAATCCACAAGCTTTTCCAGAATGAAACAGCAGCTCACAGTGATGTTCCTGGGAAAGTGGCCTCTTATCCAAGAGACTCCATTTCAAAGGAAATGCTACCTCTGAAGAGTTATAGCAGCCACTTTAGCTTTGTTTTTCAAAATCCAAAATCATCAGATTTTTTTTTAATACATGAAAATATTAAAAGTTAAAGAGAAGCAAAACAGTAAGAAAGGAGAATTCTCAGTCCTGGAAGTAATGCTTTCTATATCATACCTGCCATAGGCCAAATTAACTGGGCTCTAATAACTATTCTCAGCCGGGTGCGGTGGCTCATGCCTATAATCCCAGCACTTTGGGAGGCCGAGGTGGGCGGATCACCTGAGGTCAGGAGTTCGAGACCAGCCTGGCTAACATGGTGAAACCCCGTTTCTACTAAAAATACAAAAAACTGGACCAGGTGCGATGGCTCATGCCTGTAACCTCAGCACTTTGGGAGGCAGAGGCGGGCAGATCACGAGGTCAGGAGAGCGAGACCATCCTGGCTAACACAGTGAAACCCTGTCTCTACTAAAAATACAAAAAATTAGCTAGGCATGGTGGTGGGCGCCTGTAGTCCCAGCTACTTGGGAGACTGAGGCAGAAGAATGGCGAGAACCCAGGAGGCGGAGCTTGCAGTGAGCCGAGATCACGCCACTGCACTCCAGCCTGGGCAACAGAGCGAGACTCCATTTAACAACAACAACAAAAAAACTGGCCAGGTGTGGTGGCTCACGCCGGTAATCCCAACACTTTGGGAGGCCGAGGCAGGCAGATCACCTGAGGTCACGAGTTTGAGACCAGCCTGACGAACATAGAGAAATCCCATCTCTACTAAAAATACAAAATTAGCCAGGCATGGTGGTGGGCGCCTGTAATCCCAGCTACTCGGGAGGCTGAGGCTGGAGAATCGCTTGAACCTGGGAGGCGGAGGTTCCAGTGAGCCAAGATTGCACCACTGCACTCCAGCCTGGGCAACGAGAGCGAAACTCCATCTCAAAAAAAAAAAAAAAATACAAAAGCAAATAACTATTCCCTACCTGGTTTGCTGAGTGAGCAACTTAAAATCAAACTGCCCACTTACCTTAGGATAAAGTAATCCATCAACCATGCTTAATCCAATGAAATGATTGAAAAAAAAAATAAAGTTCCTAAAGAATCCAAAACATGATTCTTATAAGCCAAATTATTTTCAAAGAAAAACTCAATAAAATGTGGTCAAACCTACACAGCTCTTTCAGCACATGACAGGAAGCAGAAGAAGGAAACCAGGGCTCTAGCCCCACCTCTGGCTCTGGCCACGTGTGGGATCTCCAGCAACTAAGGTAGCCACAGACGCTCTTTTCGACATTAGAGCTGAGGCACAAACATCACCCTTGCTGGCCCTTACTATGACTCCAGAACCTTCCGACCACAACCAACAACTGACATAGTAAGATCCGAAGACAGGCAGCCCTTTTCATAGGACAGCTGTGCTTCTAGTTTACGGAAGAATCTGCTTCTCAAGATTTATGGAAAATGCTTCTCAGGCCAGCCACAGCAGTTCACGCCTGTGATCCTAACACTTTCAGAGGCCAAAGCGGGAGAATCGCCTGAGCCCAGTTGGAGATCGGCCTGGGCAACACAGTGAGACTCCATCTCTACAAAATGTTTTATAAATTATATTGTGTAATTAAAAATTAAATGTTTAAGTAATTTTAAAAAAAGAAAAATTGATTCTGATCCTCTCTTCTCTTAGCAAAAATCAATCAAAGACAAGAAAAGCAGGAAAGAGACACATAAACCCCAAGACATGTGAAATCCCTAAATAGAACACAAATAGGAAGACAGAGAGGTAGAGGAGAGCTAACCTATCCCACAGAGTAGAGGAAGGAGAAACTTAAATAAAGGAGTTGCAGCTGAGCAGCTGGCAGACTGACCCCAGAAAACACAGAAGGGTGGGGACAATGGGGGTGATGCCTGCAACTACAAAGGGGAATGCGGGCAAAACTCCACCTGAGAACAGCTGACCTCTCAGGTCTCCTCCTCAAGCAAGTACTGGTCTTCTGTAGCCACAAGACACCAGACGTTTAGCCCCATAAAAAGGTCCACCAAAAATGGCCGGGCATGGTGGCTCACACCTGTAATCCCATTATTTTGGGAGACCCAGGAGGGTGGATCACTTGAGGTCAGAAGTTCAAGACCAGCCTGGCCAACATGGCGAAACTCCCTCTCTACTAAAAATACAAAAAGTAGCCACACGTGGTGGTGCACAACTATAATCCCAGCTACTTGGGGGTGGGGGGGTAATGAGGCAGGAGAATTGCTTGAACCCAGGAGGCAGAGGTTGCAGTGAGCCGAGATCACACCACTGCACTCCAGCCTGGGCGACAAGACCAAGACTCTGTCTCAAAAAAAAAAAAAAATCCAGCTTATACCAGCAAGGCAAGAAATTGAGGGATCCTTCAAGAAAACCAAACCAGCAGACAGAACCTCTGCAAAAGGGCCGGGCGCGGCGGCTCACGCCTGTCATCCCAGCATTTTGGGAGGCTGAGGTGGGCAAATCACGGGCGCAGCGGCTCACGCCTGTCATCCCAGCATTTTGGGAGGCTGAGGTGGGCAAATCACCTGAGATCAGGGGTTTGAGACCAGCCTGACCAACATGGTGAAACCCCGTTTCTACTAAATATACAAAAAAATTATCCCGGAGTGGTGGTGCGCACCTGTAATCCCAGCTACTTGGGAGGCTGAGGTAAGAGAATCGTTTGAACCCGGGAGGTGGAGGTTGCAGTGAGCCAAGATCACGCCATTGCACTCCAGCGTGGGTGACAGAAAGAGATGCCATCTCAAAAAAAAAAAAAAAAAAAAAATGGCCAGGCATGGTGGTTCATGCCTACAATCCTAGCACTTTGGGAGGCAAGGGGGGTGGGTCACCTGAGGTCAGCAGTTTGAGACCAGCCTGGCCAACATGGTGAAACCCTGTCTCTACCAAAAATACAAAAATTAGCCGAGCGTGGTGGCGCACGCCTATAATCCCAGCTACTAGGGGGTGCGAAGGCAGGAGAAGCGCTTGAACCTGGGAGATGGAGGTCACAGTGAGCTGAGATGGGGCCACTGCACTCCAGCCTAGGCAACAAAGCGAGACTCCGTCTCAAAACAAAACAAAAACAAAAACAAAATTAACCAGGTGTGGTAGTGCACGCCTGTAATCCCAGCTACCTGTGGGACTGAGGCAGAATTGCTCGAACCTAGGATGCAGAGATTACAGTGAGCAGAGATCACGCCACTGCACTCCAGCCTGGGCAACAAGAGCAAAACTCTGTCTCAAAAAAAAAAAAAAAAAAATTCTGCAAGAGAGCCAACAAAACAGCAGCAGCCAACCATCACCCTACAGTGAAGGCAACAAATAAACAAGCCCCCAGCACTCAGCTTTCCATGGTGAGTGCTTTATTCGCAACACGGCAAAATGGCCAAAGACAATGAGACACTAAAGGAAAGGTTACATCATAGAAGAAAGACTAAGAGATAAGACAGCAAAGAGGAACGAATGCAGGGAAAACACAAAAAATGAAGGAAACAACTTTTTTTTTTTTTTTTTTGGTTAGAGACAGTCTCTCTCACTCTGTCACCCAGGCTGGAGTGCAGTGGTGTGATCATGGCTCACTGCAGCCTCAACCTCCCGGACTCAAGCAATCCTCCTGCCTCAGCCTCCTGAGTAGCTGGGATTTCAGGCACGCACCAGCTGGTCATGGTGGTGCATGCTGGAAGTCCCAGATTTTAGGGTCTTGCTGTGTTGCACAGGCTGAGACATTTTTTAAATAGTTTTTTAATAACTTTAACTGTAATTTTAAAATTTTAATTGTAATTAAAATAAATAAGCAAAGATACTATATATATAAAACAAGAACAGGAGATACTAAAAAGAATAGAAAACAGTAAAGAATATAAAAATATAACAACTGGGCCAGGCGTGGTGGCTCACGCCTGTAATCTCAGCACTTTGGGAGGCCAAGGCGGGTGGATCACCTGAGGTCAGGAGTTTGAGACCAGCCTGACCAACATGCAGAAACCCCAACTCTACTAAAAAAAAAAAAAAAAATACAAAATTAGCCAGGCTTGGTGGTGCATGCCTGTGATTCCAGCTACTCGAGAGGCTGAGGCAGGAGAATCACTTGAACCCGGGAGGCAGAGGTTGCAGTGAGCCGAGATCGCCCCACTGCACTCCAGCCTGGGCAACAAGAGCAAAACTTCGTCTCAAAAAAAAACAAAAACAAAACAAAACAAAAAATATATATATAAATAACAACTGAAGTTAAAAATTCGATTAAAAAAATTGAGAAGTGGTCAAAAATGCTCCCCCAAAATAGAACAAGACCAAGACATGACAAGAAAATATACTTAAAATCAGAAAACTAAATACAGGAAGTCCAACATTCAACTAAAGGAAACGGAAAAGGAGAACACAGAGAAAACAGTAAAGAATAAACTGTCGGCCACACACGGTGGCTCACACAGGTAATCCCAGCACTTTGGGAGGCCGAGGCGGGCAGATCACTTGAGGTCAGGAATGTGAGACCAAACTGGTCAACATGACAAAACCCCATCTCTACTAAAAATACAAAAATTAGCCAGGCATGGTAGCACGTGCCTGTAGTCCCAGCTACTTGGAAGCTGAGGCAAGAGGCTTGCTTGAGCCCAGGAGTTCAAGACCAGCCTGAGCAACATAGTGAGACTGTCTCTCTCCAACAACAACAACAACAACAAAAAACCTCCTATAATGAAAGGGTGTCAATCTTCAGATTTCACAGCTACTTAGGCACCTGCATAATACATAACAAAAGGCTAGCACTAAACGCATGATAAATATTAGGAAAATCACGGATGCAACGATCCTAAAGGTTCGGCAAGGGAATAGTGCTTGCAAACGGTTAAGAATGAAATTGGGCCTTGCCAGCAAGGTGGCCCACGCCTGGAATCCAAGCACTTTGGGAGGCTGAGGCGGGTGGATCACCTGAGGTCAGGAATTTTAGACCAGCCCAGCCAATATGGCGAAACCCCATCTCTACCGAAAATACAAAAATTAGCGGGGCGGGGTGGCAGGAGCCTGTAATCCCAGCTACTTGGGAGGCTGAGACAAGAGAATCACTTGAACCCAGGAGGTGGAGGTTGCGGTGAACCCAATCGCGTCACTGCACTCCAGCCTGGGTGAAAAGAGCAAAACTCCATCTCAAAAAAAAAAAAAAGAAGAATGAAACTGGGCCAGGCTCGGTGGATCATGCCTTTAATCCCAGAACTTCAGGAGGCCGAGTTCAAGACCAGCCTGGGCAACATGGCAAGGCCCTGTCTCTACAAAAACAGAAAAATCACTGCCGGGAACAGTGGCTCACGCCTGTAATCCCAACACTTTGGGAGGCTGAGGCGGATGGATCATTTGAGGTCAGGAGTTCGAGACCAGCCTGGCCAACATGGTAAAACCCCATCCCAACTAAAAATACAAAAATCAGCTGGAGTCCAGGCATGGTGGCTCAAACCTGTAATCCCAGCACTTTGGGAGGCTGAGGAAGGTGGATCACTTACTTGAGGTCAGGAGTTCGAGACCTGCCTGGCCGATATGGCGAAACCCTGTCTCTACTAAAATTACAAAAATTAGCCAGGCGTGGTGGTGCCCACCTGTAATCACAGCTACTCGGGAGGCTGAGGCAGGAGAATTGCCTGAACCGGGCAGGTTGCAGAAAGACAAGATCACACACCACTGCATGCCAGCCTGGGCAACTGGATGCCAGACTGGGTGAAACCATGTCTCAAAAAAAAAAAAAAAAAAGAGGCCGGGCATAGTGCCTAATGCCTGGCCTGTAATCCTAGCACTTTGAAAGGCTGAGGTGGGCAGATCACAAGGTCAGGAGTTCAAGACCAGCCTAGCCAATATGGTGAAACCCCGTCTCTACTAAAAATACAAAAAAATTATCTGGGCGTGATGGTACACACCTGTTAATGCCACCTACTCAGGAGGCTGAGCCAGGAGAACCACTTGAGCCCAGGAGACGGAGGTTGCAGTAAGCCGAGATGGCGCCACTGTACTCCAGCCTGGGCAACAGGGTAAGACTCCATCTCAAAAAAAAAAAAAAAAAGAAAGAAAGAAAAATCAACCGGGTATGGCGGCACACACCTGCCGTCCCAGGTACTACTCAGGGCACTGAGGCAGGAAGATTACTTCAGCCCGGGAGGTCAAGGCTGCAGAGAACTATCATTGAACCACTCCTCCAGACTGTCTCAAAAAGAAAAAAGACCAAACCAGACTTCTCAAGAGCAACAATGAAAACTGAAAGATATTGGAGCTATGACTTCAAAATGACTTTCCAACCTACCAGCCAAACTTACTAAGCGCACGGGCAGAATAAAGACATTTGCGGCCGGGTGCGGAGGCTCACTCCTGTAGTCCCAGCACTTTAGGAGGCCGAAGTGGGCAGGTCACCTGAGGTTGGGAGTTCAGGAGCAGCCTCGCCAAGAAGTTGAAACCCCGTCTCTACCAAAAATACAAAAATTAGCCAGGCACAGGCGTGGTAGCAAGCACCTGTAATCCCAGCTACTTGGGAGGCTGAGGCAGGAGAATCGCTTGAACCCAGGAGGCGGAGGCTGCAGTTAGCAGAGATAGTGCCACTGCACTCCAGCCTGGGCGACGGAGCGGACCTCCATCTCAAAAAAAAAAAAGAGTAAATACATTTTCAGACACGCAAACCCCAAAAGTTCACCGCTTACCACACCTTCCTGGCTAGCTAACGGAGAGTGTGTTCCATCACCAGGAGGGAATAAACAGTGAGCAGCATCAGACACAGGGAAAGGTGAGGAGACTCCTTTGGATGATGCTGTGTACCAGGCAGAGGGAACATGCATTCTTTTTTTTCTTTTTTTTTTTTTTGAGACGGAGTCTTGCTCTGTCGCCCAGGCTGGAGTGCAGTGGCATGATCTTGGCTCACTACAAGCTCCACCTCCCGGGTTCACGCCCTTCTCCTGCCTCAGCCTCCCGAGTAGCTGGGACTACAGGCGGCCGCCACCACACCCGGCTAATTTTCTTGTATTTTTAGCAGAGACAGGGTTTCACTGTGTGTTAGCCAGGATGGTCTCGATCTCCTGACCTCGTGATCCACCCACCTCAGCCTCCCAAAGTGCTGGGATTACAGGTGTGAGACACCGCGCCTGGCTGTATTTTTTTTTTTTTTTTTTTGAGACAGGATTTTGCTCTGTCACCCAGGCTGCAGGGCAGTGGCACAATCACAGCTCACTGCAGCCTTGGCCTCCTGGGATCAAGCGATCCTCCCACCTCAGCCCCTCAAGTAGCTGGGACTACAGGCACATACCACCACCACACCCAGCTAACTTTTTTACTTCTAGTAGAGACAAGGTCTCACTCTGTTGCCCAGGCTAGTCTCAAACTCCTGGGCTCAGGGGATCCTCTCATCTCGGCCTCCCAGGCATGAGCTGCTGGCCCTGGCCAAGAACATACATTCTGATTGGGGCAGGATGAACATAAGAGAACAAAAATCTTCTCTAATCTAAATCTTACACTAATTCACCATTAATGGAAGTCCATAGTCGACCCCTAAAGTTGGTGAATAAAGACATGACAATACAAACATATATTTAGAAACATGAAGTAAATGCTCAAGAGATGCAAGTGGGCTGCTTCTTCTCTAGAAAGACAGAAGATGATCGGCCGGGGGCGGTGGCTCACGCCTGTAATCCTAGCACTTTAGGAGGCCAAGGCAGATAGATCACTTGAGGTCAGGAGTTCGAGACAAGCCTGGCCAACATGGTGAAACCCCCATCTCTACTGAAAACACAAAAATTAGCCAGGTGTGGTGGCAGGCGCCTGTAATCCCAGCTACCAGGAAAGCTGAGGCACAAGAATCACTTGAATCCGGGAGGCGGAGGCTGCAGTGAGCCAAGATCGGGCCACTGCACTCCAGCCTGGGCAATAGATCAAGACTCATTCTCAAAAAGAAAAAAAAGGGGGGAGGGGGGAGGGATAGCATTAGGAGATATACCTAATGCTAAATGACGAGTTAATGGGTGCAGCACACCAACATGGCACATGTATACATATGTAACAAACCTGCACGTTGTGCACATGTACCCTAAAACTTAAAGTATAATAATAATAAAAGAAAAAAATAAAAAGAAAAAAAAAAGAAAGACAGGAGATGAGAACAGCTTTTTTTTTTAAGGGTTTTAGCACTGATTTTTTAAATTATGCGCACGTGCCTGCATTATTTTAAAAAAGAAAAAATAAAGAAGCGATACATAGTAGCCACCCTGCTACTTGCCTGAGAAAGCCTTCCTGCTGGAAGGTGACGTTTTGCTGAGACAAAAGCCTTGAGTCAAAGGAACCCTAGGATCTGATCCTCAGTGACCCTGGACATATTTAAACCCTAAGATGCCCCATTTACTAACTAATCCACAAATGGGGAATGGAGGATATATTCAACTACCTCAGTAGTTTTTTTTCTTTTTTTTTTCCTGAGACAGTCTCTCACTCCGTTGCCCAGGCTGCAATTACAGGCACACACCACTATGCCCAGATAATTTTTGTATTTTCAGTAGAGACAGGGTTTCAACCATGTTGGCCAGACTGGTCTCGAACTCCTGACCTCAAGTGATCCGCCCACCTCGGCTTCCTAAACTGCTAGGATTACAGGCATGAGCCACCACGGCTGGCCAGTTCTTTTTGGTAGGAAAATGTATTGACTATCTTTGTAAATCAAGGAAAAGAAATGAAGTTAGATAAGTTTCCAGTGTCAGCTTTATTACTTTAATCATTTGGCAATTAATGAACCCTGACCCAGGAATCATTTCCCAGGTTTAGTGACAACAGTGATCACATGCCTACCTACTGTCCAGAAGGCCAGAGTTGCTGCGCTACACACAGGGGCTCCCTCACCTTCTCATACACCTTGATGATAAACCCTTAGAATTATCAATCTAAAAACAGAGCTTTTATTAACCTAAAATGACCATCACAGATATAACACATTTAGCAAGCATCAGCTCTATGGCCAAACCACCTGCAACTCCATCTTCTTGGCCACAAGCTCTTCAATCTTGGGCCTCACTGCGCCTGTCTTCTCATTTATAAACGGGGAGGTAACAGTACCTACCTCTTAAGGTTGCTGCTAGGCTCAAATTATTGAATTCATGCAAGGCACTGGCACTATGGCAGGGTTGGACACAAGTCAGGGCTCAGTCAACACAGGCTGTCATTCTCATCAGGTGTGTAAAGCCCTATTCAAGGCTGCCTATGGAACCAGAGACATCTGGAGCCATTTGCTCATCGGTCATGTATTAAACACCTACTACGTGCCCAACACTGTACTAGTGCTGGTCCTACAACCGACTGGCCAAGTTATCTAACCCTTCCTCCTCAGCTAAACAGGAAACAACAGGACGGGCACAATGGCTCATGTCTGTAATCCTAGCACTTAGGGAGGCGGAGGCAGGCAGATCGCTGGAGTCCAAAAGTTCAAGACCAGCCTGGGCAACATGGTGAAACCCCGGTCTCTACCAAAAAAATACAAAAAAATTGGCCAGGTGTGGCAGCACCCGAGGTGGGAGACTCCTTTGAGCCTGGGTGGTCGAAGCTGCAGTGAGCAGTGATCATGCCTCTGCATTCCAGCCTGAGTGACAAAGGGAGATCCTGTCTCAAAAAATAATAATAATAAATAATAATTTAAAAAAGGAAATAACAGCACCTGCTGCACAGGGTGAAGAAAACCGAGGGAGGCGCCTGATCTAAAGGTCTTGCACAGTGTGTGGGATCCAGTGGGTACTTCATAAATGATAGAATTCATCACTACACGTCTTCTCCCCTACAAGCCTAGAAGTGACTTGAAATTTTCTAATTTCGCTTTTTGTTCTCAGTGACTAATATTAATTCCTTGAATGCTGCAGATACTCAGCAAAAACTCCTTGCATTGAATTTAAGAATTCCCCTGCACCTTCCCAGTTTACTTATTTCAACACCCCCCAAAAATGCAGGAAAAAAATAAACAAAAAGGCCATACATTACCTGAGTTAAAATACAGTGTTAAGTCTATGCACCAGGATACTGTACGGCTTCTTACTACACCTTAACTTTCTAAGCTTTAGAAGTCTCAACTGTTACTAGACAGTTAATTTCAAAGAAATACTTCTACGCTGACAGTTTTCTCCAAACCGGTCCCTTATCTCAGCCCTAGGACCACACTATTTCTGCATCTCCACGGACACACCACCTCCTGCTTGCTTTTCCTTCAGAGGGACGCCAGTGGTCCACTCGCAAGACTTTAATCTCTACGCTGCTTCCTTTCCTAAGCAAGGAAACAAACTATCCTTGAGAATGAGCACGGGGAAGGCCGAGACCATTAACAAAAGAATGTGAACTTTTTACATCGAGAGCCCTTTAAAGCTGCTGGTTTGGAAATAAACTTGAGTCCGCAAGCTTCCCACCGAGCGTGCTTTCCTGCTTCTGACAGCCAGCAGGGCTGGAGCAGCATTGTCTGGGGAGAAACACGCCGGGACTGGCCAACTTTTCGTTAAAGATGGTGCCATCCTACTCAGAACAAAGTGAAAGGTCAACGAAGCGAAGGAAGAGCTCCGAGAGGAGGGACAGCCTCGCCTCGGCCGGCGCTCCAAAGTTGGCCGGCCCCGCTACTTTTCCTTTTGTCCTCCGCACCTCCCCGGCACCCTGGCCGAGGCCCTCCCCGCAGATCCGGCTTGCGGGCGGCGGCGGCGGCACGGGGTCCGTGGGGGGCGCGGGCACAGGTACGCGGTCGCCTCCCTCACCTGCGCCCCCGCCCGCTCCCCCAGCCGCCGCCCGGCCCGCGCCGCGCACAAAGCGCGCCCGGCGGGAGCGCGGGCCGGACGCCCGGCGGCCTCGGCCCGGCCTCGGCCTGAGGCGGCGGCAGCGGCGGCGGCGGCGGCGGGGGGACCCGGGGCCCCGCCCGCCCGCCGGCCGCCTGCCGCCGCCCCGCCCGGTTCTTCGCCCCCGCGCCGCCTCCGCCGCTGCCCGCCGCCCCCGCGCCGCCCCCCGCCGGCCCCGCTGCTCACCTCGGCATCGGCGGCGGCCATGGCCCGGGCCCGCAGCGTGGCCCCGCCCCTCCCGCGCGCCATCGCCCCGCCCGCGCCTCGCGGCCCAGAGTCGGGGCGGGGCCGATCGCCTACGTCTGCGCCTGCGCCTGCGCCCGCGCCTGCGCGTTGGAGCTCGACCGGTGCGGCGCCTGCGCACTGGAACCAGGCGTGCGGCGCCCCAGGCGCCGGGCCTGCGGCGGCCGGAACCGGAACGCGCGCCCGCGGGGTAGGAGACCTGGAGCTGGAGAACCCGCCCGCCAGAGTCGTAGTAGTGGATGGGGAGTAGCCGTCCCATTTTCAACACATGTCTCATTCTAAATTGACGTTTTGGTGGGCTGGCCGAAGAAGGAGAAAGACCCGCGGCTCCGACCTCTGACCTCTAACCCCGGACGCACTTTGATTTCGCCGGCTTGCGCGGAAGGCTGACTCCCTGGGCCGCGGCCTGGCGCGGGAGCCGCCTGTGGGGTGTCCCCGGCGCGGGAGGGTGCTCTGGTTCAGGCAGGTTCCCGTTGCGGCGGGGTTCCCTCGGTTGGGAGGAATGCCCCTGCCGAGGGTATGCTCCGGCTGGAGGGGGTGTCCCTAACGGCGGGAATACCTGGACTGGCTGGGGTGTCCCACTGGGGAGGGTTTCCCGGTGGGGAGGTGTCTGGCGGGGGAGCGGCTCCGGCTAAGCATGGGTGTTCTGCTAGGAGGATGTGTCTGGCTGGGGGCGGTGTCCCAATCGGGAGGGTTGCCCTGATGGGGGAGGTTCTACAGTTGTGGAGATGCCAACCTGGGGGGCGCTCCGGTTGGGGGGTGTGCCCTCTCTGGTTACCCCGCTCTCGCTGCCACTCATAGGCCCGCTGCCCAGGTATGCACAAGTCAAGGCCTTTTCTGCAGACCAAGTAGCCTTCCCTGGAGAGCGCCCCCAGCACCACGGAAACTACCTACATGCCCCGCGGTGGTCAGCCCGCCTTATCCCAGCCCCGAGACCCAAAACAAGAAGCATGGACTGAATTTGAGGTTTCTGGATGGTCGTGTGAACCGAGGGGACGGGTACTGGACTGACAAGAAATGAGCCTTGAAGGTCAATCTGGGTGACACCCGAGTCTCCTGGTGAGTCGGACTCCGGAGAATTATCTCAAGTCCAGCATAGACAGCGCACATAGACAGAAAAGGAAACGGACAATCCCAAGTGCCAAGGGAACCTTCCCAGGTTTCTTTAGGGCAGCTAAACTGCTCTGTCAAAGCCTAAGTCCATTTATGACAGGCCGAGCACCCTGAGCCCTCGCAGGAGACACGAGCGCCTTCATGGCCCTCCTGCCCCGCACCCACCTCTCCGCCACCCCTGCTGTCTGTCCCTTCCCTGAAACCTTTATTTCGAGTGTCTTTGTGGCTTCCCTCTTTACCATCCTTGAGTTGAAATATCACCTCTTAAGGGAAGCCTTCCCTCTCCTCCCTAGTTAAAATGATACTGCCCCCCCATACCTGTCTTCGTTGACTTACTTGGCTCCATCACAGTGTGTGTCATGTGACTCTCCCACATCCTGATTTGGAATATTGTCTCCCTACTAGAATGTAAGTCCATGGTGCCTAGAACAATACCTGGTGTACAGGAGACAAAATATTTGTTGACTGGGCCGGGTGCGGTGGCTCACGCCTGTAATCCCAGCACTTTGGGAGGCCGAGGTGGGCAGATCATGAGGTCAGGAGATGGAGACCAGCCTGGCTAACATGGTGAAACCCCATCTCTACTAAAAATACAAAAAATAGCCGGGAGTGGTGCTGGGCGCCTGTAGTCCCAGCTACTCGGGAGGCTGAGGCAGGAGAATGGCATGAACCCGGGAGGCAGAGCTTGCAATGAGCTGAGATTGTGCCACTGCACTCCAGCCTGGGCAACAGAGCAAGACTCTGTCTCAACAACAACAACAAAAAAATTGTTGACTGAATAAAGGGAGTTAGAATGTGAAGAAAAATCCTTCACCAAGCAAACATCCACCCTAAGTGAAGGTGTGGGAAGCAGCTGCAGGCAGCTTTTTCACTCCATTTTTCCATCAGCTGCTACCCTTGTGTGCCCCTCAGCACTTATGTCAAGATGCTGCTCTCAGCACGTGACATGCTAACACTGCAGACTTCAGGTCAGTCCTGAGAGGCAGGCACTGTTCTTACCCACATTTTATAAGTGACTGAACTGAAGCAAGGGAGTGGTGAGAGGCAGTGATGGGATTCAGCCCAGGAGGCCTTCCTTTCAACCATATACTGCACTGCTTCCAGGAGGCGCTTCACAGATGACCCCACCTGTGGTACACTTTCTGCTGTTCTCCAATATTCATGCTGCCTGTCCCACAATTAGTAAAATTTTAGCCAAGTACAGGACTGCCTGGCTAAAGACCACATTTCCAACAGGAAGGGGACAGGTCAGAGACAAAAAGTGACAATCCATTTCCCAGTCTGTCCCTCAAAAGTCCCACCATTAGGCTGGGCAGTGGTGAAAGCTGTCAACAGCCATCTGGGAGCCAGGGATGGGAACCACTATGTAGGAATGACAACTCTGCCACAAGGCCAGGATCTGCCCCCTCTGGACTGTTCAAGAAATAAACTGTCATGCTATGAGGGTGGGGGGCTGTACCCTACAGTCCCACGAGTTTTTTGTGGGGTTTTGTTTTTTTATTTTTTGAGGCAGTCTTGCTCTGTCACCCAGGCCGGAGTACAGTGGCACAATCTCAGATCACTGTAACCTCTGCCACCTGGGTTCAAGCGATTCTCCTGCCTCAGCCTCCTGAGTAATTGGGATTACAAGCATGTGCCATGATGCCCAGCTATTTTTTTTTTTTTTTTTTTTTTGTACAGATGGAGTTTCACTATGTTGCCCAGGCTGATCTGGAACTCCTGACCTCAAGCAATCCACCTGCCTCAGCCTCCCAAAGTACTGGGATTACAGGAGGGAGCCACCGTGCCCGGCCTGGTCCTGTGCATTTTATAGATAAGGTAACTGACAAACCTAGCCACAGTCACCCCTTCGCCCTAAAGGAGAACTGGAATTTGAACCCAGAGCCTTCTTCACCACCATCTCCGTTGTTTCTGGAAGCACCCTCCAGGCAGGCCAGCCAGCATCACGGGGCCTCCCCTGGGGCTGGAACGTCTGCAGGATGCCCCTTTGAGAAATGCTGTTCCACAGAACCCTGCCTTTCAGGCCTTGGAGACGTGGGCAGGGGAGAAGCAGCGTCCCTCAGAGCCAGGCCTGGCAGTGGTGCTAGCAGGGGCCAAGGCCCAGGGAGCAGGGTCTCCTGTCGGAGGGACCTGGGCAAGCCCCTCCACGCG
Source organism: Homo sapiens (assembly GCF_000001405.40). NCBI lineage: Eukaryota > Metazoa > Chordata > Mammalia > Primates > Hominidae > Homo > Homo sapiens. Next base: position 137,615,728 of record NC_000009.12, on the reverse strand, counting down.
CCAGCGGGTTTCTCAGCAGGGGAGGTCCACACCACACCGCTTGGGAACCTGGGTGCCTAAACGCAACAGGAGCCAAGGCACAAATTTAACCAAACACCAAGGTTGCGTGAGGCCCCATTTCATGAGCCGGGCTCCAAGGACGTGTCCTTAGGCGGCTCTGGAAGGCCCAGCGCCAGCCCCCGTCCTCTGTTAAAGGGAGCCAGCCCCGCGGCTCCGCCCAGGCATGGTAGCCTGAGCGCGCCCCCAGGGTAGTAGGGGGCACCTGAGGAGCAGGGTCTGCCCTGGCATGAGCAGAGCCCAGGATGGGGTCAGGGTCAGGCCCTGCCAGAGGCTGGAGGGTGCCCAAGGCGAGGCCGGTGAGGCCCAGCTCTACAAATAAAGTGTTTTATTTACAGGAGTTGTCTCTCCAGGTCCCAGCTCCCTGCCACCCCCACCCCAGCCCCAGGGAGAAGAGGGCGGATGCCAGAGGAGCTGGCAGAGGCTGGGCAGGTCCTGAGTGGGCCAGGCTAGGCCAAGAGAGAAGGCACGAGGCCCTGGGCGCCCCAGTCCCAGGGCAGAGGCCAGGCCTGCCTGGAGAAGGCAGCACGGGGTCAGCTCTCAGGGGTCAGGCTGGGTTCCACGCCGCCGCAGCTCTGCTCATAAGACGGTGGGGCCTCTGCGGGAAGAAAGCAGGGTCTGCGTGGGGCTCTTGGCGTCCCCTCCCTGCCAAGCCCTGGCTGTCGACTCACCATAGGGGTAGCCCCAAGAACTGTACTCTGGAGGAAGAATCAAGGTGCTGGTAGTGGGCACTGGCCCCCCGGAGCCCTCTGCAAAGTAGGGGACAGTGGCACCTGTTGAAATGCACAAGGGAGGGTGCAGCGGGTGTGAGGCAGGGCTGCCATCCTGAGGGCAGGGCTCCGGCGCACCAGGCACAGAACTCAAGGTGGCCAGCAGGGGCTGCCGCTGCGAATGGCTCTTGGTGGAGAGGAAGACGGGGTCCAAGAAGTGGGGGCCGCCAGCCGCAGCCTCAGCCTCAGCCTCCTCCTGGGGTGGTGCGGAAGGCACCACCAGGGGTGGGGCCCCAGGAGGCAGCCCCAGGCCTGGCCGGGGGCTCACTGGGGCATGGTTCACAGCAATATTGCCAATGAAGACCGGGAGGGTCACAGTAGCTTCCGGCGCCTTCAGAGAGACCTGGACAGGATTGAGGTGGGGCATGAGGGGCCAGGGCCAAGGCCACTAGGCCTCAGACCACCCAGCCCCCAGCAGCACCAAACCTGTAAGTAGTAGTCGATGTGGATGAGGCTGCAGCCCGGCAGGGCCGACTGGGGCAAGGCAGGCACCAGGATCTGCTCGTGCCACTGCGCCCGCCGCCAGGCCTTGACGCCCGCACCCTCCACCTCCGCAATGGTCCGTACGTCGTGGATCCAGCGCTTGGCCTTATAGGACACTTTCTGGGGAAGGACCAGCCTGTGAGCCTGCGCAGGCTGCCAGCCCACCCCAGGAGGCCGGTCCAGGCAACTGGCGGGGGCTCTGACCTGCAGCAGACTGGCCACCACAGGGCTGGTGTCCTTGCCTGACTGGTTCTCAACGTCGGCATGCAGCTGCAGTGCCTGCCCCACCACATAGCCGCGGAGATCAGTGCTGGCTGTGAGGACCACGCTGCCCGTCTTCACCAGCTTGTAGGAGAACTTCTTGGTGGCAGAGGCCACGTTGGGTTGCTTGGGGGGAGGGCCAGGGAGGGGCTTAGCAGGTGTGCGCAGGCTGGATCCCTGTGGCATTGGGACAGGCCCCTCAGCCCTGCCACGCCCTGCCCCTGGACATCAGCAGTCAGCTCAGGGCAAAGAGGCCACTGCCTCCAGACCCTGGCCCCCCTCACCTCAGCTGGGGACAGGACGCTGGGATGAAGCAGTGCCTGCCCAGCTCTTCCCCAGCCTCCATGAGGGTGGGGACCCACCAAGGAGGTCACTGTGCCATCCTCACCTCAATGTCTGGGATGCTGTTCAGGTTCAAGGGGCTCAAGATATAGAACACGAGGCTGCACTTGTGATCCTTGGAAAACCGTGGCGTGTGGATGGCGGCCCTCACCTGGTGCACGATCTTCCCGAAAGGACCCTCAAAGGACGTGGGTGCAGTGGCTGGGGAGAGAGCAGGCACTGGTACCTGGCTGCCTTCCACCCTGCAGAGCCCACCTCCCAGGACCAGTTGGTCATCACCAGGCCTGTCCAGGCTGGGCTCTCACCAGGAAGCAGGAACTGGAAGGGGAAGCTGTGCTCTCCAGCGGGCAGGCTCCCTGCAGAGACAGGAGGGAGGTGGGGGGCAGTCCCCCCCTGAGGTGGCCTGAGGTGGCCACAGGGCCAGGATAAGAGTGGGCACTGCAGCTGACCAGCTCACACTGGGTCTCCCTGTCTCAGTCACCAGCGCCACAGCAGCACAGGGCTGTGGCTTGGGTGAAGGACTGAGGATAAGAGCTTGGCTTGAACAGGAGAGTGGTTTGGGAATGGGGCAAGGGTGAAACAGCTGTGCCAGGGGTCAGAGCCCACCCAAATCCAGCACAAGGGGGAGGTGGCCCCTTCAGCCACCCAGCGCCTATGAGAAAGCCATCAGGGCCCACAACCCTGGGACAAGATGGGCCAGTGCCAGATCCAAGAGGCAGATCTAGGAAAGGGGGAGGACAGGACAGACAGGCCCCACTCCAAGGGCTGCCCCCAGGGGTCACCACTCGGGAACTGGCTCCCAAACTTACCCTTGTCTGCCAGCGACAGGGAACTGTTGAAGTAACCCTCCTCCACTACCCACGCTGTGTCATTAGCCTTGTTGGAGACCCCGCAGGAACCTATGCAGGTCACCCGGATGGCTGCAAAGGGGATGGCTGCATGAGCCCCAGCCAGCCGACGGCCCAGGCCCCTGCTTGCTGCCAGCACAGGAATTCGACCTGGGGCCAAGCAGCACCACCTGGGCAGGGTCCTGGGAAGGCCAGTGAGCAAGCAGCCCATGCCACTTCAGAGGACATCTGCCCATCTCCTGTCTTGGGGGGCTCCAAGGGAATCAGGCAGGCGAGGGGCCTGACCAGCACAAAACGACGTCTGCCCTGCAATCCAGAGCAGAAAGACCCCAACGCTCATCCAGATGATGGCTGGGTTACCCCCCAGATTGGTAACCTTGGCTCCCAGCCAGACCTGCGAAAGCTCAGCTGCCTACAGGAGACACTCGGGACACACCAAGGGGCGCATCTTCTTGCTGCCCTGTGGACAAGTCAGTCAGGCAGGGAAGGACCCGTCCACACTCCAGGAAGCTAACTGCCAACCATCATGCTGCAGGAATGTGGCCAGACCCGCCTAGGCAGACACAGTGTTCCACAGTCAGCACACCGTTGGGTGGGGCCCTACTTCCTGGGCGAGCACTGCCCAGCGGGGCTGACTTTCTGCATCAGGAGACGGCTCAGTCCTCTCCGGCCTCCCTGGGGGAGTGCCCAGACCAGGAACTGCTTGAGGCAGAGGTGGCACTGTTCTGTGGCCAGGAACACAAATTCCTTAGTCCAACAGATGTGTGTCCAGAAACCATGATGATCAGAAGATCATGGCTGGACAATCAGGTCCAGCAGAAGCTGGTCACAAGGGAGGACAGACGCAGCAGAAGTACACACAGCACAAGACCCAGGTGGGCAGGGGTTGGGGGAGACAGTGGCAGGCCACCTGCACCTCCAGCCCCTCTTCTCCCTGCAGGGCTGAGTCAGGGCCAAAGATGGCCACCTCCCTGCCTGGTCCTGGTGGGGGTCACGTGAGGAAAAGGTGACTCAGACTCTGACACCTGCTGAGGGAGCAGCCAGGCAGGAGGAGTACCGGTGTGCCGAGCGCCCAGGGTCAGCCATACCTGCCTCACCTGTGGTCTCCCCAGCAGGCCCCACCTGTGGCCCAGGCCTTCTGCCTGCCACCCAGAGCAGCAGGATTCCTCTCACAATCCTTGGCTCAGCCGCAGCCCCACGTGGCTCTCCACATGCATCCTGCCTACCCCTCGGCAGCTGCCAGGCCCAGTCCCCCATCCCTGAGGGTGGCCCTTGCTTCCTGCTGCACGCCCTCTACCCCCGGGCGCTGCCAGGGCCTGTCCTCAGCCTCCATTCCAGCCCAGCCTTGCCACCCCAACCTCGGTCCATTTTTTGTTTTTTTGTTGTTGTTGTTGTTGTTGTTGTTTTTGAGACACGGTCTCACTCCCGCCGCCCAGGCTAGTGTGCAGTGGCACGATCTCGGCTCACTGCAGCCTTAACCTCCTGTGTTCAAGCGATCCACCCATCTCAGCCCCGCAAGTAGCTAGGACTACAGGCACGTGCCACCACACCTGGGTTTTGTTTTTTGTTTTTTGTTTTTCTTATAGAGACAGGGTTTTGCCATGCTGTCCAGGCTGGTCTCAAACTCCTAAGCTCAAGCAATCCACCTGCCTCAGCCTCCCAAAGTGTTGGGATTACAGGCATGAGCCACGGTACCCAGCTCTGCTCTGATTTTGAATCCATGCTCTGTTAGCCAGGCCCTCCTCGGGCCAGACCCCATACTGTGTTCATGCTGAAAATCCGGAACACCAGTAATCCTCCTGTGGACCAGCAGACAGCCCAACAGAAGCACATGGGCATGAGCAGGCACAGAGGAGGGTGGGCGTGGCTGAAGCAAGGAGAGGAGGCCTGGGGACTGGAAATGCTGCCGTGCTTTTAACACTCCTGACAGACTGCACATCCCCACCTTGAATCCCGCAAATGCTGGGACCCAGCTGGGTGCAGTGGCTCACACCTGTAATCCCAGCACTGTGGGAGGCCAAGGCGGGTGGATCACTTGAGGTCAGGAGTTCAAGACCAGCCTGGCTGACATGGTGAAACCCCATCTCTACTAAAAATACAAAAAAGGCCGGGCACGGTGGCTCATGCCTGTAATCCCAGCACTTCGGGAGGCCAAGGCAGGCAGATCACCTGAGGTCAGGAGTTCCAGACCAGCCTGACCGACATGGAGAAACCCCATCTCTACTAGAAATACGAAATTAGCTGGGCATGGTGGCACATGCCTGTAATCCCAGCTACCAGGGAGGCTGAGGCAGGAGAATCGCTTGAACCTGGGAGGCGGAGGTTGCAGTGAGCCGAGATCGCGCCACTGCACTCCAGCCTGAGCAACAAGAGTGAAACTCCATCTCAAAAAAAAAATACAAAAATTAGCCAGGCATGGTGGCACACGCCTGTAATCCCAGCTACTTGGGAGGCTGAGGCATGAGGATCACTTAAACCCAGGAGGCAGAGGTTGCAGTGAGCTGAGATCGCACAAATGCACTTTAGCCTGGGTGACAGAGCGAGACTTCATCTCAAAAAGAAAAAAAAAAGAAAAATGCTGGAACCCACAGAGGATGCCGGAAAGGGGGCAGTGGTCCCCAGACTAACCCGTATGCCAGCCAAGCACCCTCAAGTGATCCCAGCTGGTGGCACAGAACTGAAGATTAACCCTGCCCTCACTGTCCAGATTCCTAACCCACAACGCTGTGAGATATAATAAAATGGTTGTGTTAACTGTTTTAAGAATGGTGTCTGACTTGAGGTGACCGCGACTTTTACGTAGCAGTAGGTAACTGGAACAGATGTCCAACCTCACTAGAAATTACAGAAAACCCGGCCGGGCGCAGTGGCTCAGCCTGTAATCCCAGCACTGTGGGAGGCCGAGGCGGGCAGATCACGAGGTCAGGAGATCGAGATCATCCTGGCTGACACGGTGAAACCCCCGTCTCTACTAAAAATACAAAAAATTAGCCGGGTGTGGTGGCGGGCGCCTGTAGTCCCAGCTACTCAGGAGGCTGAGGCAGGAGAATGGCGTGAACCCGGAAGGTGGAGCTTGCAGGGAAAGCCCAAATGACCTACCATTTCAATCCATCAGATTGACAAATATTAAATGTCTCGACACAGCTGGGCGCAGTGGCTCACGCCTGTAATCCCAACACTTTGGGGGGCCAAGGCGAGCGGATTGCTTGAGGCCAGAAGTGTGACAGCAGCCTAGGTAACACGGTGAAACCCCATCTCTACCAAAACTACCAAAGATTAGCTGGGTGTGGTGGCGCGTGCCCCTGGTCCCAGTCACTCAGGAGGCTGTGGTGGGAGCCCCGGAGGAAGGAGTTGCAGTGAGCCAAGATTGTACCACTGCACTCCAGTCTGGGTGACAAAGTGAGACCTCATCTCAAATAAAATCAATGTCTTGGGGCCAGGCACAGTGGCTCACGCCTGTAATCCCAGCACTTTAAGAGGCTGAGGCGGGCGGATCACCTGAGGTTCGGAGTTCCAGGCCCGCCTGACCAACACGGAGAAACCCCGTCTCTACTAAAAATACAAAATTAGCCAGGCCTGGTGGCGCGTGCCTGTAGTCCCAGCTACTCGGGAGTCTGAGGCAGAAGAATCACTTGAACCAGGGAGGCAGAGGTTGCGGTGAGCAGCTGAGATTGCACCACTGCACTCCAGCCTGGGTAACAAGAGCAACGTAAATAAATAAATAAATAAATAAATGTCTCAACACACGTTGGAGGGAGGTGGAACACAAACACCCCTTATTCCAGTCAAACTGCAGACAAGTACGAGGTTCTGGCAAAGAGTGGGACAGGTCTACTGTAATTTTACCTGTGCATACCAGGAGACCCAGAATTCCGCTTAGAATCTCATGGTATTTAACCGGGAGCCTCACACGCCACTGCTCCTACTAGCAAAGCATCGCGAAAACCGTCATGGGACATTGACTCCACAAAAACAAACAGTATGCAACTGACCCTTGGGTCATCCTAAGGGTCCAGGTTCTGTGATCTTCCCAACGCCCATGCAGATGGCCCCGTTTTGCACATACACCAAGGCTCTTTGAGATGACTCTGCCAGAGTAAGCAGCCTCCAACCACTGTCCAAAGTGAAACCTGTCCCGAGCTGCCCCACACACTCCTCAGTAAGAACACGGGAGGCAAGGGGCTCCCGCACAGCTGCCAGCTGCTTCCCTGCCAAAACACCTGGAGCTGCTCCTCTGCCTCTCAGCAACTGCTTCAGGTCAGGCTGGGTGAATTTCCCAGGGAGCCCGTTTTCACTGGCCAGGCCAATGGCAGCGGCCATGTTTCTGCCTTTTCAAATCATCGAATCAGGCAGGACCACAGGATGCAGTTCTGCCCACGGAGAAGCCAGAGCAATACATGGGGTCCATTGTGAGGGGTCTCCCTGCTGCTGGCGGCATACGACCCCGCTCCCTCTTCTTTCCAGCTTGCAGACTGCTTGTGATGGCAGAACACGCTGAAGGGAACCGAGCCTTTCGCAACAGGAAAGCCACCAGGCAGGGCTTGGCTGCAGGACTGAGTGGCTCAGTGGCAGTCCCCTAGTCAGAGTGTGACTTCTTCCGCCTTCTGGACTTGAACGTTGCACCTCTTTGCAGGGGCCCTGCAAGCCCTGTCCCTCCTCCCCCATGCAGGTTTAAAAAATGTTTCCTGGCCAGGCACGGTGGCTCACGCCTGTAATCCCAGCACTTTGGGAGGCCGAGGCGGGCGGATCACGAGGTCAGGAGATCCAGACCCTCCTGGCTAACACGGTGAAACCCCGTCTCTACTAAAAATACACAAATTAGCCGGGTGTGGTGGCGGGCGCCTGTAGTCCCAGCTCTTAAGGAGGCTGAGGCAGGAGAATGGCGTGAACCGGGGAGGCGGAGCTTGCAGTGAGCCGAGATCGCGCCGGCACACTCCAGCCTGGGCGACAGAGGGAGACTCCGTCTCGAAAAAATAAATTAAAAAAATAAAAATAAAAAATGTTTCCTGTGTTCAGATGCACAAGCAAGGACAAGCTGCTGGAGGCTGCAGGCCTCTCTGACTCTAAGGAAGATCATGACTGGGCTGCGTTCTCAAGTGACCACTGGAACTTTCTTCTCCAGCTGGGGCTCCCACCTGTTCAGCAGCCCCTCCCTTGCACCACCTGCACTTGGACCATGAAGACCCACCCACTCCTCATCCTCATCCCAAAGGACTCACGCCTGCCACAGAAGCTGTGACCTGTAAGCCACTCCCCCAGTCCTGTTTCCAAATCTGTATCATGAGAGTAACAACCGTGCCACTTGCCAGGGCGCTGAGGGTTAACTGAGGCTGGCCCGTGGCACGTGGAGAGAATTGCATCGGGCCCACCATGAGTGCTCCGAGAACCACTGTCGGCCCTGGTCGCCCATCCCAGTAACAGCAGAACAAGAAGTGGTCCTGCCTGAACCCCAGCCCTGGACTGGGCCAGCCTGAGCTCCAGAAAACTGCTCCCTCCCAGGCCTCCCTCCGCGTCAGCCCTTTAGACAGCCGGTGTCCTCACGGCTGGGTGCTGACTGTCACCGACACTCATCGGCAGAGTAAGTGAGCAAGCTCTGGGGCCCAGGCAGGGCTGCTGTCCTCCTGGGGGCTGAGGGCCTCCCTACTGGCTCCTAGCAGGATTGACAAGCATCCTCTGAATGAGGAAAAGAAACCATGGTCCTTCTGTTCCCATCCCAGGCAGGGCTGGGGGAAACCCCCGGGGGCCCCGGTACACCCTCCCACCTCACTTGCAGCAGCCTGAATCATGTGCTCTCTGGCCCATCAGGGCCCATCTCCTACTCCTTAGCTCACGACCCTCCTTTTTCTCCCTCATTCAGACCAGCCTCTGTGAGGTAGGACCATCAGCCAGTGCTCCCTCGGCTCTTGGGCCAGCTGCCCAAAGTGCTGGGATTACAGGCGTGAGCATTCAACCCACCCACCACGTCCACCCGGAGGCCAGGGGAGCCTGCACACCCAGGCCAGTCACGCACCGCGGGGCCGTCCCTTCCCTGTGGTAAGCAATGGCCTGCTCACCCCAGGCCACGCCAGGGGAAGGACGACAGGGTCCTGCACAGCCCTCAACCAGGATCCAGCCGGCCTCACCACACACCACACCTGTACCCAAGAGATGTGTGTGCTATCTCTGCCCTGCCACGGCCACACCTGCCCCCACCCAGACCCCAAACTCAAGGTTGGGACAGAGGAAGGGAGGCTGTGGGGTCATCCCAGGAGGCCCAGTGGGGCCAGGAGCCTGACAGAAGCACCTACCACCCGGCTTCTTCCGAGGCCCCACAGCCTCAGGCGGTGCAGGGTCAGGGCCACAGCACCATCACCTGTCCCAGGAGGCTGAGAGGACAGAACAGAGACTGTGGGTTCTCAGCAGGCACAAAATCGGTGCTGTTACCCACGCGCGGGCCCAGCGGTCAAGGTCCAGCGGCAAGTCCAGGGGCTGTGGCACAGGCCAAGCAGCCCAGGTGGTTCCCACAGGAGGCCAAGGTAGAGAAGTCCCCGGCAGGGACGCGGCACTCACAGCCAAGGGCCGGGCAGAGGCAGCCTCACCTCGCGGGCCGGCCCTCACCTCCAGGGCGCCCTGCCAGCGGCCACTGCAGCAACCCGATACCCAGTCCCCGAGGCCCAGGCGTCCACCTCGGCGGGGGGCCGGCGAGGCCTGCTGGCGGGTGGCAGGGGGCGCAGGGAGCCGCAGCAGGTGTCTGCACCCCGCCGGGACCGCACGCCCGCGCCAGGAGCGGCTCTGCAGCGGGAGCGCCTGCGCCGGGAGCCAGGGTGCGGGAAGGAGCCCAGCAGGTGCGAGCGCGGACGGGGAGGGTCGCAGGCCTGCGTGCGCCCGCGCTCAGGGCGTCCTCCACAGTGGACCCGCTTCAGGCCCCGCCGGGACCCCGCCGCCCCTCGGCGAGAGGGCAGGAAGGGCAGACGCGGAAGGGCGGCGCCGCCCGGACCTCCCCGGCGCCGCCGAGCCCGCTTCCCAGCAGTCCCGGGCGGCGAAGACAGCGACTCCGCGGGCCCAACCCGGGGCCAGGCGACGGCAGCCGCTTCCGGGAGCCCTGGCCCCGCGCAGGTGCGGCCAAAGGCCCTCCCCGAGGACCCGCGCCCACCTCGGAACGGCAGCGGTGCCCCCAGGCGCACGCGCACGGTCCCAGCCAACGGCTCCCCGGGGCTGTAGACGACGCGGCCGTGGCTCAGGCTGATCTCGAAGAGCTGCACTCGCCCCATGCCGCGGCCTCACCGGCCAGCCGCGCAGCGACGCCCCCGCCCGCCGCCCGCGAGTCCCGGCTCCGAGGCCCGGCCCCGCCCCCTCCTATGCCCCGCCCCCATCCGTCCCAATCCCGGCCTCCACCCCCATCCGGCCCCTCCCAGGCCCTGCCCCGCCCCACGGCCCCGCCCAGCCCCCCGGCCGCCCCGTAGCCCGCGGACTGCCGCTCGGAGGCCCGGCCCAGCCCCTATTCCCCGCCCCATCCGTCCGTGTGGCCCCGCCCCCTCGTTATTCCCCGCCCCTCTGACAGCCTCCTCGCCCCGCCCCCGCCCTTCGCCCCTGCCTCGCCTTCCCAGCTCCGCCCCTGCCTCGGCCGCCCCACCCCTGCCCCGCCCCCCGGCCGCGCTCATCCATCCCCGGCCCTGGCCCTGTCCCGGCTGGGTAGGTGCTGCGCTGCGTCGGGCGCCGCTTAAGGGACTTGAGGCGCAAGCGTCCCGTGCGTCCCCCACGGAGGGAGTCACCGCCGCGTCTCCGTCGGGGGGCAGGGCTGGGGGCGGGGCCGAGGCGAGCTCTGAGACTGGGAAGGTCTCCCCGCTGCACTCTGCTGCGGGCAGAACCCACTCCTCCGCCCCCACCCTCCGCCCGTCCCGCCCAGGGGTCTCCCTCACCCCGAGTCGCGGAAAAACGTCACGGGGCCGCGCGGGCGTCCTGGGCGGGGATGCTCCGCCGCGTAGGACCTGCCCCGCCTCAACCCCCACCCCCGGCTCCTGCCCCGCACCCCCAACCTTCTCCGCACCTACCTCGCGTCCCAGCACCTGTCGCGCCCCTCCGGAACCTGCCCGCCCTCCCGCCTTCCCGGTACCTGCCTACCCCCGCAACTGTCCCGGCCCCCAACACCTGCATCGCCCAACCCCTTCCCCCCCCGCCCCCTGCCTTCCCCGCACCTGCCCGGAGTCCCAGCACCTGCCCCGCCCCCCGCTATCCCCCTCCTTGCTGGCCTGATGGGGTGTGGGCCCAAGGGAGCCACACTTGGGCGGAGGCCCTTGGGCAGGGGTCCGCAGCAGAAGGGTCGGGGGCCAGGTGGGGCGAGGACTTGGATCACTTGAAACCAGGAGGAACACACTCCCATTTATCTTTTTTAAAGGGTCCCTTTGTAGAGAGTGAGCCGCGGGGGGTGGGACTCAAATACCCAGGGGACCTAAGGCGGGAGAGACCGGTTGGGTAGTCCTGGAGAGGGAAGGCGTCGCTCGACAAGGACCAGCTCACCACGGAGTGGGTGTGCGGGCCCCAGTGCTGCGAGTTTTTCTAGGACAGCCGGTGAAGAGGGTGGCCTTCTCTGATGGGGAGGACGGACCTAGATACACATGGTTTGGGGGTGGGAGGGTCATCACATGCAGAGTCTGAGGTGCCACTGATCCCCAATGGACCAAGTACTTCCGTGCATGAGCCTGGGAGTCAAGCACTAAAATGTTGCCATCCCTAGTTGGTAGAAGGTAACAGGTCAGGGAGGAGGAGTCTGGCACCCCAGCAAAGAGAAAGGGGCTCACAGGCTGGAGGGGCCCCCGGGCCAGGCTGGGAGAGGCCCTGAAGCCCCAGGCCCAGCTCACTCCCTTAGGATTCCGATGTTTCCGGAGGTGGGTCTAACTGGCCATGCTCCAGACACTTTCCTGCCAAGGCTATGCACAGGCAGAATTCCCGAACAAGAGAGAAGGGTGCCATGGGATGGCAAGGATTGTGGACAGCCCTCCCGAATGGCAGTCGGCCATGCCAGAAGTCAGAAAGAAGGTGTTTCACCGGGCGCGGTGGCTCGCACCTCTAATCCCAGCACTTTGGGAGGCCGAGGTGGACGGATCACGAGGTCAGGAGATCGAGTCCATCCTGGCTAACATGGTGAAACCCCGTCTCTACTAAAAATACAAAAAGAAAAAAAAAAATTAGCCGGGCGTGGTGACAGGCGCCGTGGTCCCAGCTACTTGGGAGGCTGAGGCAGGAGAATGGCGTGAATCCAGGAGGCGGAGCTTGCAGTGAGCCAAGATCACGCCACTGCACTCCAGCCTGGGCAACAGAGTGAGACTCCATTTCAAAAAAAAAAAACAGAAAAAGAAAAAAAAGAAAGTGTTTCAAGCAAGGGACAGACAGACTGTATTGCAAGCTACTGAGATGGAAGACAATGGACACAGAACACAGGTGGCCTTTATCCCAGGTCAGCCACAATCTAAGCCCCACAGGACTCTGCACATCCTTGATTCTGACCCTATCTCCCACCCATCCTGTGTTCCAGAAACCACCACCAGCACCAACCGCCCTGTCATTAGACTCTTCTTCTCCAAGCATACTTCTAGCTGCACTCTCATGAAAACCTGGCTTCCCCTGGAGCTTTCGGGTGTAGAGATATCTTTTCGCAGGATCCCTCTACCTCTGGGTCTGTAGGTGGGGTTGGGGCCCTCCTGGCTCCTTCCTAACACTACCAGGCCATTCTCCACCCTGGGAGCTACCATGTGTAAGCTTCCTGGTCTCAGAATCACCAGCACCACCTTCGCTCTGGTCGGCATCTTCATTTCTTGGTGATTTTAGCTCCTAACTCACTGTCATTCCCTCCATCTCCAAGTGTGGAAACTCAGTGCTTCTGAATCCACACAGGCAATCCTTCCAGCCTCCTGCCCTATATCCTAAAAGTACCTGGGTTTTGTTTGAATCAGGTATAGTAAAGTGACAGACTAGAAGACAAGTGCCACAAAGGAAGGATTTAGTACTCGTGGTTCTCAGGAGGAGGGGCCCTGCCATGCCACGCAGGGCCAGAAGGGGAAGTACCAGGGTCAGGAGGAGCCAGGAGAGAGCATGACCCAGAGCCTTTTTTGTGTTTTCCTCAGGGTGAAAATGGACAAGGCAGGGTAGGTAAGTGTGAGCAAGTTTAGGATTAGATAGCTTGAATCATGTCAGCAGACTCTAGGTCACAGCAGGGGGCTCTAGCCGTCTGGTATCTGTCCCTGGGGGATGCAGGGCAGGAGAAATGCTGGCTTGGGGTGTGAGAGTCAGATCAGGAAGAGACTGGGGATATGGGCTCTGGATTGGTGTTTATAAAGTTGTTTGCTAGCTCTGGGGATTAGCCAGCCCTGGAAGGGGCAGCATCTCCCTGACTAGTAAAGCCCCCAAGATGTCAAAGCATAATAACATACAGAAAAGGAAAAGTGTGGGCCGGGCGCAATGGCTCTGCCTGTAATCCCAGTACATTGGGAGGCCGAGGTGGGCAGATCACCTGAGGTCAGGAGTTCAAGACCAGCCTGGTCAACATGGTGAAATCCCATCTCTACTAATAATACAAAAAAAATCAGCCGGGCATGGTGGTGGCACACGCCCGTAATCCCAGCTACTCGGGAGGCTGAGATAGGAGAATCGCTTGAACCCAGGAGGTGGAGGTTGCAGTGAGCCAAGATTGGGCCATTGCACTCCAGCCTGGGCGACAAGAGTGAAACTACATTTCAAAAAAAAAAAAAAAAAGGAAGGGAGGGAGGGAAAAGAAAAGTGTGGTAAACACGTGTCAGTCTCATGGTTCCTCCTCCAAAACCCTCCTCTACCTCAGCAGTCTCCTTCCTAGGGCGTGGTGGTCCCTCCTCAAAGATCCCGCCCACCTTTGCATCCCTGCTGCTCTTCCCACCGGGGGGCTTCCCCTGGAACCTAGGCTGGCCCACAGCTTGCGTTAACTGGAAGAATTGCAATGAAACAGGCTGGGCGCAGTGGTCCATGCCTGTAATCCCAGCACTTTGGGAGGCCGAGGCGGGCAGATCGCTTGAGATCAGGAGATCAAGACCAGCCTGGCCAACATGGTGAAACCTCATCTCTACTAAAAATACAAAAATTAGCCAGGCGTGGTGGCACGTGCCTGTAATCCCAGCTACTCAGGAGGCTGTGGCAGGAGAATCACTTGAGCTCGGCGGGGGAGGTTGCAGTGAGCTGAGATCACGCCACTGCACTCCAGCCTGGGTGACAGAGTGAGACTTCATCTCAAAATCAAACAAAACAAAAACAGTCAAGGCTGGGTGTAGTGGCTCACATCTGTAATCCCAGCACTTTGGGAGGCTGAGGCGGGTGGATCACAAGGTCAAGAGATCGAGACCATCCTAGCCAACATGGAGAAACTTCACCTCTATTAAAAATACAAAAATTAGGCCGGGTGTGGTGGCTCACGCCTGTAATCCCAGCACTTTGGGAGGCCGAGGCGGGTGGATCACAAGGTCAGGAGATCGAGACCATCCTGGCTGACATGGTAAAACCCCATCTCGACTGAAAATACAAAAAATTAGCCGGGCGTGGTGGCGGGTGCCTGTAGTCCCAGCTACTCGGGAGGCTGAGGCAGCAGAATGGTGTGAACCCGGGAGGCGGAGCTGGCAGTGAGCCGAGATCGCGCCACTGCACTCCAGCCTGGGTGACAGAGCAAGACTCCATCTCAAAAAAAAAAAAAAAAAAAAAAAAAAAAAAAATATATATATATATATATATATATATATATATATATATATATATATATATAAATTAGCTGGGCGTGGTGGCACGTGCCTGTAGTCCCAGCTACTCGGGAGGCTGAGGCAGGAGAATTGCTTGAACCCGGGAGGTGGAGGTCGCAGTGAACCAAGATTGCGCCACTGCACTCCAGCCTAGTGACAGAGCGAGACTCCATCTCAAAACAAACAACACAAACAAAAAAAGAAAGTCATAGGAGCAACACACATTCACGTGGAGGGGAGAATTTGATGGTGACAATTGACACAACCTACCACCCTAGCCAACAACAGCAGAACCAACCAGCTAAGCCCATCCTAAACTACAGAATCATGAGAAAATACATAGTTGTTTAAAGCCACTAAGTTTTGGGGTGGTTTATTATTATTATTATTATTATTATTATTATTATTATTATTTTTGAGACAGTCTCACTCTGTCGCCCTGGCTGGAGTGAAGTGGTGCGATCTCGGCTCACTCCAATCTCCACCTCCTGGGTTCAAGCAATTCTCCTGCCTCAGCCTCTCCAGTAGCTGGGACTACAGGCACCCATGACCATGCCCAGCTAATTTTCATATTTTTAGTAGAGACGGGGTTTTGCCATGTTGGCCAGGCTGGTCTTGAACTCCTGACCTCAGGTGATCCGCCCACCTCAGCCTCCCAAAGTGCTGGGATTACAGGCGTGAGTCACCGCGCCTGGCCTGGGGTGGTTTGTTATGAAGCAATAGATATAATTGGAACAGAAATTGGTGCTCAGAAGTGAGATACTGCCATAATTTTTTTTTTTTTTTTTTTTTTTTTTAGACGGAGTCTCGCTCTGTCGCCCAGGCTGGAGTGCAGTGGCATGATCTCTGCTCACTGCAAGCTCCACCTCCCGGGTTCACGCCATTCTCCTGCCCCAGCCTCCCAAGTAGCTGGGACTACAGGCGCCTGCCACCACACCTGGCTAATTTTTTGTATTTTTAGTAGAGATGGGGTTTCACCATGTTAGCCAGGATGGTCTCGCTCTCCTGATCTTGTGATCTGCCCACCTCAGCCTCCCAAAGTGCTGGGATTACAGGTGTGAGCCACTGTGACCGGCCTTCTTTTTTTTTTTATTTTTTTATTTTGAGACAGAGTCTCACTGTCTCACCCAGGCTGCAGTGCAGTGATGCACTCTCAGCTCACTGCAACCTCTGCCTCCCAGGTTCAAGAGATTCTCCCGCCTCAGCCTCCCGAGTAGCTGGGACTACAGGCACCCACCACCATGCCCAGCTAATTTTTGTACCTTTAGTAGAGACGGGATTTCACCATATTGGCCAGGCTGGTCTCAAACTCCTGACCTTGTGATCCACCTGCCCCAGCCTCCCAAAGTGCTGAGATTACAGGCATGAGCCACTGCGCCAGGCCAACACTGCAACCTCCGCCTCCCGGGTTCAAGCGATTCTCCTGCCTCAGCCTCCCCAGTAGCGGGGATTACAGGCATGCAACACCATGCCCGGCTTATTTATTTATTTATTTATTTATTGAGACATAGTCTTGCTCTTGTCACCCAGGCTGGAGAGCAGTGGCACAATCTCAGCTCACTGCAACCTCTACCTCCCGGGTTCAAGTAATTCTCCTGCCTCAGCCTCCTGAGTAGCTGGGACTGCAGGCATGTGCCACCACGCCCAGCTAATTTTTTTTTTTATTTTTAGTTGAGATGGGGTTTTACCATGTCAGTCAGGATGGTCTCGATCTCTTGACCTTGTGATCCCCCCATCTCGGCCTCCCAAAGTGCTGGGATTACAGGCGTGAGCCACCATGCCCTGACAATTTTGTATTTTTTTTAGTAGAGATGGGGTTTCTCCATGTGGGTCAAGCTGGTCTCGAACACCTGACCTCAGGTGATCTGCCCATCTCAGCCTCCCAAAGTGCTGGGATAACAGGTGTGAAACACTGCGCCTGGCCCCAAAAATTTTTAAATATGGCGTTGACTTTGGAACCATGCAGCAGGAGGGGTCATGAGAAAGTTGCTATTGCAGGCTGGAGAAAGTGTAGACTATTTACCTTCCAGCAAGACCATTGCCTGTGGAACGTGGCGGACAGAAAGTGCATGCTGTGATCTGACTTTCCTGACATAGAGTTTAAAGGGCCAATTGACTTCTTTCAGTTATTTATGAGAAAGTGAAAGTAACAAAAGAAAGATGATCTGAATAAACTCTCTTGGCCCGGCACAGTGTCATACGCCTCTAATCCCAATGCTTTGGGAGGCCAAGGCAGGAGAATTGCTTGACCCCAGGAGGTCTAGGCTGCAGTGAGCCGTATTTGCACCACCGCACTAAAGCCTGGGAGACAGAGGGGGACCCTTTCACCCCAGAAAAAAAAGAACTTCCCCAAACTCCCACCAACACACCTACTAGCCTTTCTAGAACCTTCACATTGGCTACTGCCAAGGTGCACCGCCCTGTCCGACACAGCTCGTCATCCCCTCTCCTCTGCAGCCAATGCCTCATCCCTTTCCACCATCGTCCCCATGGGTGAACATCAGTGCCATGTCCCCTGCACCACGAATGTGCTCCTGACCTCCCCCCTCTTCCAGCCTCAGCTCCCTTCACTGCTCCTTTTCAGCAAAATGCTGCAGAAGAGCCGTCCATCTCAGCCTGCAACTCCTGTCCCTCATTCCTTCCGACACCCTTGGACATCTTCCCTCACCCCTCCACTGGCACTGTACTTCTCAAGGTAACGGGGGTCCCCTGTGTTGCTAAATCCATTGATTCATCCCCAATCTTCACTTTACCAGACCCAGCAGCAGCTGGGGCTGCCTTGCAGGCCTTCCTCCTACTTCACATCTTTGTTTTCTACTGAGTCCTCTTCTTTCCAATCTCTTTCCCCCTTAGTATGATAGTATTAAGTATCCCTTCTCTTTTTTTAAATGATACTCAATCTAGCATTTTAAAGAAATGTAATGTGCATTTTTTGCTGTTATAGTCATAATACATAAACTTCAATAAATACCATAGAACTTTTAAAAACTAAAAATTAACTTCCCGGCCGGGCGCGGTGGCTCATGCCTGTAATCCCTGCACTTTGGGAGGCTGAGGCGGGCGGATCACGAGGTCAGGAGATCAAGACCATCCTGGCTAACATGGTGAAACCCCGACTCTACTAAAAATACAAAAAATTAGTGGCGGGCACCTGTAGTCCCAGCTACTCCGGAGGCTGAGGCAGGAGAATGGTGAGAACCTAGGAGGCGGAGCTTGCAGTGAGCAGAGAGCGTACCACTGCACTCCAGCCTAGGCAACAGCAAGACTCTGTCTCAAAAAATAATAATAATAATAATAATAATAATAACTTCCCATACTTTTCTGATAAAGATTACAACATACTTCAAGCACATGACTGTTTTTACTTAAAAAGTGAGTTTTATCTTTTTCTTGTTTACTTCACATACTACACTGATGTAAATATCCTTTTAAAAATTTTATTTTGGCCGGGCGCGGTGGCTCACGCCTGTAATCCCAGCACTTTGGGAGGCCGAGGCGGGCGGATCACGAGGTCAGGAGATCGAGACCATCCCGGCTAAAACGGTGAAACCCCGTCTCTACTAAAAATACAAAAAATTAGCCGGGCGTAGTGGCGGGCGCCTGTAGTCCCAGCTACTTGGGAGGCTGAGGCAGGAGAATGGCGTGAACCCAGGAGGCGGAGCTTGCAGTGAGCCGAGATCCCGCCACTGCACTCCAGCCTGGGCGACAGAGCGAGACTCCATCTCAAAAAAAAAAAAAAAAAAAAAAAAAATTATTTATTGAATGTAAACTTTTATTATTTTTTTGGATATAGTATCTTCCTCTGTCGCCCAGGCTGGAGTGCAGTGGCATGATCTTGGCTCACTGCAACTTCTGGGTTCAAGGGATTCTCATGCTGCAGCCTCCCAAGTAGCTGGGATTACAGGTGCCTGCCAGCACACCTGGTTAATTTTTGTATTTTTAGTAGAGATGGGGTGTCTCCATGTTGGTCAAGCTGGTCTCGAACTCCTGACCTCAGGTGATCCGCCCTCCTCGGCCTCCCAAAGTGCTGGGATTACAGGTGTGAGTCACCGCCCTGGCCCTAATTTTTGTTTTTTTAGTAGAGGTTTACAAACAGGTTTCTGCCATGTTGGCCAGACTGGTCTTGAACTCCTGACCTCAGGTGATCCACCCACCTCGGCCTCCCAAAGTGCTGGGATTACAGGTGTGAGCCACCACACCCGGCCTAACTTTAAACTTTTACTTTAGGTTTGGGGATATGTGAGGTTTGTTACATAGGTAAACACCTGTCACCAGGTTTGTTGTACATATTATCTCATCATCCAGGCATTAAGCCCAGTATTATTTTCTTCTTCGTGTTCATAAGCTCTCATCATTTAGCTCCCACATGTAAGTGAGAACATGTGGTATTTGGTTTTCTGTTCCTGTGTTAGTTTGCTAAGGATGATCGCCTCCAGCTCCATCCATGTTCCCACAAAAGACATGCTCTCATTTTTTTATAGCTGCATAGTATTCCATGGTGTATATGTACCACAGCTTTTTTTTTTTTTTTTTTTTTTTTTGAGACTGAGTCTCGCTCTGTCGCCCAGGCTGGGGTGCAATGGCGCAATCTCGGCTCACTGCAACCTCCACCTCCTGGACTCAAGCGATTCTCCTGCCTCAGCCTCTCAAGTAGCTGGGATTACAGGCACACACCATCACGCCCAGCTAATTTTTGTATTTTTAGTAGAGATGGGGTTTCACCATGTTGGCCAGGCTGGTCTTGTACTTCTGACCCCAGGTGTTCCACCCGCCTCAGCCGCCCAAAGTGCTGGGATTACAGGCGTAAGCCACTGTGCCCGGCTGTACCACATTTTCTTTATCCAATCTGTCACTGATGGGCATTTAGGTTTTTGTTTGTTTGTTTGAGATGGAGTCTCACTCTGTAGCCCAGACTAGACTGCAGTGGTGGCATGATCTTGGCTCACTGCAACCTCCACCTCCCGGATTCAAGTGATTCTCCTGTCTCAGCCTCCCAACTACCTGGGATTACAGGCAACTGCCAGTACACCCAGCTAATTGTATTTTTAGTAGAGATGGGATTTCACCATGTTGGCCAGGCTGGTCTCGAACTCCTGACCTCAGGTGATCTGCCTGCCTCGTCCTCCAAAAGTGCTGGGATTACAGGCCTGAGCCACCGGGCTGGCCAGCATTTAGGTTGATTCCATGTCTTTGCTCTTGTGAATAGTGCTGCACTCTCTACATCCACGTTTTCCCTCATGGTAATCTCATCCAGTTTTATGAGTTTTGCCATGGTTTGAATGCTTGTGTCCCTCCAAAATTCAGGGTCTCACTCTGTCACCCAGGCTGGAGGGCAGTGGCCCCATCACAGCTCACTGCATCCTCAACATCCCCAGGCTCAGGTGATCCTTCCACCCCAGCCTCCCAAGTAGCTGTGACTACAGGCATGGGCCACTATGCCTGGCTAATTTTTGTTTTTTGTAGAGACAGCATCTTGCCATGTTGCCCAGCCTGGTCTCAAACTCCTGGGCTCAAGCGATCCACCAACCTCAGCCTCCCAAAGTGCAGGGATTACAGGTGTGAGCCACTGCACCTGTCTCTAAGAGAGCTTTAAATATAATAAATGTGCTAATGATGCCAAACTTTTTTTTTGTTTTTTTGAGACAGAGTCTCACTCTATTGCCCAGGCTGGAGCGCAACGGCATGATCTTGGCTCACTGCAACCTCTGCCTCCCAGGTTCAAGTCATTCTCCTGCCTCAGCCTCCCGAGTAGCTGGGAATACAGGTGCGCACCACCACATCCGGCTAATTTTTGTATTTTTAGTAGAGACAGGGTTTCACCATGTTGGCCAAGCTGGTCTTGAACTCCTGACCTCGTGATCTGCCCGCCTCGGTCTCCCAAAATGCTGGGAGTACAGGCGTGAGCCACCGCGCTCAGCCATGATGCCAAACTTATATTCCCAGGCTGGACATCTCTGTGAACTCTATACTCACATATTCTACTTATACATTCAACTGCCTTGTAACCTTAACATGTAGCATAAGTAACACATTTTTATTTGGCTAAGCCGCTGAGAACTTGGGGTTGTTACTGCAGCATACCCAGGCCCATCCTGACATACACACCCCTCCACCACAGGTCCAAACATCACCACTTACCAGGAGAGGTCGAGTGTCCCTTATCCAAAATGCTCGGGACTAGAAGTGTTTCAGATTTTGGATTTTGGACTCTTTGTATTATACTTGCCTGATGGCGCTTTCCATATCCAAAATCCAAAATGCTCCAATGAGCACTTCCTTTGAGTGTCATGTCAGTGCTTACAAGGTTCAGATTTTGCAGCATCTCAGATTTCAGATCTGAATGCTCATCCTGTACTTGCCGCCCCTCCCGCCGCCCCATGTGCTGCTGCTTCTCAGTGGCCAGTTCATTGGCCACCTCTCCATTTTCTTTCGAGACGAAGTCTTGCTCTGTCGCCCAGGCTGTAGTGCAGTGGCGTGATCTAGGCTCACTGCAAGCTCCACCTCCCAGGTTCAGGCCATCCATTTTCTTTCATGACAGAGTCTTGCCCTGTTGCCCAGGTTGGAGTGCAGTGGAGTGATCTCAGCTCACTGCAACCTCTGCCTCCTGGGTTCAAGCGATTCTCCTGCCTCAGCCTCCCGAGTAGCTGGGATTACAGGCATGTGCCACCACACCTGGCTAATTTTTGTATTTTTAGTAGAGACAGGGTTTTGCCCTGTTGGCCAGGTTGGTGTTGAACTCCTGGCCTCAAGTGATCCACCCACCCCGGCCTCCCAAAGTGAGCCACCACACCCAGCCCCACCTCTCTATTTTCAAACATGCCAGACATGTCGCAGCTTAGGGCCTTTGCACAGGCCGTTCCTTCTGCCAAGAATGTTCTGCCCTGTATAGCCACACGGCTCACTCTGTCTCCTTCCACTGCAAGTTCCAATGCTGTTTTCTCAGAGGACGGCTCTGCCCACCCCTGCAGCAGGGCCTCTGACTGCCTTATGGTGATGGACTTGTTCTCCCCATTGCACTTCTCACTGGCCAACGCGGTGTATGGTTCCTCATTACGTGTATGTTCTGCCCCCCTCACTCGAGTATGAGCAGGGGCTTTCATTGATTTTGTTCATTGGTGTGGAGCAGTTTCAGCAGTGGGAGGGGTGAAAGCCCAGCTGGAGTGGGCTGTCAGGAGACTTGGGCGGTAGGCAGAATGCCCCCCAAAGGTGTCACGCCCTTATGCCTGCGCCTGTAATATTATGTTACATAACAAAAGGGACTTTGCAGATGTAAGTAGGTTACCAATTAGTGACCTTAAAATAGGGAGATTATCCTGTTTATCTGGGTGGACCCAATCTAATCACAGGAACACTTAAAGGCATAAAGCTTTCTCCAGCTGAAGGTGGGAGAAATGGGACAGAAAGGATCAAAGACGTGAAGTAGTAGAAAGGCTGGCTTTGGCCGGGCACAATGGCTCACACCTGTAATCCCAGCATTTTGGGAGGCTGAGGCGGGCGGATCACTTGAAGCCGGGAGTTCAAGACTAGCCTGGCTGGCATGGTGAAACCATGTCTACTAAAAATTTAAAAATTAGCTGGGCATGGTGGAGGGCACCTGTAGTCCCAGCTACTCGGGAAGCTGAGGCAGGAGAATCACTTGAACCCGGGAGGCGGAGGTGGCAGCGACCCGAGATTGTACCACTGCACTCCGGCCTGGATGACGAAGCCAGACTCTGTCTAAAAAGAAAAGAAAGTCTTGCTGGTTTTGAAGATGTGAGCGACCTCTAGAAGCTGAGAACAACCCCGGGCCGGCAGCCAGCAAGCGGAGACCTCATACAACCATGTGATGAATGTCAACAACCTGAAGGAGCCTGTAGCCCGGGTCTCCCCTAGGGCCCCTGCTAAGAGCTGAGGCAGCTGACACCCTGATTTCAGCCCTGAGACCTGCAGCAGAGAAGCCAGTCAAACCCACCTGCACTTCTAATGCACAGAACCGTGAGATAATGGGTGCTCTTTTGTGGTTGGTTGTTATAAAGTGATAGAAAACGAATTAACTAGGAGATAAGAGGAGACGCCAAGTACAGACAACCTGTTAAAAACTCTTGCTGGGATGGGAAGTAGGAAAATGAGGCAGTGGCTGGAAAGGGATGGGGGAGTCAAGGGCTTCTTTTTAAGGTGCCTGCCCCTGGGAGAGGGAAGCTGCAGTGAGAGGAAGCACCGCCCCAGCGTTACATAATTCCACCCTCGCAGGACACAGAGGCAGGGGTGCCACATTCATACTTGGGTAGAATGTGTAGATAAAGCAGCCGGCTTGTGGTGGACCAGGTATGAGTTCCCAAGCCAGCTGGGCACTGCCCGCAGCACTGCGCTGTGTCAACACCTGCAGGTCTTTCTCGGCTTTGGAGCCAAGAAGTCACCTTGCCAGGAACAGCCTCCAACCAATGACTGCAAGGTGAGAGGTGAATGCTGGGTCCCCTTGCAGCAGGGTGAAGGGTGAATGCCTTGGCTCCCCTGGCCCTCGGGGAGGGACTCTGAGGATGGTTCCTACACAAGCGCCTGCTACAGTAACTGGACTGGTAGCACCCCCTTCCCTGCCTCACACCCCTACTCTCCTGCTGGTGTCTCCTGGGGTCTTCTCTCAAGCTAACAATTTGGACTTTTTTTTTTTTTTGACGGAGTTTCACTCTGTTGCCCAGACTGGAGTGTGGTGGCACAATCTTGGCTCACTGCAACCTCTGCCTCCTGGGTTCACGCGATGTTCCTGCCTCAGCCTCCCAAGTAGCTGGGAATACAAGTGTGTGCCACCACATCCGCTAATTTTTGTATTTTTAGTAGAAACGGGATTTCACCCTGTTGGCCAAGCTGGTCTTGAACTCCTGACCTCAGGTGATCCACTTGCCTCGGCCTCCCAAAGTGCTGGGATTACAGGTATGAGCCACCAGGCCCGGACAAAATTTGGACTCGAATCCATTTCAAGTCAACCTCTGGGGGAACCTGGACTATGACACCAGTGCTTTTCAACTACCCTAGGGAGCACCCACCAAGCTCCACTTCTTTTCACAAAGCAGTTGCTCATAATCTCATCACACCCTTGCAACTCCATGAGGTTGAGATTGGTAGGGCAGGTACTTTTTTTTTTTTTTTTGAGACGGAGTCTCGCTCTGTCGCCCAACCTGGAGTGCAGTGGCACGATCTCGGCTCACTGCAAGCTCTGCCTCCCGGGTTCAAGCCATTCTCTTGCCTCAGCCTCCCAAGTAGCTGGGACTACAGGCACCCGCCACCACGCCCGGCTTTTTTTTTTGTATTTTTAGTAGAGGTGGGGTTTCACCGTGTTAGCCAGGATGGTCTCCAGCTCCTGACCTCGTGATCTGCCCGCCTCGGCCTCCCAAAGTGCTAGGATTACAGGCATGAGCCACCGCGCGCGGTCGGACAGGCATGTTTTGAGCAAGGCCCAGCCTGAACCCCAATGTGTGTCTCAGGCAGGCCAGGACTCATCAGCCCCTTCAGTCCTCTAGGGTGTCTGGGGTACTGGCAAGTACCAGGGGACCCAGAGATGGAACGTCTGGGCTCACTCATGTACACCCTTTGCAGGCTGGGGCACGGTGGCTCATGCCTGTAATCCCAGCACTTTGGGAGGCCGAGGTGGGCCGATCACCTCAGGTTGGGAGTTCGAGACCATCCTGGCCAATATGGAAAAACCTCACTTCTACTAAAAATACAAAAATTAGCCGGACATGGTGGCGCGTGCCTGTAGTCCCAGCTACTCGGGAGGCTGAGGCAGGAGAGTCGCTTGAACCCGAGAGGCAGAGGCTGCAGTGAGCCGAGATCGTGCCACTGCACTCTAGCCTGGGTGACAGAGCAAAACTCTGACTCAAAAAAAAAAAAAAAAAAAGCAAGAAAAGAAAACGGAACCCAGCAAGCCAGAAAGGAGCCTGTGCAGCTCCTCAGGTGCAGGAGTCGCCCTTGAGGCAGGGTGAGGCCTCCTCACGGGCGACTGGACACCGGCGGAGCAGGACGCAGGACCTAGCCCCGTTCGCTCCAGGCTGCAGGGGAGCCACGCTGCCCACCACGGCGTACCCAGTCCCTCCCTGAGCGGGTCTCGGCTTTCCCGCGGAGCCTAATGGGCCTCACTGGAGTTCCGTTTCCAGACGCCTTGGACCAGGCTGCTCTGGAGGTCAGCCGCCCCCGAGGCTGAAGAGCCGGCGGCTCGGAGAAGGCTGCGCGGGAGGCCGCGCCCTCCGGGTCGCGTGGGCCGGGCGTCCGCTGTCTCTCCAGAAACACCCGCGTCCCGCGGCAACGGCCTCTTCCTAGCCCGCCTCGCCCGCTCCCCGCCCGCCCAGAGGGCCCCGCACGAGCTCCGTCCACCTCCTCCTTCCGCGCTCGGGGCCAGGACGGCGGCGGGAAACAGCTTACGGAGGCTACCGCAAGGGAGGCGAAAAGCAGCCAGCTCGCAGAGCTCCACGGACCCGGCGCGAGTCCCCAGCCACACTCCGCACTGCCCCTCTAGGCGCGGCGCCGCTGCCCGCACAAAGCTTCCCGCGAAACTGACGTCGGCGCGCGCAGGCACCGCCCCCGGCCTCGCCCCTCCCCCGCGCTCGCCCCGCTCCCCAGAGCGCCGGCGCACTCGCCCTCCTCCTATTGGTTGTTGCGGGGCGGCGCGCGCCGGTCGGCGCCGTGCGCGCCTAGCCATTGGCCGAGCGGCGGCGGGCCGGGGGGTGTGTCCGGGGCTGCGCCCCGCCCCTCCGCTCCGCTCGCTGTGGTGCGCGCGGTGGCGGTGGCGGCGGCGGCGGCGGCGCGTGGCAGGTCCGGCGGGCGCGAGGCGGCGGCGGAGGCCCGAGCCCGGCCCAGCCTCGTCCCGCCCGGAGCCCGCCTGGCTGCTACCCCGACCCCGGCTCCGGTCCCGTCCTGTCCCGGCGCGCCGCGGCCTCGCCCCGGCCCCCGCTCGGCGCCTCCCGAGGGAGCGGCGCTGCCGGCCGAGAGCGCAGGCCCGGCCATGACCGACTTCAAATTGGGTATCGTGCGGCTCGGCCGGGTGGCCGGGAAGGTGAGCGGCGCGGAGCCCGCGACCCGGCCCGTCTCGCCCGTCCAGGCCTCCGCGCGGGGCCGGGGGCGGTTGTGCGGGCGGCGGCCGGGGCGGGGGCGCGGAGCCCGGGATGGGCCCCAGCGGGGCGGGGGACGCTGCGCGGGCCCGGCTGCTGGCCCCGCGCGGGTGCAGCTTCCTCTCGCAGGCCGGCGGGCACGCACCCCTCGGCTCTGGGGTGCACCTGGCCACCCTCGGCCCTGCCCTGCCGGAGGTGGAGGCCACGGCCCTGTCCCGAGCCGGGTGCGGAGATGCGTGGCTCGAGCCCGAGCCGCGTTCTCCCGGAGCCCTCCCAGTGGTGTCGGCGATCCGGGGCCTAGCGCGGCGTCCGGGCTGCCAGTGCGGCCACACGGTTTAAACACAGCGCCCTTTCCGAGGCAGCGCCACTTCCACACCTCTCGCCGAGGCGGGTCTGGTGTGGGCTCTTCTGTGCCTCCCAGTTCTCAGCAGGGCTTCAGGCTCGTTTTAACGCTGCCAGGGGTTGGCCACGTTAGGCTGAGCCTCAGACTCGGAGCAGAGAGGAAGAAGCCTGGGCCCTGATGCTGCAGACTCAGGGCCTTCCTCGACTTCTCTTCTTACTTGGCCCCCACGCTCCACGTTTGAGGCTGGGGATTCCATGGCACCTGTGGGCATTGAGGCTTGGCGGTTTCTCGGAGCCACCTGTGCAGCTGCACCAGCCAGGGTCCTTACCCGGATGGGAGCCCTGTTCCCGTCACCAGCGGCTGCGGCTTTTGGTGGGAGAGAGGAGCCGAGGCAGTGTCAGGCGGCGTCAGGTAAAACAGGTTCAGATCCCAGAAGAAAAACTGCCAAGAGGGAGACTGGCCCGTTCTGGGACCTGTTCCTGTTTCCTGCCCCTGCTGCAAGAGCATAGGCAGGGCCTGCTGGGGAGGAGGCTTTTTTCCACCAGGGAAGGGTGGGCTCTCCAGTCAGGTCGGAGACCAGAGACCCCTTCTAACTCCACCCATGATGGCATTGTCATCCCTTACAGCTTTTCTTTGGAACATTTCAGATGGACAAAAAGCTAAAAAGGGTAATCAGTGAGTAGCTCAGCTTAATAAACACACCCTAATCAAAACCTTCTGGCTCTTCTGCCTCAGCCCCGGCCCCTCCCTCAGCTCAGTGAAACAGTCTTTGCCTAGGTTTATTGGTGCGTTGAATGTTCAGTGCCACTGTTGGGGTTAGCCCTGCGAGGATGAAGCCTGATACCAGCTCCTCTGGCGCAGACTAAAGTGGGCAGCTGGCTTTTAACCTGTCTGCCTGTGTTTTGTCGTAGACTGCACCACCCCAAACGGTGGAATGAGGCCCCCATGTGCTGAGCTGTCTTGGTCTGAAGAGGCCTGTAGTTACTTTCCACTTCACAGGAAAATGCAACAGGCTCCTGCCTGTTCTGGTTATAAGGTTACTGCACCTCACGCAGATCCCAAATGTAATGATTTGAAACATGTGGTTAACTTCCAGACCAAATACACGCTGATCGATGAGCAGGACATCCCGCTGGTGGAGAGCTACTCCTTTGAGGTAAGTAAGGATGGCTGTTCCCTCCCCTGATGCTCGTGGTCAGTGCCCAGGAGGGTCACGAGGAACGAGCTCTCTCCCCTGTGCTGCAAGAGCAGGCGGCCCCACAAGTGGACAACTGGTGCTGGCCTGTGAGCCCTGAGCCGTCAGCCCCACTTCGAGCCGTGGCCCTGCAGAACCTGGCTGTTGCTGCCACTGGAGCCCACTGTGGCCCACATGGCCTGGCGACAGTGGTCTTCCTCACTTTCACCCCAGCTGCCAGCTCCTCTTGAAAGCAAATGGAATGTTCTCATGTTTGTGATTGTGTCACGTGGACCATGTCTGTTAGCTCGAAGACCCTGCTCTTTAGAGCTAGCCACCTCTGCTGGGCCTGCCTTAGCAGTCCCTCCTGGCTGCCCAGCTGCCTCCCGTTCTCTGCTCTCATGGGGTCTTCCTGCCTCTTCCCAGCTTCCATTCCTGCCGCTGAGCTTGGCCTCCCTCACCATCCTTTATCTCTGTGCCCCACACATTCACAGTAGTGACCTCTCCAGGGGGTTCTCTATCTCACTGCACCGTGGGCTTTTTTTAAGGGTAGGAAAATGTATTTGTCTATGTCCCATTGTATTTTGCAGAGTTGTTTGTGAGTGTTTCTTGCTCGAATAGACAGAGTGGTGGTGGGCCACGCTGGCCCCTGGGAGCCATGTGCCTGTGGGAAGCTCTGCACTCCCCAGGGTCTCAGGGACAGGGCTGGCATTTGTCCCTCTGGCTTGCTTGTTTCACTTGGTTTTTCTAAGAGGGAATTGAAGTGTTGCTGAGAATTGGAGGTTTTTTAACAGCTCTTTCCCTTGTTCCTTCTCAGGCCCGAATGGAAGTGGATGCAGATGGAAATGGTGCTAAGATATTTGCCTATGCCTTTGACAAGAACCGAGGAAGGGGCTCTGGGAGACTCCTTCATGAGCTGCTGTGGTGGGTGTTTCCAAGCTGTCTCTGCCCCCCGCCACTGGGCTCCTGGGTGAGCTCCGATGGCACAGGGCGCCTGGAGCCCCCTGCCCCGCTGAAGCCCTGCCTTGCCTTCCCTGAATCTCGCAGTTATTTTTGTGTCCTTCACCACTAACCCAAAGGAACGAATGATTTGTATGTTGCACTTCAAACACCAAGTGGACTTTCTGCTGGGAGCTTGCCCAGGACCGGCAGCCTCTGGAGGGACGGTGGTTGCTCCCCTTGCTGGGTTTTGCCGAGCCCCCCCGGTGTGCATGGTAGGGACCACTCAGATGGGGAGCTGTCTCGAGGCCATCTGCTTAGGTGGTTTTGCGTTCCAGCTTTGGCTGTCTGTGCTCTGAAGTCCAGGGGCCGGGTCCTCCCTGTGTCCCTGTCCTGTTTGGGCCACAGATCAGGTGCTTGGGTTTCTCTCAGCAGCTTCCGCCTGAGGTACCCTCATCCAAAGGACCAGGGGCCCGATCAGATCACATGGCTGACATTTCTTCCTGGAAGGACTTTGGTACCTGACCAGAAATGTCTGTGAGGGTGGGAGGCAGCGATGCAGGGTTAGATGCAGGGTTTGCTGTCTGTTTCTAGGGAGCGGCACCGGGGGGGCGTGGCCCCGGGCTTCCAGGTGGTGCACCTCAACGCTGTGACCGTGGACAATCGCCTGGACAACCTGCAACTGGTGCCGTGGGGCTGGCGGCCCAAGGCTGAAGAGACCTCCAGCAAGCAGAGGTGGGTCTTCTCAGGGCCTGGCGATGCCAGCAGAGGCGCCTTTTGAGGAGGGCCACCGCCAAAGCTCTTGTTTCCAAGAGGGTCTCCTGTTCCTCCTCTGAGCCCTGATGCTTCTGTGTATTTTGGGAATTTCATTGTTTTTCCCCAAAGCGTGGAATCCTCCTTTTCTTCATGGGAGCGGGAAGGATCTTGATGGTGTGTGTTTTTGCATTGCTCCTCTTATAATTGGCTCTGGGAACCTCCCTTTAGCTGGCATGACAGTGGGGAGAAGGGCTGCCTGCTCCAGGGCAGGGCCAGCGTCGGGACTCGGTGTGAGCAGGGCTTCTGCCCCACACCCCTGGGAGGCATCAGCCTTCTCTCCTCACCTCAGGATTCCTTCCTTCTCTGCTCACCTCAGGATTCCTTCCTTCTCTCACCTCAGGATTCCTTCCTTCTCTCACCTCAGGATTCCTTCCTTCTCTCACCTCGGGATTCCTTCCTTCTCTCACCTCGGGATTCCTTCCTTCTCTCCTCACCTCGGGATTCCTTCCTTCTCTGCTCACGTCAGGATTCCTTCCTTCTCTCCTCACCTCAGGATTCCTTCCTTCTCTGCTCACCTCAGGATTCCTTCCTTCTCTGCTCACCTCAGGATTCCTTCCTTCTCTGCTCACCTCAGGATTCCTTCCTTCTCTGCTCACCTCAGGATTCCTTCCTTCTCTCCTCACCTCAGGATTCTTTTCTGTGCACACAGATGGGTCTTTTTGTTGTGTTCTTTTGCTAAACAGTTTTCCTTAAGCAAAGGTTTAAAGCGGAGAATGGTTCAGGGCTCAGCCCTCGGCCCCCGACCTGCCTGTGATCCTGAAAGCAGTGCTTTGCATGGGCTTCCCACCTGGGAGGGCGGTTCCTGCTGGCCCTAGAACCAGCCAGTCTGTGAACTTCATGGAGCCCTTGGGAAGAGCCAAGGGACCAGCAGGATAGGGGTTGGGAGCCCAGTTGAGCCAGGGAGTCCCCAGCCACACACGCTTCACTGACATGTTCCCCTGGCGCCCTGGGGCTTTTGGGCACGTCCTCAAGCCTCTGGGCAGCCTTTCCTGGTGCAGGCAGTGCGAACTGCCCTAGCAGATGGTTGTCAGCAACGCTGGTAAGGTTTAGTGTTTCGGGCTTGGTGATGGTTGGTGGCTGTGGGTAGAATCTTTGCAGTTGTCACCTCAGAGTCATGCCAGAGCCCTGGGCAGCCGAGGTGGAAACAGTGGGAGCACCTGACACACTGGTTGGTGATGTGGGGACAGTCCCCAGGCCTCCAAAATGCCACTCCCAAACTGCTGTTCCTGCCACCCTGGAGGGAGTCCTACAAATCCCCCCCCATCCCTTCCTCACTGGGCCTCTCAGGACGAAGGCAGAGCCTGAAGTGTCTTTCGTTCTTGTTGGGCTGGTGTTTTTTTTTCCCTGCTCTGTTTATTTCATTAAATTAATTAATTTTACGGATGGGTCTCACTATGTTGCCCAGGCTGTTCTTGAACTCCTGGCTTCAGGGAATCCTCTTGCCTCAGCATTTTTTTTTTTTTTTTTTTTTGAGACGGAGTCTGGCTCTGTTGCCTAGGCTGGAGTAGCGCGACCTTGGCTCGCTGTAGCTTCTGCCTGCCCAGTTCAAGCAATTCTGCCCCAGTCTTCCTAGTAGCTGGGGTTACAGGTGCCCACCACCACGCCTGGCTAATTTTTGTATTTTTAGTAGAGGTGGGATTTTGCCATGTTGGCCAGGCTGGTCTTGAACTCCTGACCTCAGGTGATCCGCCTGCCTCAGCCTCCCAAAGTGCTGGGATTACAGGCGTGAGCCACCACGCCTGGCCCCGCTTCAGCCTCTTGAGTAGCTGGGATTACGGGTGTGCACCACCACGCCCGGTCCTTGCTCTAATATTAGAGTTTTGACCTTCCTCATACTGCTTGTGAGTGAAGCCAGGCCTCTTACGATTGTTGAATGGGGTTTTTATTCTTTCGGGGATTATGTTAGTTGGAACTTTGGGTTGCAAGAAACAGAAACAAAGGTCAATTTGGCTGAAACAAAAATAGGGTACATTTTGGTATCCTGACTGAAATGTGGAGAGCCAGGGATGCTGCTGCCTCCAGCTCTGCGCCCCCACTCCCGGCTCCTCTCTGGGAGGCGGCATGGGCACTACCTAGCACTTGCGGACTGAAGCAGGCACCCTGTTCTAGTGGTGTCTGGGGAAGCCCTGGGATGAACTGTAGTTAGCTTGCTTAGAATCACTTTTCTACATGAAAAGGGAAGGGGAAGGGGAAGGCGTGCTTGGCAGGCAGAGCAGCATCTGTAGCATCTCCTCCTGCGTTGTCCCACATTGATACATGCTCAGTGTTGATGCTGGGATGGGCCCTTCCCAACTCCGCAAGTTCGCCCGCTGCTCACCACTCCACCTGGCAATGCCTTCTGTCCCTGCCATGGTGCGGGTCATTTCAGCCGGTTCTCAACAAGACTCAGGGTCCGGCCAGCCTGTGACTGAATGTTACCTTGAATCCTCTCAGCACCCTTTATAATCAGGAGAGGAGATAACTGCCGTTAAGAACAGCCGTTTGGAAAGGGGGTGTTGGGCTGATGCTCCTGGTCAGCCCATTCTCTGTGGGCACGGCAGGATGCCCATTCTCTGAGGGCACAGCAGGACGAGTTGCGCTGGGGCTGCTGCCTTACACAACCCCCTGCTACAGGAGGTGGGCCTGGGGTGGCTCAGGACTGATCAGGCTCAGCCATCTTTGGTTTGCCAACATGGGGTTTTAGAACCCAGCAGGTGTTGGGCCTCTTGTGCTGGGTCAGCACCCCAGGCCCCGAGCAGAAGTCAGAGCTGGCCAGTGTGGGCCTGACATCCTGTCTGGCTGGGTGCTGTGTGTCCGTCTGGATCCTGGTCTGTGGCCTCCTGTGATCCAGCTCTTTGTGGTGGGGTCACCCTGTCTTTGTTGACTGGCTGGGTGCTGTGCGTCCGTCTGGATCCCAGTCTGTGGCCTCCCTGTGGTCCGGCTCTTTGTGGTGGGGTCACCCTGTCTTTGTCAGGCCTGGGCTATTGCTTTGCTTTCCTGGCACTGTGTCAGCTCAGCCCCCACAAAAGGGGCCTCTTGGCAAAGGGGTGTTTTCCTGTTCTGTCTTCAGAAGCCAGCAGTGTCTGAAACTTGCCTCTGTCTGGTGGGACCTCACCAACATCTTCCCATGTCCTGATCCTTCCCCGTTTTAACCAAGTCTCCTCAGGGTCTGGCTTCGGAGAACGGGGTTGGTGGGGTGGTTTATGCAGCTTCTTTACTCCGTGATGCAGCAGGGCTGGGGCTGCCCACGCTTGCCTCTGAGCAGCCAGTGCACATGCCTTTGAGGCTCCGTTCTTGGTAGAACTCTCCCGTTGTAGGCATCTGGCCTACTCAAGCAGGAGGAGTTTTTAGACGGACGTAGGGCAGCTCCCGGTATGGAAGGGGAAGTGGACCGACGGGGCAGTAATGGGCACCTCTGCAGGTCAAGGGCAAGGAGAGGGGCCGCCTCGCTTTGCACAGGGGCCTGACCTGGGCCCTGTCTCCTGCCTACTGTGTGCCTGTCAGTCCCAGGTGCTGGGGAGAGGGTGATAGATGAGGCCATGCTTACGGGTTAGTGGGAAGATGAGACACAATATTTACTGTCAGGTGGTGAAAAGCACATGCAGCAGGGATGGGCCAAAGGAGACTCAAACTCGGGCTGGGTGTCCTGGGCAGGATGGCACTCTATGGAGTCATTGCATCGTCTGCTGTGTGCTGGCCCCGTTTGGCCAGAGTGCACTCAAGTGTCTGCTTCTTTCTTTAAGGGAGCAAAGCTTGTATTGGCTTGCAATTCAGCAGCTGCCTACAGACCCTATAGAAGAACAGTTTCCTGTCCTAAATGTGACCCGGTATTATAATGCCAACGGGGATGTAGTGGAAGAGGAGGAGAACTCTTGCACCTACTATGAGTGCCACTACCCTCCCTGCACAGTGATTGAGAAGCAGGTGGGTGTGCTGCAGTGCGGTCGCGTCCCTGGCACCTCTACCCTGTAGCCCAGCCTTGGTTTGGGATCTTGCCCTCCACCGCGGGGTCCCATTCCCCAGAGACCGCTTAGCACCTCTTGGGCTTTTCCACCAGAGTGGTCTCCCTTTGCCCTTGTGCTGGCCTGACCAGGGCCCAGGCCCTCCAGCCTTGGTACGTGGTGTTTTGCTGGGTCCGTCAGATTGTCCGTAAGACGCAGCCTTTGCCCCACACTGCGTCCCAGGCATGATGGTGAAGCCACAGGTGTTCTGTATTTCAGCTCCGGGAGTTCAACATCTGTGGGCGCTGCCAGGTGGCCCGGTACTGCGGCTCCCAGTGCCAGCAGAAGGACTGGCCTGCCCACAAGAAGCACTGTCGGGAGAGGAAGCGTCCCTTCCAGCATGAGCTTGAGCCAGAGCGATGACGGGCAGGGGAGCCACACATACTCACAGCCCCCGGGCTCTACCCTGGGCACAGCAGAGACAGACTGGTGGTTGAACCTGGAGGTGCCAAAAAAGCCAGCTGCGGGCCCAGGACAGCTGCCGTGAGACTCCCGATGTCACAGGCAGTCTGTGTGGTTACAGCGCCCCTCAGTGTTCATCTCCAGCAGAGACAACGGAGGAGGCTCCCACCAGGACGGTTCTCATTATTTATATGTTAATATGTTTGTAAACTCATGTACAGTTTTTTTTGGGGGGGAGGCAATGGGAAGGGTAGAAATTACAAATAGAATCATTTGCTGTAATCCTTAAATGGCAAACGGTCAGGCCACGTGACTAAAAACTGTCCTGTTGTCGAAGCTTCTCCCCTGGGCCGCCGGGAGCCCCGTGGAGCGCGGCCTGCACGGGAGTTGTGTCCACAAAGGCAAAGTAAAGGGGTGGAATCATCTGGCCTCTCGGACATTCTCTGCTCCGCCTCCCTCTTGTGCTGCTTAGGGTGAGGTCATTTTGAGTGGAGCCGAGTCCTTGTGGGTGAGGCAGGAGGACCCTTGTTCCTGGTGGGCCCTTCTGAGGAGCGGGTGAGCTCAGACCTTCCTGAGTCCAGCAGGGAGTATGAGTGAGACTCTGTCCTTGTCTTGCGGCAGGAGTGGTGGGGTTGCTAAGTCAGCTGCCCGCTGTTTTATGGGGAGTAGGATGCTCTCGCCCCTGACATTGGTTAGTTCTTGCCTGATTTATGCATGAAGTGGCTGGGAGCTCAGCAGTGAGCTTCTGCCCAGAAGAATCCACAGGGCATGTTCAGCAGGCCTGCTGCAGATGGTGGAGGGGGCTGGCCAGCCAGGGTGAGGTGAGGGTCTCACTTCTCCGTCCGTCTGCAGGGCTGTGGTTTCCAGGATAGCCCTCCCTCTCCTTGGGGAGCCCCAGGTGTCTGGGGCTGGTCAGCATCTTGTACCCATAGAGCTGCCCCAGGGAAACATGCCAGGCTGTGTGGCTGGGATCCTGCCTGTCTCCAGGTGCGCCCAGCCAGAGGCCTTGCTTCTTGGGAGCTGGAAGCCTGGCCAGTCCGACTCTGACCTGTCTGGTCTGGTCCGGTCCGACCCTGTGTTGGTCCCACAGGTTGCTGCTACACTTTCCCTTCTTGAAGCTCCACTGCCATGTTCCAGGACACCCTGTGTGTTCTCATTGCTGCCCCTGGCTGGGCTGGCTTTTGTCTGTAAGCAAAACTTCCAGTACCTTTTCTGGCAGTACCCTGGGGGCTCCTGAAGAACAGGACTGCTGAAAATGGGTGATATCAACAAACTCCGCAGGATTTCCTGGAGCTTAGAGAACTGCATGTGCCCACATCAGGCCCTGAGAAGCCCCCTTAGCTGCTGCAAAGGTTGGGGACATTTTTTGCTGAGTAGGTGAAAGCTGCCAGGGAGGGGGACATATGTGTCCCTAGAGATGGCGGGTCAGCAGGTTGGGGTTTGGGGCAGTCTTCAGGCCTGGAGCCCCGAGTGCCCTCAGGCAGCCTGCTTTCAGATAGAGTCTGAGGATGAGCACGGAGTGCAGGGGTCCCCTTTACCTGCATCCAGGGGTGTGGCCATGTTGCCCCTGACCAGCAGGGCTGCTTTGTTTGGCAGTCATTCATCAGAAAAGTGCACTGAAAGAAGCGCCCAGGGCCTCCCACCTGTGAGACACCACGCTGGGGAAGGGGGCGGTGCAGGTTCTAGGTTTGCATGTGGCAGCTCCTCCAGGCCTCACCCCAGCAGGTGGCACCGTGAGGGTGGGACGGGCCCCACCACTGCTTCCCTCTCACCTGATACCCAATCCTCTGGTCATCTTTCCCGTTCCGTGGCCCCGACTTCTTGGTCTTCGTAGCCAGGTATCTAAGACGTCCTGTGAGGACATCCAGATGGCTGCAATGTGGGGCTGCTTCTAAAGCTTGTTTGGAGTGTGGTGTGTTGGGATGCGCACCTGGTCACTCTCCCTCCCCCGCAGAGGTGTGTGGTTGAGGCCCTTTTGGAATGCCCTGCTGCCTTCCTGGCCAGCCTTTTCTGCGCCTCTGTCTCTGTGGTGGTCTGAGCTGTTGGCTCTCTGCCATGTCTTTAGCCACAGCCCTGCTTGAAGCCCTGAGGCTGAATACCCAGGCACCCGTATATTTCAGTCAAGTCCGCCTTAGCTTCCTGGAGCTGCCGCAACAAAGCAGCGCGAGCTGTGCAGCCTGAAGCAGCGGGAATTCACAGTCTAGGCTCTGGAGGCCGGAGTCTCAGATGAAGGCGCAGGCAAGGGCCCTCAGGTGCGGACGCCTCCTCCCTGCCAGGTGCCTTGCCTGCCTCCCTGTGCTCTGCACAGCAATGGCCCTGCAAGTCTTCTGCATCAGCTTTCTCTTCTGCGGACTCCTGCTCCTCTGGGTCAGGGCCCACGCCTGCTGCTTCTGAGAGCCCCTGTTTGTTAAGGATGCTCTCTGAGGTGCTGGGGTCTTCAGTCCATTGTTTTTTGGGGGGCACAGTTCAACCTGTAACGGCCCAAGGGGTTCTTCCTGCCCGCTGCACACATTCAGACCGTGGATTGCAATAAAGAAAAAAAGTTTAGGGCCGGGCGCAGTGGCTCACACCTGTAACCCCAGCACTTTGGGAGGCCGAGGCGGGTGGATCACGAGGTCAGAAGATCGAGACCATCCTGGCTAACACGGTGAAACCCCGTCTCTACTAAAAATACAAAAAATTAGCTGGGCGTGGTGATGCGCGCCTGTAGTCCCAGCTACTGGGGAGGCTGAGGCAGGAGAATGGCTTAAACCCGGGAGGCGGAGCTTGCAGTGAACTGAGATCGCGCCACTGCACTCCAGCCTGGGTGACAGAGCAAGACTCCGTCTCAAAAAAAAAAAACAAAAAAATTAATAGACACGGGCCGGCCAGGCCACATGTGAGATGGAGTTCGTCCTCAGATCATCTTGTCCAAAGCTCCTAGGTTAGGGGTTTTTTCAAAGGCAGTTTTGGGGGAGGGGGGCGGCGGCCAGGCGACTGGTGCTGATAATCATAGGGGTCGGAGCCGTCCACCTGCTGAGCCGCTTCTGGGGGGTCCTGATGCAGCCACGGGTGTCAGACAAGCAAAGACCCTGGAAGGCGGTCTCTGAGGGGCAGCTCCGCCATGGCGGGTTCACAGGAGGCAGGCAGAGCGCGCCTGCGGCCTCGGGGTGCTGGGCTTAGTGGGGCGCGGGCTCCTCATCAGCTTTACGAAGGCGTTGATTCCGGGGCAAGGCCTGTCATGGAAACTGCAGCCTAAATGTTAAGTCAGCGCGGCCCGATGGCCAGGAGTAACCGGGAGGGCGCCACGGGGTGCGCTACCGCAGCTCGCTGTTGGGGTTTTTCTCAGTGATAGAAATTTTGCAGAGGCGGCTTCAAACCTACGGCTCTGTCACTAACTTGCCGTCTCCAAACCTGCTTTGTGGAGGAGCGGATTTCCCGAAGCCTTCGGTCTCTACGGCCCCGCAGGGAGCAGCGCGTCTGACGCCTGAAGCCCGCCGCGGTCAGCCGGCCGACAGGGGGCGTGGGAGCCTGGCTTCCCAGGGGCGTCCACGGAGGCCAAGGCCCTGCCGGATGTCCCGCCCCGGCACCCCGGAAGGAGTCGCGAGAGAGGCGGCCCGCGCTGACGGTGTCCCTGGGGCTCTGCGCTCGTCCGGCCGGCCCCGGCCTCGCCGCCCCGCGCAGTACCCAGCCCGGCCCCGCCGACCCGCCTCTACTGCCGGCTCCGCGCCCTTCCCCGAGGGCTGGATGATGGGCTGTTTCGCCCTGCAAACGGTGGACACCGAGCTGACCGCGGACTCGGTGGAGTGGTGCCCGCTGCAAGGCTGCAGGCACCTGCTGGCGTGCGGGACCTACCAGCTGCGGCGGCCGGAGGACCGGCCTGCCGGCCCCCAGAACAAGGTGCGCGCGCCGCGGCTTCGGGAGGGGAGGGCGGGGCCGGCCACGAGGTTGAGGCCGAAAGGCGCACCGAATCGCCCAGGAGATGAAGAGGGGATATTGGCCCTTTGGCCAGGAGGTAGGCTGGAAACAGTTTAGAATCTTTTTAAAAAAATTGTTCTCGGCCGGGCGCAGTGGCTCACGCCTGTAATCCCAGCACTTTGGGAGGCCGAGGCGGACGGATCACGAGGTCAGGAGATCGAGACCATCCTGGCTAACATGGTGAAACCCCGTCTCTACTAAAAAAATACAAAACAATTAGCCGGGCGTGGTGGCGGCGCCTGTAGTCCCAGCCACTCGGGAGGCTGAGGCAGGAGAATGGCGTGAACCCGGGAGGCAGAGCTTGCAGTGAGCCGAGATCGCACCACTGCATTCCAGCCTGGGCGATACAGCAAGACTACATCTCAAAAAAAAGAAATTACTTTTTTCTGAGACAAGGTCTTGCACTGTCACCCAGGCTGGAGTGCAGCCTCGGACTCCAGGGCTCAGGGCATCCTCCCGCCTCAACCCCCTGAGTAGCTGGCACCACAGGCACGAGCCACCGCCCCCGGCCAACTTTAAAATCTTGAGAGCAGAACGTCTTCTATATACAGGTGTGGCCCAAGGGAATGGGTGGAATGTACAGTAAAGAGAAAGTGGGAATTATATCTTAACTTCTGGTGGGTACATATTAGGATCCAAATTGGGCACTGGAACAACAGGCGTAAGTCAGGACTGTCCCAGGCAAACTGGGTTCTGTGGTTACCCTAGCCATAGCTGGTCCCTGTTGGCCGGTTTAGAAGGAGCCTTCTCTACTGGGTCCAGGAGTGTTCACCTACTCATTAATAGACGTTTCTCCAG
This sequence comes from Homo sapiens, assembly GCF_000001405.40. NCBI lineage: Eukaryota > Metazoa > Chordata > Mammalia > Primates > Hominidae > Homo > Homo sapiens. The sequence continues at coordinate 137,577,748 of NC_000009.12, read as the reverse complement.
CTCAGAAAACCAGAGGTTCTCCTTCCAGGCAGAATTCCACTCCTTTAGTCATGGCAAACCTTTGAGTTCCTTGGATCCCTTTTCCCATCCTTTGGGTTCCTTCGTGTCTTGGGATAATCAGAGACTACCTCTGCATTTTTTGTAGGGTGGAATGGAAGTTAAGGAGCCTCAGGTCCGTTTAGGCCGTCTCTTCCTGTACAGTTTCAATGACAACAACTCTATTCACCCTCTGGTCGAGGTCCAAAGAAAAGATACTTCTGCAATCCTGGACATGAAATGGTATAACTGTGATAATCCCACTGGGTGTAGAATTTGTCATGAGTAGCAATCAGGGAAGCCTGATGCCTGATGCCTTCAACAAGACAGGCATTGCATCTCAACTTTGGATTTGTTTCTTTGCTGTCCCGCCTATCTTCCACCTGGGGAGTGCTTTACCTGGGGCTTATTTCCTTTGTCATGTTCCAGCCGGGGAAGTGATGGGAGTTTTCTGACTTCATAACCTGGGGCGTCTTTTGTTTGAGAACACAGTTGTAGGCTCTAGCCCACTTTTGGAGCTGAGATTTAAATGCAGTGGTGTGTGGCATAATTATGTTTTGGTCAACAATGGAGCACGTATACCATGGTGGTGCCTTAACGTAATGGAGATGCCCTATACAGGTGTACCAGTTTTTATCCTTTTTAATTTTTTTTTTTTTGAGGCAGGGTTTTGTTCCGTTGCCCAGGCTGGAATGCAGTCACGTGATCATAGCTCACTGCAGCCTTGAACTCCTGGGCTCAAGCAATTCTCTGTCTCAGCCTCTCGAGTAGCTGAGACTTCAGACTTCAGGTAGATGCCACCATGCCTCTTTTTTTTTTTTTTGAGACGGAGTCTCGCTCTGTCGCCCGGGCTAGAGTGCAGTGGCGCGGTCTCGGCTCACTGCAAGCTCCGCCTCCTGAGTTCACGCCATTCTCCTGCGTCAGCCTCCCTAAGAGCTCGGTCTACAGGCGCCCGCCACCACACCCGGCTTATTTTTTTGTATTTTTAGTAGAGACGTGGTTTCACCATGTTATTAGGATGGTCTTGATCTCCTGACCTCGTGATCCACCCGCCTCAGCCTCCCAACGTGCTGGGATTACAGGCGTGAGCCACGACGCCTGGCCTTACCACACCTCATTTTTGTTTGTTTGTTAGTTTGTAGAAACAGGGTCTTGCTATGTTGCTCAGGCTGGTTTCGAACTCCTTACCTCAAGTCATCCTCCTACCTCAGCTTCCCAAAGTGTTGGGGTTACAAGTGTGAGCCACCATGCCCGGCCACCTGTTTTTTATCCTTTATATTGTATTCTTACTGTATCTTTTCTATGTTTAGATATACAACCACTTCCTGTTGTGTCACACTTGCCTGCAGTAACATGCTGTAAGGTTTGTGGCATAGGAGCAGTGGGCCATACCATATAATCAAGGTGTGTAGTAGGATGTCCCAGCTGGGTTTGCGTGGACTGCAGCCCCGTTGTTAAGGGAAGCGTGACTGTGGTTACCGGGACGCACAGTGCACGCCTGTGCTCCGGGCACATTGGTGTGCTTATGGTGGGCCCTCTCCTCAGGTGTCACATCCCGGTGGCTGGACATGCCCTCTTGGGCTTGGCAGATGCCAGTGGATCCATACAACTGCTCCGCCTGGTGGAATCTGAGGTCAGTGACTTGCACTTGTTCTGTGGGGCAGAAGGGACCTGAATAGAGAGGGTTGGGGAGGAGGCTGTGCTGATACAGACATTTTTCTAAAACGATCTCTCTTCAATGGTGAGCTATATATAAACGTTCTAAGATAATGTGGAGTCTATTTTTAAGTTGTATTGCGTTCTACATCCAACTCCAAGAGGAAGTCACCTCATGTGTCACCAGCAGAAGGGCTGAAGTGACAGGATGTTCATTGACCTGTCAGTGGATCTGAAAGTTCTCTAAGGAGAGCCTGGGCAAGCATTCTTAGGTTGATGCTGGGGCCCAGAGTAGCAGTGAGCATCCTGTGTGAAGATGGCATTTCTCACTGATTATTGGAAAAGCACGTGAGTCCTGTGTGAATTTTTCCGAGTTTCTCACAGTGCTCTGGAGCCATGCATTAACAAAGTGACTTCATCTGATAGCTGTCGGGGAGGAGAACGGGGATGTCCCGTAGTGGGGTGATGTAAACAGCCTGAAACCACGCCCTCACTCCGATGCAGATGCTGCAGGCGGGGCTGGGCCAACCGAGGGCCTGTGTAGGAAAAGGCCTTGCTTAAGGCAGCTTAGAGCAGTTGCCCTGTCTTAGAAAGGAGGGAAAGAGCAGCCACAGGAAAGCTGTGGGCCCAAGGGAGGAGTGCATGAACCCAGGAAAGGGCTTTGGTACAGCAGCCTGCTGGGAGCAGGGATGGAGTTAAGCACTGGCCAGGCTGTTTAGGAAATGAAATTTATATAGATCTGCATAAAGAGCAACCACGTTCTCATGGCTGCTCGCGGCTTCTGAAGTGGAAACCAGAGGAGTTTCCCCATTGTCTCTGTCTCGGGAGGCGAGTGTTCCAGTGGCCCTGGAGGCCTGGGGTGGGAAACTGTGTGTGCCACTGTGGTCTGGAGCCTGCACAGGCATCTCGACAGCATCTAGGAGCGCAAGGATGGCAAGGGGGTGTGAAAGGGAGGGAGACCATGCCCCAAGATCAAGCCTGTGGGAAAGTTGTCCTGCAAGTGTGAGGAGTGTGAGCTCCAGTGTCCCCAGGTCTTCTCGGGGCCCCTAGCAGGGGTTTCAGTGTTAGGTGGAGGTGTGACTCAGTGACTGATGTACTTCATTCGCATAGGTTGTAAATGAGGGAACGATGACTTCCCTGCAGGAGAGGAAAAGTCTTTTGGGGGTTCTGGGGCGGCTACTTCCCTTTGATGGAGTTTCTTCTTCTCCAGTAGAAGAGCCACGTGCTGGAGCCATTGTCCAGCCTTGCCCTGGAGGAGCAGTGTCTGGCTTTGTCCCTAGATTGGTCCACTGGGAAAACTGGAAGGTAAGGGCCAGGCTTGGTCAGGGGTCCTGAGTCTTTCTCTGAGAACCACTTCCACTTTTCAGGCTAGAGGGCTCCAGCCACCTTCAGCGAGCTGCGACTGTGCTCCTCAGCCCTGACATCATCACTGCCAGTCCTATTATGAAAAAAAGGTCCCCCATTTTAGATACATAGCGATAGTGTTTTTACCTAGAGAAGTCGACACTGGTGTCTTTGACAAGCTTAGCAGTGGTTGTGATCTTAGCCGCCAGTCTCTTAAGGGGCATATCCGCATCCCAGGGCTGTGGAGACCGTCTCTCAGGACTTGTTTGGGAACCAGAAGAGGCTGACGAATAACATTCTGCCGGGCTTCTTCATGGGTTCCCTGTGTCTAGGGCCGGGGACCAGCCCTTGAAGATCATCAGCAGTGACTCCACAGGGCAGCTCCACCTCCTGATGGTGAATGAGACGAGGCCCAGGCTGCAGAAAGTGGCCTCATGGCAGGCACATCAATTCGAGGCCTGGATTGCTGCTTTCAATTACTGGCATCCAGAAATTGTGTATTCAGGTCAGTATTCCTCCACCGGTCACCTCTGATGGAAGGCTTGCTGAGGAAGGGGCGGAGGGAGAGAGGGAGGCCTGTGCCACAGCTGTGATTCCAGTTATGTTGGGATCTTGAAGACCTTTTATGGAAAGTGTACTTTTTTTTTTGAAACTGAGTCTTGCTCTTTTGCCAGGCTAGAGTGCAGTGGCACGATGTTGGCTTACTGCAATCTCCACCTCCCAGGTTCAAGCGATTCTACTGCCTCAGCCTCCCAAGTAGCTGGGATTACAGGCGCCTGCCACCACACCCAGCTAATTTTTGTGTTTTTAGTAGAGACAGGGTTTCACCATGTTGGTCAGGCTGGTCTCTATCTCCTGACCTCATGATGCGCCCACCTCAGCCTCCCAAAGTGTTGGGATTACAGGTGTGAGCCACTGCGCCTGGCCACTATTTTTTTTCTTTTTTGGAGAATGTACTTTCTGGAACAAAGGCTATAGTTGGCGCTCATCACTTAGCTATTCTTTTTTTTTTTTTTTTTTTTTTTTTTTTGAGACAGAGTCTCACTCTGTTGCCCAGGCTGGAGTGCAGTGATGCAATCTCAGCTCACTGCAAGCTTTGCCTCCTGGGTTCACGCCATTCTCCTGCCTCAGCCTCTTGAGTAGCTGGGACTACAGGCACCCGCCACCATGTCCAGCTAATTTTTTGTAGTTTTTTTTTTAGAGAGATGGGGTTTCACCGTGTTAGCCAGGATGGTCTCGATCTCCTGACCTCGTGATCCTCCCGCCTCGGCCTCCCAAAGTGCTGGGATTACAGGTGTGAGCCACTGCACCCGGCCCACTTAGCTATTCTTTTTTTTTTTTTTTTTTTTTTTGAGATGGAGTCTTGCTCTGTTGCCTAGGCTGGAGTGCAGTGGCGCGATCTCGGCTCACTGCAAGCTCCGCCTCCCAGGTTCACGCCATTCTCCTGCCTCAGCCTCCCGAGTAACTGGGACTACAGGTGCCCGCCACCACGCCCGGCTAATTTTTTGTATTTTTAGTAGAGACGGGGTTTCACTGTGTTAGCCAGGGTGGTCTTGATCTCCTGACCTCGTGATCCACTCGCCTCGGCCTCCCAAAGTGCTGGGATTACAGGCGTGAGCCACCTTGCCCCGCCCACTTATTCTTTAGAGAGCAAAGTATAGCTTGCCTCAGGCAGTGCAGGGTCTTGGGTGGTGTTGGCCAGGGTGTTGGAGGAGCAGGCACCTGTGGGCAGAGCCATCCTGCCTCCCTGATATGCTCGGTGTCAGATCCTTTATGCTTTTACTGGAAGTCCAGTTTCTGTGCTTTTTGCCTGATACCTGTGGATACAATAGTGACTTCGCCATGTTGGATTTCAAGTTTGTCTGCACCCTTTTTGGATATAGTTTATCTTCCAGAAATAAAGGAAGCATGAGAGAAATAAGATTCCTTTCCAGGTCTTGTGAATGGTTTGCATTTGGGGCATGCTGATGTGGGAGTGAGAAATTAACAACTGGTGTTTCCAGGAAGGAGGTAGCTTTGGCTAGCATCTCTTTCCCAGGTAGAGATAACTCATGGCAGGTGAGAGGGGCGGGTCTCTGAGAAAAGACAGAAGAGGAGCTGCTGAATTTGCAAACAGCCGAAGAAAAGATCTGACCCTTCCCTGCTGCTACCCATCCGGGCCACTGTCTCATCTAGTTTGTTACAGCAGAGCAGCAAGTGATGGCCCTGCCTTCATTCCTGACTGTTCCAGTCTCCACACAGTAGCCAAGCAAGTGTTTTAAAAACACACACACTTTATCGCATCTCACTCATTGTTAGAACCCCTCACAGTTCCTGTTTCATTGAGGATAAAATCCAAAATAGTGATGCGATTACCCAAGGCCTGTGGAATCTGGTCCACGCCTGCTTCTCCGGCCTTGTTTTGGCTCCTATGCTCTCAGTCACCTTTTCCTGAAATAGTCCACATTCCCTCAGTCTCAGGGTTTCGTCACGGGATGTTTCCTTCATGGGTGAATTCTGCTTTTTTGACATGCCCAGCTTAAAATCTTGTCCTTAGAAGACTGACGCAGAGCAGCTGTCCTTCCACCCCAGGCAGGCCTCACCTCCGCCGTGGCTCACGCTGCCTCTGCTTGTCCGAGTGACGAGCACGTGTGTAAGGCGGCGTTCTTATTTGTGTTGCTCATTGTCACAGCCTTGAACCGTCTGAGAGCCATAAAGATCTCATTTCTTGAGGTCTCTCCTTGGGTTGGTTCTTCTACCTTGAGCTAATTCAGAGCAAAGGTACCGTAGGGCAATGATTGAATAATTCTGGACTGATTCATTCTTTCAACAAATGCTATGTGCTGAGCCCTATTCTAGGTGATTAGAATACTTTAGCAAACTAAACAGACAAAAGTCCTGCTTTCTTTTTTAAGTTTTATTATTTTTATTTATTTATTTATTTTGAGATGGAGTTTCGCTCTTATTGCCCAGGCTGGAGGGCAGTGGTACAATCTTGGCTCATTGCAACCTCCACCTCCTGGGTTCAAGTGATTCTCCTGCCTCAGCCTCCTGAGTAATTGGGATTATAGGCACCTGCCGCCATGCCCGGCTAATTTTTGTATTTTTAGTAGAGATGCGGTTTTACCATGTTGCCCAGGCTGGTCTCGAATGCCTAGGCTCAAGCGATCTACCTGCCTCAGCCTCCCAGTGTTGGGATTATAGGCGTCAGCCACTGCACTCAGCCTTCTTAAAAAAATTATTTATATAGGCCAGGCGCGGTGGCTCACACCTGTAATCCCAGCACTTTAGGAGGCCAAGATGGGCGGATCATGAGGTCAGCAGATCAAGACCATCCTGGCCAACATGGTGAAACCCCATCTCTATTAAAATACAAAAAATTAGCCGGGCATGGTGGCAGGCGCCTGTAGTCCCAACTACTCGGGAGGCTGAGACAGTGGAATTGCTTGAACCCGGGAGGCAGAGGTTGCAGTGAGCCGAGATCGCACCACTGCACTCCAGCCTGGCGAGAGAGCAAGGCTCTGTCTCAAAAAAAAAAAATTTATTTATATAAATACATTTTGAGGATGGGGTGGGTGGTTCACGTCTTGCTGTGTCACCCAAGCTGGAGTGCAATGGCGTGACCACAGGTCACGGCAGCCTTAACCTCCCAGGGTCAAGCGATCCTCCTGCCTCAGCCTTCTGAGTAGCTGGGACTACAGGTGTGAGTTACCACACCTGGCTGATTTTCACATAAAAGTCCCTGCTTTCACCCAGCTTACATTCTGTGGCGGGGAGACAGACAGTAAACACAAGGCATAATATGTAATAGGGAAGGAGACTGCATGGCCTGTCAGGGGCAATGAGTGCTTTGGAAAGAAGGTAGAAGGAGGTGAGAGGGGACCAAGGGTGCTGGGAGCAGGTGCAGATTATACTGTTGGAGAGCATGGTCAGGGTGGGCAGTGGTCCTAAGGCAGGAGTGGCCCTGCTATGGCAGAAGAGTAGCCAGTAGCCAGCATGGTTAGGATGACCTGAGGCAGTAGCGGAATAGAAGAGGGTGAAATCAGAGGTAATGGGCCAGGGCACAGGGCCGTGCAGGCTCCAGGAAGGACTTTGTTTCCTACTCAGAATGAAATGGGAGCTGTTGCAGGATGTTGAGCAGAGGAATGACAGATTCTGACTTGCATTTTAAAATTTGCGATGACCTCTTTGGTGAATGTGAGTCTAGACCACAAGAGGGAGGGACACAGCCTGGAGACTTGACATTGGGCAGGTGATGAGACAGCCCAGAGCAGGTTTGGAGTAGTGGAGGTGAGGACCAGTGGTTGGGTTCTGGATAGAAGTGAAGGTATATCCAGTCAGATTTCCTGATGGAGTGGATATGTGGGGCATGCGAGAGTGGAGAGACTCACGTATAAAGAAGCCTTTGCCTACTCTGTACAAATTTGCCACAGAATGGCAGCTCATACTTGAGGCTCATCTGCAGGCTTCATGCCTAGGTCAGCTGATTCCGCTGGTTCATTTAACTGTAGGTCATGTTCACTGTGTATCCGTAGTGTCTATTATGAGGGTCCATAGTGTGTGTTCAGCAAGTACCTATTTGATGGGTGGTGGGTGGGTGGGTGGATGGTGGGTAGGAGGGCGTGTGGGTGGATGGATGGATGGATGGTGGGTGGATGAGTGAGTGGGTGGGTTTGTGGTGGATGGATGGTGGATTTTTGGATGGTGGGTGGTGGTGGGGTGGATAGATGGTGGGTGACTGGATGGATGGATGGTGGATGACTGGATGGATGGATTTTTGGATGGTGGGTGGTAGAGTTTGGATAGATAGTGGGTGAGTGGATGGATGGTGGGTGGGAGGGCGTGTGGATGGATGGATGGATGGATGGTGGGTGGATGAGTTGGTGGGTGTGTGGTGGATGGATGGTGGATTTTTGGATGGTGGTGGTGGTGGCGTGGATAGATGGTGAGTGACTGGATAGATGGATGGTGGATTGTTGGATGGATGGATGGATGGATGGATGGATGGATGGATCATGGGTGGATGGATGGATTTTTGGATGGTGGGTGGTGGGTGGTGGGTCGTGGGTGGTGGATGGTGGATGGATGGTGGATTGTTGGATGGATGGATGGTGGGTGAGTGGCTGGCTGGCTGGCTTGATAGACGGGGGGTGGATGGATGGATTTTTGGGTGGTGGGTGGTGGGTGGATGGATGGTAGATTGTTGGATGGAAGGTGGGAGGGCGGGTGGGTCGATGGATGGTGGATTGTTGGATGGATGGATGGATGGATGGTGGGTGAGTGACTGGCTGGCTGGATGGATGGATGGTGGGTGGATGGATGGATTTTTGGATGGTGGGTGGTGGGTGGTGGGTGGTGGATGGATGGTGGATTGTTGGATGGATAGTGGGTAGATGGATGGAAGGTGGGTGGGGGGTGGGTGGGGGCATGGGTGGATGGATGGTGGAATTTTGGATAGGGTGAGGTCGGGGGGTGGATAGATGGTGAGATGGATGGAAGGTGGGTGGGTAGTGGGAGCTGGATGATGCAGGGGTGGGTGATGTGGTTAGGCCTAGACGTTTTCCTTCTGATCTTCTTCACTCTCCCTGTGGGCCCTGCTCTTGAGCTTCCCTTCCTTCAGGTGCCACCATTCACCCCATGTCTGCATTGCTTTTCTTGGAAGATTGGTTGTGGTTCAGTGCACCAACTCCTCTCTTCTCCCATCCTTTTCGTTCCCCTAAACAAGTGCTTTAAGATGACAGAGGGCACCTTCCTTTCAGGTGCATGGTGTGGAGTCCTTGTGCTTGCTGCCTCCTGTGTGCAGTTTCTGTTCAGGGCTCTGATCTGGCAACTCTTCTTCTTAGAAGCCAGGGCTTTATTCACTGGAGCCCTTAGCAAAGGCAGTTTAGCCCCTAGGACCTAGTAACGGCCCCTGTGAACAATGGTCGCCTGCACCTGATGGCCTTCAGGGCCCCTTCAGTTTCCATTTCCTCCCTTCTGTTCCTGCAGGCTTCTTTCTGTTCCCGTCCGTCTTTCCCCTCCTGCTTCCAGTCTCTAGAGAGTCAAGGCACAGTGATGACTTTCCTGGGGGTTGTTTCTGGGACCTCCTGTTGAGGTGGCAACCTAAGACTCCTCCAGCAAAGTCACCAGGGGAACTTCCTCACAGACAGAGTCACCCCGGGGAGCTTCCTCACAGACAGAGTCACCCAGGGGAGCTTCCTCACAGACAGTCACCCAGGGGAGCTTCCTCACAGACAGAGTCACCCAGGGGAGCTTCCTCACAGACAGAGTCACCCAGGGGAGCTTCCTCACAGACAGAGTCACCCAGGGGAGCTTCCTCACAGACAGAGTCACCCAGGGGAGCTTCCTCACAGACAGAGTCACCCAGGGGAGCTTCCTCACAGACAGAGTCACCCAGGGGAGCTTCCTCACAGACAGTCACCCAGGGGAGCTTCCTCACAGACAGAGTCACCCAGGGGAGCTTCCTCACAGAGTCACCCAGGGGAGCTTCCTCACAGACAGAGTCACCCAGGGGAGCTTCCTCACAGACAGTCACCCAGGGGAGCTTCCTCACAGACAGAGTCACCCAGGGGAGCTTCCTCACAGACAGAGTCACCCCGGGGAGCTTCCTCACAGACAGAGTCACCCAGGGGAGCTTCCTCACAGACAGAGTCACCCAGGGGAGCTTCCTCACAGACAGAGTCACCCAGGGGAGCTTCCTCACAGACAGTCACCCAGGGGAGCTTCCTCACAGACAGAGTCACCCAGGGGAGCTTCCTCACAGACAGAGTCACCCCGGGGAGCTTCCTCACAGACAGAGTCACCCCGGGGAGCTTCCTCACAGACAGAGTCACCCCGGGGAGCTTCCTCACAGACAGAGTCACCCCGGGGAGCTTCCTCACAGACAGAGTCACCCAGGGGAGCTTCCTCACAGACAGAGTCACCCAGGGGAGCTTCCTCACAGACAGAGTCACCCAGGGGAGCTTCCTCACAGACAGAGTCACCCAGGGGAGCTTCCTCACAGACAGAGTCACCCCGGGGAGCTTCCTCACGGACAGAGTCACCCCGGGGAGCTTCCTCACGGACAGAGTCACCCAGGGGAGCTTCCTCACAGACAGTCACCCAGGGGAGCTTCCTCACAGACAGAGTCACCCAGGGGAGCTTCCTCACAGACAGAGTCACCCAGGGGAGCTTCCTCACAGACAGAGTCACCCAGGGGAGCTTCCTCACAGACAGTCACCCAGGGGAGCTTCCTCACAGACAGTCACCCCGGGGAGCTTCCTCACAGACAGAGTCACCCAGGGGAGCTTCCTCACAGACAGAGTCACCCAGGGGAGCTTCCTCACAGACAGAGTCACCCAGGGGAGCTTCCTCACAGACAGAGTCACCCAGGGGAGCTTCCTCACAGACAGTCACCCAGGGGAGCTTCCTCACAGACAGAGTCACCCAGGGGAGCTTCCTCACAGACAGAGTCACCCAGGGGAGCTTCCTCACAGACAGTCACCCAGGGGAGCTTCCTCACAGACAGTCACCCCGGGGAGCTTCCTCACAGACAGAGTCACCCCGGGGAGCTTCCTCACAGACAGAGTCACCCAGGGGAGCTTCCTCACAGACAGAGTCACCCAGGGGAGCTTCCTCACAGACAGAGTCACCCAGGGGAGCTTCCTCACAGACAGTCACCCAGGGGAGCTTCCTCACAGACAGAGTCACCCCGGGGAGCTTCCTCACAGACAGAGTCACCCAGGGGAGCTTCCTCACAGACAGAGTCACCCAGGGGAGCTTCCTCACAGACAGAGTCACCCAGGGGAGCTTCCTCACAGACAGAGTCACCCAGGGGAGCTTCCTCACAGACAGTCACCCAGGGGAGCTTCCTCACAGACAGTCACCCCGGGGAGCTTCCTCACAGACAGAGTCACCCCGGGGAGCTTCCTCACAGACAGAGTCACCCCGGGGAGCTTCCTCACAGACAGAGTCACCCAGGGGAGCTTCCTCACAGACAGAGTCACCCAGGGGAGCTTCCTCACAGACAGAGTCATCCAGGGGAGCTTCCTCACAGACAGAGTCACCCAGGGGAGCTTCCTCACAGACAGAGTCACCCAGGGGAGCTTCCTCACAGACAGAGTCACCCAGGGGAGCTTCCTCACAGACAGAGTCATCCAGGGGAGCTTCCTCACAGACAGAGTCACCCCGGGGAGCTTCCTCACAGACAGAGTCACCCCGGGGAGCTTCCTCACAGACAGAGTCACCCCGGGGAGCTTCCTCACAGACAGAGTCACCCCGGGGAGCTTCCTCACAGACAGAGTCACCCAGGGGAGCTTCCTCACAGACAGAGTCACCCAGGGGAGCTTCCTCACAGACAGTCACCCAGGGGAGCTTCCTCACAGACAGAGTCACCCAGGGGAGCTTCCTCACAGACAGAGTCACCCAGGGGAGCTTCCTCACAGACAGTCACCCAGGGGAGCTTCCTCACAGACAGAGTCACCCAGGGGAGCTTCCTCACAGACAGTCACCCCGGGGAGCTTCCTCACAGACAGAGTCACCCAGGGGAGCTTCCTCACAGACAGAGTCACCCAGGGGAGCTTCCTCACAGACAGTCACCCAGGGGAGCTTCCTCACAGACAGAGTCACCCAGGGGAGCTTCCTCACAGACAGAGTCACCCAGGGGAGCTTCCTCACAGACAGTCACCCAGGGGAGCTTCCTCACAGACAGAGTCACCCAGGGGAGCTTCCTCACAGACAGTCACCCAGGGGAGCTTCCTCACAGACAGAGTCACCCAGGGGAGCTTCCTCACAGACAGTCACCCCGGGGAGCTTCCTCACAGACAGAGTCACCCAGGGGAGCTTCCTCACAGACAGAGTCACCCAGGGGAGCTTCCTCACAGACAGTCACCCAGGGGAGCTTCCTCACAGACAGTCACCCCGGGGAGCTTCCTCACAGACAGAGTCACCCCGGGGAGCTTCCTCACAGACAGAGTCACCCCGGGGAGCTTCCTCACAGACAGAGTCACCCAGGGGAGCTTCCTCACAGACAGAGTCACCCAGGGGAGCTTCCTCACAGACAGAGTCATCCAGGGGAGCTTCCTCACAGACAGAGTCACCCAGGGGAGCTTCCTCACAGACAGAGTCACCCAGGGGAGCTTCCTCACAGACAGAGTCACCCAGGGGAGCTTCCTCACAGACAGAGTCACCCAGGGGAGCTTCCTCACAGACAGAGTCACCCAGGGGAGCTTCCTCACAGACAGAGTCACCCCGGGGAGCTTCCTCACAGACAGTCACCCAGGGGAGCTTCCTCACAGACAGTCACCCAGGGGAGCTTCCTCACAGACAGAGTCATCCAGGGGAGCTTCCTCACAGACAGAGTCACCCAGGGGAGCTTCCTCACAGACAGAGTCACCCAGGGGAGCTTCCTCACAGACAGTCACCCCGGGGAGCTTCCTCACAGACAGTCACCCAGGGGAGCTTCCTCACAGACAGAGTCACCCCGGGGAGCTTCCTCACAGACAGTCACCCCGGGGAGCTTCCTCACAGACATCAACGGCCTAACTGAGAACACTCATTTCCTGTCATTAGTGGTGTTGATGCTTCTCTTTCTCCACACAGGGGGCGACGATGGCCTTCTGAGGGGCTGGGACACCAGGGTACCCGGCAAATTTCTCTTCACCAGCAAAAGGTAACTGCCCAAGGGCCAGCACTCGGTGCCCACACCAGCCCCCGCGTTCCCTGGGTCACCAGCCCTCCCGTTCCCTGGGTGGGTCTGTGTGCTGGACACTGGTTCAGAAGCCGCCTCTGCTTGCAGACACACCATGGGTGTGTGCAGCATCCAGAGCAGCCCTCATCGGGAGCACATCCTGGCCACGGGAAGGTGAGTCCCCAGGAGGCTCTCGGGCCCTTCTCGTCTCTTTCGCTGTCCCCGGGGGGCTCCTGGGCCCTTCTTCCCTCTTTCGCTGCCTTTCCTCCTGGCACCATTGCAGCATTTCGTCTGCCAGTGCTTCGCCGGAGTGTAGGTATATGGGTTTGGTAAAGGGGACTTTGTCCTCGAGGGATGCATGGGACAGGTCTCTGGGAGACGTTCTGTGCCCCCCAGGGGCCTTGTGGAACAGGTGAGCCTGGGCTTTCCTTATATGCCTCCTGTGGTTGGTCGGTTTCAGCTATGATGAACACATCCTACTGTGGGACACACGAAACATGAAGCAGCCGTTGGCAGATACGCCTGTGCAGGGTGGGGTATGGAGAATCAAGTGGCACCCTTTCCACCACCACCTGCTCCTGGCCGCCTGCATGCACAGTGGCTTTAAGATCCTCAACTGCCAAAAGGCAATGGGTGAGTGGGGACCCGTGGCTGCTGGGCCTCAGGGCAGGGCACCAGTTCCCTGCCCCCTCGCTCTGCTGGGCTCTTCCCTCAGCTCCCTGCTCCCTTGCTCTGCTGGGCTCTTCCCTCAGCTTTTACACACTCCCAGCGTCGCGCCCTAGACTTGGTCGTGATCCATAACTGTCCCAGCTCCAGAATCTCTGCTCTCTAACCACAGTTTTCCCTGGTTTCCCAGCTCCGTCATTCCGGTGCCTCCTGCATTTCGGCAGACCTCTGACCCCACTGGGACCTCTAGTCTGGAGGCTTGGCCACCCATCACTCCCATAACCATCCTTGTCTGTGCTCTCCCATGCTCTTCCTGCCTGTGGTCAGCTGGGACTCTGTGGTCTGCTGCCCCCTGTGAGCTCACACTCCATTCCCTTCATCCCTTTCTCACACTCTGGGCAGAACCCAGTGTTGTTTTGTTGGGAACAAGCACCTCTGATTCTGGTTGAGCCGGAGAACGTGGCTGGAATCAGCTGTCCACGTTGTGTTCTAGTAGGTCCCTGGGATTCCTGGTGATCTGTAACATTTCTCTAGGCAGTAATCCCCCACTGTCAGAACTGGTTCACATTTTCTTCTCTCTGCTCAAACCTCCAGGACCTCCTCTTCCCTCCTGACTTGCAGCTCATGATCTCTCCTCTTTCGCCTCTTCTCTCTCCCCTCACTCCAAAAATAAGCAATCACAAAACCACCTCATCTTCCCACCATTAAGCCCACCAGCCTCTCGGGCCACCCACATGCTCTCTGCCCTCTGCAGCGGTGGGTGACCCACACCTGTTCCCAAGGCCAGTTTCTTCTCTGCACTGGATTGTACTCAAGGACTTGATTGACTCGATTTCCGCATGGTATTCCTCTTTTTTTTTTTTTTTTTTGAGACGGAGTCTTGCTCTGTCACCCAGGCTGGAGTGCAGTGGTGCGATCTCGGCTCACCACAGCCTTCGCCTCCTGGGTTCTAGCGATTCTCCTGCCTCAGCCTCCCAAGTAGCTGGGATTACAGGCACCCACCACCATGCCTGGCTGATTTTTATAGTTTTAGAAGAGATGGGGGGTTCACCATGTTGGTCAGGCTGGTCTGGAACTCCTGACCTCGTGATCCGCCTGCCTTGGCCTCCCGAAGTGTTAGGATTACAGGCGTGAGCCACCGTGCCTGGCCTGTATTCCTCTGTGTTTTGCATCTTTAGTTTCTCCATCTCTTCTGTATTGTTTCTGTTAGTTCTGTGAATGTGCTTTGTATTTCTCATCGTTTTTTGTTTTGTTTTGAGATGGTGTCTTGCTCTGTCACCCAGGCTGGAGTGTGGTGGTGCAATTGTAGCTCACTGCAGCCTCAACCTCCTGGGGCTCAAACCATCCTCCCATCTCAGCCTCCTGAGTAGCTGGGACCCCCATGCCAAGCCATAATATTTCTTGTATTAAAACAATTTGAGATCTTTTTTTTTTGAGATGGAGTCTTGCTCTGTCACCCAGAATGGTGTACAGTGGTGTGATCTCGTCTCACTGCAACCTCTGCTTCCTGGCTTCAAGCAATTCTCCTGCCTCAGCCTCCAGAGTAGCTGGGATCACAGGCTTGTGCCACCACGCCTGGCTAATTTTTGTATTTTTAGTAGAGACGGGGTTTCACCACGTTGGCCAGGCTGGTCTTGAACTCCTGACCTCAGGTGATCCGCCCACCTTGGCCTCCCAAAGTACAGGCATGAGCCACCGTGCCCAGCCCCTGGGCTCAAACCATCCTTCCACCTCAGCCTCCCGAGTAGCTGGGACCACCATGCCCAGCCATAATATTTCTCATCTTAAAACAATTTGAGGTCTTTTTTCTTTATTAATGGTGATACATTTTCCTCTGAGCACTGCTTTTGCTGCAACCCATACATTTTGGTATGTTGTATTTTTATTTTCATTCATCTCAAGGTACTTTCTAATTTCCCATGTGGTTTTTTTCTTCGACCATTGGTTATTTATGAGTGTGTTGTTTAATGTACATGTTTTTAAGTGCCCACATTTCTTTCTGTTACCGATTTCTAATGTTATTCCATTGTGCATTCCTGTTGAATTTACTGAGATTAGTTTTGTGGCCTAGAGTGTGGTCTCTGCTGGGGAGTGCCCCTGTGCACTTGCGGACGTGTGTTCTGCTGCTGTTGGCTGGAGTGCCCTGTAGGTGCCTGTGAGGTCTCGGCTTTATAATGTTCAGATCTTCTGGTTCCTTACTGAATCTCCTGTCTGGGCAATATTGAAAGTGGTCTGTTGGCTGGGCACGGTGGCTCACGCCTGTAATCCCAGTACTTTGGGAGGCTGAGGTGGGCAGATCACAAGGTCAGGAGATCGAGACCATCCTGGCTAACATGGTGAAACCCCGTCTCTACTAAAAATACAAAAAATTAGCCAGGCGCTGTGGTGGGTGCCTGCAGTCCCAGCTACTTGGGAGGCTGAGGCAGGAGAATGGCGTGAACCCAGGAGGCGGAGCTTGCAGTGAGCCGAGATCGCGCCACTGCACTCCAGCCTGGGAGACACAGCGAGACTCCATCTCAAAAAAATAAAAGAAAGTGGGCTATTGCTACCTCCAACTCTAACTGTAGAATTATGTATTTCCAGCCTCGTTTCCATCAGTTTTTACTTCACGTATTTTGGGGATCTCTTTTATATATGTTTATAATTCTGGTATCTTCCAGATGTGCTGACCCTTTTATCAATATAAAGTGTCTGTCTTTAAATCTAGTAACATTTTTTGTTTTAAAGTCAGTTTTGTCTGGCATTGGTAAAGTCACTTCAGTGTGGCGTGATGCATCGTTTTCATTCTCTTTCAGTTCACACCTGAGTCTGAGGCGAGTCTTTGGTATGGGGTCATGCTTTTTTTTTTTTTTTTTTTTGAGATGGAGTCTCGCTCTGTCACCCAGGCTGGAATGCAGTGGCGCTATCTTGGCTCACTGCAACCTCCACCTTCCGGGTTCACGCCGCCATTCTCCTGCCTCAGCCTCCCGAGTAGCTGGGAATACAGGCACCTGCCACCACGCCTGGCTAATTTTTGTATTTTTATTGGAGACGAGGTTTCACCATGTTGGCCGGGGTCGTGCATTTTTGCCAGGAAACCTGTGAAAGTGGCGCTGTGCCCTCCTTAGTTCCTCACATCAAGGGCCTATGATGCCACATTGTTCCATTTTTGTGAAATTTGGTCACTTTGTTAAGGTGGTGTTTGCCCCAATCCCTTCACTGAAGAGATACTATTTTCCTCTTTGGGATTAATCAGTAATCTGTGGTGAGAATCTTTGAACCTGTGTCAATAACTCCCTTTTCAGACTTTTACCCAATTCAGAGACAATTGGTGCTTGAATAAATTATGGTAATGGCAAAATGGTGATTTTCTTTTTTTCTTTTTTTTTTTTTTTTTTTTGAGATGGGGTCTTGCTCTGTTGCCCTGGCTGGAGTGCAGTGGCACGATCTCGGCCCACTGCAACCTCCA
Organism: Homo sapiens; assembly: GCF_000001405.40. Classification (NCBI taxonomy): domain Eukaryota; kingdom Metazoa; phylum Chordata; class Mammalia; order Primates; family Hominidae; genus Homo; species Homo sapiens. The sequence goes on along the minus strand of NC_000009.12, from coordinate 137,560,952 downwards.
CCTCCCGGGTTCAAGCGATTCTCCTGCCTCAGCCTCCTGAGTAGCTGGGACTACAGGTGCCCACCACCACGCCCGGCAAATTTTTTTTTTTTTTTTTGAGACAGAGTCTCACTGTGTCACCCAGGCTGGAGTGCAGTGGTGGGATCTTGGCTCACTGCAAGCTCCGCCTCCCGGGTTCACGCCATTCTCCTGCCTCAGCCTCCTGAGCAGCTGGGACTACAGGCGCCCACCACCACACCTGGCTAATTTTTTTTGTATTTTTAGTAGAGACGGGGTTTCACCGTGTTAGCCAGGATGGTCTTGATCTCCTGACCTCGTGATCCGCCCGCCTCGGCCTCCCAAAGTGCTGGGATTACAGGCGTGAGCCACCCTGCCTGGCCAATTTTTTGTATTTTTATTAGAGACAGGGTTTCGCCGTGTTAGCCAGGATGGTCTTGATCTCCTGACTTTGTGATCTGCCTGCCTCGGCCTCCCAAAGTGCTGGGATTACAGGTATGAGCCACCACGCCTGGCCATCTCTTCCCATTCTTAATGGCATTTTTTCCTACTCAGAACACAGCATTAACATATTATTTTTCTGTCCTTGCCCCACCTGTTTTTTCCTAAGTCTCAGCTCGCAATTGACTATTTGTTGTGCTCCCATCCATCCTGGTGACAGCTGTTCCCAGCCACCGCCTGTTTGGATAGAGCTTGCCTCCTGAGAGACGCTTAGGAGAGGCCCTCGGTGGTGTTTCCTAGACTTCTGAATACTTGATACTTTTCTCTGTAGCCTTGATAATTGAAGGAGAACTTGCCCATTAATCCCTTGACTTGCATTTCCTTTGCTTGAGTTTCTTAAACACACTCCAGCATTGTCTGTTGGGCACACACTGGGTCTCCTGCCTTTTAACTGCTTTTGTAAAAATTGTGATAAAATTTATGTAACATAAAATGCATGATTTTAGCCACTTTAAGTGTGCAATTTAGTGCAGGGACCAGCCCCACAGGGTCAGTGGGCTTCTCCCTGTGTGCGGCGACGAGAGAGTGTAGAAATAAAGACACAAGACAGAGATAAAAGAAAAGACAGCTGGGCCCGGGGGACCACTACCACCAATGTGCAGAGACCGGTAGTGGCCCCGAATGTTTGGCTGCACTGTTATTTATTGGATACAAAGCAAAAGGGGCAGGGTAAAGAGTGTGAGTCATCTCCAATGATAGGTAAGGTCACGTGGGTCACGTGTCCACTGGACAGGGGGCCCTTCCCTGCTTGGCAGCCGAGGCAGAGAGGGAGAGGAGAGAGAGAGAAAGACAGCTTACGCTATTATTTCTGCATACCAGAGACTTTTAGTACTTTCACTAATTGACTACTGCTATCTAGAAGGCAGAGCCAGGTGTACAGGATGGAACATGAAGGCGGACAAGGAGCGTGACCACTGAAGCACAGCATCACGGGGAGACGGTTAGGCCTCCGGATAACTGCGGGCAGGTCTGACTGATGTCAGGCCCTCCACAAGAGGTGGAGGAGCAGAGTTTTCTCTAAACTCCCCCGGGGAAAGGGAGACTCCCTTTCCAGGTCTGCTAAGTAGCGGGTGTTTTTCCTTCACATTTTTCGCTACCGCTAGACCATGGTCCGCCTGGCAACGGGCGTCTTCCCAGATGCTGGCGTCACCGCTAGACCAAGGAGCCCTCTGGTGGCCCTGTCCAGGCATAACAGAAGGCTCGCACTCTTGTCTTCTGGTCACACCTCACTATGTCCCCTCAGCTCCTATCTCTGTATGGCCTGGTTTTTCCTAGGTTATGATTGTAGAGCGAGGATTATTATAATATTGGGATAAAGAGTAATTACTACCAACTAATGATTAATGATATTCATATATAATCATTATCTAAGATCTATATCTGGTATAACTATTCTTGTTTTATATTTTATTTTACTGGAACAGCTCATGTCCTCGGTCTCTTGCCTCGGTGCCTGGGTGGCTTGCCGCCCACAATTTAGTGGTATTAAAGACATTCAAGGCCGGGCGCAGTGTCTCACGCCTGTAATCCCAGCACTTTGGGAGGCTGAGGCGGGCGGATCACCTGAGGTCGGGCGCCTGTAGTCCCAGCTACTTGGGAGGCTGAGTCAGGAGAATCGGTTGAACCTGGGAGGCGGAGGTTGCAGTGAGCCGAGATCACGCCACTGCGCTCCAGCCTGGCGACAGTGACACTCCGTCTCAAAAAAAATAAAAAATAAAAGAAGACATTCAAAATACTGTGCAATCATCACTGCTACTTATTTTCAAAACTTTTCTATCACCCCAAACATCCCTCCCCCAGCCTCTATAACCTCCGTTTACTCTGTCTATGGGGATTTGCCTTTTCTAGATATTTCATGGAAGTAGAATCGTGTGTCTTTTTATATCCGGCTTCTTTACATAGCTTAACGTTTTCAAGGTTCACCCCTGTTGGAGCATGTGTCAGAATTCTCTTTTTAAGAAGGTAATGATGGACCACATTCTGTCTGTTCATCCTCTGATGGACATTTGGGTTGTTTTCACCTTTTGGCTATGGTGAGTTTTTAGTTTTTTTTTTAAAGAGAGGGTCTTGTGTCCTGTCACCCAGGTGGGAGCGCAGTGGTGGAGTCAGAGCTCACTGCAGCCCGGACCACCTGGACACAAGCAGTCCTCCTGCCTCAACTCAGTCCTCAGTGTCGGGATTACAGGCTTGAGCCACTGCATCCAGCCTTCAGTTCTTAAAGTTGAAGAGGTGAACTAAGACAGGTCTGAGAGTTCAACATTCCAGGCCAGTTTTGTCAGGTACTCTGTATAGGCCTTTTTTTCTTTTTCTTTCTTTTTTGAGACGGAGTCTTGCTCTGTCTCCCAGGCTGGAATACAATGGCACAATCTCAGCTCACTGCAACTCCCACCTTCCGGGTTCAAGCAACTCTCCTGCTGCAGCCTCCGGAGTAGCTGGGATTACAGGTGTGTGCCACCACGCCTGGCTAATTTTTGTATTTTTTAGTAGAGACGAGGTTTTACCATGTTGGTCAGGCTGGTCTTGAACTCCTGACCTCAGGTGATCAACCCGCCTCGGCCTCCCAAAGTGTTAGGATTACAGGCGTGAGCCGCTGTGCTCGGCTGGCCTTTTTCATAACTTTATTTATGTATTTTTTTGAGACAGAGTCTTGCTCTGTCGCCCAGGCTGGAGTGCAGTGGGGTGATCTCAGCTTACTGCAACCTCCACCTCACAGGTTCAGGGGATTCTCCTGCCTCAGGCTCCTGTGTAGCTGGGACTACAGGCATGCGCCATCATGCCTGGCTAATTTTTGTGCTTTTAGTAGAGATGGGGTTTCACCATGTTTCCCAGGCTGCTCTCAAACTCCTGCCCTCATGTGATCCACCTGCCTCGGCCTCCCAAAGTGCTGGAATTACAGGCGTGAGCCACTGCACCCAGCCTGTATCTTTAATTTAAACAATTTTTTTTTTTTGAGACAGAGTCTTGCTCTTTCACCCAGGCTGGAGTGCAGTGGCACGATCTTGGCTCATGCAACCTCCACCTCCCACGTTCAAGCAATTATGCTGCCTCAGCCTCCCGAGTAGCTGGTACTACAGGTGCATGCCACCACACCCAGCTAGTTTTTGTATTTTTAATAGACACGGGGTTTCACCATGTTGACCAGGATGGTCTCGATCTCTTGACCTTGTGATCCACCCGCCTTGGCTTCCCAAAGTGCTGGGATTACAGGTGTGAGCCACCGCGCCCGGCCTAATTTTAAAACAATTTGTATTGTCTGGGTGCGGTGGCTGACACTCGCAGTCACAGCACTCTGGGAAGGGTGGGCGGATTGCTTGAGCCGGGAGTTCAAGACTAGCCTGGACAACATAGTGAGACTCCGTGGCCACAAAAAATAGAAAAAACTAGGGGGCATGATGGTCGCAGCTACTCAGGAGGTGAGGCAGGAAGACAGAGCCCAGGTCAGTGCACTCCAGCCTATGCGACAGAGTGAGGTCCTGTCTTGAAAATAAAAAGAGGGAGGAAACGTTGGCCTGTGGCTAATCAGAAAGGGCCTCCCATTCTTGGGGTCGCAACAGTGTCTTCCGTCCACTCATTCGCTGTCTTTTTCCCAGGCTGTGGCTCTCTGAGGGCTTAGACTCTGCCTTATTACCTTTTCCTAAGCTGTAGAAGAGGTCCTGCTGGCCCGAGTGGACGTGTTGAGCGATTGCTGGATGAAAGACTAGCGGAGGTCCTGCCTGCCCTGTGACGCTACCTCCCAAGGGACAGTAACGGCCTCCCCAGGGGCTTCCTCCCGAGGGTCGCCCCACACATGCTGCTCGAGGGCCCCTGTGGCTGTCTCTGAACATTCAGCATCTCACTCCTCCTCGGAGCCACCTCTGCCCAGTTGAAGCCCTGGGCCCAGGGTTGGGCCTCCCCGGCCCAGGCCCATACAACCTCGGCACGTTTTGTAATCCAGTGCGGTCCTGTTCTGCCCTCAGCCCTTCTTCCATCAGCACTCATTCTGGTTCTGATTCCGGTCACTGCTGGCATCAATCCCTGTACTTCAGAGGTAGCGATGGCAGCCCTTTCAGAGCCCAAGTGGCCACCCAGCCTTGCAGCCCCTGGCTCACCTTCCACTTGCTCTCTGCAACTGCCCCTGCCAGCCCTGGCCTTGCCTCCTGGACTCCAGATCGCCTCGGGTTTGGCCACGCCTCGTCATTCCCTCTGTTGCTGTGTGCTCTGGGAGGCAGTTGTGGCCTCTTTCCAGTTGCCGTAGCAACTTCTATAAAGAAACTGCTCACTTAACCTTGTCAGTGGCTCCTTTCCAAGCCAGAATCCAGACTCTGAAACAGGGCGTGCCGGACCCTGCATGCTTGGGACGCTCCAGCCCACTGTCACTCACTGACAGTGCCATGGCTGCCTGTTTGTGGTTCCCCGTGCGAGCCTTGGACTTTCTCACCTCTGCTGTACACATGCTGCCTGTTCCTCAGACATCCCCTTCCTTCCCAGCTGGCTAAAACTCCTTTGTTCTTTGGTTTTAAGTGTTAACTGAGGTCTTTCCCCCTCTCTGGCTTTTGCCGTATTCTTCACCATCAAGTGAGGTTCTGTAGCCCCGCTTGATGCTTCTCTTGGAGGCACACAGGCGTGTGCACTGCAAGATGACGGTCTGTTTCTTCTCCAACATATGCCCAGGTCTTGCTGGTTCCTTTGCATGACACAACGGCTCCTCAGGAAACACTTGCTGACCTGTGAGGGGCTGTTCTTGGAGTCTCCCTGTCAGGTGTGACAGGTTGGGGAGAGGCTCTGGGTGATGTTGTGTTTCCTGGGTTCTCCCATCTCTCACTCCAGAGGAGAGGCAGGAGGCGACGGTCCTGACATCTCACACATTGCCCGACTCGCTGGTGTATGGAGCCGACTGGTCCTGGCTGCTCTTCCGTTCTCTGCAGCGGGCCCCCTCGTGGTCCTTTCCTAGCAACCTAGGAACCAAGACGGCAGACCTGAAGGGTGCAAGCGAGTTGCCAACACCCTGTCATGAATGCAGAGAGGATAACGATGGGGAGGGCCATGCCAGACCCCAGAGTGGAATGAAGCCACTCACAGAGGGCATGAGGAAGAATGGCACCTGGCTGCAGGCTACAGCAGCCACCACACGTGACTGTGGCGTGAACCCAGAAGAAGCAGACTCAGCCTTCAGCCTCCTGGCCACCTGCTCCTTCTATGACCATGCGCTCCACCTCTGGGAGTGGGAGGGGAACTGAGCTTGAAATCATGAAGCCCCTTCCCACAAGGAAACCAGGAGGGAGACTGCGAGTGAGTGCCCGGGACCACCTCATCAGAGATGCTTACTGCAGCCCTGCAGGTGCCTGTGCACTGATGGAATCCACAGTGTAGTCAGAAAAGCTGTTGACTTCTCTTAAATCAGCTTCCCTGCTGGGCCCCTGAAAGTGGACTGGGTGATTCTGTCTGGCAGAGAGTGGGGAAAAGACGCGGTTTCCAGCTTGCAGATTTGTTAAGTTTCTCAGGCAGATTTTGACTTTCAGCCTTTCATACTTGTTTAAGCAACTATTTGTATTAAATGAAGTTTTTTGAAAAACACGAGTTTATAACATGTTTAAAATGAACATTTTATGCCTCATCATGGCACCAGAAATGCTTGTATAGATTGAGCACAGCCAGTCCAAAAATCCAAAATCCCAAAACTTTTGGAAAATCCCGCAGCTGAACTCATGTGACGGGTTGCATATATTATTAAAACTACTGAGCACAGTCACAGTGGCCTGTAATCCCAGCACTTTGGAAGGGGCTGAGGCAGGAGGATTGCTTGAGGCCTGGAGTTCAAGACCAGCCTGGGCAACATAGCAAAACCCAGTCTCTATAAAAAGTAAAACAAAAATTAGCCAGGTGTGGTGCATGTGCCTATGGTCCCAGCCACTTGGGAGGCTGAGGCAGGAGGATTGTTGAGCCCAGGAGGTCGAGGCTGCAATGAGCCAGGGGCAACAGAGCAAGACTCTTATCTCTAAAAATTAAATAATAAAAAATTGTATAAACAATAATTGAGGACAACCAGTTACAGATTCATTCCTTCTCTCACAGCTTCATTTGACTAGCCTAAAAAACATATATATTGTATAAAACTACCCTCAGGCTATGTGTATAAGGTGTACATGAAACAAAATTGAATTTCATGTTTAGACTTGTATCTCATCTCATCCCCAAGATGTCTCATTATGTACATGCAGATATTCCAAAATCTGAAATCCAAAACATTTCTGGTTCCAAGCTTTTTTTTTTTTTGCCCCCCGAGATGGAGTTTTGCTCTTGCTGCCCAGGCTGGGGTGCAATGGCACAATCTTGACTCACTGCAACCTCCGCCTCCCAAGTTCAAGCGATTCTCCTGCCTCACCCTCCCAATAGCTGGCATCCACCAGCATGCCCGGCTAATTTTGTATATTTAGTAGAGACAAGGTTTCTCCATGTTGGTCAGGCTGCTCTCAAACTCTGGACCTCAGGTGATCCGTCCACCTTGGCCGCCCAAAGTGCCGGGATTACAGGCGTTGAGCTGTGCCTTTTTTTTTTTTTGAGACAGAGTCATGCTCGTCACCCAGGCTGGAGTGCAGTGGCTCAATCTCGGTGGCTCCATCTCGACTCACTGCCCTCCACCTCCCAGGTTCAAGTGATTCTCCTGCCTCAGCCTCCGGAGTAGCTGGGATTACAGGTGTGTGCCACCATGCCTGGCTAATTTTTGTATTTTTAGTACAAATGGGGTTTCACCATGTTGGCCAGGCTCCTGACCTCAGATGACCCGCCTGTCTCGGCTTCCCAAAGTGCTGGGATTACAGGCATGAGCCAGGGCGCCCAGCCCCAAGCATTTTGGATAACGACGCTCAACCTGTATTGGATCCCTATGCAGGTAAGTAAAAGGGAGTGTGTGTTCCAAGTTGCCTTGGGGGTCATCAGCTTGAAATATGTGAAGTCTGTAGGGAACACTCATCACTGCAGCACCCACACGGGTTAGCTCCCAAATACTGGACAGATGGTGACTTTAGGTGTGTGAACAAACTGGGTGTGTTACATCCAACTCCTGCTGTGAGGGCTTTTGTCTCTCTGGGAGGAACTGTGGTTGAGGTACAGGCCACTATTTGTCAAATCCTCAGCATTTACTAATGATACATAGGTGACTACAAGCAAAAAAACATGCAGTTTTATCCCTTTTTTGAGACGGAGTCTCACTCTGTTACCCAGGCTGGAGTGCAGTGGTGCGATCTCGACTCACTGCAAGCTCTGCCTCCTGGGTTTAAGCGATTCTCTTGCCTTTGGAGTAGCTGGGACTACAGTCGCACGCCACCACGCCTGGCTAATTTTTGTATTTTTAGTAGAGATGGGGTTTCATCATGCTGGCCAGGCTGGTCTTGAACTCCTAATCTTGTGATCCTCCCGCCTCAGCCTCCCAATGTGCTGGGATTACAGGCGTGAGCCACCGCACCTGGCCTTATCCCTTTCTTCTTTTCTGATGATACAACACAACATGTCACTATATGTCAGATTGCAACAGGAAATTTTCCTAGGCTGGGCGCAGTGGCTCACACCTGTAATCCCAGCATTTTGGGAGGCTGAGGCGGGCGGATCATTTCAGCCCATGAGTTCTCAGCCTGGGCAGCATAGTGAGACCCCCATCTCTGTATCTTTGTTCCCTGGGTGAATAATTTGGGGGATGAACTGACCAGTGCTGTCATCCGGCACAATCTGCCTTGTAAATTCTTTCTCCTGCAAGCTGAGTGATGTTTGCCCTTGGCAGGTTCCCAGAACCTTCGGACTCGGAAGATGACCTCCAAAGAGGTTCACAGCGCCGAGTCTGCATGAGAACTCGGCTTAGGTGCCTGCACTGAAATCTGTCATGCTGCACACTTTGCCATGACCTGAGGCCAAAAAACAAACACCGTATAGCTGGCAAAGGCGTTTAATAGAAATGAGATGAGGGCAGGCCGCCCCTCCCCCGCCCAGCTAGCGCAGGAAGTTCCTGGGGTAGAGCTGGAAGAGCTTTCCCTCCTGTGTGGGCTCGAAGCCGTACTTTTCCAGGTTGTCAGGGTCGAAGGTACCGTCCTTGAAGTCCTTTTCGATGGCAGGCGCCACGGCTTCGCTGAAGAGCTGCGCGGCCGTCAGGGGCGTCTCCTCGCTCTCAGGGGCGAGGTAGCTCACGTAGGGCTTGAGCTTGAAGCCGGTCAGATCCGGGACGACGAACTCCGGGACCATCTCCTTGATCTGCACGAACCTCCAGCCCGAGGTGAGGAAGCCGATGCCCTTGGCGCCCCGGCCCTTGCGGCCCCTGAAGCTGCGCGGGCCCCGCTTGCTCGTCCACTTGCTCATTCGGTCCGCACCCCGGACCAGGCAGCGCGCCGCTGCGGCCAGGACGCCCATGCCGCGCCCTGCGGGAGGAGAGAGCGGGTAGTCGCGGCCCCGGGAACCCGGCCAGCCCCGCCCCTGGCCGCGCGCGGCGCCCGCCCCAATCCGACAGACTCACCTGGACCGGAGACCCCACACGAGCTCCAAGCGGCCCCGGCTCCGGCGCCAACCCGGCCTCGACCTTGCTCCGCTTCCGACCGCTGCGTCGCAGCAAGAGCGGCTCCGATTGGCCGCGGCCGCCGCGTCCAATAGCGGCCCCAATCTGGTAGGGGGTGTGGCCGCGGGGACTCGGCCAATGCGAGGAGCGCGCGGGGCGGGGCGGGGCTCGCGGGGCTGGCGGTGCGGGGCCGGCGGTGCGGGGCTCGCGGGGCGGGGCTCGCGGGGCGGGGCTCGCGGGGCGGGGCTCGCGGGGCGGGGCTCGCGGGGCGGGGCTCGCGGGGCGGGGCTGGCGGATGAGTGATCGCTCTCAGCGCGGTGGTCCCTGGCGTCTCCACTGCCCGCCACTGCCTGTGTTCGTCCGCCAGGTGGCCGGCGGTTTCCCGGGAGCCCAGTCCCCCTGAGGCCGTGAGGTGGCGTCGGGAGGTCGGGGAGGACGCGGGCCCTGGACTCGAGACGGCCGCCGCGTTGACGCCGCGACCCTGCCTTTCTTACCCCTCCGCCGGGCGCGGCTCCTCTGGGCGGAGCCGGCAACCGCGCGGGGAAAGCCCGGGACCTGCAGCCGGGAGGGCCCGGGCTGTCTGTGCTCCCCCGCAGGCCGGGCAGTGGTGTGGGGGGACTCGAGCCCTCGCGGTGCCCAAATTAATCAATAATCTTGGACCCAGCACGTCCGGCTTGCGCACTGAGCCCTCCTGCCCGGTCACCCTCGCAGGCGACCTCTCACCCCACGCGGAAGTCGCCCCCCAGCCGCACCCTCACAATCCGGATCCACCCCCTCCCCAGCTGCACCCCGTCCCCAGCGGCACCCCCACAGCCCAGATCCATCCCCTCTCCAGCTGCACGCCCTTCCCCAGCGGTACCCCCACACCCCAGATCCATCCCCTCCCCAGCTGCACCCCCTCCCCAGCGGCACCCCCACGCCCCAGATCCACCCCCTCCCCAGCTGCACCCCCTCCCCAGCGGCACCCCCACGCCCCAGATCCACCCCCTCCCCAGCTGCACCCCCTCCCCAGCGGCACCCCCACACCCCAGATCCACCCCCTCCCCAGCTGCACCCCCTCCCTAGCGGTACCCCCACTCGCCGGATCCACGCGCTCCCCAGCTGCACCCTCTCCCCAGCAGTACCCCCACACCCCAGATCCACCCCCTCCCCAGCTGCACCCACTCCCCAGCGGTACCCCTACACGCCGGATCCACCCCCTCCCCAGCTGCACCCACTCCCCAGCGGCACCCCCACACCCCAGATCCACCCCCTCCCCAGCTGCACCCACTCCCCAGCGGTACCCCTACACGCCGGATCCACCCCCTCCCCAGCTGCACCCTCCTCCCCAGCTGCATCCCCACACCCCGGATCCACGCCCCGCCAGCGTCACCTCCCCTCCAGCCGTGCTTCTCCAGAAGGCAGCGCTGCCCCCATCCCCGCCGCGCTGGGCCTGGCTCCTCTTGACCTGCTTGGATACGCCCCATCTGGCTGCTGTTCTGGGTTCCGGGACAGCCACGTGAGGGCTGTTTACAGAGGGAAGGAGGTGGCTCCTAGCAGATGACAGACACTTCTCAAAAGACAGCTTTTCTTCCTGGAGAACAGACTTTTTCAGCAGGATTTTCCTTTCAGTGAAACATAATTTGACTTGAAAGGAACCCAGGGAAAAGTGTCCAGGTGTGAGCATGAGCGGGTAGAGGTGTGCCCTTGTTTGCTTCAGGCTGTCTGCTTTTCGCCCCTGACTGTTTTTTCTGTTTCTGGCCATGGAGGAAGAGAAAGATGACAGCCCACAGGTATGTAACTCGGGGGACCAGATGCCTGGATTTCCCAGTTGGGGGGCATTTCTGGACCCAGAGAAGGGTCCTCTTGGCGTCTGCTCTGCCGCGCTCTTTGGCCCCGTGGCTTCTTGGCGCCTGAGGACTGTGGGAGTGGTGGATCTGGCCCCTCTCTGCTGCCTGTCACAGCTGCCAGCACTTGTTAGACGCGCCTGTCACAGCAGACAGCCAGTGGTGGCCCATGGGCATTGTTCACAGCGAGGGCAGCCAGCGGTGGCCCATGGGCATTGCCTGAGGCCTTGTCTTTTCTTCCCCTAAGGTCACAGTTGCTACTTCCAGTTCCTTTAGGACTTTGCCTGATGGTTTTGCTTAGAACCTTTTTCTGTGTTTTTTTTTTTCCCAAGACGGAGTCTCGCTCTGTCGCCCAGGCTGGTGTGCAATGGTGTGATCTTGGCTCACAGCAACCTCCGCCTCCTGGGTTCAGGCAATTCTGCCTCAGCCTCCCGGGTAGCTGGGACTACAGGCACCACGCCCGGCTAATTTTTGTATTCTTAGTAGAAACGGGGTTTCGCCATGTTGGCCAGGCTGGTCTTGAACTTTTTTTTTTTTTTTTTTTGAGACGGAGTCTTGCTCTGTCGCCCAAGCTGGATTGCAGTGGCACGATCTCAACTCACTGCAAGCTCTGCCTCCCAGGTTCACGCCATTCTCCTGCCTCGGCCTCCCAAGTAGCTGGGACTACAGGCGCCCACCACCACGCCCGGCTAATATTTTTTTGTATTTTCAGTAGAGACGGTGTTTCACTGTGTTAGCCAGGATGGTCTCGATTTCCTGACCTCGTGATCCGCCCGCCTTGGCCTCCCAAAGTGCAGGGATTACAGGCATGAGCCACCGTGCCCGGCCTAGTCTTGAACTCTTGACCTCATGATCTGCCCGCCTCGGCCTCCCAAAGTGCTGGGATTACAGGCGTGAGACACTGTGCCCAGCCCTAGAATCTTTTTCTTAGTCAAACATCTGTAGCCACATGGCAAAGGCCTTATTTCCTAAACCAGAACACTGGACCCATTAAAGCAACAGTGAAAAGCTAGAAAAGGCTGAGCCGCTCCACCGCAGGAGAGCCTGTGACCAGGTCACGGGCCATCGCGTGATAGGCCTTCCTTGGATAATCGGTCCCAGAAGCGGTTGCTGGGCTGAGGGACTCACTTCGCTTCCTTAAGTGAGGGACATGGTCGTAGGTGCTTCTCTGCTCCCCACCTGGTTGAGAGTGAGCGTAGGGGTTCCCCTGTCCTGAAGCAGAAGCTCCCAGGGCTTGTATTTGCTTCTGAACCAAGTTCGAAGGGCTCAGCTTTCTGGGCACGTCCTCATTCTGTCTTGGTGCAGAATTGTGTCTTTAAATGCGTTTCTGAGTGCTCTTCTGACTTCCCTGAGTTTTCTTTTTTTTGAGATGGAGTCTCGCTCTGTCGCCCAGGCTGGAGTGCAGTAGCACAATCTCAGCTCACTGCAAGCTCTGCCTCCCGGGTTCACGCCATTCTCCTGCCTCAGCCTCCCAAGTAGCTGGGACTACAGGCACCCACCACCACGCCCGGCTAATTTTTGAATTTTTAGTAGAGACGGGGTTTCACCGTGTTAGCCAGGATGGTCTCGATCTCCTGACCTCATGATCCGCCCGCCTCAGCCTCCCAAAGTGCTGGGATTGCAGGCGTGAGCCACTGCGCCCGGCCCTTCCCTGGATTTTCTGGCACGGATGGGAGTCCTGCTCTCTGCAGTGAGGCGGGGGTGGGTGTTGTTTTAGGCCTTGGCTCTTGTGTAGAAACTTTCAGGCTGAACCAGTGGCTTCCCCTGCCCTATCCGGTTCCTGGCTGCCTGGGAGGAAGGTGTGATGCCAGCAGGAATGGAGAGGGCTGCCTGTCTGGCTGGTGTCGTCTTCTCGTCTTCTCGTTTTCTCTTTCACTTCTTGGAACCACCAGCGTCCTCTGCTGTCGTTCACTCACCATCCTGCCCTCACCCTCTCTTCCCTCCCTCCCGCGGACCTGGACTTCTGAAGTCCTGCTGCTCCAGGAGACTGCAGGACACAGAGCCTTCTCGGCCGCTGCCTCCTTGTTTGGCATGTGAACTGGTGTTGAATGTTCTCAGAATCCAGATGGCTCATAGGGGTTTTGAGCACTGCTCCTGCTGGGGCTGAGGCGACACTGAGAGGGGGGCCTTGGCCTCCCCTTTGGCCAGGCCTGCTCCCTGAGACCTGCATCCCAAGGATTGCATCACCAGCATGTGGGTGTGTTAGTGATGCCTGGGGCAGCCGCTGGCCCTGCCCCACTGTATCCCAGTGACTGAGGGAGCCAGGTTGCTCTCTGAGTGCTTCCTAGCAGGGGGCTCAGAGGACCCCGGCACCCCGGGCGAGATCACTTCTTCCCAGAAGTCTCCAGGGCTGCTGACTTCTCCCCTAACTCCCAGCTCTCCTCCTGCTGCTCTGAACAAGTTCGGGCTGGGAAGCCTGTCCATGCCCACCTGACCCCATGCTCTCTGCTGCAGGCTGACTTCTGCCTGGGCACCGCCCTGCACTCTTGGGGACTGTGGTTCACGGAGGAAGGTTCACCGTCCACCATGGTAATCACCTCACGCTTCCCTGGAGCCAGACCTGGATGGGCCGTGGCCTTTTTCACCTCTCCCTGTCCCCATCCCCTGGCTCATTCCTGCCCAGCCTGTGGTTGGGCAGCCAGGGGTGGGGGCAGGCTTAGGGCTAGGGTTAGGTTTGTGGCTTTGCTGATGGGCGCCGTGTTTCCACTCTCGGCCAGCTGACGGGGATTGCAGTTGGAGCCCTCCTGGCCCTGGCCTTGGTTGGTGTCCTCATCCTTTTCATGTTCAGAAGGCTTAGACAATTTCGTGAGTATCTTGGTTCCGACTCTGGCCCGGGGGGTTGGGGGAAAGCGTGGGTGTCTTGGGATGTGTTTTGAGCCCCTGGGAGGGGCCCTCAAGCGCATGGTGGCTTTGGCTAGAATCTGATGGCCCGTCTGGGCTCAGGCTGAGCCCGTCGGTTCCAGGAAGCCAAGTCTGTTCAGAGCCCTTTCTGTTCTCCTCTCCTGAGCAAGGCTTCAGTGGGAAGAGGGGAGAGCCCCCTTTGTTGGAGATGAGCCTGTCACTCAGGCCCTCTTCCCTCATGCTGTCTGAGTATGGCCAGTTACTGGCAGGGACGAGAGTATGACTGACTGTGCTGCACCTGCATGTCCAGGACCAGGCCTGTGCCACGGCTCTACCTCAGGCCATCCCTTTACTCCCCTGCAGGACAAGCACAGCCCACTCCTCAGTACCGGTTCCGGAAGAGAGACAAAGTGATGTTTTACGGCCGGAAGATCATGAGGAAGGTAGCTGTTGCTCGGGGCCCCAGGCTGCACACGGCTTCCTCGAGCAGGCCCCTGTGGGAGGGACCCCTTCTGCTGTGGGCTCCCCCAGGCTGGGCAGTGCTTGGTGTGTGCTGTCCTCTCCCCAGCTTCCCAGCTCTGCCACCAGGCTCAGGGTTTGGGGGAAATTATAAATTGTGCCGAATGGTGTCTGCTTCCTCCAGCTGAATCCAGTGTGTTTTACCCAAGAATAACCCCTCACCCTCTCAGGCCTCTACTCCCCCTGGCCTGGAGGGGCAGCTTCAGGAATGTCTGTGGTGCACAGTGGCCGGAGGGGAGGGAAGGCCTGTAGGGCCCAGCCCCACAGGGTCGGTGGGTTTCTCCCCCTGTGCGGAGACGAGAGAGTGTAGAAATAAAGACACAAGACAAAAAGATAAAAGAAAAGACAGCTGGGTCCTGGGGACCACTACCACCAAGACGCGGAGACCAGTAGTGGCCCTGAATGCCAGGCTGCACTGATATTTATTGGATACAAGACAAAGGGGCAGGGTAAGGAGTGTGAGCCATCTCCAATGATAGGTAAGGTCCCGTGGTTCACGTGTCTGCTTGACAGGAGGCCCTTCCCTGCCTGGCAGCCGAGACAGAGAGAGAGAGGAGAGAGAGAGAAAGATAGCTTATGCCATTATTTCTGCATATCAGAGACTTTTAGTACTTTCACTAATTGACTACTGCTATCTAAAAGACAGAGCCAGGTGTACAGGATGGAACATGAAGGCGGACTAGGAGCGTGACCACTGAAGCACAGCATCACAGGGAGACGGTTAGGCCTCCGGATAACTGCGGGCGAACCTGACTGATGTCAGGCCCTCCACAGGAGGTGGAGGGGTAGAGTCATCTCTGAACTCCCCTGGGGAAAGGGAGACTCCCTTTCCCTGTCTGCTAAGTAGCAGGTGTTTTTCCTTGACACTGACGCTACCGCTAGATCACGGTCCGCTTGGCAACAGGCATCTTCCCAGACGCTGGCGTCACCACTAGACCAAGGAGCCCTCTGGTGGCCCTGTCCGGGCATAACAGAAGGCTCGCACTCTTGTCTTCTGGTCACTCCTCACTATGTCCCCTCAGCTCCTATCTCTGTATGGCCTGGTTTTTCCTAGGCTATGATTATAGAGTGAGGATTATTATAATATTGGAATAAAGAGTAATTGCTACAAGCTAATGATTAATGATATTCATATATAATCATATCTAAGATCTATATGTAGTATAACTATTCTTATTTTATATATTTTATTATACTGGAACAGCTCATGCCCTCAGTCGCTTGCCGCTCACAAAGGCCCTGTCGGCCCCCAGAGTGGATGTTTATTTTAACAATAAGTGAGAACGGAAAGCTGCTTTCTAGGAACATCACTGGGGCCCAGTGGGTGCAGAGGGCCTCACGCTCGGCCAGAGGTTCCTGACTCTGCTGCCAAGCTTGGAGGTCTCTGCCAGGCTTTGGGATGCTGAGCTGAGGACAGAGTCCATCCCCTGGGATTTGAGGGGCTGAGTTCCCTGGTTACCGGCATGTGTGCTCTAAGCTGAAAGCTGCGTGACTCACTTTGAATGTCTGGGTGGTTCCGGAACCTAGACACAGATCCCTGGGCCAGGGCTCAGGGATCCGAGTTTCACAAGCCCCGATCTGGGGAATAAGCAGCCTTGGTTTAACCCTTCCTCGTCTTTGGCCAATTGGGCTGTCGGAGGCCTCCCCTGGCCGCCTCCCTGCACTCCTGAAGGGCCCAGGAGGTGCTCAACAGACCACCCAGAAGCTTCACAGAAACCGCACAGACTGATCCCTTTAAAGCAATCTTTGTTACCTTTTTCTGGTTGTACAACTAATTCGTGTTCTTCATAGAAAATTGAAAAACTCGGCCGGGCACGGTGGCTCACGCCTGTACTCTCAGCACTTTGAGAGGCTGAGGTGGGCGGATCATGAGGTCAGGAGTTCGAGACCAGCCTGGCCAACATGGCGAAACCCTGTCTCTACTAAAAATACAAAAATTAGCTGGGCTTTGTGGCGGGCGCCTGTAATCCCAACTACTCGGGAGGCTGAGGCAGGAGAATTGTTTGAGCCAGGACCCAGGAGGCGGAGGTTGTAGTGAGTCGAGATCGTGCCATTGCACTGCAGCCTGGGCAACAAGAGCAAAACTCCATCTCAAAAACAAACGAACAAACAAAAAACAAAAAGAAAATTGAGAAACTCAAGAGGGGAGGGATGTGGGTGTCTGTGACTCATCTGTTCTCATCCGCATTAAGTGCTGTGAAAGGGCAGATGAGTTAGGGCTGCTGTAGGCTGGGTCTGGGACAGGCTTAGGCGGCCGGGACAGGGCGTAGGGTGGTCTGGAGCAGAGTGGAGGCGGTCTGTTGAGTGTCGGCCATCATCCAGTGGCCCCACAGAGGACAGGGAAGCTGAGGGCCTGGGAGGAAAGCCATGAGGCTGACAGCTCTGGACCGAGGGGCAGCAGGCAGTGGGGCCTGAGTGAGGTGACCCTGCCAGCATGCAGGGTGTGACCCAGGCCACTGCTATTCTGGGCAGTCAAGCAGGCACTGCCTGAGAAAAGGGAGGAAGACTGTTCCAGATATGGGACAGAGTGGGCAGTGGCCCCAGGTCAGAGGGGAAGTTGGGGGGGAAGGTCGGTGGGGACAGTGGTGGATTTTTAAAGGGTTGTAGCAAAGGGTTGTGTTGACCAGTATGAGAGCCAAAGATGGAGCGGGTGTCAGCCTTCGGGGCAGCGGGGCCAGCAGGCATGAAGCCTGGGGGCTCTGGAGGGTTGGCTGTTTGGGGACAGTGAGGACGATCCCAAGGATGTGTGGGGCTGTATCGCTGCCAACATTCCCTCACAGGCCAGGCAGGGTGGGAAAATGGCACAGCCAGACCCCAGGAGCTGAAGCTGGGACTGTGGGAGGCCCACAGGCAGGTCCTGAGGACTGATCCCCATGGCAAAGAGCTTGGACCTTGCGGCTTGCAGGGTCAGTGGCTGGTCTCTCCCTTGGCTCTGCAGGTGACCACACTCCCCAACACCCTTGTGGAGAACACTGCCCTGCCCCGGCAGCGGGCCAGGAAGAGGACCAAGGTGCTGTCTTTGGCCAAGAGGTACTGTGTGTCCTTCAGACCACATCCTGCCCCAGGTGCCCCCCATGGTGCTGGCCTCCCCAACCCTGAGCTGCCTGGTGTGTCAGCCACTGATGCTGTGGGTTTCGAACCCGCCTGGTCTGCTCAAGGCTAGTGTGTCTCTGCCTTGTAGGATTCTGCGTTTCAAGAAGGAATACCCGGCCCTGCAGCCCAAGGAGCCCCCGCCCTCCCTGCTGGAGGCCGACCTCACGGAGTTTGACGTGAAGAATTCTCACCTGCCATCGGAAGTTCTGTACATGCTGAAAAACGTTCGGTAAGAGCGGGGATGAGCCCCGGGGGCTGCGGCAGCTCCCATAGCCCCGGGCTTCTCGCTGGGGCCTGGCTCCAGCTTGGCCGTCTTGTGTTGGGGGAATGGTTGGCAAAGCGCATCGTGGGGCTGCTGGTGTCTGTGCCCCGTGGCGGGGCCTCGTGGTCTGCTGGCTCCTTCACCAGATCTTTCTTGTTCTGTTGAACGATTTCCCGGTGTTTCATCTTCAGCGGTGAACCCAGGGCAAGAGCAAGAAGGGTGTGGTGGATCCAAAGCCTGGAGCCTGGGTTCTGCTCTGTGCTCCTGTCTTGCTGCCTGGCCCCTGGACTGCACCCCTTCCGCTCCCTGGCCCAGCTCACCATCCTGGAGGCCACCTTTGCCTTCCTCCCGTGTGTGTGTGGCTCAGGTTCACGGGTCAAGAAGTTCTCTGAGGTGATGGAAAACAGGCTCACGGGAATTTCAGAAGTTGACGGTTGTGTTTGGCAGTAATGCTGTGTGGTTTGTTGGTCAGCCGTGTGGACCCACAGCACAAAGCCTGGCGCCAGTGGGGTCAGTGACCGTGTGCTCTCGAGACTCTTGGAGAGGCCGTCCTCCTCCCCTGGAAGGGCGTCCCACAGTGCCCTCTGGCTCTTGCAGGGTCCTGGGCCACTTTGAGAAGCCGCTGTTCCTGGAGCTTTGCAAACACATCGTCTTTGTGCAGCTGCAGGAAGGGGAGCACGTCTTCCAGCCCAGGGAGCCGGACCCCAGCATCTGTGTGGTGCAGGACGGGCGGCTGGAGGTCTGCATCCAGGACACTGTGAGTCGCAGGGCGGCGGGGCGGGGTCAGGCGGCTGCGCATTTACCTCCACGTCTGTCTTCTCGGGCTGTAAAACGTTTCTCATTGAAAAGCTAGGCAAAATTTTGATTTTAATTTCTTTGGGGGAAAACTCACCGTTTTTATTTTTTATTACATTTTATTTAGTTTTTTGAAACAGGGTCTCACTCTGTCACCCAGGCTGGAGTGCAGTGGTGTGATCTCAGCTCACTGAGGCCTGGACTTCCTGGGCTCAAGCGATCCTCCCGCCTCAGCCTCTCGAGTAGCTGGGATTACAGGTGTATGTCACCATGCCCAGCTCACTTATAAAATTTTTTTGTAGAGATGGAGTCTCAGTTTGTTGTCCGGGCTCATCAGCAATTCCTGTGCTCAGGCGATTCTCCCATCTTGTCCTCTCAGAGCACTGGAATTACAGGCATGAGGCACTGGGCTGGGCAGCTGTTTTAAATGTATCTTCCAAGTCCTCAGAATACTCCCTTTGATAGTTTAGTAGTAAGTCACTGTGTTGATTTGCCATGGTCCATTGAACCCTTGCTCTATTTTCAGGTTTCTAACAAAATTAAATTAATTGTAAGAAAGTAATTAAGGCCAAGGTGGGAAGATCACCTGAGCCCACGGCTTAGAGACCAGCTTGGACGAAGTAGTGAGACCCCGTCTCTACAAAAAATAAAAAATAATTATCCAGGCATGGTGGTAGCACCTGTGGTCCCAGCCACTTGGGGGCTGAGGTGGGAGGATCGCTTGAGTCTGGGAGGTTGCGGCTATAGTGAGCTGTGTTCACGCCACTGCACTCCAGCCTGGGCGACAGAGCGAGACCCTGTCTCAAAAAAAAAAAAATTCGGGTGTGAATCCACGTAGGAGCTCAATACTTGTTTCCTGCCTCTGTTAAATTCCACCCTTTGAATCGCTGCTCGGGGGTGGGTGCTGGGCCAGACCCTGCCGTGGCCTCTTTGGCGCTGTGTTGCTCTCCTGGAGGGTGGTGTGGCTTTGTCTGTCTGGGCAGTTTGCGACCCAGACTTCCCATTGCTTGTTCTCATTTAAAGCACGCACTCAGCAAACCCTGGGCTTTGTGTGATCATCACCCTGACCTGCAGGGCTCCTGCCAGCTGTGGTCCCGGGAGTGGGCTGTGATCCCACGCCAGCTCCGGCACTGCCTGTCGGGGTTTCTAGACCAAAAGCGCTGCTGGGCAAATTATTTGGTTCTCAGGTTTGTCGCTTTGTCTGTGGCTGGACTTGATGGGTTATTAGAAGGGAAAGGGGCTTGGGGGAAGCTGGAGCCAGTAGCTCCTGGGGATGAGGCCGCCCAGCTGGTGAAGCAGCGGCTTTCGTTGCCGCTCGTGCGGGGCCCTCCTGAAGGACCAGAACCCGTGTCCCTCTGGCCTTTGGACTAGATGGGAGGGGCTCATGGAGGGGACTGGGGCCAGATTTGGGCAACTTCATAAAGAATTTTCCTGGGTCAAGCTGAGATGAAGTGCTTACTTTGTTAAATCACCAAAATAGCGCGGTTTCTTTTCTTTTTTTACCTAATGGAAAATTATATCAAAGTTCTGGAATTTAGGCTGGTAATAACTGAATCGGTCCTCGGAGTCCTTATAGTTAGCTCAGCAAACAAACAGGCTCTGCGAGCTTTTGCCTCAGTCCCCACATTGAAGACGAGTCATGGGATGGAGAGGTGGGGTCTCCTCCGTCTGTTTTCCTTGCTGCCGCTTCCTGTGTGTTGTACCCCTGATGCCAGCAGGTCCATCTTGTCCCCTGCCCTCCATCCAAGGTGCCTGCTGCTCTCATGGCGCCTCAGAGGTGCAGGCCCGTGGCCCCACTGCCCTGGGCTGGGCTGAGCCTCCGCCAGGCCCCGCGGTCGCAGCCCCAGACCTGACGGCACCCACTCTGCTCTCCAAGCGCAGGACGGCACCGAGGTGGTGGTGAAAGAGGTTCTGGCGGGAGACAGCGTCCACAGCCTGCTCAGCATCCTGGACATCATCACCGTGAGTCCCCCGCTGCCTGGCCCTCCGGGCGCCCCTGGGTTGGCCCCGGAGGCCTGGTTTTTCTGTCTTGTCTGGACAGCTGGTAGTGGTTAAAGGCCAGTTCTCCACAGTGATGTGAGGGGAGCAGGGTTTGGTCCAGGAAGGAGGGAAGAAAGAGGAGGGAGCTTCATTCTGGCCACAGTGCGTTGAAGAATAGCCGGGCATGTGGCTAACGGTTTTGGTTGTCTCTTAAATGACTGTTGTTGAACTGGGTCATAAATGCATGTGGTTCAGCATTCAAAAGGCACAAAGTGTTGTAGAGGGAAGGCGTTTTCTCCTCTCCTCAGGCCCAAGGCCCTCCCGAGGGACCAGCCACCCCCGTTTCCTGCAGGTCCTGCTGGGCTCTTCCCTGCTGGCGCCGTCTTTCTGTGGCTCCCAGTCTTTTGCTTTTCGTCGTTGCAGTGAATGGTTTCCTGTGTCCATCGTTTCCGATACCAGAGCCTGATCTGCAGGATAAATCCTAGGGTGGACTTGCAGGGTCCCAGGGATGCAGACTTGTAATTTTGAAAGGTGCTGCCGGGCCGGGCGCAGTGGCTCACACCTGTAATCCCAGCACTTTGCGAGGCTGAGGTGGGTGGATCACAAGGTCAAGAGATCGAGACCAGCCTGGCCAACGTGGTGAAACCCCGTCTCTACTAAAAATACAAAAATTAACTGGGTGTAGGGGCAGGCGCCAGTAATCCCAGCTACTTGGGAGGCTGAGGCAGGAGAATCGCATGAACCCGGGAGGTAGAGGTTGCAGTGAGCCAAGATCCTGCCACTGCACTCCAGCCTAGGCAGCGAGAGTGAAACTCCGTCTCAAAAAACAAAACAAAACAAAACAAAAAATCATGTATCATGTTGTCTCATGATTTTTAACTTTTTATTATGAGACAGTTCAAAAATGTGCAAAAATAGTAAAATCACCCCATGTGCCCAACATTAACTAGAATTATTTTTTTTTAGGCTGGGTCTTGCTCTGTCGCCCAGGCAGTGGCATGATCTTTGCTCATTGCAACCTCCGCCTCCTGGGCTCAAGCAATTCTCTCACCTCAGCTTCCCAAGTAGCAGGCGTGCACCACCATACCTGGCTAATTTTGTATTTTTTTGTAGAGATAGAGATGAGGTTTTGCCATGTTGGCCAGGCTGATCTTGAACTCCTGGGATCAAGTGATCTGCCTACCTCAGCCTCCCAAAATGCTGGGATTACAGGCATAAGCCATCATGCCAAGCCATTAACTAGAAGTTTTTTTGTTTTTTGTTTGTTTGTTTGTTTGTTTTGAGATGGAGTCTCGCTCTGTTGCCCAGGCTGGAGTACAATGGCGCAATCTTGGCTCACTGTAACCTCCACCTCCCAGGTTCAAGCAATTCTCTTGCCTCAGCCTCCCGAGTGGCTGGGATTACAGGCATGCGCCACCATGCCCAGCTAATTTTTGTATTTTTAGTAGAGAACAGCCTTGGTAAGGCTGATCTCCAACTCCTGACCTCATAATCTGCCTGCCTTGGCCTCCCAAAGTGCTGGAATTACAGGCGTGAGCCACTGCACCCAGCCTGAATTTTGTTGTTTTTTTTGAGACAGGGTCTTGCTCTGTTGCCCAGGCTGGAGTGCAGTGCCACGATCTTGGCTCACTGCAGCCACTATCTTCCAGGTTCAAGTAATTCTCCTGCCTCAGCCTCCTGAGTACCTGGGATTACAGGAATGTGCCATCACACCTGGCTAATTTTTGTATTTTTAGTACAGACGGGGTTTCACCATGTTGGCCAGGCTGGTCTTGAACCCCTGACCTCAAGTGAGCCACCTACCTCAGCCTCCCAAAATGCTGGGATTACAGGCCTGAGCCACCGCGCTTGGCCCATTAACTGGAATTTAATGTGTGTTTAATCTTTTTTTCTTTGAGTAAAACCTACATGCAGTGAAACAAATCTTTAGTGTCCATTAGCTGAATTTTGCTAAATGCCTCTCAACTCAAAAGAGGTAACTGATTTTAATCTTACTCTTTTGAGTTACACCTTTTGCATTCATTGTTAGCTGTGTATCAAGGTAACTTCTACCTCAGTTTCTCTAGACTTTGTTAGGAGAGTTTTCTAGAGCTCACCAGAACCCTGGCTCGGATGCATTCAGGCAGAACCAAGCGCTAGGTCCTTGCATGAAACCTCGCACTGGAGCCTGGGTGGTGTCCTCTGATCCCATCCTATGTTCCTCTGCTCGGAAAGGACGTAACAAGCTCCAGCCAGACATCGGGGTGTCCAGGGTGCTCACTCTGCTCCCCGGCAGATGGGCACAGGTGCGCTTTGAGCTGTTTGGGGCCTGGGGTGGAGGCGTGGGTGGGACCTCGGCATCTCGTTGTGCTCCCTGGGACTTGTGTATCTTCACGTGACGCGTGGCCTGTGCTGGGGAGGCTGCCGGCCTGGGGAGGGAGAAGACACCCACCTCCTTTGAGCAAGGCTGACCTGCCGTTAGAAGGCCGGTGCTCATCTTCGAGGGAGCCCCCAGCGTGGCTTGGGGCAGAGTGGGGTCCCAGCCACCAGATCCACCTCTGTGCACCTCTTTGGAGCCTCTGGTTAGTGTGTCTCTGGAGCTGAGGTGGGCTTCTCAGGGACTCCTGGATGTGTAAGGGGCACCTGTGGGCCTGAGAAAAACTGGGAAAGGACCACAGGAGCTTTGGTCTACGTGGACGTAAACCCGTTCAGCACGGGGCATCTGTATGCGACCTACCTTGGATGATTCGTTTCTCTTTAAGCAAAAAATAGCTTCACTGGGGTAGAGGCTTTCTCCATTATTTCTTTGTTCTTTCTGATCTTGATCTTGTTGTGATATTCAGGTTGGGCCTCACTTATCACAGTGCAGCCATGCCTGTTCCAGGAGAGGGGAGCTGTGCGCTGAGACGGGCCGGGTTCCTCTCAGCTGCTGCGATCCGTCTCATCCGCGTTGGTGTCACAGCCCCTCTCCCTTAGGGGTGGGAATGGATCTTCCCTGAGTGTAGTGGGAGTAAAAAATGGGAGGTGATTGGCTGAGCACGGTGGCTCACGCCTGTAATCCCAGCACTTTGGGAGGCCGAGGTGGGCGGATCACGAGGTCAGGAGATCGAGACCATCCTGGCCAACATGGTGAAACCCATCCCTACTAAAAATACAAAAATTAGCTGGGTGTGGTGGCGGGTGCCTGTTATCCCAGCTACTCGGGAGGCTGAGGCAGGAGAATCCCTTGAACCAGGGATTTGGAGGTTGCAGTGAGCTGAGATTGTGCCACTGCACTCCAGCCTGGTGACAGAGTGACACTCCAACTCTGTCTCAAAAAAAAAAATGGGGGTGATATCTGAGAGAGGTAATTCTGTATTGTGATCAGTTGATCATCTGCCGTGACATCGTTTTTCCTCATCAAACTTTTGTGTTTGTCATTTTAACAAAACTTAAATTCTTGCAAAATAACATGGACAGATTCTAAAAACATACTTAAAGTTTTATCAACAGTGGCCGTCTGTCCCCTCACACTGAAAACGCTTCGGTTCCTTCTGAGCAGCTTTTCTTGCTGTTTCCTAACCCATCCATTCTAGACACACTGACTTCCTGTTGTGGGAGATAAAGTGTGGCTCGGTGGATGGCCCCCATGCTTCCTGTTGTGGGAGATGAAGTGTGGCTCGGTGGATGGCCCCCATGCTTCCTGTCGTGGGAGATGAAGTGTGGCTCGGAGGATGGCCCCCATGCTTCCTGTCGTGGGAGATGAAGTATGGCTCAGAGGATGGCCCCCATGCTTCCTGTCGTGGGAGATGAAGTGTGGCTCGGAGGATGGCCCCCATGCTTCCTGTCGTGGGAGATGAAGTGTGGCTCGGTGGATGGCCCCCATGCTTCCTGTCATGGGAGATGAAGTGTGGCTCCGTAGATTGCCCCCATGCCTCATGCTACGTTCCCATCTGCACCGCTCATGGGCGGTTCTTTCGACTTCATGGATACTATTCACAGCTGAGCTATGTAGTGTACTATAGTTAAATTTCCTTTCTTGCAACTTTCTCTTTTTCTTGGAATTAACAGTTGTGTTATTTTTGGCTACTTGGTGATTTTTCTGTGCACCTGTTACAGATTCACGACCTGAACCAGCGGCTTATTTTTGGCCTCTTGGTGATTTTTATATGCACCCATTACAGATTCACGCCTGAACCAGCGGCTCCGTGAATGCTTTTTTGCTCTGGGAAGCGCCCCTGCTAGGAGCCCCCATCCTCTTGCCCAGTCGGACCCTCCCCAGGCCTGCTGTCCAGACGCCATCCCAGGACCACCCACCCTTCCTTCCCCTACACAGGGCTCTTGCTGCTGCTTTCTCGGCCGGCGTGTTTTGGTGGAGCAAATCCTCCATTCACTTCCTGAGACAGGATGCCAGGGAGGTGTATGTTTGGAAACCTTAGAAATCTAGAATTGTCTTTATTCTACACCACCTTTGTCTTTTTGTTGTACTTTTTCTTTTCTTTTTTTTTTTTTTGTGATGGAGTCTTGGTCTGTCGCCCAGGCTGGAGTGCAGTGGCGCGATCTCAGCTCACTGCAAGCTCCGCCTCCTGGGTTCACGCCATTCTCCTGCCTCAGCCTCCTGAGTAGCTGGGACTACAGGCGCCCACTGCCACGCCCGGCTAATTTTTTGTATTTTTTAGTAGAGACGGGGTTTCACCATGTTAGCCAGGATGGTCTCGATCTCCTGACCTCGTGATCTGCCCGCCTCGGCCTCCCAAAGTGGTGGGATTACAGGCATGAGCCACCATGCCCAGCCTTTTTGTTATACTTTCTAGATTTTTTCAACTTTATTTTCCAAATCTTCCATTGAATTTTTAATTTCTGTCATATTTTTCATTTCAAGAGGTTTTTTCTGTTAATTTTTTTTTTTTTTTGAGACGGGGTCTTGCCCTGTCACCCAGGCTGGAGTGCAATGGCGTGATCTCAGCTCACTGCAACTCCTGCCTCCCGTGTTCAAACGATTCTCCTGCCTCAGCCTCCCGAGTAGCTGGGATTACAGGTGCCCACCACCATGCCCAGCTAATTTTTGTATTTTTAGTAGGGACGGGGTTTCACCATGTTGGTCAGGCTGGTCTCAAACTCCTGACCTTGTGATCCGCCTGCCTCGGCCTCCCAAAGTGCTGGGATTACAGGTGTGAGCCACTGCGCCTGGCCCTGAATGTTCTTTTTAAAAAAGTATCTTTGTTCTTATGTTTTAATTTTTAAAAATTATCTTGTTCTTACTTCATGGATAAAGTAAGATGGGTTTTCTTTTGCTCCCTGAGTTGTTTCTGACCTGAGTTTTTCTTCTCTGTTTATTTTGGCTTCTGTCTTTCTGATCAGGGGCTTTTCTGCCTCCAGCAGTCACTTTATGTGTGAATGAAGTTCTTATTGAACACAAGTGTGCAAACCAGCATAGCTGCATCTCACAGAAATAATGTGGAGCCCAAGAGGCCAGCAACAAAAAGCACACACTGTGTAATTTCACTCACCTGAGGCTCAGCTACCAGCTGTACTGACACTTGAGGACAGAGGCTGGCCAGCCAGCTTTCTCTGTAAAAGGCCAGAGTGTAAATATTTCAGCTTTATGGGCCACGTGGTCTCTCTTGCAGCTACTCAATGTGGCCATCTAGTGTTCCAAAAAAAACTTCCTTTACAAAAAACGTGCGGTTGGAGGGACTTGGTGTTGGTGTTTGGCCCTGCTGGGGTTAAGGTCTCATTAGTGGTTGCCTGTTAGAACGCGCGGTTCGAGGGACTTGGTCCTGGTGTTTGGCCCTGCTGGGGTTAAGGTCTCATTAGTGGTTGCCTGTTAGGGGTTTAGGTTGGGTATCGACCCGGGGAGGCGTAAGGTAATCTAGATTACTGGAAATGTTCTACATATTGATTTCGGTGGGAGTTACATGGGTTAACTACAAAACGAAAACAGCGTGATCCACCTGAAAGCTGCATATAGGCTGCGTGTGCATGGGGTCAGGGCTCGTTAACAGGGGACACTCCCTGCAGGAGGACTGAGCAGGACGCTGGCTCTTTCCTTCATGGTTTGGGAGTCTACAGGTCAGGGTCTGTAGGTCTTTTTTTTAGGGCAGCTTCTCAGAAAGGAATCTGCGTATGTTCTGCTGTGGTGGCACTGGGTTGGAGGAGGGGGAGGAGTCTGGGAGTGCTCCCATCTGGAGTGGACACTGTTGGGGAGGAGTCTGGGAGTGCTCCTGTCTGAGTCTGGGAGTGCTCCCATCTGGAGTGGACACTGTTGGGGAGGAGCCTGGAAGTGCACCCATCTGGAGTGGACACTCACTGAGGAGCCTGGGAGTGCTCCCGCCTGGAGTAGACACTGTTGGGGAGGAGCCTGGGAGTGCCCCCGTCTGGAGTGGACACTCACTGAGGAGCCTGGGAGTGCTCCCGCCTGGAGTGGACAGTGTTGGGGAGTAGTCTGGGGGTGCTCCCATCTGGAGTGGACAGTTGGGGAGGAGTCTGGGGGTGCTCCCGTCTGGAGTGGACACTGTTGTGGAGGATTCTGGGAGTCCTCCCGCCTGGAGTGGACACTGTTGTGGAGGATTCTGGGAGTCCTCCCGCCTGGAGTGGACACTGTTGGGGAGGAGTCTGGGGGTGCTCCCATCTGGAGTAGACACTGTTGTGGAGGATTCTGGGAGTCCTCCCACCTGGAGTATACACTGTTGTGGAGGATTCTGGGAGTCCTCCCGCCTGGAGTGGACACTGTTGGGGAGGATTCTGGGAGTGCTCCTGTCTGGAGGGGACACTCACTGAGGAGTCTGGGAGTGCTCCTGTCTGGAGTGGACGCTGTTGGGGAGGAGTCTGGGGGTGCTCCTGTCTGGAGTGGACACTGTTGGGGAGGAGTCTGGGAGTGCCCCCGTCTAGAGTGTACACTGTTGTGGAGGATTCTGGGAGCCCTCCTGCCTGGAGTGGACACTGTTGGGGAGGAGTCTGGGAGTGCTCCCATCTGGAGTGGACACTCAGGAGTCTGGGAGTGCTCCCATCTGGAGTGGACACTTGGGGAGGAGTCTGGGGATGCTCCTGTCTGGAGTGGACACTGTTGTGGAGGATTCTGGGAGTCCTCCCGCCTGGAGTGGACATTGTTGGGGAGGATTCTGGGGGTGCTCCCGTCTGGAGTGGACACTTGTGGAGGATTCTGGGAGTCCTCCCGCCTGGAGTGTACACTGTTGTGGAGAATTCTGGGAGTCCTCCCGCCTGGAGTGGACACTGTTGGGGAGGAGTCTGGGGGTGCTCCCGTCTGGAGTGGACATTCACTGAGGAGTCTGGGAGTGCTCCCATCTGGAGTGGACACTTGGGGAGGAGTCTGGGGGTGCTCCTGTCTGGAGTGGACACTGTTGTTGAGGATTCTGGGAGTCCTCCCGCCTGGAGTGGACACTGTTGGGGAGGAGTCTGGGAGTCCTCCCGCCTGGAGTGGACACTGTTGGGGAGGACTCTGGGAGTGCCCCCGTCTAGAGTGTACACTGTTGTGGAGAATTCTGGGAGTCCTCCCGCCTGGAGTGGACACTGTTGGGGAGGAGTCTAGGGGTGCTCCCGTCTGGAGTGGACACTCACTGAGGAGTCTGAGAGTGCTCCCATCTGGAGTGGACACTCACTGAGGAGTCTGAGAGTGCTCCCATCTGGAGTGGACACTTGGGGAGGAGTCTGGGGGTGCTCCCGTCTGGAGTGGACACTGTTGTTGAGGATTCTGGGAGTGTTCCCGTCTGGAGTGGACACTCACTGAGGAGTCTGGGAGTGCTCCCGTCTGGAGTGGACACTGTTCTTGGATTCGTAGCCACACCTGATGTCCTTGGGCTCTTACCTGCTTGCTTCACCTTCTCCAGAGAGTTCCTGGTAGTCCTCTGGCCACGGGGAAAAGCCATTTCCAGCCTGTTGGGGTCAGGAAAGTGACTTGGGGTTAGCCTGCCCCTCTTCCCGTCTCACCTGCATGTTAGCCTCGTTCTGGCTCTGCAGTGAGGACCAGTCCTCTCTGTCCAGGTTCTGCACCTCTAAAACCAAGTGTCAGCTTTCCTTAGAGGGCTCCACCAGCCATGACCCTGTCACTTGCTTTCATCAGCCGCTAAAATTTCAGTGACATTTTTTATCTACTCTTAGCTTTTGTCTTTATCCTTGGAGGTTTGTATCTTTTTAAGAGAGCAGAGATAAGCATGTATATTCCACAAGGGGACAAAGATAAGCATTTACCTTCAACTTACCTTTCTTTTTTGGAGACAGTCTCACTCTGTCACCCAGGCTGGAGTGCAGTGGCGTGATCTTGGCTCACTGCAACCTCCATTTCCTGGGTTCAAGTGAGTCTTGTGCTTCAGCCTCCCGAGTAGCTGGGACTACAGGTATACACCAGCATGCCCGTGTAATATTTGTATTTTTAGTAGAAACAAGGTTTCACCATGTTGGCCAGGCTGGTCTTCAACTCCTGACCTCAAGCGATCTGCCCTCCTGGGCCTCCCAAAGTGCTGGGATTATAGGTGTGAACCACCGTGCCTGGCCCAACCCACCATTTTTAATGGGAGATAGTCTTTATTATTTTAATTTTTATAAAGTTGTTACAAAATACCGCAGATACGCAAAAAAGCGTGATGTTGCTGGGAATGGCGGTTGGCACCTATAGTCCTGGCTGTTCGGGAGAGGAAAGGAGATTGCTGAGCCTCGTAGTTCTAGGCCAGCCCAGACAACATAGCAGGACCCTGTCTCTAAAACAAGTAGGCATGACACAGCAAACAGGCATCTTAACTCGAACCCAGGTTATATAGTTTTAACCCTGGTTAGCTAGAACACAGGTTAGATGCACACTGCCGGCTCTGTTCACATTACCCACGTGTGCTCTCATTTCACCTTCTCTTTTCTTCAGAGATAGCTACTTTTCTGAATTTTCTTTGGTACTTATACAATATGTAGTATAATTTTGCTTGACTCTAAATCTCATAAATGGCATCACACCAGGATTCCTCACCTTTCCTAATTTGAGCAACATTATGAACGTGAGATTCATTGGCGTGAGTGGGTGTCGTTCTAGTTCAGTCGTTGACACCACCGTTGATTTCTCCGTGGCTGAGTGACAGCTGGGTTGGGTGTGATTGCTGGCTGCTACATACAGCACTGCCGAGATCTGAAGATGTGCAAGTGTGGGGAGCCCTCGGGGACCCCTGCCTGCCAGAGGAGCTGCGTGTCCACCTGGGCTTCCCAGCATCCAGCCTCTCCCTGTGGTTTTCACAGCTTCCTGATCTGGGGTGAGGTTATGAAGGCATGGTTTTTTGAAGTAAACAAGTGGATTTGAAATAAAACACACAAAAGCCATTTTTAGCAACAGCTGCTAAGTTGTTATTCTTTTTCCCCACCCGCCCCCAAACACACGCACGTGCTTTTCTCCCTGATTCCAGAGTGGAGATGAGACTTGCCCAGCTGATGCGGTTGGTGGGGGTGTCTCTCCCTTGAGTCTGGAGCAGGCCGTGATTTCAGTCGCTGGACCCCGGCTGTTGGGGCTGGCAGATGACTCCTCTCAACCGTTCTGTGCTTGTGTTTCTTGTGGTGTGGTGTAGCTCTCTTAGGGAGGAACTTGCTCTACATAAAGGTTTTGAAAGGAACGGAACAAAATTCCAAGTGGAAGAAAAATTGCTGAGTCTCAGAGATCGATTAGCATGTGCCAAGAGCTGAGTATCTGGTGTGCTCGATGTGCGGGGCCCGCAGCAGGCCTGAGTGTCGGCCAGTTGTGCTTTGGAGCCCAGCACCAGGAGATTGGGCACCCTCTAAGTTCCTTGTTTGGGTTCTCGTTTATGTGGCCTCGTGCAGGAAGGTACATTGGAATTCTCCTGAACAGCAGCAGCCGTGAGCCTGGTCTACACAGGTGAGCAGCTGCTGTTTGATTTAGTATCTGTGGTGATGTGTTAGGCATCTTCATTCAGGCTCTCAAAGAAGAAGGAAATTAAGATTTTATTTTTAACTAAAATAAATGGGAGAGTTACAGTTCTGCTGTGGCAAGGTAGTGCCACAACAGCCTGTCCTGCTGATTACAGTGAAAAACTCTGGACAGAATGCAGAAAACAATTCTTGGAGAACTCCGAAAATAAAGCCAGTAGACTGTGGATAGTCATCGTGGAGCCGCCACCCACGAGGGTTCTGCTTCCTGCTTTTTCGTTTTCTTCTGTTACTCATGGCCTTGCCTTGATGGTAGCCCAGTTATGGAGCAAAAGCCCTGATGGGAATCCTCCAAAAGCACCAGAAGAAGGGCCCCCAAGGGCCAGAGAGAGTGTGTGGATCTCAGGGAGGAGAGAGCCAGGGAAGTAGATGCACAGATTTTGTCTGTGAACCTGTACAAGGCTCAGGACAGACCCAGAGCAGCATAACAAAGACTTTGAAACTGTATTAAGATTCATACTTCAAGGCCAGGTGCGGTGGCTCACGCCTGTAATCCCAACACTTTGGGAGGCCGAGGCGGGCAGATCACAAGGTCAAGAGATCAAGACTGTCCTGGCCAACATGGTTAAACCCTGTCTCCACTAAAAATACAAAAAAATTAGCTGGGTGTGGTGGCGCGCACCTCTAGTCTCATCTACTCGGGAGGCTGAGGCCGGAGAATCGCTTGAACCCGGGAGGCAGAAGTTGCAGTGAGCCGAGATCATGCCACTGCACCACAGCCTGGGAAACAGAGCAAGACTGTATCTCAGGAAAAAAAAAATTCAAACTTCAGGCTGGGCGCGGTGGCTCACACCTGTAATCCCAGCACTTTGGGAGGCTGAGGCGGGCGGATCACATGAGGTCAGGAGTTCCACACCAGCCTGGTCAACATGGTGAAACCCCGTCTCTACTAAAAATACAAAAATTTAGCCAAGTGTGGTGGTGTGTGCCTGTAATCCCAGCTACTCAGGGGGCTGAGGCAGGAGAGTTGCTTCAACCCAGGAGGCGGAGGTTGCAGTGAGCCGAGATCGTGCCACTACACTCCAGCCTGGGTGGTAGAGTGAAACTCCGTCTCAAAAAAAAAAAAAAAAAAACAAAGATTCAAACTTCACCTCGAATCTCAGATTGACTCCTGAGTGGTGCATGTTCAGGGCAGAGCAAAGCATCAGAACCAAGGCTTTGAAAACAGAGAAACTGGAATCCACCATCCACAGATACAGACTTGTGGTCTGAACCCAACCAGCTTAATCGCCTGCTAAAACAAAGAAGGCAACATTCTCCGGAAAATTATATCCTAAACCCAGCCATTATAAATGATCACAGTGGATACAAATGGTCTAAATACAACAACAAGACAGACTGTCAGATTGGATGGAAAGTCCAAGCCCCAACTCTATGGTGTCTGCAGGAAAAACCCACTTTAAATATCAATACTTAGATGGAAAACAGAAGGTTGGCCTGGGCGAAGTGACTCACACCTGTAATCCCAGCACTGTGGGAGGCTCAGGTGGGAGGATTGCTTGAGCACAGGAGTTTGAGACCAGTCTGGGCAACATAGCAACCCCATCTCTACAAAAAATTTAAAATTAGGTTAGTGTGGTGGTACACACCTGTGCTCCCAGCTACTCAGGAGGCTAAAGTGGGAGGATTGCTTGAGCCTGGGAAGCTGAGGCTGAAGGAAGCTCTGAGTGTGCTGCTGTAGTATAGCTCAGGTGATAGAGTAGCAAGACAGTTTCTCAAAAAATAAAAAAGGCCGGGCGCGGTGGCTCACGCCTGTAATCCCAGCACTTTGGGAGGCCGAGGCGGGCGGATCACGAGGTCAGGAGATCGAGACCATCCTGGCTAACGCAGTGAAACCTCGTCTCTACTAAAAATACAAAAAATTAGCCAGGCGTGGTGGCGGGCTCCTGTAGTCCCAGCTACTGTGGAGGCTGAGGCAGGAGAATGGCGTGAACCCGGGAGGCAGAGTTTGCGGTGAGCCAAGATCGCACCACTGCACTCCAGCCTGGGCAAGAGAGCGAGACTCCATCTCAAAAAAAAAAAAGGCTGGAAGAAGATATATCATGAAAGCCCCAATTAAAAGAAAACTGGAGTGGCTATATTAGTATCAGACAAAGTCGATGTCAGATGAGATGAAGGAATATTACCAAGGATAAAAATGGACAACACGGCCAGGCGCGGTGGCTCATGCCTGTAATCCCAGCACTTTGGGAGGCCGAGGCGGGTGCATCACTTGAGGTCAGAAGTTCGAGATCAGCCTGGCCAACATGGTGAAACCCCATCTCTACTAAAAATACAAAAATTATCTGGAAATCACTTGAACCCAGGAGGCAGAGGTTGCAGTGAGCCACGACTGTGCCATGGCACTCCAGCCTGGGCAATGCTCATATTAGAAAATAAAACAAGTCTCAGATCAGTGACCCAAGCTTCTATCTTAAGAAGC
Source organism: Homo sapiens (assembly GCF_000001405.40). Lineage (NCBI taxonomy): Eukaryota > Metazoa > Chordata > Mammalia > Primates > Hominidae > Homo > Homo sapiens. The sequence goes on along the minus strand of NC_000009.12, from coordinate 137,528,307 downwards.
TAGGAAAAGAAAAACAAATGAAACCCAAAGCAAGCAGATGGAAGAAACTAATAAAGAGCAGGAATCCATGAGATTGGAAATGCAAAACAAGAGAGAAAATGAATGAAACCAAAAGCTGGCTCTTGGAAGACGTCAGTAAAATGAAAAATCCTCCAGCCAGACTAGTGTAGAAAAGAAGAGAAGACACAAACTACAGATATTAGACATGAAAGAGTGCACATGTCTACAGACCCTACAGACATAAAAGGACTAATAAGGAAATATTTTGAACAGCTTTATGCCCATAAAATCAGCCACGCAGATTAAATTGACAAATTCCTTGAAAGGCACAAACTACCACAGTTCCCTCAGATATAGATTATCTGAATGGCTACTACTAAAGAAATCGAATCTGTAGCTAAAATCCTTCCCACCTGGAGAATTCCAGATCTAGATGACTTCACTGGGGAATACTTCCCAACATTTAGGACAATAAGGACAAAATATGCTAATTTTATACAAACTTCTCCGGAAAAGTAGAAGAGGGACTATTTCCCAGTTTAGTTTTTGAGGGTAGCAATACCCTAATACCTAATCAGACAGACATTACAAGAAAGGAAAATTTCAAACCAGTCACTCATCATTAGAAACATACATATCCTCAATGAAATATTAGAGATTTGAGTCCAGCAGTATATGGAAAAGGATAATACATCATGATCAGTGGGATTTATTCCAGGAGCAAAGCTGTTTCAACAGTTGAAAATCAGTTGATGTAATGTTCCATATTGACAGACTAAAGAAGAAAAGCCATCTGATTACCTTAATAAATGCAGAAAAAGTATTTGACAAAATTCAGCATCTGTTCACGATAAAAACTGTCAGCAACCAGAAGAGAACTTCCTAAATCGAATAAAGGACATCTGTACTAAAAAAATGAAAGCAAACATCGTGCCTGATCGTGAAAGACTGAATATTTTCCCTTGAAGATTGCGAACAAGCCAGAGTGTGTGTGTGGGTTTTTTTTTGTTTTTTTGTTTTTTTGTGGTTTTTTTTTTTGTGAGTCGGAGTCTTGCTCTGTCTCCCAGGCCGGAGTGCAGTGGCGCAATCTTGGCTCACTGCAACCTCCGCCCCCTCTGATTCAAGCAATTCTCCTGCCTCAGCCTCCCAAGTAGCTGGGACTACAGGCACCTGCCACCACACCCGGCTAATTTTTGTATTTTTAGTAGAGACGGGGTTTCACCATCTTGGCCAGGCTGGTCTTGAATTCCTGACCTCGTGATCTACCTGCCTCGGCCTCCCAAAGTGCTGGGACCACAGGCATGAGCCACCATGCCTGGCCAAGTGTGTGTTCTTACCACTCCTGTTCAGCATCGTATTGGAGGTCCTCAGAGCAGTAGGGGAAGAGAAAGAAAGAAAAAGCATGCAGATGGGAAAAGAAAAAATAAAAGTCTCTATTCCCAAACATGATTATCTAGATTGAAAATCCTGTGGATTCTATAAGACAACTACTAGAACTTATGGTTTATCAACATACGAAAATAAACTGTATTTCTCTATATTAGCAATGAAGAATTAGGAATTGAAATTTAAAAGTAACAGCAATTATAATAGCATCCAAAACTGCAAACTTGGGAGTTCCCAGGCCACTCACACTTGTGACCAACTGGTTACAACTTCAGGGATTCCTGTGACCCCCTCAGATTCAATATTCTAGAACAATTCACATTTGTACTACAAAGGATGAAAATCGGCCAGGCGCGGTGGCTCACGCCTGTAATCCCAGCACTTTGGGAGGCTGAGGCGGGTGGATCATGAGGTCAGGAGATTGAGACCATCCTGGCTAACACGGTGAAACCCCGTCTCTACTAAAAATACAAAACATTAACCTGGCATGGTGGCGGGCGCCTGTAGTCCCAGCTACTTGGGAGGCTGAGGCAGGAGAATGGCGTGAACCCGGGAGGCGGAGCTTGTAGTGAGCTGAGATCGCGCCATTGCACTCCAAAGTGAGACTCTGTCTTAAAAAAAAAAGGATGAAAATCAGGATCAGTCAAAACAGTCAAGAGACCCACAGAGTGAGGTCTGGCATGGTCCAGCCATGAGGCTCCCGTGTCCTTGAGCTATGCCATCCTCCTTGTGGGCGGCAAGCCACCCAGGTGCCGAGGCAAGAGACCGAGGGCACGAGCTGTTACAGTATAATAAAGAAAATATACAGAATAAGAATAGTTATACTGGAACTAGAATATAGATATGATGATATATGAATATTAATCATTAGTTTGTAGCATTACTCTTTGTTCCAATATTATAATAATCTCTGTTCTACAATTATAACCTGGGAAAAACCAGGCCATACAGAGATAGGAGCTGAAGGGACATGGTGAGAAGCGACCAAAGACAAGTGTGAGCCTTCTGTTATGCCCAGACAGGGCCACTAGAGGGCTCCTTGGTCTAGCGGTAACGCCAGTGCCTGGGAAGACACCCACTGCTTAGCAGACCAGGAAAGGGAGTCTCGTTTCGCCAGGGGAGTTAGAGAAGACTCTGCTCCACCACCTCTTGTGAAAGGCCTGACATCAGTCAAGCCCGCCCGCAGCCATCCGGAGGCCTAAACGTCTCCCTGTGATGCTGTGCTTCAGCGGTCACGCTCCTGGTCCACTTTCGTGTTACGCCCTGTACACCTGGCTGTGCCTTCTAGATAGCAGTAGCAGAATTAGTGAAAGTATTAAAGTGTTTGATCTCTCCGAGAAATACATAGAAGAAATAATGACATAAGCTGTCCCCATTCTCTCTCCGCCTCGGCTACCAAATAGGGAAGGGCCCCCTGTCCGGTGGACACGTGACTCACGTGACCTTACGTATCGCTGGAGACGACTCACACTTCTTACCTGCCCCCTTGCCTTGTATCAAATAAATAACAGTGCAGCCAGGCATTCGGGGCCACTACCGGTCTCCATGCCTTGGTGGTAGTGGTCCCCTGGGCCCAGCTGTCTTTTCTTCCATCTCTTTGTCTTGTGTCTTTATTTCTACGATCTCTCATCTCTGCACATGAAGAAAAAAACACACAGGCACAGTAGGGCTGGACCCTATACCTCCTGGCACACTGATGTGTGTTGCCACCCAGGGACGTTTGCCTGAACTTTGGCTGTGTGATCCAACTCGATGTCTAGCTTCCTCCCCTCCCCGCAGGTGGGAGGTTGGGCTGACACCCCTGGATCTAGTCACATGCTTGGTCTTCCCTGCATGGCCAGCTCCCTCCTGAAACTTCTGGGTTGGGCCTTGCCGCCAGGAGTCACCTGCTAGCATAAACCCAAGTGAATTGCACTGTGAATAAAAAGACACTTCCAGGAGCTTCTAAGATCTTGAGGGCTTTCTCCTGGGAACTGAAGACAAGACCAGCTAAATTCTTTATTATGCGACATGGTGGCACCAACTGCTGGTGAAGACAGGCATCCACGGAAACTCATTCCACGGGGCATCCAAGGAAACTCATTCCACGGGGCATCCACGGAAACTCATTCCACGGGGCATCCACGGAAACCCATTCCACGGGGCATCCACGGAAACTCATTCCACGGGGCATCCACGGAAACTCGTTCGCTGCTGGTGAGAATGCAAAACACAGGGCATCCATGGAAACTCACTCACCGCTGGTGAGAATGCAAAGCACGGCAGCCGCTGTAGGAGACAGTTTGGTAGTTTCTTATAAATGTGAGGATACGTGTTCCGTACAACCTACAAGTCCCATCCCTAGGTATTTAGCAAGAGGGATGAGAACTGTGTCCACGCAAACACTGGGAGATGCATATTTATCAAGCAGCTTTATTTAGAATTGTCCCCAGTGGAAACAACACAAATATCCTTCGACTGCTGAATGGACGGAGACCCTGCGAGGCCTTCACGAGGAGACACTGCAAGGCCTCCATGAGGCAGCCAGCACTCAGGAGCCAAGGCACAGGCCTCTGGCAGACGCGCCACCGTGGGGGAATCTCGACTGCTGAATGGACGGAGACCCTGCGAGGCCTCCACGAGACAGCCAGCACTTGGGAGTCAAGGCAGAGACCTCTGTCAGACATGCCACCGTGGGGGAATCTCGAGTGTGTCACACCGCTGAGGGAAGCCTCCACACTCTGTGCCTCCATTTATGTGACATTTTGACAAAGGCACAACCACTGGGACAGAAGACGGGGGAGCATTGCCAAGACCCAGTGGTGGGAAGAAAGGAGGTTGCGAAAAGGCTGCCAGGGGCATTGGAGGTTGGGATTGTTCTGTTTCTGTGGTGGGGGTGAAAATGCTAGAGGTGTGCACCAAAAAGGGTGAATCTGCCTCTGCATGCAGGTGACGGCGTGATGTAAACAGAAGGCTTTTCTCTCTAGAGCCAACTAATTTCCAGAATAATCTGAGCCAGGCGTGGTGGCTCACGCCGGTAATCCCAGCACTTTGGGAGGCCGAGGTGGGCGGATCACGAGGTCAGGAGATCGAGACCCTCCTGGCTAACACAGTGAAACCCTGTCTCTACTAAAAATTCAAAAAACAAATTAGCCGGGCGTGGTGGCGGGCGCTTGTAGCCCCAGCTACTGTGGAGGCTGAGGCAGGAGAATGGTGTGAACCCGGGAGGCGGAGCTTGCAGTGAGCCAAGATCACGCCATTGCACTCCAGCCTGGACGACAGAACGAGACTCTGTCTCAAAAAAAAAAAAAAATCTGTCTCTGCAGGCAGGTGACGGCATGGTGTAAACAACAGCCTTTCGTCTCTAGAGCCAACAAGTTTCCAGAAGAATCTGCCTGCATGCAGATCACAGCGTGATTTAAAAACAGCCTTTTCTCTCTAGAGCCCACCAATTTCTAGAAGATGGAAACCACGTCACTCACTGGGGCTTTTCCTGGGCTCTTTCCTTGGCCGTGTGGAGCTCTGCTGGCCACATCCACGCGGTGAGCCACTGTGGCTCCTCACCTGGGCCTCGTGCGACCCGGCAGTGCGCGCTCCCTGTCCTAGGCGGTGACCCCACTGTGGCGGTGGGCATTTGACAGTGGTGGCTCCTGACCCTCTCGGTGGCCTTTTTAGGAAGCCCGCTCAGGTTGGTGTCTGGCACGCCCTTTGGCGAGGGGTACCGACGCTGATGTCGGACGTAGAGTAGGACGCTGGTGAGCTGGTCCGTGAGCCTCAGTGGCAGGTGGGAGTGGTTGGAACTCCCCATGGTGAGTGCCCAGGTCTGGTGGGGTGGCTGCCTGCGGGCCTCCCCTCACCCACATTTCATCGTCAGCCAGTCCTTCGCCGCACATGTCTTGGACAGTCAAAAAACGTGTGCAGCTGGTGCCAAAAGCAGCACTTTGCACAGCCCAGCCTGGGAGGGAGAATGGAGCCGTGTGACTGGGCAGCAGGCGGGGCCTCCTCCAGGGCTTCCAGGAGCCTTGGCATTCCCTGGGGGGTTGGCCAGGCCCACAGAGTGGGGACTGATGGAGCTGTTGTTACAGGGCCATGCTGCACCTTACAAAACGGTCTCCGTCCGCGCGGCCATCCCGTCCACCATCCTCCGGCTTCCAGCTGCGGCTTTTCATGGAGTTTTTGAGAAATATCCGGAAACTCTGGTGAGGGTGGTGCAGGTGAGTCACTTTTTCAGACAACTCTTCTAGCTGCTGTGGGTCACCCTGGGGGGGCCTGGGCACTGGTTTGGGATTTGAGTGGGTTTATTGCCCACTTACTTTCTCAGTTCTGAGCTTTACAGCCATGAAGGTGATTTCAGAGGAATAGAGAAATCAACTTCATTGGCGGGACTTACCACTGGTGTTGTGGGATTCTGAGTGGGTTCGGGAATAATGAAGGTTATATTTTAAAAATCTGGGGCCGGGCGCGGCGGCTCACGCCTGTAACCCCAGCACTGTGGGAGGCCGAGGCGGGCGGATCACGAGGTCAGGAGATCGAGACCATCCTGGCTCACACGGTGAAACCCCGTCTCTTGGCCGGGCGCGGCGGCTCCCGCCTGTAACCCCAGCACTGTGGGAGGCCGAGGTGGGCGGATCACGAGGTCAGGAGATCGAGACCATCCTGGCTCACACGGTGAAACCCCGTCTCTGCTAAAAATACAAAAAATTAGCCAGGCGTGGTGGCGGGCGCCTGTAGTCCCAGCTACTCGGGAGGCTGAGGCAGGAGAACGGCATGAACCCGGGAGGCGGAGCTTGCAGTGAGCCGAGATGGTGCCACTGCACTCCAGCCTGGGCGGCATAGCGAGACACCATGTCAAAAAAAAATTGTAATATATATCTTAAAATAAAAATGAATGTTCACAATCTCAAAGAGGTCTTAAGATCCCTCACTACCCCCAAAGAGATTTTTACATTTTTATTAAACTTCTCACTTTGGAGTAACTTTAGATTTATAGAAAACTTGCAAAAACAATGCAGTCTTCATGTGCCCCTTGTCCCATTCCCCGTGATGTGAACGTGTTACTTGACCGTGGTGAGGTGTCAAGTCTGCGGGGTTTTTCACCCTGAGAGGGTTCGGTCTGTGGCATCTGCAGGGTTTGGGGCACGGTTCTCAGTGCTCTGTGTGGTGCTGCCGGGGGCCCGCCCTGTACCCCAGGCCGGTGGTCACCGCGCAGCTGGCGTGTTCTTGCAGATCATCATGGTGCGGCTGCAGAGGGTGACCTTTCTGGCTCTGCACAACTACCTCGGCCTGACCACAGAGCTCTTCAACGCTGTAAGTGAAAACCACCTCACAAAGCCCCATGCTGCTCCATGCAGCTGGCATCGGGACAGCTATTGGTTGGCACGGCAGGCGCCCAGTGCCTGGTGGGGCAGTGCCAGCAACAGCTGTGGTCTTCCCAGTTGCTGGTCATTAGGACTTTGGGAGGGGCTGGTTGTGCTGTGTTTATTCTCCTACCTTAAAGCACCTGCTAGTCAGTTTGGAGGCTTGATTCTCCTGGGGCCTTGTGTTCCAAAATCTCTGATCCGTTGGACTTGGGAAAGGTGGAATTCCTTCTCCGATGATGGAGTTGTCCCTCTGGAGGCCCACACGGTTGTGAACAGCCGCCTGGTGCCTCTGCAGCTCCCATTCAGGACTCTGTGATGAGTCTTCCTTTGGTCACCTGTGTTCTGTAGGACATCGGCAGCCACACACACGCTCCTTCCCTTTCTGGCCCTGCAGGCTGCACACTGAGCTGACAGCCCTGTCCAGGAGAGGCTGCCCCTCCCCATGCCCATCCCATGGGGTCCCTACAGCCATGTCAAGCAGAGGCTGCCCCTCCCCATGCCCGTCCCATGGGGTCCCTATGGCCACGGTCCAGCAGAGGCTGCCCCTCCCCATGCCCGTCCCATGGGGTCCCTACAGCCGAATCCAGCAGAGGCTGCCTCTCCCCATGCCCGTCCCGTGGGGTCCCTACGTCCGCGTCCAGCAGAGGCTGCCCCTCCCCATGCCCGTCCCATGGGGTCCCTGTTGCCAGCACTCCCTGTGTGTTGCCCTTGACAGCTCCTCCTATCTGAACCGGGTGGGGCGGAGCTGACCCTGAACTGTGACGCGTTTGGAGGGTACAGCGCATTGTCAAGGGCACAAGGCTGTCAACCCCGGCTCTCCCTCCTCCTGGCGGTGTGACCCTGGGAGGCACTTGGCCGGGACGTGGGACGGTCCCCACCTAGCCGAGCTCTCGTGGGAACTGAGTGAGACCAGGGTTTCGTGCCCTGCTCCATCCCCACTGCCCAAAACAGTAGCCTGATATGCGGAGGGCTCTCTTTAGTCATGGGGCAAGTGGAGCTCGGTTAGTAAAGGCCCAGCACGCATTAGTCTTTAGTATGTGCATTTCAGTTGGAAATCATAATTCTGATGACATTTTAGGGCTTGTCGTCTTCAGTTGTTGACATTAAGGGAATATCTTTTTGTTTTCTACATTATCTTTTGTTTTAATGAAGAGTATTAAGGTTCTGACAATTTGGGGCAGTATGTTGACTTGATCAAGTGTTTGAGACAGGGCCTAGGGTAAAAGCAGGCTGAGCTTGGTTGCCTTAAACAGACCAGTCCTTTTCTTGAATAACTGGATTTCTGGGTTGATGATCGGCCTCTTTCCATTGCCTGAAATGTAGCTTAAACTTTGCCTTGAGAGGCCCACACCTGTCACACCTTTGAGAGGCCCACACCTGTCACACCTTTGAGAGTCCCACACCTGTCACACCTTTGAGGGGCCCACACCTGTCACACCTTTGAGGAGCCCACACCTGTCACACCTTTGAGGAGCCCACACCTGTCAGTGGGTGTGGGGTGTTCCTGGGGTGGCACTGAACTTCCTTCTTGTGTCCCAGGAGAGCCAGGCCATCCCTCTCGTGTCTGTAGCCAGTGTGGCTGCCGGGAAGGCCAAGAAGCAGGTGTTCTATGGCGAAGAAGAGCGGCTTAAAAAGCCACCGCGGCTCCAGGAGTCCTGTGACTCAGGTACTGTCCTGCACCAAGGAGGGCAATGTCCAGCCCCAGAGTCCGGGGGATCCTGCTCCCACTGCCTCAGGTCACCCCAGGTCATCTTGCACATGCCTGAGGCCACCACACACATCCCCGGGTCACCTCACACGGCCCAGGTCACCCTACAAGTCCCACAAGTCACCTCACATGCCCCCCAGGTCTACTCACACGCACCCCAGGTCCCCTCACGTGCCTCAGGTCCCCTCACACGTGCCCCAGGTCACCTCACATGCCCCCCAGGTCTCATCAGATGGCCCCCCAGGTCTCCTCACGTGTCCCCATCTCCTCACATGCGGGCTGGATGTCCTCAGACCTCCCCAGGTCTCATCAGGTGTGCCCATCTCCTCACATGTGGGCTGGATGTCCTCAAACCTCCAACGGTCTCATTACGTGTGCCCGTCTCCTCACATGAGGCCCGGATGTCCTCAGACAGGCCCAGGACCCTTCACCCTCCATTCTTCAGTTGTTCCCAGAATTCTCCCTGCGTGCTTGGCCTGGGCCAGGTGCCTGGTGGGGAGTGGGCCTCCCGCGATGGGCTCTCACCCGCTGTTCTGAGTGCTAACCGGGGGGCCTGAATCTGAGGAGGAAGCGGTCGGGTGCGGCGTGCACTGCATGAGTCACCCCACGACGATCTGTGTGATGGAGTTAACAGCCACCCTACAGATGAGGTGCGCGCTTGGTTATTTATAGCCCATCATGTTCCCAAAAGAATTGAAGTGACTAACAAAAGTATGTGAAATTAAATGAAGCAATGCTGATGAGAGTGAGGAGAGAATGGAGTGAGCAGAGTGGAGTGAGTGAGTGGGGGATGGAGTGGACAGAGTGGAATGAGTGAGTGTGGGATGGAGTGAGTAGAGTGGAGGGAGTGAGTGGGGGATGGAGTGGACAGAGTGGAGTGAGTGAGTGGGGGATGGAGTGGATAGGGTGGAGTGAGTGAGTGAGGATGGAGTGGACAGAGTGGAGTGAGTGAGTGGGGGATGGAGTGAGCAGAGTGGAGTGAGTGAGTGAGGATGGAGTGAGTAGAGTGAAGTGAGTGAGTGGGGGATGGAGTGAGTAGAGTGGAGTGAGTGAGTGGGGGATGGAGTGGACAGAGTGGAGTGAGTGAGTGGGGGATGGAGTGGACAGAGTGGAGTGAGTGAGTGGGGGATGGAGTGGACAGAGTGGAGTGAGTGAGTGGGGGATGGAGTGAGCAGAGTGGAGTGAGTGAGTGAGGATGGAGTGGACAGAGTGGAATGAGTGAGTGGGGGATGGAGTGAGCAGAGTGGAGTGAGTGAGTGGGGGATGGAGTGGACAGAGTGGAGTGAGTGAGTGGGGGATGGAGTGGACAGAGTGGAGCGAGTGAGTGGGGGATGGAGTGAGCAGAGTGGAGTGAGTGACGGGGGATGGAGTGGACAGAGTGGAGTGAGTGGGGGATGGAGTGAGCAGAGTGGAGTGAGTGAGTGGGGGATGGAGTGGAGTCAGTGAGTGGGGGATGGAGTGAGCAGAGTGGAGTGAGTGAGTGAGGGATGGAGTGGACAGAGTGGAATGAGTGAGTGGGGGATGGAGTGAGCAGAGTGGAGTGAGTGAGTGGGGGATGGAGTGGACAGAGTGGAGTCAGTGAGTGGGGGATGGAGTGAGCAGAGTGGAGTGAGTGAATGAGGGATGGAGTGGACAGAGTGGAGTGAGTGAGTGGGGGATGGAGTGAGCAGAGTGGAGTGAGTGAGTGGGGGATGGAGTGGACAGAGTGGAGTGAGTGCGTGAGTGGGGGATGGAGTGGACAGAGTGGAGTGAGTGAGTGAGGGATGGAGTGGACAGAGTGGAGTGAGTGACGGGGGATGGAGTGGACAGAGTGGAGTGAGTGAGTGGGGGATGGAGTGGACAGAGTCGAGTGAGTGAGTGGGGGATGGAGTGAGCAGAGTGGAGTGAGTGAGTGGGGGATGGAGTGAGCAGAGTGGAGTGAGTGAGTGGGGATGGAGTGGACAGAGTGGAGTGAGTGACGGGGGATGGAGTGGACAGAGTGGAGTGAGTGAGTGTGGGATGGAGTGGATAGAGTGGAGTGAGTGAGTGTGGGATGGAGTGGACAGAGTGGAGTGAGTGACGGGGGATGGAGTGGACAGAGTGGAGTGAGTGAGTGAGGGATGGAGTGGACAGAGTGGAGTGAGTGACGGGGGATGGAGTGGATAGAGTGGAGTGAGTGAGTGGGGGATGGAGTGGACAGAGTGGAGTGAGTGAGTGAGGGATGGAGTGGACAGAGTGGAGTGAGTGAGTGTGGGATGGAGTGGACAGAGTGGAGTGAGTGACGGGGGATGGAGTGGACAGAGTGGAGTGAGTGAGTGAGGGATGGAGTGGACAGAGTGGAGTGAGTGAGTGTGGGATGGAGTGGACAGAGTGGAGTGAGTGAGTGTGGGATGGAGTGGACAGAGTGGAGTGAGTGACGGGGGATGGAGTGGACAGAGTGGAGTGAGTGAGTGAGGGATGGAGTGGACAGAGTGGAGTGAGTGACGGGGGATGGAGTGGACAGAGTGGAGTGAGTGAGTGGGAGATGGAGTGGACAGAGTGGAGTGAGTGAGTGGGGGATGGAGTGGACAGAGTGGAGTGAGTGAGTGTGGGATGGAGTGGACAGAGTGGAGTGAGTGAGTGAGGGATGGAGTGGACAGAGTGGAGTGAGTGAGTGAGGGATGGAGTGGACAGAGTGGAGTGAGTGACGGGGGATGGAGTGGACAGAGTGGAGTGAGTGAGTGGGGGATGGAGTGAGCAGAGTGGAGTGAGTGAGTGGGGATGGAGTGGACAGAGTGGAGTGAGTGAGTGAGGGATGGAGTGGACAGAGTGGAGTGAGTGAGTGTGGGATGGAGTGGACAGAGTGGAGTGAGTGACAGGGGATGGAGTGGACAGAGTGGAGTGAGTGGGGGATGGAGTGGACAGAGTTGAGTGAGTGAGGATGGAGTGAGCAGAGTGGTGTTACTCCTGCACTCATGTGTGCTTGTGAGACCCCATGAGGATCACAGCCACCTTTAAACGCAGCTCTGGCTGATGTGCTTTTTCCCAGAAATGCATTTTATTTTTATAATAATAATAATAATTATTATTATTACTATTGAGACAGGGTTTTGCTCTTTTGCCCAGTCTGGAGTGCAGTGGTGTGGTACTGGCTCACTGCCACCCCCATGTCACTGGCTGAAAGGATTCTCCTGCGTCAGCCTCCTGAGTAGCTTGGTCCACAGGCGCATGCCACCAGGCCCAGCTCATTTACTTTTATTTTTAAATTTTTGTAAAGATGGCATCTTACTACGTGGTCCAGGGTGGTCTTGAACTCCTGGTCTCAAGTGATCCTCCCACCTTGGCCTCCCAAATTGTTTGGATTACAGGTGTGAGCCACTGCACCTGGCCTCAAAGTGTATTTTAGAGTATGTGTCATTGCCTGAATGGCATTTCTTTCACTGGATTAGGTCCATGTGACTTGATGGGGCAGCAGCTGTCCTGGATGAGGTCTTGGCAGAGACCAGGGCCGGGGGTGCTCATGGGCCTCTGTAGGTAAGGACAGTGTCCAGGCAGGGCAGCCTCCTTCAGCCTGTGTGGTCGGCAAGGCCAGGCTCCTTCCTCGTTTCACCTGAGGGGCAGATGCAGCCCTGCGTGGCCCATCCCAGGCGAGCCCAGACAGCCACATCCACCAATGGGACGCCCTGAGAAAGGGCCTGGCTGGCAGCCCCACCTGGATGGAGTTTGCCTTCAAGGCACTTGGCCCACAGCAGGACAATCAGGGCAGCAAGGCCTCGGAATGGGGCAGGGGGTTAGGTTAGGGATGGGGGTGGGGCGCATGGGGGATTGGGGTAGGGGTGGAAGGGGTGGGGAGGAGGGATTGGGGTGGGGAGGGGGATTTCGGGGAATGGGGGGTTGGGGTAGGTAGGGAGGATTTGGGGGAGGGGGTTGGGGTAGGGAGGGAGGATTTGGGGGAGGGGGGATTGAGGTGGGGAGGGTGGATTTGGGGGAGGGGCATTGGGGTGGGGAGGGGGGATTTGGGGGGAGGGGGTTGAGGTGGGGAGGGGGCATTTGGGGGAGAGGGATTGGGGGGAGGGGGCATTTGGGGGAGAGGGATTGAGGGGGGAGGGGGGATTTGGGGGAAGGGGGATGGGGTGGGGAGGGAGATTGGGAGGAGGGGGATGTGGGAGGCGGGATTGGGCGGGGAGGGGCCAGGGCTAGTCAGAGGCCGGCACTCGCTTGCACTCACCTGCTGGCCCGGCAGATGCAGAGGCCTGGTGGCCGGTGGGCTGGTCCAGAGCGCGTTCAGGTGCGCAGGGCACTGTGGGGACCCTGCTCCCTGCGTGGCCCCGAATGGGCTGCACCAGACACCAGGGAGTGCGTGCAAACAAGGTTGCTTACGGCTGCCTCCCCAGCAGATCACGGGGGCGGCCGCCCGGCAGCTGCTGGGCCCCTGCTGAAGAGGAGCCACTCCGTCCCCGCGCCTTCCATTCGCAAACAGATCTTGGAGGAGCTGGAGAAGCCCGGGGCAGGTGACCCTGACCCTTCGGCCCCACAAGGTAAAGAACCTCGACGGCTGCCCAGCCAGTGTGACCCACAGGCCCTCGGCATCTGAGACCCAGGCTGAGCTGCACTGATGCCCAGCATCGCCGCCGAGGCGGGCACCCTCCACTAGAGCCCCACGTGCCCAGGGGGGCCTGTGCCTGTCCTCTGGCTCTAGGGTCGAGGCTTGGTGGCCGTCCTGCCGCCCAGAACACCCTGGTGTGCTCCTCTGCGTGCCTGCCCTGTCTCACCCCCACCACCGCCAGGGCTGGGCCGGTGCCACCAGATGCCCCGCAGAGCCATGTGCTCGGCCCTTCCCGCCCTCCCTGCATGGTCCCTCTCCTGCCTTGTGTCCCGGGTCTCTAGCAAGCCTCCCTTCCTTCCCCAGCCCTGCTGACGTGTGCCTCCCCGCAGGGACCTTTGCTGTAACTGATGTGTAGCAAAACCTCAACAGCCGGGTGACCCGCCCACAGCCCAGCCACAGGGCCCGGGCACATCAACATCCGAGTGACCCGCCTGCAGCCCAGCCACAGGGCCCAGGCACCTCAACATCCAGGTGACCCGCCCGCAGCCCAGCCACAGGGCCCGGGCACCTCAACAGTCAGGTGACCCACCTGCAGCCCGGCCACAGGGCCCGGGCATCTCAACAGCCAGGTGACCCACCCACAGCCCAGCCACAGGGCCCGGGCACATCAACATCCGAGTGACCCGCCTGCAGCCCAGCCACAGGGCCCAGGCACCTCAACATCCGGGTGACCCGCCCGCAGCCCAGCCACAGGGCCCGGGCACCTCAACAGCCGGGTGACCCGCCCACAGCCCGGCCACAGGGCCCGGGCACCTCAACATCCGGGTGACCCGCCCGCAGCCCAGCCACAGGGCCCGGGCACCTCAACAGTCAGGTGACCCGGCCACAGGGCCCGGGCATCTCAACAGCCAGGTGACCCACCCACAGCCCAGCCACAGGGCCCCGGCACATCAACATCCGAGTGACCCGCCTGCAGCCCAGCCACAGGGCCCAGGCACCTCAACATCCGGGTGACCCGCCCGCAGCCCGGCCACGGGGCCCGGGCACCTCAACAGTCAGGTGACCCGCCCACAGCCCGGCCACAGGGCCCGGGCATCTCAACAGCCAGGTGACCCACCCACAGCCCAGCCACAGGGCCCGGGCACATCAACATCCGAGTGACCCGCCTGCAGCCCAGCCACAGGGCCCGGGCACCTCAACAGCCGGGTGACACGCCCGCAGCCCAGCCACAGGGCCCGGGCACCTCAACATCCGGGTGACCCGCCCGCAGCCCGGCCACAGGGCCCGGGCACCTCAACAGTCAGGTGACCCGCCCACAGCCCAGCCACAGGGCCCAGGGCATTTTCAGGGCAGCCTCCAAGTCCATCCTGCCCGGCAGTGCAGCCGTGCTCCTGCCGCAGACCTGCCCCCTCTGCCGTCTGCCACCCGCAGGTCACCGGCAAGCTCATTGGCTCCTGCTGTATTCGGTTCCATCTGGGCGTCCCTCTCAGATTGTCTGGTCGTATTCTCTGCCCACTTTCTGCAGGATTCTGGAGTTTGGTTGATTTGTGTTGATTCTTTATGTGCTGTAGGTAGAGGTCCCTGGTTAGTTTCACTTTTGGAGATTCTCTTCCCCATTGTCTCCTTAGTTTTTTTTGGAGATTCTTTTCCCTCTTGTCTCATTAGTTTCAGTTGTTGGAGATTCTCTTCCCTCTTGTCCATGGGCTGGAAAATGCCGCCACGGGACCTTCACGCAACAGGGACCCTGATGTTCTTTTGTGGAAAGCCAGCTTTTTGCCTTGGCACCTGTGATTTGTGTTTTGGGTCTTATTTATTCTTTCCTTATTCCTGAGTCATAAATAAATTTTCCAAAGACTATTTTATTTATTTCTGTTTTTTAATTTTTTTTTTTTTTGTGACAGAGTTTCACTCTTGTTGCCCAGGCTGGAGTGCAATGGTGTGATCTCAGCTCACCGCAACTTCTGCCTCCCAGGTCCAAGTGATTCTCCTGCCTCAGCCTATTTTAGGCAGGTGTCACCACAACTGGCTAATTTTGTATTTTTAGTAGAGACGGGGTTTCCCCATGTTGGCCAGGCTGGTCTCAAACTCCCAACCTCAGGTGATCCGCCCACCTCAGCCTCCCAAAGTGCTGGGATTACAGGCTGAGCCACCGCACCCGGCCTCAAAGACTATTTTTATTAGCTTTTAGTTTTGCCTTTCACATAGAGGTCTTTCATTTATCTGTAGTTTATACTGCAAGAATGAGGGAAGAAATTCATCTTTTCCTTACTCTTTATGGTGATAATTTACCCAACACCATTAATAAAACAATCTGTCATCTCTCTCTTGCTTTTTTTGTGCCATCGGGCATCAGGTATCTGAATCTACATGGATTTTTTTGTTTAAGTAACAGCTTTTTTTTTTTTTTTCAGACAGAGGCTCGTTCTGTGGCCCAGGCTAGAGTGCAGTGGTGAGATCATGGCACACTGCGGCCTCAACCCTCTGGGCTCAAGTGATCTTCCCACCTCAGCCTCCTGAGTAGTTGGGAGTACAGGCACACCACTGCACTTGGCATTTTTTTTTTTTGTATTTTCTTTTTATTTTTCTTGTTTCCTGTAGAGAGGGTGTCTTGCCATGTTACCCAGGCTGGTTTCGAACTCCTGGGCTCAAGTGATCCTCCTGCCTCAGCCTCCCAAACTGTTGGGAAACAGGCATGAGCCACAGCACCTGGCCCAGTTGTTGTTTGTTTATTAACTAGTGATGGTTGTATAATGCGCATGCAGGACGCACATTGCAGGTGGACGGTTTGATGACTCCATAAACTGAACTCACTTGTGAACCAGGTAAAGAAACATAAATTAGCCCCTGCAAGCCCCGTTCATGCTCCTCTTGTTACCACCAGCAGCCATGTCTGGTTGTAAAACCTGCTCCCCACCACGGCTGCCTGCCGTCCCGATGGCTGCCAGCCGAGGTGAGGTTGGCCTGTTTTCCTTTTCAGAAGTGGAGCCGTGTGGTGTGCGTTTGTGTTTGGCTTCCCTGCTCCACGTCCCGTGGGGAGGTCCATCCATGCCGTCATGTGGAGAAGCCTCCCCACCTTCTCGTGGTGGTGCAGGCTTCGCCGTGTGAATGTTTACGTCTGTGCGTCCACTGCACGAGCGTGTACACATTTCTGTTGGGGCTGCTGGGTCATGGAGTCACGTGTGCTTGGCTCAGGGGTGTAGGGTCCAGCCCTACAGGGCCTTGTGAGTTTTCTCTTCATGTGCAAAGACGAGAGATTGTAGTAAAATAAGACACGAGACTAAGAGATAGTAGGAAAGACAGCTGGGCCCAGAGGCCACTACCACCAGTGCGCAGAGTCCGGTAGTGGCCCTGAAGGCCTGGACGCACTGCTATTTATTGTATACAAGGCAAGGGGGCAGGGTAAGGAGTGTGAGTCATCTCAAGTGATTGATAAGGACAAGCAAGTCACCTGTCCACGTGACAGGGGGCCTTTCCCTTTGTGGTAGCTGAAGCAGAGAGGGAGGACAGCAGACGTTAGCATTTCTTCTATGCACTTATCAGAGAGATCAAAGACTCTAATACTTTCGCTAATTCTGCTACTGCTATCTTCTAAGAACTTAAGAGAAGCAGCAGGTGTACAGGCGGAATATGAAAGCGGACAAGGAGCGTGACCACTGAAGCACAGCACCACAGGGAGACGTTGAAGCCTCCAATGACTGCGGGCAGGCCTGGGGAATGTCAGGCCCCCCACAAGAACTGGTGGAGCAGAGTGCTCGCTAACTCTCCCAGGGAAAGGGAGACTCCCTTTCCTGGTCTGCTAAGTAATGGGTGCCTTCCAGGCGCTGGCGCTACCGCCAGGCCAAGGTCCACTAAGTAACGGGTGCCTTCCCAGGTGCTGGTGCTACCGCCAGACCAAGGTCTGCTGAGTAACGGGTGCCTTCCCAGGCGCTGGCGCTACCGCCAGGCCAAGGTCTGCTGAGTAACGGGTACCTTCCCAGGCGCTGGCGCTACCACCAGGCCAAGGTCCACTAAGTAACGGGTGCCTTCCCAGGCACTGGCGCTACCGCCAGGCCAAGGTCTGCTGAGTAACGGGTGCCTTCCCAGGTGCTGGCGCTACCACCAGGCCAAGGTCCACTAAGTAACGGGTGCCTTCCCAGGCGCTGGCGCTACCGCCAGACCAAGGTCCACTAAGTAACGGGTGCCTTCCCAGGCGCTGGTGCTACCGCCAGACCAAGGTCCACTAAGTAACGGGTGCCTTCCCAGGCACTGGCACTACCGCTAGACCAAGGAGCCCTCAAGCGGCCCTTATCTGGGCGTGACAGAGAGCTCACACTCTTGTCTTCTGGTTGCTTCTCACAATGTCCCTTCAGCTCCTAACTCTGTGTGGCCTGGTTTTTCTTTGGTTATAATAATCATACAAAGGTTAATACAGAAAACTAATGATTGATAATATCCATATACATTCATCTCTATATCCTATTTCGAATATAACTTTCTCTTATCCTAACTATTTTCTTGATTATATTGGAACAGCTTGTGCCTTCAGTCTCATGCCTCGGCACCTGGGTGACTTTCCGCCCACACGGGGGCACTGCCTGGTGGCGTTTCAGGCACTGACACCTGTAGGGACCAGCCCCACAGGGTCAGTGGGTCTCTCCCTGTGTGCGGCGATGAGAGAGTGTAGAAATAAAGACACAAGACAAAGAGATAAGAGAAAAGGCAGCTGGGCCCGGGGGACCACTACCACCAATGTGCAGAGACCTGTAGTGGCCCCGAATGTCTGGCTGCACTGTTATTTATTGGATACAAGGCAGAAGGGGCAGGGTAAAGAGTGTGAGTCATCTCCAATGATAGGTAAGGTCACGTGAGTCACGTGTCCACTGGACAGGGGGCCCTTCCCTGCCTGGCAGCCGAGGCAGAGAGGGAGAGGAGACAGACAGAAAGACAGCTTACGCCATTATTTCTGCATATCAGGGACTATTAGTATTTTCACTAATTTACTACTGCTATCTAGAAGGCAGAGCCAGGTGTACAGGATGGAACATGAAGGTGGACTAGGAGCGTGACCACTGAAGCACAGCATCACAGGGAGACGGTTAGGCCTCCGGATAACTGTGGGCAGGTCTGACTGATGTCAGGCCCTCCACAAGAGGTAGAGGAGCAGAGTCTTCTCTAAACTCCCCGGGGAAAGGGAGACTCCCTTTCCCGGTCTGCTAAGTAGCGGGTGTTGTTCCTTGACACCTTTTGCTACCGCTGGACCATGATCCGCCTGGTAACGGGCGTCTTCCCAGACGCTGGCGTCACCGCTAGACCAAGGAGCCCTCTGGTGGCCCTGTCCAGGCATAACAGAAGGCTCGCACTCTTGTCTTCTGGTCACTCTTCACTTTGTCCCCTCAGCTCCTATCTCTGTATGGCCTGGTTTTTCCTAGGTTATGATTGTAGAGCGAGGATTATTATAATATTGGGATAAAGAGTAATTACTACCAACTAATGATTAATGATATTCATATATAATCATACCTAAGATCTATATCTGGTATAACTATTCTTGTTTTATATTTTATTATACTGGAACAGCTCGTGTCCTCTGTCTCTTGCCTCAGTGCCTGGGTGGCTTGCCGCCCACAGACACCAGCGTCTACTCCTCAGCCTCATCCGACTGCTGTGGCTGCTCCATGCCTGTGCTGTGCATCATGGGCCACAAGCCTCATGTGACTGTTGACACCTAAACTCACTCATGCCAGCTAAACTCATTCACGCCAGTTAAACTCATTCATACTAGCTAAACTCATTTGTACCAGCTAAACTCACTCACACCAGTTAAACTCACTCACACCAGTTAAACTCATTCGTACCAGCTAAACTCACTCATGCCAGCTAAACTCACTCACGCCGGCTAAACTCACTCGTACCAGCTAAACTCATTCGTACCAGCTAAACTCATTCATACCAGCTAAACTCACTCATGCCAGCTAAACTCACTCACGCCGGCTAAACTCACTCATACCGGCTAAACTCATTCGTACTAGCTAAACTCATTCGTACCAGCTAAACTCACTCGTACCAGCTAAACTCACTCACACCAGCTAAACTCACTTGTACCAGCTAAACTCACTCATGCCAGCTAAACTCACTCATGCCAGCTAAATTCACGCCAGCTAAACTCACTCGTACCCGCTAAACTCACTCATACCAGTTAAACTCACTCATGCCAGCTAACTCACTCATGTCAGCTAAACTCACTCATGCCAGCTAAACTCACTCATGCCAATTAAACTCATTCGTACCAGCTAAACTCACTCATGCCAGCCACACTTCAGGTGCTCACTGGCCGCCCATGGTTAGCGGCCACTTCCGGCCCAGCATGTGCTGCTCTCTGTCTTCTGGTGGGCGTGCAGTGGAGGCTGCCTGTGCTCTGATTCTGTCTTCTTGATGAACTGTGAGGCCGAGCACCTTGGATAGCCTTCTTTGTCTTTTGCCCATTTTCCTCTTAGCTTTCATTTTCTTATTATTAATAGGAATTCTTTATATATTCTCTGTATGATTCCTTTGTCAAGTATGTATATTAAAAATATTTTCTATTCACTTTTTACTATCGTAGTGGTGTCTTTTGATGAATAGGAAATTTTAAACTTAATGGGATCTAATTTATCAATATTTTTCTTTTGTGGTTAATATATTTTGTGTCCTGTTTAAGAAATCTGTCTGTAAGATTTAACGTTTTACCTTTCATATGATCCATCTAGAATTTATTCTTTTGTAGAAAGTGAGTAGGGGTCAAGATATATCCTTTTCTTTTTTCTTTTTCCTTTTCTTTTTTTTTTGAGACAGAGTCTCGCTCTTGTTGCCCAGGCTGGAATGCAATAGTGCGATCTCAGCTCACTGCAAGCTCCATCTCTGGGGTTCAAGCAATTCTCCTGCCTCAGCCGCCGAGTAGCTGTTAATTACAGGCGCCCACCACCATGCCCAGCTAATTTTTTGTATTTTTAGTAGAGACGGGGTTTCACCGTGTTAGCCAGGATGGTCTCGATCTCCTGACCTCGTGATCCGCCCGCCTCGTCCTCCCAAAGTGCTGGGATTCCAGGCGTGAGCTGCCGCGCCCGGCTGATACATCCTTTTCTAAATGGCTATCTAGTTGATCCACCACTTTTTCTTTTTCTTTTTTTGAGGTAAGGCCTTGCTCCATGGCCCAGGCTGGGGTGCAGTGGTGAAATCACAACTCACTGCAGCCTCGAGCTCCTGGGCTCAAATGATCCACCTGCCTCAGCCCATGAGGGCTCAAGTGATCCACCCGCCTCAGCCTCATGGGTAGCTGGGACCACAGGTGTGGCCCCCACACCTGGCTGGTTTTTAAAATTTTTGTAGATAGAGATCTCTTGCTGTGTTGCCCAGGCTGGTCTTGAATTCCTGGCCTCAAGCGCTGCCTCCACCTTGGCCTCTGAAAGTGCTGGGATTACAGGCATGAGCCGCTGCACCTGGCCCATTTATTTATGTATTTATTTTTAAGAGATGCAGTCTCTCACTATGTTGTCCAGGCCTCAAACTCCTGGGCTCAAGCGATCCTTCCGGCTTGGCCTCTTGAGCAGCAAGGACCACAGGTGCATACCACCATGCCTGGCCCCCGTATTTTATTTTATTTATTTATTTTGAGATGGAGTTTTGCTCTTGTCAGGTGCATACCACCATGCCTGGCCCCCGTATTTTATTTTATTTATTTATTTTGAGACACAGTTTTGCTCTTGTCACCCAAGCTGGAGTGCAATGGTGCGATCTCAGCTCACCGCAACCTCTGCCTCCTGGGTTCAAGGGATTCTCCTGCCTCAGCCTCCCGAGGACCTGGGGTAACAGGCATGTGCCACCACGCCCGGCTAATTTTGTATTTTTAGTGGAGACAGGGTTTCTCCATGTTGGTCAGGCTGGTCTCGAACCCCCAACCTTAGGCGACCTGCCTGCCTCAGCCTCCCAAAGTGCTGGGACTATAGGTGTGAGAAATTTTATCATTTAGCTACATGCTTGTTGACGTACAAGGTGTGGTCATTACACCCCAGTGTTCCCCTGTGTGGCTGCAGCCAGGTAAAGGGGCTGCTGCGCTCCTCTCGCCCAGCCCAGAGGGTCAGCCCCAGAGGAAGCACTGGTGACCTTTGTTGCCATAGATTGCTTTCCAGTTCGGATTTTTTTAAAAAACAGCAGGACTTGACGGGGGCATGAGTAATACACAGCACAGTGCACCGGGCTGAAGGGTGCCAGCTCCGTGAAACCCGACCAGCGCACCCTCAGCGTAAGCCTCGGAGACATGCGCCCCTTTCCAAGGCCCAGCGCTCCTGGCTCTCTGTGTCTGGCTTCCCAGGGAGGGGCACATGGCTGTGCTCCTGGGCCTGGTTCCTTCCCGCAGCGCCATGTGGCTGCGGCATCTGTGTGGCATGTGTCTGCGGTTAGTGTCTGCGCGGTTCCTCTGTATTCCGCTGAGAAATGGGTGTTGCGAATTCCAGTATGGATGGGAAACCGCAGTGCAGATGACTCGCTCGCATGCGCAGCTGCACACGAAGGGCTGGATCTGTGCCTGGAAGTGCGTGACCCCGTCGTGCAAAGCGTGCACCCTTCCTCAGAATCCACAGCAGCTGGTCCAGAGGTCAGATACGCTGTGTGTGTAGTGATGTGTAATGCTGAGGGCAGGCTGTAAAAGGGTGCACACTGCTTCATCCCGCTCAGCCCGAGGCCGCCCAAAAGCAGCAACAGGGGAGCTCTTTGGAGGGGGTGCCTCAACCCCCTCCCTCCAAGATGGGGCTGGACTGCGAAGAGCGAACCTCTGAGATGGGGCTGGGACTGCAAAGAGCCAAGCCCAAAGCACCAGCGTGACGGCCCAGGGCACCCGTTAGGGGAGCTCACATACAGAGGGCGGCAGCATCCCTGAGATGGACAGCAAGAGAAAGGGTGCTCTACCCAGGGTTGGCCGCAGCGAGCCGTCAGGGTGTGGCACGCATGGCAAGGTTTGAGGAATTTGGCTCAGGACCAGGGCTGGTTTCCTTCCGTGTTTTAGGTACCGACCGGGCTACCTTTATCAGTGCCCAGAAATGTTGAAGGCACCGTGTGGGTTTAAGCTGCGGAGAAAACCTGTAGCTGGTGGGTCACAGAGCCATTGAGGCAGATGCCGAAAGAAAGCAGGGTGTGGAGGGATCTCAGGGCCCGACTCCCTCGAGGGAGCTGCCGGGGTCTGTGTGGTTAGACTGCAGGGTGTGCTCAGCCCACACCGCGGACGTTTGTGTCAGTGGCCTAGCGAACCGTGTCCTGAGTGTCCCCTCTGTGTGTAGGGGGCCCAGGCAGTGCCACTTCTGATCTGGGGATGGCATGTGACCGTGCCAGGGTCTTCCTGCACTCGGACGAGCACCCCGGGAGCTCCGTGGCCAGCAAGGTAGGCCCTGGCTGTCATTCTCACCCTCCGCCTGGGGCCCCACCCTCTCCGTGGCTTGCTGGTGCATTGGGGGCGCCGCCGGCTTTGGTGTCATGTGGCACCTGCAGCTTCAGGAGGCTCAGCCGGCCTTTCCGCACTGTGCGATTCAGACCTGACCACACCCTTGTGCGATGTTCCCCAACCACATCCCTTCGAATTGCCGGTATCTCCGTTCTTCTCCAGTCCAGGAAAAGCGTGATGGTTGCAGAGATACCCTCCACGGTCTCCCAGCACTCAGAGAGTCACACGGATGAGACCCTGGCCAGCAGGAAGTCGGATGCCATCTTCAGAGCTGCCAAGAAGGACCTGCTCACCCTGATGAAGCTGGAAGTGAGTGGCCCCGGCGGGCACCTGGCCCTTGTCCCACCCAGGGCCCGTGGCCTCCTCTCTGCCTCTGTTGGGCAGTGGTTCCAGGTGTGGAGGACAGTGGCTGCAAAGGAGGTGTTTTGGGTGGAGTGCAGGCTTGCTTGTCTTTTGGGGTCCCCTTTGGGAAGCTAGCAGCTTGAGATCGCCTTATGTTCAAACTCAAAGCCGAAGCTTTCTGGGACATCAGGGTGTCCCAAAGCTGAACTTTAGAATTCTCATCTATGTTTATATTTAATACAGCAATAATAGTGTCAGATTATTGTAGTATGACATTTTCCCAGCTTCACTTTAATAATTTATTTTTATTACTTTTTAATATTCAATCATTAGTTCATCTAGGATTTAATTTCTTACATATGATGGAAAGCTTTTTTTTTTTTTTTTTTTTTTGAGACAGAGTCTCGCAGTATCGCCCAGGCTGGAGTGCAGTGATATGATCTCGGCTCACTGCAACCTCCACCTCTTGGATTCAAGCGATTCTCCTGCCTCAGCCTCCCAAGTAGCTGGGATACAGGCGCCCACGACCACACCTGGCTAAATTTTGTATTTTTAGTAGAGACGGGGTTTCACCATGTTGGCCAGGCTGGTCTCGAACTCCTGACCTCAAATGATTTGCCCACCTCAGCCTCCCAGAGTGTTGGGATTACAGGCGTGAGCCACGGCGCCCGGCTGATGGAAAGCTTTAAATAGGTAAAAAGACAGCCGTGATGGTGTCATGAGTTCCCATGCACTGGTCACCCAATTCCGTAATTACCAATCATGGCTAATCACTTTACAGCTGTACTCCTAGTCCCTCCCCCAGTTATTTTCTGTCTCAAAAATCTCCAACACGTTATAAGTTCACATCATTCCTCTCTAACGGTTAAGGACTCCTTCTGAGGCATCACCACGGTGTCGTTCTGCAAGTGAAATGTTAAAAAGCTGCGATTGCTCACCCACCCAGCGTGTTCCTGGACCCCTGACTGTGTCATGAGTGGTTCTCAGTGGTTTCTTGTTGTACAGATCAGGATCTGAGTAAGGGCCATACACTGCAGTGGGCTGATCTATCTCTTAAATCTGCTTTTCTGGCCAGGAGTGGTGGCTCATGCCTGTAATCCTAGCACTTTGGGAGGCCGAGGCAGGTGGATCACCTGAGGTCAAGAGTCCGAGACCAGCCTGACCAACATGGTGAAACTCTGTTTCTACTAAAGATACAAAAATTAGCTGGGTGTGATGGCACGTGCCTGTAATCCCAGCTACTTGGGAGGCTGAGGCAGGAGAATTGCTTGAACCTGGGAGACGGATGTTGCAGTGAGCCAAGATTGCGCCACTGCACACCAGCCTGGGCAACAAGAGTGAAACTCTGTCCCAAAGGAAAAAAAAAAATCTCTCTTCTTCTTCCTCTTCTTCTTCCTTCTTCCTTCTTCTTCCGTCTTCTTCTCTTCTTCTTCCTTTCTTTTTTCTTCTTCCTTTTTTCTTCTTCTTCTTTCTTTCTTCTTCTTCCTTCTTCTTCCTTCTTCTTCTTCCTTCTTCTTTCTTCTTCTTCCTTCTTCTTTCTTCTTCCTTCCTCCTCCTTCTTCTTCTTCCTTCTTCTTTCTTCTTCTTGCTTCTTTCTTCTTCCTTCTTCTTCTTCCTTCTTCCTTCTTCTTCATTCTTCCTTCTTCTTCTTCCTTCTTCTTCCTTCTTCTTTCTTCTTCCTTCTTCTTCTTCCTTCTTCTTTCTTCTTCCTTCCTCCTCCTTCTTCTTCTTCCTTCTTCTTCTTGCTTCTTTCTTCTTCCTTCATCTTCTTCCTTCTTCCTTCTTCTTCATTCTCTTCTTTCTTTTTTCTTCTTTTTCTTTCTTTTCTTTCTTCTTCTTCCTTCCCCTTCCCCTTTCTTCCCTTTCTCCTCCTTCCTTCCCCTTCTTTCTTCCCTCCCCTTCTCCTTCTTCCTTCCCCTTCTCCTTCTTCCTCCCCCTTCTCCTTCTCCCTCCTCCTTCTCCCTCCTCCTTCTTCCTCCTTCTCCTTCTCCCTCCTCCTTCTCCTTCTCCTTCCTCCTCCTTCTCCCTCCTCCTTCTCCTTCCCCCTCCTCCTTCTCCTTCCTCCTCCTCCTTCTCCTTCCCCCTCCTCCTTCTCCTTCCCCCTCCTCCTTCTCCTTCCCCCTCCTCCTTCTCCTTCCCCCTCCTCATTCTCCTTCTTTCTTTCTTCTCCTTCTCCCTCCTCCTTCCTTCTTCTTTTTTGGAAACAGTGTCTCACTTTGTCATCCAGCCTGGAGTGCAGTGGTGCCATCTCAGTTCACTGCAACCTCCACTTCCTGGGCTCAAGTGATCCTCCCACCTCAGCCTCCTGAGTAGTTGGAACCACAGGCCTCACTAACACACCTAGCTGAGTTTTGTATTTTTAGTGTAGACGGGGTTTTGCCATGTTTCCCAGGCTGGTCTTGAACTCCTAGCCTCTAGTGATCTACCTGCCTCGGCCTCCAAAAATTCTGGGATTACAGGCATGAGCCACTGTACCCAGCCAGTCTTCTCTCTCTTTAAACAACTTTTTAATTATGGGAAATTCAAAACTATATAGAATAGATGGAATAATATGTGAAGGTGAGTACCTAGCATCCCTCACAGTAACGATCACACCACAGCCCACCTTGTTTTCTCTGCACCCCTTCCGTACCGTTCGGGTGCCCCCCCTTGAAGCAAATCCCATCATCATAGCACGTCACTGGTGGATATTTCAGGATTCATCTCTAACCACAATACTCTTATCATTTCTGAATACTTAACAGTAATCCTTAAAATGGCCAAATGACTTCAGCCGTGCGTTCAGTGCCCCCCTGTCCAGCGGCCTCGTCCATGTCACCGTGGCCGGCTCCCACATCCCTCTCGTCCCCCCCGTCCCCCGCGTCCCCCGCGTCCCCCGCGTCCCCCCCGTCCCCCTCATCTCCCGAAGGCTCTGACTTTCTTAGTGCAGCTGCTTTCCTCAGGGAGGCCGCTTTCTTCTCCTGAAGAACCTCCCACGGCTCCTCCTCGGGCTGACAACGCGCCCTGGGGCGATGCGGCCTCTCCGTCAGCGGCCGTCCTCTGCCTGAGAGCTGGATATGTGGCTGCTCAGATTCTTCTCATCCTCCTCCATCTCTTTCTCCCTCCTGTTTGACAAACTTTTGGCGACATGTGATGTCATTTCTCTTTTGGGGGGGAGCTGCCTTCACCCCCTTCACCGTCAGGGTTTGGGAAGTTTAATGGTTTGTTTTTCGATCATTTTCCAAAGATGCTGGGTGGGGCTTCTTATTTTTATTTCATCATCACTGTGGACTGGGGGTTTACACACCTGATGTTTCAAACCTTCGTGGGTGTGGTGCCCGCAGACGCTCCCTCACCCTTGGTTTGCCCCAGGGCCTCTCCACAGGCTCCGGGTCCACTGCAACCTCTGCCTTCTGGGTTCCAGTGTGTTGGGCACTCCCGGGTCACCTCTGGGAGCTCCCAGATTCCAGAGTCCTCGTGCCCTGGAGGGCATCATTCTGTAGGTGGTGTGGAGAAGGCATCCCACTGCTGGCTATGCCAGCACCACTTATAAAGAAATCACCCTTTCTCCCTAAAATGACATCCTCTCTCTTTTACGTAAATTCACAAAAATACGAGTGTCTGTTTCTGCATTTTCTGCCTTGCTCCACTGTTTGGTGTCTGTCTCTGTGCCGATGCCCTGGTTTGGCATCGGTGGCTCTGCAGGGTGCCCAGTGTCCATCAGGCCCTTGTTGGAGGACAGCCTCGGAGGAGGGCCTTGCCCGGCCTCTGGCCTCACCGCTCGTTGCCCCTGAACAGCCCAGTGCAGCCTCTGTTCTCTGGACCTTCATTTATGCTTCCCGCCCGTGTTCCCTGAAGTCTGCTCTGTTTTTAGGACTCATCTCTGTTGGATGGCCGGGTGGCGCTTCTGCACGTTCCTGCAGGCACGGTGGTGTCAAGGCAGGGAGACCAGGTGAGCGGGGGTCTGGGGGGGGGCACTGGGACCACCCAATGCCATAGCCCAGTGCCAAGTGGAGCACCAGAGGAGGGCCTGGACTGGACACCAGTGACTGGGGACCTCCCAGCACCGGGCCACTGCCCCTCTGGGCACCATGGCAGAGCCCCTCCCCTCAGGCAGCCCTGAGCCCTGAGAGCTGTGTCCACCTTTGGCCCCTGCTGCACTGGCCCTTCTGCTCGCACCTGAGAGTGGGCCGGGCAAGCAGATTGGGAAGAGGTCATAAGAGGTCACAGTGGATACAGATCAGTGGAAGTGGCCTTGGAGTGGTTTCATGGGTACATCTGCAGATGTGGGACCAAAACGCGTGGCGTGTGCCGGGGGCTCAGTGTGGGAGGGGCCAGGAGCCCACCCCTCAGAGGCCAGGCCCCAGGCGAGGCGGCATGGGACCCCCCGTGCACAGGAATGCTGGGCTGACGCGCATTTGCCAGGGACAGTCAGTATGCGGGTGCCGGGAGGGAAGGTGTGCAGGTCCGAGGCCCGGCTCGCTGCACGGAGCCCTTGAGAACCCAGATTTTCCACGACTGCTCGTGAAATCATGAAACCGTAGACGCTGCCGAAATGTTTCCAGTGAAGTCCATGCCCAGAGCTGATCAGGTCGGCGGATGGTCTCCCGGCTGAGCCTGGTGGCATCGTCCGCTCTGGGCCCAGAGCTGCCCCCGTCCTGCCCGCGGCCACTCGCGGCGCCTCCTGAGCCCTCTCGTGTGTCAGGACGCCAGCATCCTGTTCGTGGTCTCGGGGCTGCTGCACGTGTACCAGCGGAAGATCGGCAGCCAGGAGGACACCTGCTTGTTCCTCACGCGCCCCGGGGAGATGGTGGGCCAGCTGGCCGTGCTCACCGGGGAGCCTCTCATCTTCACCGTCAAGGCCAACAGGGACTGCAGCTTCCTGTCCATCTCCAAGGCCCACTTCTATGAGTGAGTCCCACGGGCCAGGACCTCAGGGCGGGCCCCAGCCCCCCCTGCCCTGAGACCCCTCCCCGCGTGGCCGGCCTCTTCCTGGTGCTCTCACCCTCTTCCCTGCTTCTCGGGCTCCCCTCTTTGTCCCCGGCACCTGTGTGGGCCCAGGTCTGTGCCCCCTGCTCCAGCGCTCAGTCAGCCGACCCCACCTGCCCGCAGCGATCAGCTTCGCACGGCCGTCTCTGTGGTCTGGTCCCAGCTGTGTCCATTTATCACTGGTCTGTGGTCTGGTCTCAGCCGTGTCCATTTATCACTGGTCAGTTCTGGGGCTCCCCAGCTTGGCTCAGCAAGGCCCACGTTGGGGCAGGGCCGGGCTTCAGGGGCCGTGAGCCGTCCCACCTCTGCAGCCTGGGCTGACGTGTCGGGAGCCAGTGATGCGGAGGTGGAAGGGCAAGGCAGTGGGTGAGGACGCGTCTCTGGCTCGGGGGAGGAGCCCCACTGACGTGTGTCCCTTCTTGGGGCAGAATGTGCCCGTGTCGCCTTCCAGGCTCCGGGCTGGAAGACATCTGTCCACTTGACCCCAGCCCGTAAGTCTCAGATTTGGCCCCTCCAGGCCCAGAGCTGCCCTCGGCCCGCCTGTGGCTGCCTGGCAGAGCCGCCACGTCTTTGCATCCACGGCACTGGGCATTCTGCTCTGTCAGGTCCAGAATCTCCTGGAGCCTGGGGTTCAGTTTAACCCCAGCTCTCGCCTCTGGTGGCTTGAGCCGTTCTGTGTGTGTTTTCTGGAAGTCCTCCGCACCCTCATAGGCCAGATGTCTGCTGTGGTCTCAGAGCTCTTCTGCCTGAGTGGTTGGGCAGCAGGAGAGGTCAGAAGCCTGAAGGTCAGTGGAAGCACAGCAGCTGAAGAAAACAGGTCGGCTGGGTGCAGCGGCTCACGCCTGTAATCCAGCAAATGGCACCGCGCCGTTGCTGCTTCAGCCTGGGGACCCCGAGCCGGGCAAGGGGCAGGGGTGGGGGCAGCGGGGCCCTGGCCCAGTTGGGAAGGGCTTTCTGCATGGCCTCTGTCTTCCAGGCCTGGCCTGAGTGGCTCCAGCCAGGTCCCGATGCCGGGTGCCCTGACACCGCAGCGTGCTGATGGGGAGACTGAGGCTCCAAGTCCCGGTCCCTCCACCAGCAGGGGACCCTGGGTGGAGCTGGACCCATCTCCCTCCTGAGCATCCCCAGCTGCTCCACATCAGTGCCAGGGAGATCAGGACGGATGGCGAAGAGCAGGGACAGGAACCACCCAGGGCAGAGCTCAGGGCCCTCAGCCTTAATGCAGCTCAGTCCCCCCGTGCTGTGTGTCTATCTGTGTGTCTGCGTGTGTCGTGTGTCTGCGTGTGTCTCTGTGTGTCTCCATGTGTCTGCATGTGTCCGTGTGTCTGTCTCTGTGTCTACATGTGTCCATGTGTGTCTCCTTGTGTCTGTGTGTGTCTGTGTGTCTGTGTGTGTCTCGGTGTGCCTGTGTGTCTGCCTGTGTCCGTGTGTCTCCGTGTGTCCGTGTGTCTGCGAGTGTCTCTGTCTCCGTGTGTCTGTGTGTGTCTGTGTGTCTGCCTGTGTGTCCGTGCATGGTGTGCCTTGCAGCCGTCACCCCAGCCAGCATCCCAGGGCTCCTCCTCCACCCCCAGGGCTCTAAGTGCCACGCTCACGCCCTTCACGCCCTCACCCAGCCACTGTCTTGCCATCTCCCCAGCTTCCCCCACCTCCTGTGCAAAGCAGATCCTGATTCCACGTTTGCTCTTCCTCCTGCTTTTGCCTTCTGAGGAAATGGCAGCTCCACCTGCCTGTGGCTCAGGCTAGGCCTGGAGTCGCCCGGCGTCACTCTCACACCTGGTGCAGGTTGCCCCACGTCCCACCTCGCCACTGCCCAGAGCCCCTGGGCACGTCCCTGCTGCAGCCCTCACCCTCGACAGTCTGTCCACACACGACCACCGGGGAGAGAACAGTGTTCCCCGGGTCAGAGGCCCCAGCCACCCTCCACCCACCCAGGAGAGACCCTGTGCTATCCAGGCCCCATGGGTCTCTCAGCCTCTGCCTTTGCCTGCTGGTGCCCTTCACGGCACTCACTGCCAGCCACACCCACGGCCCGAGTGTGCATTATGCAGCTCCTGACGGCATGTGCAGTCCCCTGCCAGGACCGCAGCCTGACACAGGGCCCGTGTCCAAGGGGCACTCGCGGGCCTGCCAGGAGGGGGCTCTCTGGGCTCCCCAACAGCTGCTGGCCACTGGGCACGTGGTGGGCAGTGCTGTGCCGTGGGGCAGGCAGCTGACTGGTGCGTGCCCCGTCCCAGCCCCTGCCAGTGGTCTCTCTACTTTCCGGGTGGGGTGGGGGTTGTGGGTCCCATCCATTCCCGAGCACTGCGGCCCTGGGCGAAGGGTAGGGTTGGAGGGATGGGGCAGGATTGACTCTGGGCTGCCCGGCAGAATCATGCGGAAGCAGCCGACCGTCGTCCTGGGTGTGGCGCACACTGTGGTGAAGAGGATGTCGTCCTTCGTGCGGCAAATCGACTTTGCCCTGGACTGGGTGGAGGTGGAGGCCGGGCGAGCAATATACAGGTGAGGCCGTGGGTGCCACACACTCCGCATCCATGCTGCCCTGGCATGCAGGAGCTGGGGATGGGCAAAGCACGGTTACCGTGGAAACCACACACGGAAGTTACTGTGGAAACCACACATGGAAGGCTGGATTTCCCCAGCCCCACCCCAGCTTAGCTCGGAAACACACTTCGTGGCCTCCTGGATTTCATGACACCCACACACGCTTGGACATAGTCCATGTTCTATGAGCATCTCTCCGTGTCATTATATTCAAGTCCACACCGTCCCTTTAAAAGGGCCCCATTAGCTGGGCGTGGTGGCTCACGCGTGTCATCCCAGCACTTTGGGAGGCCAAGGTGGGTGGATCACAAGGTCAGGAGTTTGAGACCAGCCTTGCCAACATGGGTGAAACCCTGTCTCTGTTAAAAATACAAAAATTAGCTGGGCGTGGTGGTGTGCGCCTATAATCCCAGCTACCTGGGAGGCTGAGGCAGGAGAATCACATGAACCTGGGAGGTGGAGGTTGCAGTGAGCCGAGGTCGTGCCACTGCACTTCAGCCTGGGCGACAGAGCGAGACTCCGTCTCAAAAAATAATAATAATAATTAAAACCAAGACAATTTTAGAATATTCATTTAAAACAACCCAGGCCTGTTAACATAAATATTTTAAAATAAAAAATATGTTTTCCAAAACAAAAATAAGATAGTGAGAAGCCTGCATTTTCTTTTTCTCCATCCTGAGTCTGTCTGGCATTGGGAAGCTGGGTGTGGAGGCTGAGGCTGGGGGCCCAGGGCTGCAGGGCCTCTGTGTCTTCCGCAGGCAGGGGGACAAGTCCGACTGCACGTACATCATGCTCAGCGGCCGGCTGCGCTCTGTGATCCGGAAGGATGATGGGAAGAAGCGCCTGGCCGGGGAGTACGGCCGAGGAGACCTCGTCGGCGTGGTAGGTGCTGGGCCCTGCTCCTGCCTCCCCCACCTCTGCATCCCTCCCAGAGCATCCTGGGTTCTGGCCTGGGTGTGGCCTGGCCAGTTACTTGGGAGCAAAAGCCCCAGGAGTGGATGGTAGTAGTGATGCCCCGCAGCCGCTTTGCTGTGAGCCCCGGGCTCTGCCTCCATTGGGGGGACTCCCCGCGGCTGCTTTGCTGTGATCCCCAGGCTCTGCCTCTGTGGGGGACTCCCAGGCACCTATCCTGGCATCTGGGAGCACTGGCCCAGATGCCTTGGGTGTCTCTTGAGGGCTGGTAGCAGCAGGAGCTGCCTTTGGTCTGGGGTTCCACAGGAGCAACTACAGCTGGTCTGGGTCTCACAGCAGGCCCCTGCATCCTGAGCGAGTGGGGGGCTGCCCAGCTCCAAGGTGCCACGGCCTGGGGCTTCTGCCGATTTGTGTTTTTGTTTTGTTTTGTTTTGTTTTGTTTTTTGAGACGGAATTTCACTCTTGTTGCCCAGGCTGGAGTGCAGTGGCGCGATCTCAACTCACTGCAACCTCCGCCTCCTGAGTTCAAGAGATTCTCCTGCCTCAGCCTCCGGAGTAGCTGGGATTAAAGGTGTGCGCCACCACGCCCGGCTAATTTTGTATTTTTAGTAGAGATGGGGTTTCTCCATGTTGGTCAGGCTGGTCTCCAACTCCCGACCGCAGGTGATTCACTCACTTCAGCCTCTGAAAGTATTAGGATTACAGACGTGAGCCACTGCTCCCAGACTGTGTTAAGTTTTAAACCAGTGTGGCCAGGTGTGGTGGCTCACGCCTGTAATCCCAGCACTTTGGGAGGCCAAGGTGGGTGGACCACCTGAGGTTGGGAGTTCGAGACAAGCCTGACCAACATGAAGAAACCCCGTCTCTACTAAAAATACAAAATTAGCTGGGTGTGGTGGCGGGTGCCTGTAATCCCAGCTACTCGGGAGGCTGAGGCAGGAGAATCGCTTGAACCTGGGAGGCGGCACTCCAGCCTGTGCAGTAAGAGCTAAACTCTATCTCAAAAAAAAAAAAACAAAAAAAAACTAAACTCCGTCTGAAAAAAAAAAACAGTGTGTGGGGAGGCCTAGGTGCCCTCCCCTGGGGACAGCGTGGCCTTCAGGCAGCCTCTGAGGTCGGAGGTGCCGTGTTGCTCCGTGTTTTGCCCGGGGCTGATGGGAACTCTGTCAGTGTGCTCCAGCACCGCCTCGCCTCAGCTCTGCCAGGGCCGAAGGTCTTCCCATCAGAGTCCCGCGCTCCGATGGCTCAGCAGGCCCTGGGCCTCTGCTTGGCTTTATGTGCAGCCTGGTGGTTCCAGCTCCATCCACCGGATGAAGGCTCACACTCCAGGCCGGATGCCGGCAGGGAGGCCTCAGTGCCAGAGGGCAGGGCTCCCGCAGGCTGAGGGACACATCTTAAAAAGAGGAGTTCTCCAGGCCGGGCGCGGCGGCTCACGCCTGTAATCCCAGCACTTTGGGAGGCCGAGGCGGCGGACCATGAGGTCAGGAGATCGAGACCATCCTGGCTAACATGGTGAAACCCCGTCTCTACTAAAAATACAAAAAAACTAGCCGGGCGTGGTGGTGGGCATCTGTGGTCACAGCTACTCGGGAGGCTGAGGCAGGAGAATGGCGTGAACCCAGGAGGTGGAGCTTGCAGTGAGCCGAGATCGCACCACTGCACTCCAGCCTGGGTGACAGAATGAGACTCCGTCTCCAAGAAAAAAAAAAAAGAGGTGTTCTCCAAAGGCATTTATTTCTTCGGGAGAGCTGAGGCTGCCCTTGTTCCAGCCTGTGGTGTCCAATGCCTGTGTCTGCAATTTGCCTGGGTTGCTAGGGGGCACCTTTGGCTTCTGGCATGTTCCAGTGGTTCTGACAGCGTCGCCCGCCAGCACTCACTGACTGCCTC
The DNA here is from genome assembly GCF_000001405.40 of Homo sapiens. Taxonomy (NCBI): domain Eukaryota; kingdom Metazoa; phylum Chordata; class Mammalia; order Primates; family Hominidae; genus Homo; species Homo sapiens. The sequence goes on along the minus strand of NC_000009.12, from coordinate 137,495,269 downwards.
CGCCTTGCGGTGTGGATGGGGTGTCATGTGTGGCTCTGGCAGGCACCGGAGGCTGTCAGGGACAGGTCCAGCTGGCTCGGCCCTCCCAAGCCCGCGGCCCCAGCAGCCGGCTCCTGTCCTCAGGTGGAGACACTGACCCACCAGGCCCGGGCGACCACGGTGCATGCCGTTCGGGACTCAGAATTGGCCAAGCTGCCGGCAGGAGCCCTCACGTCCATCAAGCGCAGGTACCCACAGGTGAGCATGGCGTGGGTGAGGATGCGGAGCGGATGAGGGTGTGGAGTGGATGAGGGCATGGAACAGGTGAGGGCGGAGCGGGTGAGGGCACAGAGCAGGTGAGGGCGCGGAGCAGGTGAGAGCGCAGAGCAGGTGAAGGCGCGGAGTGGATGAGGTCACGGAGCAGGTGAGGGCAGGGCGCAGGTGAGGGTGCAGAGTGGATGAGGTCACGGAGCAGGTGAGGGCAGGGCGCAGGTGAGGGTGCGGAGTGGATGAGGTCACGGAGCAGGTGAGGGCAGGGCGCAGGTGAGGGTGCGGAGCTGGTGAGGGCGCAGAGCAGGTGAAGGCACAGAGTGGATGAGGTCATGGAGCAGGTGAGGGCAGGGCACAGGTGAGGGCGCGGAGCAGGTGAGGGTGCGGAGTGGATGAGGTCACGGAGCAGGTGAGGGCAGGGCGCAGGTGAGGGTGCGGAGCAGGTGAGGGCGCAGAGCAGGTGAGGGCGCGGGTGAGGGTGGTGCGGGTGAGGGTGGCACAGGCCATGTCCCAAACTGTGCCCTGAGTTGTGGTGATCATTCGGTCTACCTACACATGGATGGAAAACGACCTGGAGGAGGTGAAGATTAGAGCCCAGCTGGGTGGGGGCGGTGACGGTGAGCAGGAAACCTGGAGAGGCGCCCAGGCTGCTTCCCAGGACAGTCGTGCAGCTGCCTTCTTGGTGGCCTCTCTACTCATGAGTGATGTGGGTGTGGCAGAGGAAAGGGAAGTGACTCTCACTCTGAGATCTGGAGAAGGACAGGGCGGGCTGCTCGGAAGTGCAGGGTCAGCGGTGAGGAGAGCGCCCAGGAAGGACCGGCAGAGGGGCCTGAAGGGCAGGTCTGCAGTTGTTCATCAGCCAGCACACGGATCCCAAGAAGTTTTTCATTCTAGAACAAATGGAAAGGGGGTGCAGGTGTGGCCCACAGCATGTTGCAGGGCCTTTTACGGCCAGTGCCTCTCACCACCCCTGGGGCTCATCCTGAGAGGCCACCACTGCCCTCCCTCCACCGCCTCCCCTCAGGTAGCGCTTCTCCCACTCAAAGCTCTTGGGCCATGGTTCTCCTGCCCGCAGCTCCTGGATCCTGGTTCTCCTGCCCGCAGATCCTAGGTCCTGGCGCTTGCTGTACTTGCCCACTTATGGACCAGGAGAGCCTGGCGGAGCATGTGAGTGCAGCTCACAGGGCCAGCAGGCTCCAGGGTGGCAGCCACAGTTGCTGGGAACAGCAGGGAGCCAGGCCACTCCTCCATCTTTGTCCTGGCCTGCAGGGTGGGCCTCGTTCTCATGAGCGCCTCGGAGCAGGAGCCCTGGCCCACCCTTTAGAGGCCGCTGCAGGGCTCCATCCAACCAGCAGCTTCTGGGGGACAGTGCGGGTGAAGCCAGTGGGTCCGCTGTTGTGGGGCCAGCTTTGCTGTACAGTCAGCCCCTGGGCAGGGTCCCTGCAAGCCAGCAACCCCTGGTGTGGGGACCGTTTGGTCCAGTCAGGACAAATGTCCCCAACCGTGCCCTGAAGCAGGCTTGGCACCCAGAAGCAACAGCCACAATGAGCCCTCAGTTCCAGAGAAGCCTGCCAGCCTGCCCTTGTCCTGCCTTCAGGGTCGTGGGTGGCTTGCTTGGAGTTGTCTGCCTGCCCTGAAGTGAGAGTGAGAGGCTGGCCTGGGCTCACGGTCACAGAGGACATACCCCTTGTACCTGCTGGCCTGGCAACCAGAAAGGCAGCCGTATGGCTTACCTGGGCATCAAGAAGGCTGCAAGGCCTAAACAGCCATGGCCCAGCACGTGGCTTGTGAGTCATGTGCAACTCAGTTCATGGAGGTTTTGAAAAGCAGATCCAGCGCCATTGGCTGAGTCTCGCTGTTGTTGAGCATCACTGTCTTTGGTTCCCAGTGTTTCTCAGTTTAAAACGTGTGGCTCTTGGCTCCTGTGTCTGCCCGCAGGTGGTGACTCGGCTGATTCATCTCTTGGGTGAGAAGATCCTGGGCAGCCTCCAGCAGGGACCTGTGACAGGTGGGTCACCTCTCCCAACCCAGAGCCTCCTGGGAGCCCTCACCCAGTCCTGGAGCCCCGCCCACCCAGCCCATGGCCCCGCCCTCCCAGCCCATGGCCCCGCCCTGTCCTGGAGCCCTGCCCACCCAGTCCATGGCCCTTCCCTGTCATGAAGCCCTGCCCACCCAGCCCATGGCCCCACCTAGTCCCAGAGCCGTAGCCCACCCAGCCCATGGCCCTGCCCACCCAGCCCATGGCCCTGCCCTGTCATGAAGCCCGGCCCACCCAGCCCATAGCCCTGCTCTGTTCTGGAGCCCTGCCTACCCAGCCCATGGCCCCACCCCATCCTGGAGCCTCACCCACCCAGACCATGGCCCTGCCCTGTCGTGCAGTCCCACCCACCCAGCTCATGGGCCCTGCCCTATCCTGGGGCCCCACCCACCCAGCCCACGGCCCTGCCCTGTGCTGGAGCCCCGGCCACCCACCCGCCCATGGCCCCGCCCTGTGCTGGAGCCCCACCCACCCGCCCATGCCCCTCCCCTGTGCTGGAGCCCCGCCCACCCATGGTCCCACCTACCTCAGAGCCCCGCCCACCCGAGCCCAGTAATTTTTTTCAAACTGTATCTCAATGTGGGCAGCACTGGAGGAAAGCTCTGCTATATGTGAAAAGATGAAATGTGATATATCTCCCTCCTATTTTTGTCAGCTGATTGGAAAAAGGAAACAGGGTGAAACCTCCGGAAACGGTATTGGTGGAGCGGAGAGTGCTCTCTCTCCTGTGCTCAGCATGGAAAGATAATGAGACCATTCTAGAGTGTGGGGAATTTAGTTTTCCCTGCTCCAGCATATTCATTCTTTCCTAGTTCTGAGGTGTACTTTTTTCTGGAGCCACTGTTAGCTCTCAGGCTGTCCTCTCTCACCAGGTCCCACATACTCAAGGACTCTGACCCTTTATCTCTGCTGGACAGCATTTGACCCCAGATCCCCTTGCCATTCTGGGAGCTCCTCTCTCCTGCCTTCTGCCTCTGTGCCTGCTGCTCTCTGCCTGGAGCCCTCAGAAGAGCCTGGCTGCTCCCGCGTGTCCTGCATCTCCGTCTCAGCACAGCCTCCCTGGCCTCCCCATCCGCCCAGCACTCTCAGCTCCCTTTCCGCTTCCTTTTTCTTCTCTGTGCTTGTCACCCCCGACACATTGCATGACCTGTCACCTGCCTCTGGCATTGGCGTGTGAGCTGGCTGGGAGCAGGAGCCTGCGTCTGTGTTCACACAGTGACGTGTGCACAGCATTGAACGTCTGTCCAAGAAGCGGATGGATGCACAGAGGGCCACACAGAGGCAGCGAAGTGTGAGCCCCACTCTAGGGTGACCCCATCTTCATCTGAGTTCCTCTGCAAAACCGTTTCCAAATAAGGTCACATTTTGCGGTTCTGGGTAGACATGAATTTGGGGGGACACTAACACGTAATGTAACTCTTCACTCTCCACTTACCTGCACTGTGAATTTTGGGGGACACTGTCTAACACGTAACGTAATGTGACTCTTCGCTCTCCACTTACCGGCACCGTGAGTTTTGAAGTGAGTTTCTTGTAGAAGGTGTCCGGTTGGATCATGTGTTCCTCATCCCTTCTGACAATCTTTATCTTTTGTGTGTTTAGACTGTAGATACTTAGTGTAATTATTCTGTTACGTCTTCCATTTTGTTGTTTTTTCTGTTCTCACGCCCCCCACTGTTGTTAAACACTACTGTATTTTCTCTTTTTATTTAGAGATGGGGTCTCGCTATTTTGTCTAGGTTGGAGTGCAGTGGCTAGTCACAAGTGCAATCATAGCTCCCTGCAGCCTCTAACTCCTGGGGTCAAGTGATTCCCCCCCCCTCAGCCTCCTGAGTAGCTGGGACTACAGCTGTGAGCCTCTGCGCCCAGCTTTTCTGTCTACTCTTATGTTACTTGAACTTTTTTGAGTATTCCATTATAATTATCAACTGTGGTTTCCATGATGTCTCTTCATGTGACATTTTCAGTGGTTACTCTAGCGATGACGTTATCCATACCTAACTTATCCTTGTCTACTGACAGCCACATCTCAGCACTTTAAGTGGAATGTGGAGAGCTCACCATTGTTCAGTCACTTCATCCTTCCCCCTTTATGATGTGGTTGTCTTAACTATTACCTCTGTAATTTTGTCAAACTGTAGCCCCAAAAACACAGGGCTACAACTTTCGCTTTCAGCCATCAAACATGATTTTTAAAACTTAGGAGAATAGTCTGTGATGTTCACCCAGGGTCACCGTCCTCCTGCTCTTCTTTCATTTGCGGCATCTCAGGTTTCCTTCTGGGCTCGTCTCCTTGCTGTTGAAGAATTGTGGTTAGCGGTTCTTTCAGAGAAGGTCTGATGGCTGCAGATCCGCTTGCTTTCCCTCATCTGAGAATCTGAGAATATCTCCATGTCACCCTCATGCTGAAGGGTGCTTTTGCTGGATGTATAATTCTGGTTTGGCAGAAATACAAAGTATTTCAGCACTTTAAAAATCTTGTGCCACTTCCTCATGGCCTCTGTTGCTTCTCATGAAGGATCCAGGTATCCAGATGTTCTCCAGTAGGTAACGCATCATTTCTCTCTAGCTGTGTTCAAGAATGTTTTGACCAGGCACAGTGTCTTACACCTCATCCCAGCACTTTGGGAGGCCGAGACAGGAGGATTATTTGAGCCCAAGAGTTCGAGACCAGCCCGGGCAACATAGTGAGACCCTGTCTCTATGAATAAAATTTGAAAAATGATCCAGGCATGTTAGCACACACCTGTCGTCCCAGCTATGCAGAGGGTTGAGGTGGGAGGATCGTTTGGGCCTCGGAGTTCGAGGTTACAGTGAGCTATGATCGCGCCACCGCAGTCCAGCCTGGTCAACAGAGCAAGACCCTGCCTCAAAACACACACACAAAAAGGTGTTTTTCTCTGTCTTTAGTTTTCAGAAATGTGATTTGGAAGTGTCTGAGCATGAATACTTTGGATCTGTCCTGTTTGGGGTTTCTTCGTCTTGGACCCGTAGGTTTATAGCTTTTAACACATTTTGGAAGTGTTCAGTCTATATGTCTTCAAACGATTCTTCCACTCGTGTGCCCCTCCACCTCTTCTGGAAATAAAGTGGCACAAGTGTTAGACCTCGCGTTATTGTCCCCAAGGTCTCTGGGGCACTGCTCATTTTTTAAACCTTTTTTTTCTCTCTCTGATGTTAAGATGGAATTGTTTCTTTTGATCTATCTTCAGGATCTTTGGCTTTTTGTCATCTCGATTCTGCTTTGAGGCCTATCAGAGAGTTTTAAAAAAATGTTCTGTCATCGTGTTTTGGTTCTTCTGTGTGCCTCCTGTTTCTTTGCTAGGACGTTCTCTCTTTGTCTTTGTTTCAGGAGTGTTCAGGATTGCTGGTTCTAGCTGGTAATGATAACAGCTTTATCGTCCTGGAGAAATAATTCCGTCTGTGACATGCGGTCGTTTTTATCTGTGGATTGTTTTTACTCCTCTGGTTCAGATCCTCCTTGCTCTTGGCATACTGGGTCACCATGGATGTGGCCTGGTCACTGTGGACCCATCCTGGTCACTGTGGATTTTGTGTCCTGATGTTTTGAGTGTTAGGCTATGAGACTCTGGTTCCCATTTAAGTCTTCAATTTTCACTGTTAGTGTGCTTGTATTCACAGGGCATGTCCTGGCCAACGTTTGTGGAGTGTGGTTTGAACGTGAACTGACCCTGGTCTGCCTACTAGGTGCTGCCCAGGCCCAGTGTGAAGGCTGCATTCTGCGCCATCTTCAGCTCTCAGACCCGAACACCTGACCCTGGCACAGGCTGCGTCTTCATTACAGATTCGAGGCTTTCTTGATCTCCTACCTCTAGTTGGCAGGAGGTGGGGCCTCCTCTGCTTTCTCTGCAGGGGTGCACAGTTGGGGGGATGTCTGCTGGTCAGGGGGTGCACAGTTGGGAGGGATGTCTGCTGGTCAGCGGGTGCACAGTTGGGGGGATGTCTGCTGGTCAGTGAGTAGACAGTTGGGATGTCTGCTGGTTAGGGGGTACACAGTTGGGAGGCATGTCTGCTGGTCAGAGGGTGCACAGTTGGGGGGATGTCTGCTGGTCAGTGAGTAGACAGTTGGGATGTCTGCTGGTTAGGGGGTACACAGTTGGGAGGGATGTCTGCTGGTCAGGGGGTGCACAGTTGGAGGGATGTCTGCTGGTGTGGGCGGTGGACAGTTGGTGAAGAGGTTTCCTGCTGTGGGTGGTGGACAGTTGGGAGGATGCTGGCTGGTCGGGGGGTGCACAGTTGGGGGGGGATGTCTGCTGGTGCTTGCTTGGTGCCAGTCAGTGTCCCTAGAGGCAGCTCCCATGGGGAGGGAGGGACAGACCCCTCCGTCTGTGGCAGCCATGTGGCTGGGAAGCAGACTCTGCTTCTTTCTTGGCCTGAGTCAAGTGGTTCCTCCATGAGTCCGAGGTCCCCGGCCAGCCTGCCTTCCTCTCCATCCTTTGGAGTCTTGCGAGAGCTGCCTCGAGCTCTGTCCCTCTCTGATCATGACTGGTGACAGGTGGCCTGTGTCTGCTCCACCTCCCTTCTGGCCCAGAGCCAGAACCTCACCAGTGCTTTTTCCCAAGGCTAAGGCCATATGGAACTAGCAATGGCCTCCCCCATTCCGCCTCAAATGAGGACTCTGACACCTCAGTCCCTGGAGAGGCGAGAGGAAAGGGATTCCCAAGGAAAAGCTGCAGGAAAAATAAAAATAAATCCACATCAGAGAGCCACGTTCGGGCCGAAGCTCGGGACGAGACATCAGACCGCGAGAGCCGCGTTCGGGCCGAAGCTCGGGACGAGACATCAGACTGCAAGTGAAGCTCGGGACGAGACATCAGACCACGAGAGCAGCGTTCAGGCCGAAGCTCAGGATGAGGAGGCGGTTCTCCGTCTTTCTGTGCTCAGCAGCACTTTGGTGTGTGTGTGCATTGTTTGTTTGCTATCTGGGAGTTATTTCCTCCTGATTATAGAAGCCACCTGCCTTCCACTCAGCGCCTAGAGGCGGAGACACATCATCTGGGCCTGAGTCCCCCGCTCCTCCCGTGTGGCCAAGGCTCAGCTGCAGTGAGGGGCTGAAGTGCGTGCGGTGAAGGTGATGCTGGGGACACCTCGCAGGGCGTGCCAGGTTGTGGTGGTGGCCCAGGCTCCTGAGATGCCCCTGACAGGCAGGTGGAGGCTGGATGGGACGGCCTCTCGGGGGCCAGCTGGGGTTGGGTAGAACTGGAGGCTCTGTGGCTGGCACAGCCGGTTCCGTGCCGGTGTGGCTGGTTCCCCCAGAGGAGCAGAGGCTGCCAGGAGGAACACGTGTGGAGGGTTTTATTTTGCTTCATTTTTCTTGTCTGTCATTGTGGAGTTTTATCACAAAGGCTGTGTAGGCTGCAAAAAGACCTAAGAGCCCCCAGGCACGAGATGAAGACGTGGGCGCCTCCCTCTTACAGCTGCTCAGGTGGTGCTGAGGCGCCAGTGCCCCGGTTCTTTTCCTGCACAGACACAGCTGCACATGCGTCAGGCAGGGTCCTTTACTGGGGCTGCCGGTTTGGGTATTTACTCCAGGGCTGGGGTCCCCTCCAGGGGTCCATGAGCCCCACGGCGACACTTGGCCAGCCCTGCACTCCAGGCCGGCACTTTGGGCCACTCAGCTCCAAGCGCTTATCCCGACCAGGGCCCGGTGTGGATGCCTCTGCACGTCTCCAGCGCTGCTTGGTCACAGCCCTTGGCAGAAGCTGGGTGCGGTCTGTGAACAGCTGGGGATGCAGCTGGGCTTTGCAACCTCCAGGCAGAGATGGGCACTGGACACTGAGCCCTTGGCAGCCGGTGCGCAGCACGCAACCGTCCATCCCTGGCTTACCTGCTGGGGCCAACCAAGCACTGGGCCCTGTCGGAAGCTGGCACCGTGCTCAGGAAGCCAGTCAGGAAAGAACCTTCTCCTAGAGCTGCAGTCGAGTTGGGTCAGGGATGAAATTGGACCAAGAAGGCAAAAGAGATGGCTCAGAAGGGCGGGGGGAGGGGCAGGGGCACGCAGGTGGTGGGGCAGCGCTCCCTGAGGAGGTCAGGACCCTTGGGGCCAGGAAGAGAGCTGTGTGGTGTGGGGGTCACCAGCAGCTCTCAGGGACCGCAGATGGGCTGAGGCTGCAGACTCTGGCTTGTTCTGAGTGGGGAGGGGCACCAGGGGCTTTGAGCAAAAAAGGCTCCGGGCAGACTTGGGCGTCGAAGGCCAGCTCCGGCCACTGTGCACAGAGCGTCCTCTCAAGCAGGCGGCTGAAGCCACCCCAAGGCTGGGCGGTGGAGGCCCAGGGCTCCCGGTGCTGAGTTGGACTGAGGGCGGGGACTGAGCTTTGGTGGGTCGGGTAGGAGCCTGGGGCCGGAGGTGGGGGCCGAGTCCGAGGGAGGATCTGGGGCTGTGTGAGTCTTGGACACTCATTCGGGATGTGGGATGGGCAGCATCATTTATCTGTTTCTGCCTGCATACAGGTACGGGTGTTTTTCTTTTGGGAGGCCTTGAGTATTTATTTAATAATGGAATCACATTTATAAACCACTCTGCAGCTTTCCTGCTCAGCAGCACGTCATCAGCTATTTTCCTGTGAGCACATGATTGCCGGCTGTGCGCTGGTTCTCCGAGCCATGTTCCCCGTTCACAGGCTCTTACCCGCAGTGCTGCCACGGCGCCGTGTGCATCCCAGGATCTTGCAGGTGTCCGCTGGCCGCCGTCTGCAGGGAGTGGCCCTTAAGCCCTCACTTGGTTCTGTGTCCCCAGGCTTGCTCTCCTGGCCTCTTCCCTCACCATGCCGCGTCCCCTTACTCTGACCTTGGCCAATCAGGACCTGCGTGTCTGGTGGATTTTGGAAGCCACCTCACTGGGGACGGGAGACATAGGCCAGGGGACAGCCTGTGAGAGGGCTGGGCCACGGGGACTGCAGAGGAGGAGCATCCACGGCACCTAGATGCAGGAGACCCTCGTGGGCAGGAGCGTGGCTGGTGGCGCGGTGGCCTCAGGAGCAGTGAGGCCGTCCCCTCAACCTCTTCTGTGGAAGCAGAGATGCCACTCGCCAGACGGCATCCAGTAAAGAGGGCCTGGGACCCTCTGGGGGACTCTCAAGTCCCAGACCCCCTGGTCCATGTCCTTGCCACTGTGCTGGCCGAGGGGCCCCTCAGCCCACATGGGGCCCAGGGAGAGGGTCCTGCCTGTCTGGGCGGGCCCCTTGGTGGGCCCTGGAGGCTCCAGTCTCAGGGAGAGGAAAGCCTGGTCTGCCTTGACACCCTCACTCGCGTCTCCGGGGTCTCCAGGGCCTGGCCCAGGCTTCCCAGGGCTGCGCTGTGCTTCCTTGGTTTCTGGAATCCCTTGCAGATGACAGACAAGAGAAACGGGCCTATTGATGTCTAGCCCGTGTGTTGTTTACTGTTCCTGGAGTGAGTGGTGGAAAGCCCTGCGACGATTGGTTCAGAGGATAAGGCCTCACCTGGAGAGTATGTCTTGTTTACTCCGATGAGGCCTCACCTGGAGAGTGTGTCTGGTTTACTCCAATGAGGCCTCACCTGCAGCGTTTGTCTGGTTTACTCCGATGAGGCCTCACCTGCAGCGTTTGTCTGGTTTACTCCGATGAGGCCTCACCTGCAGCGTTTGTCTGGTTTACTCCAGTGAGGCCTTACCTGCAGCGTTTGTCTGGTTTACTCCGATGAGGCCTCACCTGCAGCGTTTGTCTGGTTTACTCTGAGCCTCACATTCCTTTCAGTCGCTCCGTGAATCACTGTCTTTGGTGGGTCAGGAGGAATCCACTCCCTGGGCCTGGGCCTGGACCAGTGCTGGTCAGACCTGCTGTGTGGGGCCTGGGGACGCTTGCAGGTGTGGACTGGCAGCTCATCAGGAAGAGCTGGGGAAGGCGTGAGACCAAGACAGCCTCCGGCCTGGAGAAGGCGTGAGGCCTAGGCAGCCACATGGCTGGGGACAGCGTGAGGCCCAGGTAGCCTCTGAGGGTTGGGGGAGGCATGAGGTCCAGGCAGCCCCTGAGGGCTGGGGAGGCGCAAGGTCCAGGCAGCCTCAGGACTGGGGAGGCGCGAGGTCCAGGCAGCCTCAGGACTGGGGAGGCGGGAGGGCCAGGCAGCCTCAGGACTGGGGAGGCGGGAGGGCCAGGCGGCCTCTGGTGCTGCTGCGTTGCTCCTGTGCAGCCTCGGGGGGCCCCAGGGCATCTGGAGGCATCTGTGAGCGTGTGGGCTGTCCCAGCTGACGTGGGTCCTTTGCTCCACAGGCCACCAGCTTGGGCTCCCCACGGAGGGCAGCAAGTGGGACTTGGGGAACCCGGCTGTCAACCTGTCCACGGTGGCAGTGATGCCCGTGTCAGAGGAAGTGCCCCTCACCGCCTTCGCCCTGGAGCTGGAGCATGCCCTCAGCGCCATCGGTAAGCCTGAGCCTCCCAGCCTCCAGCCATCCTTGGGTTCTGGGCCTGGTGGAGGGCGCCTGCCGGCTGCCCTCTGTCTTCGAGGGGACGCGGCGGTGGGTGGGCAGGGCTCAGTTGGGGTCAGTGTTCGGTAGTGTTTCCAAATTGCTGGCAGCTGTTAAATTTGGGGATTCAAGGGCAAGGAATTGAATTTCCTGAGAACTCTCAAAATTCTAAGTTATTCTATATTCTTTGCAACATTTTATTTACAAGTTTTCATGTGATGATAGGGACCATGATGATAGACAGGAAGTCAGTTTTCTGTGGGTTTAAGGTTATGCTAAAAATTTCAGTGTTGTCTTGGCAAAATAATGCAATAATAATGAATGCGGTCGGGCGCGGTGGCTCATGCTTGTAATCCCAGCACTTTGGGAGGCCGAGGTCAGGAGTTCAAGACCAGCCTGGCCAACATGGTAAAACTCCATCTCTACTAGAAATACGAAAATTAGCTGGGCGTGGTGGTGCGCATCTGTAATCCCAGCTACTGGGGAGGCTGAGTCAGGAGAATCGCTTGAACCCGGGAGATAGAGGTTGCAGTGAGCCAAGATCACACACCATTGCACTCCAGCCTGGGCGACAGAGCAAGATTCTGTCTCAAATAATAATAATAATAAATGCAATGAATGTTGTATAATTATTATAAAACAATATATTGTGACAAGAGTATTTCAGAACCATGTGAAAATGCTCCCTCCTGATACAGACATTTGGTAATAGAAAACAATACATTCAAAAAATTTATAATATAGAAAGATGCTACTATAAACATCGAATACTTATAAGTTATTCTCAGCCACGTGCGGTGGCTCATGCCTGTAATCCCAGCACTTTGGGAGGCCGAGGCGGGTGGATCACTTGAGGTCAGGAGTTCTAGACAAGCCTGGCCAACATGGTGAAACCCCGTTTCTACTAAAAATACAAAAATTAGCTGGGCGTGGTGGTGGAAATGCCTGTAATCCCAGCTATGTGGGAGGCTGAGGCAGGAGAATCGCTTGAACCCAGGAGGTAGAGGTTGCAGTGAGCCTAGATCGCACCACTGCACTCCAGCGTGGGTGACAGAGCAAGACTCTATCTCAAAAATAAATAAATGAAAGTTACTCTCAAAACAAAATTTTAAAACACATAAAGCATGGATTGCCTTGTCTGATGGCCTTGACCGTCGTTACATGACACATATTCCCAGTATATGCAGAAAATCTTACTCATTTCCGGTGACATCAGTCAGAGTATTCCAGGTATGTCCAAAAACATCTTCGAGTTGTACGGTGGAGCTGTCCCGCGTCACATAAACTAGTTCCCTTTAGAAACATCTTCGAGTTGTGCGGTGGAGCTGTCCCACGTCACATAAATTAGTTCCCTTTAAAAAACACTTTTTAAGCCAGGCGTGGTGGCTCACGCCTGTAATCCCAGCACTTGGGGAGGCTGAGGTGGGAGGATCACTTGAGGTCAGGAGTTCGAGACCGGCCTAGCCAATATGTTGAAACCCCGTCTCACTAAAAACACAAAAATTAGCCAGGCTTGTTGGCAGGCTCCTGTAGTCCCAGCTACCAGGGAGGCTGAGGCAGGAGAATCGCTTGACCCCGGGAAGTGGAGGTTGCAGTGAGCTGAGATGGTGCCACTGCACTCCAGCCTGGGCAACAGAGTAAGACTCCGTGTCAAAACAAAAACAAACAAAAAACCCACTTTATTTTGAAATAATTATAGGATCGGAGAAATTGTGGAATAGTAAAGAGAGACCCCATGTGCCCTTCGCCAGGGCTCCTTCACGGGCAGCGCCTTAGGGGGTAACATCGAGGCCGGGACGTTGGCGTTTACGCCATCTGTAGACCCCTTGGGCCCCAGCAGCCCGTCCGTGCCCTCCTGGGTGTGTGTGGTGCAGTGTGGTGTGGGTGCCGTTTCTGTGACCTGCACCACACGGGGCCACTCTGTCACGGAGGAGACCCTGCAGGTGGCTGCCATGTTGTCACCCAGCACCCCGGCTTGCCGGCAGCCCTGGATCTGTTCTCGATCTCTATAATTTTGTCATTCTGAGAAAGTGATGGAAATGGAACCACACGGTGTAGCCTCTGCAGACGGCCTTCTCCCACTCAGTCACGTGCACGCAAAGTTCCTCCTGGCCTTTTCCTGGCCTGGAGCTCAGTTCTTTTTGGTGCTGAGTCATCGTCCGCTGCCTGGACGCACCACAGTTGATCTGTTCATCTACTGGAGGGCATTTGGCTGCTTCCAGGATTTGGCAATTATGAGTGAAGCTGCTGTAAACACCTGTGTGCGTGCTTCTGTGTGGACAGAGGTTTTCAGTTCCTTTGGGTAAACACCAAGGAGCATGATTGCTGGATCCTGTGGTCGGAGTATGTTTAGTTGTAGAAGAAACCACCAAGCTGACTTCCAGTGAGGCTGCACCAGGCTGCAGTCCCACAGCAGTGAGCAGGTTTCGGCTGCTGCACATCGCACCAGCATTGGGCTGGATTTTCAGCTCAGAGCTGTCTCTTGAGCCCAGGGGGCATTCTAGTTCAGTTGTAAGAGGGGCCCTTATTTTGTGTGCCTCTAAGAAACAAATGTTGCTAGTTAAGGCACGAGACACATTGATCTGATCTCTAGTTGTTGTTTTTTCTGAGATGGAGTCTTGCTCTGTTGTCCAGGCTGGAGTGCAGTGGCGCGATCTCAGCTCACTGCAAGCTCCACCTCCCGAGTTCATGCCATTCTCCTGCCTCAGCCTCCCAAGTAGCTGGGACTACAGGCGCCCGCCACCACACCCAGCTAAGTTTTGTATTTTTAGTAGAGATGGAGTTTCACCGGATCTCCTGACCTCGTGATCCCTTGGCCTCCCAAAGTGCTGGGATTACAGGCGTGAGCCACCGCGCCCAGCCGATCTCTAGCTTTTAATTAGAATTAGACCTCCCTGCTTCCCACACATGGGGCTCTGGGTCCTTTCCCACCCGGCACTGCCAAGCAGCACCCCCTCAGGCTGAGCCCCTCATCTTAGCTTCTCCCCTGAGCCTCTGGTGGCTGTGATGCCAGGGCTGACACTGGCGCCCCTGGTTGAGAAGGGCCCTGACAGCCGTGCCCATGTGGAAGATGCATACGAACAGGCATGTCAACACTGGGGACCCTGGCCTCTTGGCGTCTGGCACCTCGATGATCTGGGTTTTGGAAATTACGTTATCTCCCATCGCACAGCCTTCCCTGCCCTGCACACGTGGCAGGACACAGAGATTCCACTGCTGCTCGTGCTGGAGGGGACCGAGGCTCAGAGAGGCTACCCGAGGCCTCCTTCAGGGCAGATGGGAGGTAGCATCAGGCCACAGGCCCTTCCCCACTGGCAGGTGAAGAAGGCTTGGCAGTTGTGCTCAAGGGGAGCAGACCTTGGGGTTGGGGAGTGGACTCTCACTGCCTTCCTCCTCCTTGGTGCCTGGCTGGGCGTCGGTGCCTGGCTCGGCGTCGGTACCTTGCTGGGTGTCGGTGCCTTGTTGGCGTTGGAGGTGGGCTGCCCAGGCAGGCTCCGTTACTGGTGGTGGTGTTTTCAGGCCCGACCCTGCTGCTGACTAGTGACAACATAAAACGGCGCCTTGGCTCCGCTGCCCTGGACAGGTGCGTGCCGCCAGCCCCGACTCCTTCCTCCCAGCCGGCCCAACGCAGCCCTGAGATGTGTCCCCACTGTGTCCACATCCAGCATCTGCACTGCAGCGTGCTCCTCGTCCAGCACACTGTGGTGTGAGGGCTGATGACGTGACTCCCTTCACTGGACACACTGGGCAGCGCTGACCTGCTGGGCACTGTCAGGCCTCCCAGGGGACCCCAGCCCCCGCTTCCCGCCTGGGCAGCCCCGGGTCTCACTCTCCCCAGCCTGCCCCTCAACGAGCCTCAGCCTCTGGGCTTAACTGCAGCCTCTGCGTGACTGCCTAGGCCCTGAATAACTCACTGCGAACTAGCGATGGCAGGAAGTGCTGGGCAGGGAGGGGAAGGGGCAGCGGCTGGTGCTGGCCTCTGCTGCCTCTTTGCCCCGGGGACATGTGCTAAGAGTGCCAGGCCCCTGCGGAGTAGTGAGGTACTCCCTCTGCGTGCTGCAGTGTTCACGAGTACCGGCTGTCCAGCTGGCTGGGGCAGCAGGAGGACACCCACAGGATCGTGCTCTACCAGGCAGATGGCACGCTCACACCCTGGACCCAGCGCTGCGTGCGCCAGGCCGACTGCATCCTCATCGTGGGCCTGGGTGACCAGGAGCCCACAGTGGGCGAGGTGAGCACGGGGAGGGCCGGTGGAGCTGGGGAGAGCCCTCTCTTCAGAACCTCCTGTTTCTCTTTTCCTTTGAGTAAAATACTGCACAAACTCAGAAAAAGACAGATGATAAGAGCCAACACTCAGATATCTGCTACCCATGTTTTAAAAACACGGTGCTGTATTGACCTCCAGGGGTTCTAGCACGGAGCAGGGCAGGTGCCCCACGTGGCCTCTTGTGAAGCCGCAGCCTCCGGCCGCCTTTCGCACTTTTACAGCAGGTGCGGGAAGCCTTTTCCAGGACTAACCTTTTACGTAAACGGTGCCCTATTTTGTGTCATCTGAAGTTTGCTTTTCTCCACAGCACTTAGGTGTCGGCGTCGTTCCTGTTCCTCTCACTGCTTTTTCTGGCTGCTTAGTTTTCCTCTTGTGAATGCCTTACCCTCTGCCTCTGCATCCTCAGCCAACAGGAACAGCCTTCTGCAGGCACCTTCGGGACGCTGGCCCCAGGCTGTGTCTGCAGGTTCCCAGATGGCAGCAGATCACTGACCTGATTGCTTCCTTCCACCTGGCCATTGCTGCAGGCGAGGCCTCGGGCTCATGGCCACCCAGTCCTGTTCGTGTTCTCCAGCTTCCTGCCTTCAGTTTGCATTTCCCGTCTCCCTCCTCTGCTCCCTGCTCTGTTCTCATCACAAGCCTGCCTGGGCTAATCCTGGGGCAGCTAAAAATTCCTCCTCTCTGATGTATGTTCCTGTTCTGCAGCTAGTGATGCTCCCTTGTGAGAGTTTGTTTGCAAAATACCTCATTTGGAAAGGTTGCTGTGTGTGTTTATGAGGCAGTGTTAGAGAAACAGAAAGAGGAGGCGTCCCCCTCCTGCCGTACTGACCTTGCCCAGCACACAGTGGACGGATGGACCCCTGCCGTCAGAGCTTCGGCAGCGCCAAGGCAGACCAGGCCACAGCCAAGTTGCTTTGCAGAACCCAGGAGCTGCTCCCGGGGTCCTGCCCTCAGACCCTCTGTGCTGGCCTTCAGCTCCGTCCTGTCCCGAGTCCCAGGCTCACCCGGCTGGCAGACACGTGGGCTCTGCCTTTCAGCTGGAGCGGATGCTGGAGAGCACAGCTGTGCGTGCCCAGAAGCAGCTGATCCTGCTGCACAGGGAGGAGGGCCCGGCGCCAGCGCGCACCGTGGAGTGGCTCAACATGCGGAGCTGGTGCTCCGGCCACCTGCACCTCTGCTGCCCGCGCCGCGTCTTCTCCAGGAGGAGCCTGCCCAAGCTGGTGAGGCGGGGAGAGGAGGCTGCCTGCCCGTGGCTCCGTGGTTCATTTCCTCGAACGTTCGAAGCATTCTTCACATTCCCCACCTGATTCCCTGACACCTGCGCTCCTGGGCCCTTCCTGTGCTTGTGAACGTGACCCTGCCTCACGTCTCCTTCATCTTGCCCTTTGGGCCTCTGGTGGCCACGGCTAGGAAGCAGCCGGTGCAGTGGGGGCAGGCACAGGGCGGCCATCGGGCTGGGGGCTCAGCGAACCCCGGGGATGGGCCTGAATCAGGGGGCTCAGCAAACCCTGGGGATGGGCCTGACGTCAGGGGGGCTCAGTGAACCCTGGGGGATGGGCCTCATGTCAGGGCTGCTCAGGGCTGAGGCTGAGGCCCCCACATCCAGCTGATGAGGGTGTCCTCAGGCCAGCGCTGCTCCCTCCTTTGGGCAGAAGGCCCTGAGACTTTTAATTCCGGTGTCCTCAGGCAGCCCAGGGGCCTGAGAGTGAGGGGTGTGGGGAGTCTGCTCATGCTCACGGCCCCCAGCCCACAGCTCTGTCCAGAAACCCACGCCCTGAAGGCACCATCTGCTGCAGGATAGAGGGACCCCAGTGGGAACAGCTCTGAGGATGCCTTCTGGCCCCCCACCCGGGCCCACTCTCTGGCCCCCCACCCGGGCCCACTCTCTTGCCCACGTACCCTCTGCCAGTGTCCTCCCCCCAGTAGCTGAGCTGTCTCTGGGGCCCGGTCCGGGCACTGAGGTGCTGACCAGTCGTATCAGGCAGGGCCTGCTGCATGCTGGAGAGGATTTGGGGTCAGTTTGGGTCAGAAGTGGAGGAAACTCCCCCCAGTCAAGCCAGGATGCGAGGTCTCGGCCGAGGGTGGGGCCCTGCACCAGCCCTGCCTGACGGCTCCTCCCCCAGGTGGAGATGTACAAGCATGTCTTCCAGCGGCCCCCGGACCGACACTCAGACTTCTCCCGCCTGGCGAGGGTGCTGACGGGCAACGCCATTGCCCTGGTGCTTGGGGGAGGGGGAGCAAGGTGAGTCCCCCCGCTTCCTACACACTCCTCACTGGTGTGTGTGGTGACAGTCGCCCCCTCGGGTGCTAGGAGGTGCTGGGTGCGGGGGACAGGGGGTGTCACCCGCAGACGAGACCCTCAGGCCGCCTGTCCAGACCCAGCCTCCACCCCGGCCTGTCCTCTGAGCAGGCCCTGCAGACCCTGGCACATGCGGTGTGCCCACTGACACCCAAAGTGGCCCTGGTTTTATTAGGGCCAGTTTAGTAGAAGACATATCTCGTTTTGACTGTCTTTGCTTAGAAGTGGTTGCTTGGGCCGGGCGCGTGGGTCACGCCTGTAATCCCAGCACTTTGGGAGGCCGAGGCGGGCAGATCACGAGGTCAAGAGATTGAGACCATCCTGGCCAACGTGGCGAAACCCAGTCTCTACTAAAAATAGAAAAATTAGGCGTGGTGGCGCGCACCTGTAGTCCCAGCTGCTTGGAGGCTGAGGCAGGAGAATTGCTTGAATGCAGGAGGCAGAGGTTGTGGTGAGCCAAGATCGTACCACTACACTCCAGCCTGGCGACAGAGCGAGACTCTGTCTCAAAAAAAAAAAGAAGCGGTTGCTTGTTGGCCCTTTGCACCTCCTCCTCTGAAACCTCTGCTCTTTCCTTAGCCGGTCTTTCCCAGCATCTGGTGAGTTTCCTTCACTCCAATACTTGATAAAGAATGATCTGCTTTGCCCAAACTGAGTCCTTCAGGGACTTTAAACCCAGATACCTCCTCCCCTGCCTTGTCGTCAGACACCACCTTCTCCTGAACTTGAATAAATACCCTTGGAACAGAGATGGAGCCTGGGAGCCACGAGGAGGGTGGGACAGGCATGTGCCCCTCTGCTGAGCCAGGTGCGTAAGGGGCAGGGCGGAGCCTCCTACCGCTGCCCCCAAAGGAAGGGAGGACATCGAGGGGTGCCTGGGCGGGGGTCCAGGCCAGGGCTGCCTTCTGGGGTGGGGCCTCTCCGGCAGCCCCTCCCATCTCCCACGGAGTGCCAGCACTGCTACCCCGGGAAAAGCTCGGAGGTGGCCCCAGGGCCTCGAGGATGCTTCTGCTGGCCCCAGGGCAGGGCCCTGTCAGCCTGGGGCTGTTCTAGGTGATGAGGTGCCCACTGCATCCTTCTGTCTAAGGGACTTTCCACCTTGTCTTGTGCCACATTTTCTCTTGAAAGCTGCGGAAGTTGGCCTACAGCAGTTCAATGGCTTGCCTGAGGTTGCCAGGCTGGGGACAGGACCCAAGTCTCTTTCTGTGGGTCTGGGACAGTGCAGGGACTTGGAGCAGTTGAGCCCAGGCCACATCAGCAGCATTTTTAATGAGAAAGTAGCTTTGATCAAGGTAATACTTAGAAGCCATACGGTTCTGTAAGGCACGTAACTGCAGTCCTTTGCCTTCCTTCCAGCACCACCTCCAGAGTTATCCCAGAAATAACCATGTCCAGTGTTTTGAGCTGTCTGCTTGTCTGTATTTCTAAATCATATTCCTATTCTACTAAGTTTTTGGTTTTTTTTTTAGTTTTAGATTGTTGACTTCTTAACCCCCTTCAACACCCGCAATCAGAGTCTGCTAACTATTGATTAATCACTCATCTATGCATCTGTCTCCCTCCTTTCCACTCAATCCCAGTGTGGTCCCATCACTAGTTAGCCAGCACTCACTGTCTGTGTTGTTATGACACTGTGGGTGTCACTCAGAACTAAGTCACATCCTATCCTATCCTATGATTGAAGTTCCTTCCTTGGAGTTAATAATTGTCACATTTGTTCAGTTTTCTGGGTATCCTTAATTTACCCGAAGACACTGAGGCAGGCATTAACCTCCTCTCGGTATGTTCGGACATACCACTCATCTCTGTTTACTTTTCAGGAGTCATCCTCCCGAAAGCCCTCTAGCCTCTTCGTATCTCTACTGGTTGTTTTCTAACATGCTGCTGAGATGTTGGCCTGGAATTTTCTTTCACCACCACCCTGGAAACTGCCTTTGTTTCTCTCCTGTGTTCAATTCCATTTCCTGTAATTTCATGTCTTCTTTATTGGTTTATTCCTCATTTTGGTGGATATATGTTCTAGAAATCTCCCTAGGAGAAGACGCATGGGGAAGTAAACATTTTAAGACCATGCATATCAGCAAGTGTCCTCATTCTATTCCCATACTTCAGTGATAGTTTGGCTGGGTATAGAATTCTAGATGGAAATAAATTTCCCTGAGAATTTTAAGGCATGGTTCCATTGTCTTTTTAGTTTTTTGTATTGCTGTTGAGAAATTTAATGCTATTTTTATTCACAGGGCCGTTTTTTCTTCTGGAACCTCGTAGGAGATTCTTTTTTTTTAAAAAAAAAACAGGTTCTCAGCCAGGCACAGTGGCTCACGCCTGTAATCCCAGCACTTTGGGAGGCCAAGGTGGGCAGATCACAAGGTCAGGAGTTTGAGAGCAGCCTGGCTAACATGGTGAAACCCCATCTCTACTAAAAATACAAAAAATTAGCCAGGCTTGGTGGCGGGCGCCTGTAGTCGCAGCTACTCAGGAGGCTGAGGCAGGAGAATGGCGTGAACCGGGGGGATGGAGCTTACAGTGAGCTGAGATTGCGCCACTGCCCTCCAGCCTGGGAGACAGAGCAAGACTCCATCTCAAAACAAAAACAAAAAACAAAACAAGGTCTCGCTTTGTTGCCCAGGCTGGCGTGCAGTGGCAATCATAAGCTCACTATAGCCTCAACTCCCAGCTTCAAGCAATCCTCCCCACTCAGCCTCCCAGAGTGCTGGGATTACAGGCGTGAGCCACTGTGCCTGGCCTGAGACTCTGCACTCTTGGTATTCTGAAAGTGCATGATGGGCCTTCATGTGGCTCTTTTTGCATCCACTGACACTGGATTCCCAGTGGACCCTTTCAAATTTGGAAACTCACAGACATCAACTCTGGGAAATTTTTAATTTTTCTAAATGAAAATGTTTACCTCCCTCTTATCTGTGTTCTCTCTTCCTGGAGCTTCTTTTTTTTTTTTTTTTTTTTTTGAGGCAGAGTCTTGTTCTGTCGCAGTGAGCGATCTCGGCTCGGCTCCCTGCAAGCTCCGCCTCCCAGGTTCACGCCATTCTCCTGCCTCAGCCTCCCAAGTAGCTGGGACTACAGGCGCCCCCACCACGCCCAGCTAATTTTTTTTTTTTTTTTGTATTTTTAGTAGAGATGGGGTTTCACTGTGTTAACCAGGATGGGCTCGATCTCCTGACCTCGTGATCCGCCTGCCTTGGCCTCCCAAAGTGCTGGGATTACAGGCGTGAGCCACTGCGCCCAGCCTTCCTGGAGCTTCTGATGGTCAGATTTGGGGCATCTTAGATGGATCTTCTAATTTTTAGTCTTTTCTCTCCCCTATTCTTCATCTCTGTCCTTCTGTTCCACTTTCTGGAAGATTTTTCTCAAATGTACTTGCAGTTGATCTTTTCTGCTAAAACATCTCTGAGGTCCGCGTGCGTTTCCCCACGGCACTCCGGTGTCCTCCAGGGCTGCCTCGCGCTCCTGAGAATGCTCGTCGCCTTCCTTGTGCCCTCCTTGCTTGCTCAGATTTTCCACGAGGCGCCTGTTGGTGTCTGGCGTTGATCACGCGACATAACGTGCCTGAGATTTGTCTGCACTCCTGACTCTCAGCAGTGGCAGTGCCGGGCCAGCTTCCATGGTGCCCTCCCCACGCTTTGCTTATCCCCCTTCCTGTCGATGCACAGTTGGTTGGTTTTCTGGTTTTGGTTATTACAAACAAAGCTGTTATCACCAATTCTTTTGTTTGTTTGTTTTGAGACGGGGTCTCGCTTTGTCGCCCAGGCTGGAGTGCAGTGGTGCAATCTCAGCTCACTGCAACCTCCACCTCCTGGATTCAAGTGATTCTCCTACCTCAGCCTCCCCAGTAGCTGGGGTTACAGGCACCCACCACCACACCCAGCTAATTTTTGTATTTTTAATAGAGACGGGCTTTCACCATGTGGGCCAGGCTCGTCTTGAACTCCTGACCTCAAGTGATCCACCCACCTCGGCCTCACAAAGTGCCGGGATTACAGGTGTGAGCCACTGCACCCAGCCCCAACTCTTGTTCAAATCCTTCTGTGGACACATTTCCTTTCCTCTTGGGCAAATGCCTAGGAGTGTAAGTGCCCGGTCGTGGGGCAGTTGTATTGTTTTACACTCCCACCAGCAATGTCTGAGAGTTCGAGTGACCCACATCCCCACCGACCCTTGGTAATGGCAGTATTTTAAATTTTGCCCATTCTAATGGTCTGCAGTGGTGTCTCACTGTGATTCTAATTTGCATCCCTCCGATGACTGATGACGTAGAACACCTGTTCATGAGCTTGCTGGCCATTTGTGTGTCTTCTTTTGTGGAGTATCCATTTAAGTTCTTTATTCCTTTTGTAATAGGTTTTTGTCTTTTACTATTGTATCGAAGGAGTTCTTTATTCTGAACACGAGTCTTTTGTAGATACATTTATTACTGATATTGTCCTCAGTCTTGGCTTTTCTTCTCATTTTCTTAATGGCATCTTTGGATGAACCATTTAAAATTTTGAAGTGTGATTTTCCAGTTTTTTTATGGTTATTAATTCCAGTGTTCTGAGAGCTTCAGCCTATCCCAAGGTCACAGAGGTACTCTTCATCTTCTTCTAGAAGATTTTCTATTCTATCCTGTATGCTTAAGTCTGTGAGCCACCTCAAATTGATTTTCATGACTGGTGTGAGGTGGGAGTTCACTTTTCCCATGTGGTGTCTGGTTGCTCTGAATGATATGGTTTGGCCATGTCCCCACCCAAATCTCACCTTGAACTATAACTCCCATAATCCCCATGTGTTGTGGGAGGGACCTGGTGGGAGGTAATTGAATCATGGGGGCAGGTCTTTCCTGTACTCTTCTCGTGATAGTCTAACGGGATCTGATGGTTTTACAAAGGGCAGCTCCCCTGCACATGTGCCCTTGCCTGCCACCATGTAAGATGTGCCTCTGCTCCTCCTTCACCTTCCACCATGATTGTGAGGCCTCCCCAGCCACGTGGAACTGTGAGTCCATTAAACCATTTTTTTTTCTTTTTTGAGACGGAGTCTTGCTCTGTCGCCCAGGCTGGAGTGCAGTGGTGCAATCTCGGCTCACTGCAACCTCCACCTTCTGAGTTCAAACAATTCTCCTGCCTCAGCCTCCTGAGTAGCTAGGATTATAGGCATGTGGCACCACACGCGGCTAATTTTTGTATTTTTAGTAGAGACCGGGTTTCACCATGTTGGTCAGGCTGGTCTCAAACTCCTGACCTCGTGATCTGCCCGCCTCAGCCTCCCAAAGTGCTGGAATTACAGACATGAGCCACTTTGCCTGGCCTAAATCTTTTTTTTTTTTTTTTTTGAGATGGAGTCTCATTCTGTCACCCAGGCTGGAGTGCAACGGTGCAATCTCGGCTCACTGCAACCTCCGCCTCCCAGGTTCAAGTGATTCTCCTGCCTCAGCCTCCCGAGTAGCTGGGATTACAGGCACCTACCAGCACACCCAGCTAATTTTTGCATTTTTAGTAGAGACGGGGTTTCACCATGTTGGCCAGGCTGGTCTTGATCTCCTGACCTCAAGTGATCCGCCCACCTCGGCCTCCCAAAGTGCTGGGATTACAGGCTTGTAATTTATAAAGAAAATGAGGTTTAGGCTGGGTACAGTGGCTCAAGTGCTGGGTAATCCTGCTGAGCCACCGTACCCAGCCTCCATCTCATTTTCTTTATAAATAACCCAGTCTCAGGAATTTCTTCAGAGCAGAATGAAAATGGATGAGTACACCTTCCCTCCCTCCTGAACTGCTGAGGCCCCTGTCAGATCCAGTGGCCCAACAGGTGTGAGGCTGAGGCCTCCATCAGATCCAGTGGCCCTGCAGGTGTGAGCCCATCTGGACCTTGCTGGGTTCCACTGGTGTGTTTCTCTATCCTTAGTGCCAGTGGCCCTGCAGGTGTGAGCCCATCTGGACCTTGCTGGGTTCCACTGGTGTGTTTCTCTATCCTTAGTGACAATACTACACTGCCTTAGTTACTGTAGCTTCACAGTCAGTCTTGGCATCGAGGAGTCATCTAGTTCCTTCCATTTTCCATTTTTCTTTAATTGTTTTGGCTGTCCTAGGCCCTTTGCATTTGCATGTGAATTTTAAAATCAGCTCGTCAGTGTCTCCAAAAAGAAAACCTCCTGAGATTTGGATGGAGGAATACATTGAATCTGTACATCATTAGTCGACAACATTGAGCCTTCCAGCCCACAATCTAGACAGATCTCCCCATGTACTTAGGCCTTCTGTAGTTATGATCAGCCATGATTTGCGGTCTTCAGTGTAGAGGTCTTGCACATCTTTTGTTAACTATATTTCTAAGGGTTTTACAGGCTTTTAAAAAAGTATTATAAATGGTATCTTTTTTTTTTTTTTTTGAGACGGAGTCTTGCTCTGTTACCCAGGCTGGAGTGCAGTGGCGCGATCTCGGCTCACTGCAATTTCCACCTCCCGGGTTCAAGCAATTCTCTGTCTCAGCCTCCTGAGGAGCTGGGATTACAGGTGCCTGCCACCACGCCCGGCTAATTTTTGTATTTTTAGTAGAGACGGGGTTTCACCATCTTGGCCAGGCTGGTCTTGAACTCCTGATCTCATGATCCGCCCGCCTTGGCCTCCCAAAGTGCTAGGATTACAGGCGTGAGCCACTGTGCCCGGCCATAAATGGTATCTTTTAGACTTCATTTTCAAATTGTTTGTTGCCAGTATATAGAAATACAATTGATATTTATAAATTGATCTTATATCTTACAACCCTGCTAAATTCATTTATTCTTGTAGCTTTGTTGTAGATTCTTTTTGACTTTCTAGACACATAGTTAAATTTTCTGAGATTAAAACAGTATTTTCTCTTCCTGTACAATATGCATATGTACGTTCTTTCTGTTTCTTCTTCTTGCCTTACTGTGCTGGTGGGAACCACCGCTGCACTGTGGATAGACGTGGTGGGCGCAGACACCCAACCCTCATTCCAGGCGCGGGAGCAGGTGTTCAGCCCACCACTGAGTGTGATCTTGGCTGTTGGCATTTTGTGGCTGCCCTTGGTCAGACTGAGGAAGTTCCCTTTTATTCTCAGTTTCCTGAGTTTTTTAAATCATGAATGGTGGTTTTTGTGACTCTATCGAGATGATTGTATTTTCTCTTTAATCTGTTAATGTGTTAATTACATTGATTTTCAAATTAAAATGAACATTGTGCTCCTGGGACAGACCCATTTCGTCCTGATGTTAAAGTTATCCTGTTTGTATATTGCTAGATTCTACTCAAACCTGAGTAAGACTGGACTGAAATTGTCCTTTTTTGAAATGTCTTTACCGGGTTTGGTATGAAGGTTTGTTTGTTGGCTTCATAAGCTTAAGTGGGAAGTTCATCTTCTTTTCCTATTCTCTAGAAGGTTTTTAAAAAATTTTTATTTTTACTTTTTTATTTTTATTTATTTTCTTTGAGACAGTGTCTCATTCTGTTGCCCAGGCTGGAGTGCAGTGGTGTGATCACAGCTCGCTGCTGGGATTACAAGTGTGAGCCGCTGCGCTCAGCCAGAAATGGAATCTGTAACTTTTAAATCCCCACAAAGAAAGTTTCATATCCAGATGGTTTCACTGGTGAATTTTATGAAACGTATAAGGAATAAATAAAACAAATTTTACATAAAACCTTCCAAGAGGCCAGGCGCGGTGCCTCACACCTGTAATCCCAGCACTTTGGGAGGCCAAGGAGGGAGGATTTCTTGAGCCCGAGAGTTCCAGACCAGCCTGGGCAACATAGTGAGACCCCATCTTTATAAAAAATGAAAAGATTAGCTGGGTGTGATATGGTCGTAGC
Organism: Homo sapiens; assembly: GCF_000001405.40. Lineage (NCBI taxonomy): Eukaryota > Metazoa > Chordata > Mammalia > Primates > Hominidae > Homo > Homo sapiens. The sequence continues at coordinate 137,470,156 of NC_000009.12, read as the reverse complement.
TACTTGGGAGGCGGAGGCAGGAGGGGGATCACTTGAGCCCAGGAGGTTGAGGCTGCAGTGAGCTGTGATCACACCGCTGCACTCCAGCCTGGGTGAGAGCTAGACCCTGTCTAAAAATAAAAATAAAAAATAAATAGATTAAATTTATTTAATCTTTACTGAGTTACAGTACTACTCATATGTTCTATTTCTTATGTTATTTTGGTGAGTTAGGTTTTTCTAAAAATGTGCCCATTTTATCTGAATTTTTCTATTTATGGCATGAAGCTGTTCAGTATTTTAAACTAAAGCATCTGCACCAATGTTCCCATTTTCTTTCCTGTTCATCATTGATGCTTTCTCTCTTTCATTTCCTTGATCGGCTTCACCCGGGCTGTCCGTCGAATTGGTCCCTCCAACACCAACTTTCATCTTTGTCAATCTTCTCTATGTTTGTTTTTGGCTCTTTAAGTTATGCTCTTATCTTTGTTATTTGCTTAATTTTACTCTTTTATTTAAGTTGTTCTTTTTTCCCTAACATTTAGACGAGCAGACATTGTCTATAAAGAAACAGATAGTAAATATATACTCTCTCACAACCACTCAGAGGATAGAAAAGTTAAGGTAACGCATCTTTTATTTTCTCAGGCTCGCTTAAAGGTTTTTTCTTTCCTTGGGTTTTTGACAACATGAGAATGGTTTTCTTTTGATTTATGTTAGGATTTATCATGCTTCCTGATTCTGAGGCCTGATGTCTGTCTGTAGAACATGCCACACTGTCTCTTCAGATACAGCTCCCTCCCTGTCTGCTTTCTGTGGCTCTGATCACACATACATTAGAGTTTGGTGCCAGATCCCATGTTTCCTAAACTCCCTTACAGATTTTGTAAAACAATATTGTTACATATTCTGTCCTCTTGATGCTTCATGATTCAGTGACTGTTTCTGACCCATCTTGTATTTTACCATTTCTCTCTTCAGCTGTTCTGTTCTGCCGTTAGACCCACTCATTGAGCTTTTCATTTGTTATTATATTTTTCACTTCTAGAATTTTCATTTGGTTTTATGCCAGAATTAACACTCTTGTTTTTAATTCCTTGAACTTGGGTTTTTGTTTTTGTTTTGTTTTTTCTGAGACGGAGTTTTGCTCTTGTTGCCCAGGCTGGAGTGCAATGGTGCGATCTTGGCTCACTGCAACCTCCACCTCCCAACTTGAACTTGTTTTTAAGGCTTATACCTGAGTAATATTCTGTGGCAGTATTACATATGGTTTTTTTTATTATGTTAAAATATACATAACATAAAATTTACCACTTAACCATTTTTGAGTATCCAATTAAGTATTAATATATCATATTAATATAATTAATGATACAATGTTGTTACAATGTCGTGAAATGAACAATTGCCACTGTTCATTTCCAGAACTTTTTTATAGACAGGGTCTCACTCCAGTCCAGGCTGGAGTGCAGTGGTGTGACGTCAGCTCAGTGTAGCCTTTGACGTCTTCCCACCTCAAATCTGCCCCCATGATCCAGTTACCTCCCACCGGGTCCCTCCTCCAACACTGAGGATTAAAATTCAACATGAGATTTCGGTGGGGACAGAGAGCTAAACCACAGCAAATGCCTCCAGGGTCCCCCCCAGCTGTGGCTTGCATCCGAGCTCCCTCCTTAGAGCTGGGTGCTCTTCCCTTGTCTACTTTGTACCCATTCATCAGCTGTTGCCACCTTTTGGCTCCCTGCACACTTTAAGCGTGGTCATTGTAAAAGCCTGTGTCTGTATCTCTTACCTGGGAGGCACTCTGGGCCCACTTTCATTGTCTGTTTTTTCTTTTGGCTATGAGGCCAAAAGGAAAGCCTATATGAGGCTTTTCTTCTCATATGACTGGTAATCTTTGGTTGAGTGGTGGACATTCTGTATGAAAGCAGCAGTAGCAATTAGAGGCCCTGGGTGCCGGCTGCCTGGTCTCGGGGGTGCCCCCTGGTCTCGGGGGTGCTCCCTGGTCTCATGGGTGCTGGTCTACATCCAGCTCATCTGACTCCTGGGGTGCTGCCCCTCAGGATGCTTCCCAGGCTCCTCCCTTCCAGGGCCCCTCAAGTCCAGTTTTCCCACCACCTCTCAGACGCCCTGCTGGAGGCAGCCGTGTTTCCGGGTAGAAGAGGCCAATGCCGGTCAACTCTCAGGACACCTTCCTCCCCATCCCAGCCTCACAGTCCCTCAGTACCTCCAGAAGGAAGGATTTCATTTATTTAATTAATTTATTTATTTATTTATTTTGAGTCAGAGTCTCACTCTGTCTCCCAGGCTGGAGTGCAGTGGTGTGATCTCAGCTCACTGCAACCTCTGTCTCCTGGGTTCAGGTGATTCTCCTGCCTCAGCCTCCCGAGTAGCTGGGATTACAGGCGCGCACCACCACGCCTGGCTAATTTTAGTATTTTTAGTAGAGATGGAATTTTGCCCTGTTGGCCAGGCTGGTCTCGAACTCCTGGCCTCAAGTGATCTGCCCGCCTTGGCCTCCCAAAGTGCTGAGATGACAGGCGTGAGCCCGGAAAGAGGGGTTTTAAACTGCATCTGGAGTCCCTCTCTGCGTCAGCGTCTCTGCCTGTGGAGGAGTTGGGAACTGAGGATGAGCACAAGGCCTCTGCAGGGCGCAGCCTGGGCCTGGTACTCACTCCTTGCTCTGTGTCCCTGGCTGGTGTAGAGGCTGTGCCCAGGTGGGCGTTCTCAAGGCCTTGGCGGAGTGCGGCATCCCTGTGGACATGGTGGGAGGCACGTCCATCGGGGCCTTCGTGGGTGCCCTGTACTCTGAGGAGCGGAACTACAGCCAGATGCGGATCCGGGCCAAGCAGTGGGCCGAGGTAAGCAGGCACCCATCACCCTCACCGGAGCACAGCCCCCAGGTCCTTGCTGGTGCTGGGGGACGCTGGGGCCGTTGGCCTCTGCATGTGGCTCTGCAGGGCCCTGCCCTCGAGGAGGCTACCCCCTGAAGCCTCCCAGTGCAGCTTGTGAGGCAAAGGAGCACCACAGAGAAGGCACAGATGCAGGTTGGTGGTGGGAGGCGGTCTGATCTGTGCCCAGGTCTGAGTTGGTGGAGACGGTGGTGGGAGGTGGTCTGATCTGTGCCCGGGTCTGAGGTGATGGAGACGGTGGTGGGAGGCGGTCTGATCTGTGCACGGGTCTGAGATGGTGGAGACGGTGGTGGGAGGCGGTCTGATCCGTGCCCGGGTCTGAGATGGTGGAGACGGTGGTGGGAGGTGGTCTGATCCGTGCCCGGGTCTGAGTTGGTGGAGACGGTGGTGGGAGGTGGTCTGATCCGTGCCCGGGTCTGAGGTGATGGAGACGGTGGTGGGAGGTGGTCTGATCCGTGCCCGGGTCTGAGTTGGTGGAGACGGTGGTGGGAGGCGGTCTGATCCGTGCCCGGGTCTGAGTTGGTGGAGATGGTGGTGGGAGGTGGTCAGATCCGTGCCCGGGTCTGAGGTGATGGAGATGGTGGTGGGAGGTGGTCAGATCCGTGCCCGGGTCTGAGGTGATGGAGATGGTGGTAGGAGGTGGTCTGATCCGTGCCCAGGTCTGAGTTGGTGGAGGTGGTGGTGGGAAGTGGTCTGATCCGTGCCGGGGTCTGAGATGGTGGAGATGGTGGTGGGAGGTGGTCTGATCTGTGCCCGGGTCTTAGATGGTCGAGGTGGTGGTGGGAGGTGGTCTGTTCTGTGCCTGGGTCTGAGGTGGTGGAGACGGTGTTGGGAGGCGGTTTGATCCGTGCCCGGGTCTGAGATGGTGGAGATGGTGGTGGGAAGTGGTCTGATCTGTGCCCGGGTCTGAGTTGGTGGAGGTTGACGATGGGAGGCGGTCTGATCCGTGCCCGGGTCTGAGATGGTGGAGGTGGCTGCAGGATGACATGGATGCCAGGATTGTGGAAAAGAAGCTGACTGTTACAGCCCCTGGGAATAAGAGGCATGGAGCCTCCATGGGGGTTTCTGACCCAACGGCCAGGCAGGGCAGCGTGAGCAGCTGAGGATGGGCTGACTGAGTCCTTCAGGCACGCTGGGGGCCGTGGGGCTGTCCCTGGTGCATGGCACCCGGCCTGGGTTGATTTAGGGCAGGGAGATGTTGGCGTGGGGATGTGAGATCAGGTCAGGGCGGCTCAGTGTCACGGGGGAGATGTAAACTACTTTGGCCACTAGTCTGGCCTTGTGATAAATGGATTCCAGAATCAGAATACCAAATACAGAATCAAAGACAACAGTGAGAACAGGCTCCCCTCGGGCAGCAGAGGGAGGCAGCCAGGCTCCGTTCCCCAGCAGACGTGGCCACCGTCTGCCCTCCTCAGCGCTGCGCTTGCTTTTGTGGAACAAAACCGAGCTTTGGTTGGAGCCATGAGTGGGATCAGAAGGGTTCGTGTTCTCCTTTTAAAAGGAAAGAAAATTCGTCACCCCCTGTGCGGCAGCAGCTCCCAAGCAGGCCTGTGCTGCATTCACGTGGCCCGGGGCTGCCACCAGCCCCAGCAGCGAGTCCCAAGGCCACTGACACCTTCTCCCCTCTCTGTTCAGAAATGTTTCTTTCCCTAAAATGAGTCACCTAGTCACCTTCAGCGTGGCTGCTCAAAAGAGGGCTTGGGGACTGGCATGCAGCAGGACGGCCCCAGGGACAGCGTCCTCGGGACAGAACCCGCCATGGGCAGAGGTGGCTCCGAGCCGGTCCTGTCCCAGAGTCACCTGGTGGCCCTCTCCCTGTCCCTCCGTCTGTGGGTCTGGGGCTGGGGGGCCAGGTGTGGGAATGGCCAGAGCTCTCTGGGCTGGTCCTCTTTCCGTGCTGGGATCACTGGGCCCTGGGAACTGGCCGGGGCAAGGTGAGGCCGGGGCTGTGTGCCTGCCCCTCATGCTGAGGAGAGGGGACAGTGGGCGTGTGGTCTGGCTTATCTCTGTGAGCCCCTCTGGTACTGGGCAGGGGCTTCCTCAGGGAAGGACCGGGGTCTCCTCTGCCTGTGGCCGAGGCGTTCTCACTGCCTGCATCACACGGTGTAAGCACGTCCAGCCCACACTCCAAGCGCTTCCCTCCCAGCCTCCGTCCCCTGAGCCCTGGCTCACTATGGCAGGGAAGACCCTTCCTCTCCATCCACACTGGGCATTGAGGCTAGTTTGAGGTCAGTCTCGAGTCCTGCCTGCCTCACTGAGGAAGGATGGGCCCCAGGCCCACCCAGAAGGAACCCAAGAGAGCCCGGCTTCCCCGGGACCCCTGATGGAGTACCGCAGTGGCATGTGAGCCAGGGCTGGGTGGCTCTGACCTTCCCGAAAGCAATCCACTGTGTCCCCCTGGCCCAGGAACCTCATGTGCCCAGCAGCCCGCCCCGAGCTCTCCTCCTCGCTGACCCTCCAGCCACGGGCATGGGCAGGCCTTGCCCCAGAGCTGAGCAGGCAAAGCCGAGGAGGCCCCAGGCATGGGGGCGCTGCAGAGCCTGCGAGGGTAGGGCCAGCGAGGGCTTAGGGATCAGGAAGGGACCGAGGGTGGGCTGTGTCCTGGCTTTCAGGCCCTGGGGCGACCACCAGCCTCTGCTCACTCTGAGGCTCCAGCCAGGGCGCCAAGCCTCAGGACCGTGGGTGGGGCCCAAGGACACTCTGGACCCCCGTTCCATTCATGAGAGGCCCTCAGCACGCCACGTGTCTGCTGTGGCAGCCCGCAGGGAGGGTGGAAGCCTTCTGTAAATTCCACATGTGGCCCCAGGGCATGACGTCCTTGATGAAGGCCGCGCTGGACCTCACCTACCCCATCACGTCCATGTTCTCCGGAGCCGGCTTCAACAGCAGCATCTTCAGCGTCTTCAAGGACCAGCAGATCGAGGTGCACCCCCACCCTCAGGAGCCCATGCAGCCCCCAGTGCCTGTCCCCTCCTGGCCCCCCACCTCTTGGCCCTGGGTCAGCCTCCCCAGACACAGGACAGGAGCGTGATGGGAGAGGGCCCATCTGAGCCCCGTCCGCCCGCAGGACCTGTGGATTCCTTATTTCGCCATCACCACCGACATCACAGCCTCGGCCATGCGGGTCCACACCGACGGTGAGCACTCCTGCTGCGCAGGGCGGCCGCTTGGGTGCGAGGTGTGGGCAGGGGGAGAGCTCAGCAGCCCCAGGGGTTGGGAAGGCCGCGGGGTCTCCTGAAGGATGCAGACGTATGGGCAGCTTTGTCCATGGAGGACACAGGATGCCCCTACTAGGGGCACAGACAGGAGGGGGCGTGGCCTGGGCCAGAGACCTCAGAAGGCTGGAGGAGACCCTCACAGAATCAGCAATGTTGGGCTAGACTGATGGATACCATGTGAGAGGACAAAGTGAGGGGCTCCCTGAGTCCTGGGGTGAGGGGCTCACCTGGTTCAGGGGGATGAGGGGTTCACTCGGTCATGGGGTGAGGGGCTCCCTCAGTCCTGGGGTGAGGGGGTCACAGCAGTTCGAAGTCCTGGGCACATGTAATGCAGTGCGACCCCAGAGAAAGAACTCAATTTTGTTCAGCCCTTGGGCCATGAGCTTCCCTCTGTGGAGGCGGCCTCAGAGAGTTGGGACCTACCAGCTCCAGGACTGCAGTGGCAAGGCCCTGAACCCTGGACCCAGGAGGAGCCTCCTCCGGGTAACCAGCAGCTCCGGGCCCCCTCCCCAGGCTCCCTGTGGTGGTACGTGCGTGCCAGCATGTCCCTGTCCGGTTACATGCCCCCTCTCTGTGACCCGAAGGACGGACACCTGCTGATGGACGGGGGCTACATCAACAACCTCCCAGGTACTGCGGTGGGGGGACCACGCCCGGCAGGAGCACAGGCTCCTGGGTCACGCCGCCCCACGGCCCCTGCCACAGCTGCCTCCGCTCCAAGAAGCCTGGGCTGGAACACGTTTTCCTTAGAGTATGCCAAGGGAAAATGTCAGGCTGGCATCAGAGCTCCGAGAACATGCACACGCGTGTACATGCACACGCAGGCACCGGCAGCATGTGCTCCAGCATATGGCCCTGTTTGTCAGCTCAGCAGCATGCAGAACAAAGGCCAAGTCGAGGAACTGGGAGCAATTAAGCCCCATCTGTGCCCACAGTCAGAAACTAACAGCCTGCAGGTGTCGAGCTTGCTGGGGGCCAGGCCAGGCCACTCCTGTCACCTGTGGGATATACGGTCAGAAAGGCCCAGGACACAGCCGTGTGCCCACAGCTGCCCATCGAGCTGGGCATGTGGGTCTTCTGCCTCTAGAAGGTGTAATGGCGGAGAGGAGACCCCACAACCCCCACGTCAGGGCTCGGAGAGGCAGGCTCTGCCCCCGTCCCCTGGCTCTGCATGCCTGTCCAGGGGGTAACCAGGGCTGGCTTCTCCCTAGCGGATGTGGCCCGGTCCATGGGGGCAAAAGTGGTGATCGCCATTGACGTGGGCAGCCGAGATGAGACGGACCTCACCAACTATGGGGATGCGCTGTCTGGGTGGTGGCTGCTGTGGAAACGCTGGAACCCCTTGGCCACGAAAGTCAAGGTGGGGTGCTACCGGGCAGGCTGGGCTGTCCCTGCTGCTCCTCCCTGCAGCTCCACACCTGTCCTGCGGCAGGGGAGTGGGGGTCGCTCCTGGGCTCTGAGGCCAGCAGGTCTGGGGCCACCCCTCACCACCCCTGCCTGAGCCCAACTCGGGCGAAGGAAGGCACGAGGCCGGACGGGCCTGAAGGCTGTGGCAGCCCGCAGGGAGGACCCCCGGCCGGGTGCTGCTACCCTCTCCCCCCAGAACCTACCTACCCCAGAGGATGGGTCCCCAGAACCTGTCCTGCGCCACGGGCCAGGCTGGGACGGGGTAGGGGCCGGGGCAGGAGACTCAGGCGGCTGTGACGGCAGCAGGTGTTGAACATGGCAGAGATTCAGACGCGCCTGGCCTACGTGTGTTGCGTGCGGCAGCTGGAGGTGGTGAAGAGCAGTGACTACTGCGAGTACCTGCGCCCCCCCATCGACAGCTACAGCACCCTGGACTTCGGCAAGTTCAACGAGATCTGCGTGAGTGCCGGCCACCCGCGGCGGCGGAGGCGGGCGGAGGCACTCTGGTGGCTGCCCCTCCTCGCTTCCCCCTTTTGAGAACACAGGAAGTGGGGGGCTCCCCACACCTCCTGACGGGGCCCTGGGGGTGTGCACAGGAAGTGGGCTACCAGCACGGGCGCACGGTGTTTGACATCTGGGGCCGCAGCGGCGTGCTGGAGAAGATGCTCCGCGACCAGCAGGGGCCGAGCAAGAAGCCCGCGAGTGCGGTGAGTACGGGCGTCCGGACCACGCCCAGCTCCCCGGACCGCGCCCAGTTCTTCGGGCCACGCCCACGCCCAGTTCATCAGGCCACGCCCAGCTCCTCAGGCCACAGGCCCTGCCCCCCTGGCCAAAGACTCCAGGGCCAGGACAAGGATTGCTCAGGACTGCGCATCTCCCCGGTCCCTGCCCTTACTTGGGGGGCAGGCGGAGGCTGCAGAGAGGGCGCAGGGTGGGTGGGGCCTCCCCACAGGAAGCAGGCTGGGGACTGGCAGGCGGGTGTCCACAGGCAACGTGCTGTCCTCACCCCACCCCTAGGTCCTCACCTGTCCCAACGCCTCCTTCACGGACCTTGCCGAAATTGTGTCTCGCATTGAGCCCGCCAAGCCCGCCATGGTGGATGGTGAGTGGAGGCGCAAGACGAAGCCGTGGAGACGTGCGTGACCTCCTGATGCTGTGTTGGGCTTGAACCCCCCCACCCCAGAGGCCCACGGCCTCCCCTCCCGCCCACGTCCACGCCCAGGCTCCAGCAGCTGGGGTGCTTGGTGGCACTCCTCCGTCCCGGGCACCACGTGTTCCCACAGCAGTGGGACTGTGACCACCCCGGGTCACCCAGCCCCTGCCCTTCATTCACCTCAACTCCCAGCCACACCTCAGGCCTGAAGTAGAACCACGTTTTGCCTCCCACCCCACCCAGTGGGAAATGGGAATGAAGGCTGCTTGTTGGAGGGGCCGCAGGACAAGAAGGGCGGGTCCACTACCCTCCATGCTCCATCCAGGGCCCTGCGCTTGGGCCTTCAGCCAGTGGCCTCCTCACAGCAGAACTGGACATTCTCCTGGGAGACGTCTTCATGGCTGCCGCAGGCCGAGAGGGCCCTGGGCAAGGCAGCCCCTATCCACAGTTGCCAGGTCTGGGGTGCTGGAGCCCTCAGGGTGCTTGGCTGACAAGGGGAGGAGTGTCTGCCCGCTCCTTGTCCTTGTGGAAGACCCACGAAGTGATGTGCTGGGGCAAAGCTGGAGCCAGACAGAACCAGGGGTGGTGTGCAGGGCTGCCCTGGGACCAGGTGGCTGCGTGTAGGGCCCCGGGCCACCTTGGAGGCGGGGGTGGGCATCTGTGGCCGGTTCTGCCTCTGAGTGTGGCTATGCTGGGTACGGTCCCTTCCTTGGGAGGGGACTGACGCAGCCCTACCCTCGGTGCCAGACGAATCTGACTACCAGACGGAGTACGAGGAGGAGCTGCTGGACGTCCCCAGGGATGCATACGCAGACTTCCAGAGCACCTCAGCCCAGCAGGGCTCAGACTTGGTGAGGAGCTGGGCATGGTCCCACCTGGTGCCCACAGCTGAGCCTTGGTGCCTGGCCCTGTGCCGGCCACTCCCTCCCTGTGGTCCCACCGGGTTACCAGCGCTGCAGAGCCCCTGCCCTGCCTGGTCCTCACCTGGAACATGCGGTCTGCTTGCAGGAGGACGAGTCCTCACTGCGGCATCGACACCCCAGTCTGGCTTTCCCAAAACTGTCTGAGGGCTCCTCTGACCAGGACGGGTAGAGGCCTCTGCTAAAGAGCCCGGATGCAGCGTCTTCCGTGGGACTGTCCCCAAGGCTGAGGCTCCTGCCAAGTCCTAGGGGCCTCTGTACCTGCCCTGCTGGAAGCCCTGACTTCCCCGGGGCCCCAGGCTGTGTTAGGGTTCTCTGGGCCTCTTCTTTGTACCAGCAGCCCTGCATACAGGGCCCTGTGAGCCCCCCTGCAGTCCTGTGAGGCCCCTGAAGCTCTGTGAGGCCCCTGAAGCTCTGTGAACCCCCTGCAGCCCTGTGAGGCCCCCCGAAGCCCTGTGAGGCCCCCCGAAGCCCTGTGAACCACCTGCTGCCCTGTGAGGCCCCCAAAGCCCTGTGAACTGCCTGCTGTCCTGTGAACTGCCTGCTGCCCTGTGAGGTGTGGGAGCCCTGATGCTGCCGTGTGATGTTTCAATAAAGGTGGATCTCACTGTTGGACGTGTCTCCCGGGCCGAGGTCCCTGTGGCAAAGAAACACTACTGGTTCTCCCTGATGCGGGTGGTCCCTGAGGCTGGGCAGTCCCCAGTCCTCCTCAAAGGACCCCACTGCTGGGGCCTGAGAGCCCTAGGGCGGCAAATGCAGGCCAGGCAGGTAGGGCGTCCAGAGTCTGCATAGAGCTGTGGCCCCCCAGGACCAGGACGGGCCCCTCTGTCTCTCTCTGGCCTCGTGCAAACTGGGTGCCCCCTAAACTGGCTTCCCCTTCGGTTTCCAGTTCCCAAACTGCACAGGGAGCCCTTTTGTGTAAGGGGAGGGAGAACCGGCCTCCCTGTGATCCTGCAGGTCTGAGCAGCAGATCGTGAGGGCCGAGGGCCCAGGACTTTGCGACCAGGGGGCCGCTGGCCTCAGTTTCCCCGCTCTGGAGGCCTGGACGAGAGGGCGCGGAGCCAGGCCGCCCGGCCCCGCCCCCAACTCAACCCGGGCCCGGACGTCACGGTGGGCGGGGCCACATGTCCTCTCCGAGCTCTCCGGGGCCCTGACGTCACGGTAGGTGGGGCCGACCGCCCCTCTGGGCCCGCCCGGGCCCTGACGTCACGATGGGCGGGGCCGGCCCTCGGTTCGGGCAGCGCTCTCCCGGGAGCGGCGGCACGCGCGGAGCGCCGGGTGCGGCCATGCGGGGACCGGGCCCGACCCCGAGCCCGACCCCGAGCCCAAGCCCGAGCCGGAGCCCGAGCGAGACCCCGAGCCCGAGCCCGAGCGCGACCCCCGGTGCGGCGCGGCTACCCCGGCGGAGGCGGCGGGCGCGGGGCGCGCTCTGAGGCCCGGGGGATGCGCCGCCGCCTCGACCATGGGCGCCGCCGCCTCCAGGAGGAGGGCGCTGAGGAGCGAGGCCATGTCCTCGGTGGCGGCCAAAGTGCGGTGAGTGCGGCGGGGCCGCCTTCCCGCACCCCGCCCTGGACCTCCGACCCCGCCCGAGTCCGCCCCTGCCCCGCGGTGCTCCCCGGGCTCCCGGGCCCCGGCCTCTGCCACTGAGGCGCCCTCCCCGCGCCCCGCGCCTCCCTCTTCCTGGTCCCCTGCCCTGCTCTTCCCTCCCCTCCCCTCGCGAGCGCGTGGTGGGCGAGCGCACCCCCCAGGTCGGGAGTGGCCTCGGTTCCCCCGGGGAACAGCAGCCGACCGGCCTCGCGACCCCTCTCCACGGTCCGACGGGCAGGGGCCGGGCCTGCAGGCCTGGCCAGGGCGCACCAGGACCAAGGGTGTGTGGGCTCCCGGAGGGGGACGACCCCGACCCTCCTTCCAGACGCCGAGGGCCTGGCTGGGGACCGGACCCCCGGCTCTTGCGCGGCCCGGTGTTTGGGAGGGTCGTGCCGTGGCCTCTGACCGTGCCCTCTGTCCACCCTCAGAGCAGCCCGAGCGTTTGGAGAGTACCTGTCCCAGAGTCACCCTGAGAACCGCAACGGCGCAGGTAGGGGCACGCGAGGCCGTGCCAGGGCCGCCCAGACCCCCCAGCCCAAGGGATGCTGATCCCTGCCTCCGGGGGTGGAGCGTGAGGGGCATTGGTTGCGCGTGGGCCCGGCGCCCTGCCGGCCTGGCTTCCTTACATCCCCTGCCCTCCCTGCCCGAGCCCCAGGAGCAGTTCCCAGCCGCTCGTCACCATGGCACCCACCCCGCCTGGGCCGTTGGCATGGCAACAGGCCTCCTGGCTCCCCCAGGGCTGGCACCACTGCCTCTGGGGGCCAGCTGGTGGGGGGAGGGGGAAGTTGGCACCAGGCAAACGGTGCGATCGCAGGCTGGGGGATGGCCTGCGTGTTCCTACCCGGCAGGACCGCACACAGGTAGCACAGCGTCACCCAGCCCCCACGCACATGCTAGAGCTTCAGGCCCAGATAGGAGTGAGGGGCTCAGAAACACGCCAGTGACTAGGGTTTGGGCAGCCCTAGTCCCCCACAGAGGCCAGGTGCCCACTGGGTGTTCTCTGCCTTCGGCCTGCTATGAAACCGGCAGCGGGGGGCCCACACGCGGCAGGCAGGCTCACTCAGTGTCTCTCCTAGATCACCTGCTGGCTGATGCCTACTCTGGCCACGACGGGTCCCCCGAGATGCAGCCGGCCCCCCAGAACAAGCGCCGCCTGTCCCTCGTCTCCAACGGCTGCTACGAGGGCAGCCTCTCAGAGGAGCCCAGCATTAGGAAGCCCGCAGGCGAGGGCCCTCAGCCTCGAGTGTACACCATCTCTGGGGAGCCTGCCCTGCTGCCCAGCCCTGAGGCGGAGGCCATTGAGCTGGCGGTGGTGAAGGGGCGGCGGCAGCGGCACCCTCACCATCACAGCCAGCCCCTGCGCGCCAGCCCTGGTGGCAGCCGGGAGGACGTCAGCAGGCCCTGCCAGAGCTGGGCGGGCAGCCGCCAGGGCTCCAAGGAGTGCCCCGGATGTGCCCAGCTGGCTCCTGGCCCCACCCCTCGGGCCTTTGGGCTGGACCAGCCACCTCTGCCTGAGACCTCCGGTCGCCGCAAGAAGCTGGAGAGGATGTACAGCGTTGACCGTGTGTCTGGTGAGGGGTTTGTGTCAGGGCATAGACAGGTTTGGGGGTGCATGCCGCTGCCAGGGTCTGACAGCAGCAGCCACTGTGAGGCTTGGAACAGAGAACAGGTGCTCAGGTCACAGCATGCCAGCGGACTCAAGATTAAAACCGGCAGGCTTCTGCTGCGGCCTCCACACCCTATGAGCTGTGAGCTCCCTCAGCTCCTCAGCAAAATCTGCCAGGCCTCACAGTCCGCTTTCGCCCTGCTAGCACCAGGTCAATCAAGGAGTGCTTCCTGGAGGAGGGGGCCTGGGAGGATCTTAAGGGATATGTAGGGAGGAAGCACCGCTTAATCAGGAGACTGGGCTGCCCTCCGAGAGTCCTGGGGAGCTGTTGGGGCCCAGCCAGGCAGTGGGCATCTTTCCCCAGGGTTGTTGAGTTGTGTGGTAGCTTGTCCACCAGGCAGAAAGTCACTCCACTGTCCCCACACTTGGGCATCAGGGAAAGGCTGTGGGGGCCCTCGGAAGGGGACAGCCCTCAGCAAGGTGGTCTCTAGCCTCGGTGAGGGCCTCCAGCTAGAGCATGGGGGCTGCAGAGAAGGCCTCAGAGCCTCTTCTGCCCAAGGGAAACAGACGCATTGTTTTCCTGGGCCTCCTGGAGACAGACTGTGCTTTCAAAGGAATGTTTCTCAAACTTTGGGTGGCCAAAGGGAAAGTTAAGCCAAAAAAATCAAAGCGTCAAGTTACCAAGAGCGTGGTCTTGGTGAGTGAGCAGCAGACATTCGAGCACTGCCCTCTGTGCCCGTGTGGGGATGCCACCCTCCCCCCACCCGCCCTGGCTGCCAGCTTCTGCTGACCCCTGGACCCAGAAGCATCTGCTTCCCAACAGGGAGGGAGAGGCTTCAGGAACCCCTACTTCACCCAGCCACCGCTCCTTTTTGTCTCTCTTAGACGACATCCCTATTCGTACCTGGTTCCCCAAGGAAAATCTTTTCAGCTTCCAGACAGCAACCACAACTATGCAAGCGTGAGTCTTGTGCCCACGACTTGGGGTCAGGGTTGGGTGGTCTCTTTCTGCTGCTCAGGAAACAGCACTTTTTCCCAGTCTCTGGGCCTACCAGGGGGGCTGCTTCTGAACAGACCCACGTGCCTATGCTGTGCCAGGCCTGCCAGGGAGGCCAGGGCTGACTGCTCTTCCCCTCCCATGGCTGGTGCCCAGCCCCCCCCCCCACACACACACAGTCAGGGGACCTGGCCCAGGGCTGCAGCTGATGAGCTCTCAGTGGGGTGTGGGGTGTGGCAGGTTCTCCTGCTCCTATCCACTCTCCTCAGCCTGTGTCTGCCCTCCCTCAAACCCCAAATAGAAGCCTACTTCTGTTTCATACGTGCCATAGGTCATCACAGTTTCAGGGTCCCCGCAGGGACCTGCTCCTCTCTGTCTTGACATACATTTGGCTTTTCTGTTCTGGGATTCCTTCCAGGGAAGTTCCCTTTGCTGCATTGGTCCCCACACCAAAGAAGTGTCCTGCCCGGGGGAGTCCACCCCACACCCAGCCTCAGGCTGCCTGGTCTCAGCAACCAGTCCTTGTGGCATGGGCTGCAGTGACATCAGCTTCCGTTGCCCATTCAGGGCTGGCCAGCAGTGTAGCCAGCATCCTGCTGGTGGCTGGGTTACCTGTGAGGGACCTATTGGGTCAGTGACAAGAAGGGAACTGTAGGGACCGGGTGGGGGCTGAGGGGAGGCCCGGGGTTGAGCTCACTGTGTCTTCTCTCTCACGCCATCCCTTCTGGCCCTGGCTTCAGCATCTCGTAAGTACCTGTATGACTTGGTGCCTAAGGGCACAGCTGTTGTCCCTGGGGAGACCCTCCCACCCCAAATAGGTTTGGGCAGGCCAGGGACCTGGGTCTTGAGGGAGTGCCGCTCTCTGCGGGCCTGGCTCCCAGCGGGCACCGAGGTCGCAGCAGGGCCTGCTGGGAGCTGGGCCTCGACAGGTGAGGCAGGCTGGGACTCCTCTGCCGGGCCCCGTGCCCCAGACGCCCTGCTGGGCCCTCTGCTCGCACCACTGTCCCGACGTCTGTGTCCCTCCTGCCTCCGGCCAAGGGCAGTGCTGACTCGCGGTGGTTTCCCAGGGTGTTCAGGGGCTACGCGGAGAGGAAGCGCCGGAAACGGGAGAATGATTCCGCGTCTGTAATCCAGAGGTAGGGCCTGCCAGCCACTCGCCACCAGGGTCCATCTCTGGTCTGTGCTGGCCTGGCCTGGGCCCCCTCGGCCCTGGCAGACCTGATGGGGGAAGGGTGGTGGCGACCACTGGCCTGGCCCTGCTCTGGGGACGTGGCAGGCAGGAGAGGCCATGTGGCCCGGGCTGCAGGAAAGCATCTCACCCTCAGTCCTGCACTCCGAGGGCACGTGTCTCTGTCTGGGCTGGGGCCAGCAGCAAGGCCCCCCTCCCCCACTCCAATCACACAGATGTGTCTGGGAAGCTTTTTTGCCCGTTTTGGATGTTGGGCCTTGGCAGGGTCCAAAGTTTGGTGGAGGAGAGGACCTGCCCCTGAGGTGGCTCAAGGACACAGAGCAGGAGAGGGGGCTCCTGCAGGCCCCCAGCCCGCCATGGGGTGGTGCAGACAGGAGCCCCGCTCTGCTGCAGCGCAGGCAGGCTGGATCCTCTGCCACATGGGCGTGGAGGCTCAGGGCGTAAGTCCCGGGCGAGGACGGAAGGTCAGAGCCTGGGAATGCAGCTCGGGAGGAGACTTGATCCAGAGCGCCAGGCACTGCACCTTTGTTCTGGAGTTGAAGGGGAGCCCTGGAAGGCTGTCGCGGGAAGAGCACTGGGTGGGATTTGCCTTTGGGTGGGAGGTGGTGCCAGGAGCCAGGGAGAGCACTGGCTTCCCACACCGAAGGGGTGAGAGTAGAGCCATGACCCGACGGGGGCTAGGTGGGCAGGGGCTGCCGTCACCCTCTCACGGCCCTCTTCAGCCCCTGGCTTCCTCCCCCAGGAACTTCCGCAAACACCTGCGCATGGTCGGCAGCCGGAGGGTGAAGGCCCAGAGTAAGACCCCGTGCGGCGGGGGTGGGGGGGCGGCGTTGCGCTTGGCTGGTTGGGGCTTTGCTTGCTGCTAGCTGCGATAAGAACGACCCCCGCCCCAACCCCAATCGGGCCCTGCCTCAGGCTCCTCCCCTTCCAGCCACTTCCCCAGCCCGGCCCAGGCTCCTCCCCTCCCAGCCACGCCCCCAGCCCGGCCCAGGCTCCTCCCCTCCCAGCCACGCCCCCAGCCCGGCCCAGGCTCCTCCCCTCCCAGCCACGCCCCCAGCCCGGCCCAGGCTCCTCCCCTCCCAGCCACGCCCCCAGCCCGGCCCAGGCTCCTCCCCTCCCAGCCACGCCCCCAGCCCGGCCCAGGCTCCTCCCTTCCCAGACTCCGCCTCTGGCCCTGCCCCAGTGTTCTCAGATCCTGCCCCTGAACCAACCGAGCCTCTGGTCCGTGTCTGCTTCATGTGCCTTAGACCCCACCCACATTAGCTTCCTCCTCTGCCCAGGGCCCCTGTGGTCCCCTCGCCTGGGGTCTGAGACTCCCGAGGCCCCGCCCCACCCGCTCGCTAATGCGGGTTTTGCTCTCTGCAGCGTTCGCTGAGCGGCGCGAGCGGAGCTTCAGCCGGTCCTGGAGCGACCCCACCCCCATGAAAGCCGACACTTCCCACGACTCCCGAGACAGTAGGTGCCCCGCACAGGCCCGCCCACCTTCCCCAGAGCCTCCCCTAGACCCCAGACCCCTGCTGGGGGTCCCCTGCCAGGGCCGCTGGGCTGCGCTTTTGCACTCCTGAATCTTGGTTTACCTGTTTGTGAGATGGGGACGCCCTCAGCATCTCCGATCGCAAAGGCGGGGCTAACAACGGCCGCGGCAGTGCTGGCCGGGGGCGCCTGTAGGGCCGTGCCCACCGCCACTCGCAAGAGGCCCTCAGGGGCAGGGGGCTGCGGTGCCCGCCCCCACTCCCTCCCAGGCGCCCGGCGGACTTGGCTGGAGCTGATGCCTGCACGCGCCTTCCACCGGCCTCGCACCAGGGTCTCCCTTCCCACATCAGGCCGCTGCCCAGTGGTGTCCACAGGCCTGTCCTGCCGGGCTGGCGGCGACCTCTGTATGGTCCTCCCACTTGCTTGGAGGACCCTCCGGGATGGGGCTTTCGGGCCCTGTGGGCCTTGGGGCCATGGCCAGGATAGGAGGTGCTGCCGGGCCTGCTGTCCTGGTGACCCTCTTGCTTCCCAGGCAGTGACCTGCAGAGCTCCCACTGCACGCTGGACGAGGCCTTCGAGGACCTGGACTGGGACACTGAGAAGGGCCTGGAGGCTGTGGCCTGCGACACCGAAGGCTTCGTGCCACCAAAGGTCATGGTGAGGCCCAGCCCGGGCAGTGCTCCTCTACACCCCGAGCAGGACTCCGCCCCAACCCGAGTCCAGCCAGCTCTGCCTGGGACCACGCAGCCTTCTCCAGCTGCCTGGGGGAGGGTGTCTCACAGGGCTATACCCTTGGGCTGCCTGGCAGCCAGAAGGTAGCCTCATGGGGGCTCCCACAGCCCCTTGGCTTTTGGATGGGCCTGGGGCCCCTGAGCAGCTCTTTGTCTCCGCAGCTCATTTCCTCCAAGGTGCCCAAGGCTGAGTACATCCCCACTATCATCCGCCGGGATGACCCCTCCATCATCCCCATCCTCTACGTGAGTCCCGCCCCGGGCCTGCCCCCAACAGATGCCCTCTTGCGGCCCCACCCTGGGCCAGCGCCGGCACCCCAGGTCCCCAGGGTGCTGTGGCGCTGCTGGCTCTGACGCAGCCTTGATGTGGCCTTGTGGCCTGTGTCTGTCCCCAGGACCATGAGCACGCAACCTTCGAGGACATCCTTGGTATGTGCCTCATTGGCCTTCTCTCTGCTGGTTCCAGGCCTGGGAGGGGCAGACACAGGTGGGGGTGCCCCTGGGGCTGGGGTGGGGGCCGCAGCACTCACACCCGCTCTCCCACAGAGGAGATAGAGAGGAAGCTGAACGTCTACCACAAGGGAGCCAAGATCTGGAAAATGCTGATTTTCTGCCAGGTGGGGCTCAGTGCTCGTCTCCTGACCAGGAGAAGAATCGTGGTGGGGCAGGGGAAGACCAAGGGGAAGAAGTCAAGTTGGGGGAGACCAAGGGGAAGAGGTTGGGGTGGGGAGACCAAGGGGAAGAGGTGTTTGTGGGGGAGACCAAGGGGAAGAGGCGTGGGGGTGGAGACCAAGGGGAAGAGGTGTGGCTGGGGGAGACCAAGGGGAAGAGGCTGGGGTGGGAAGACCAAGGGGAAGAGGTGTTTGAGGGGGAGACCAAGGGGAAGAGGTGTGGCTGGGGGAGACCAAGGGGAAGAGGCTGGGGTTGGGGAAGACCAAGGAGAAGAGGCGTAGATGTTGAGGGGGAAAGATCAAGGAGAAGAGGCGTGTGGCGGGGGGAAACGAAGGGGAAGAGGCGTGTGGCTGGGGGAGACCAAGGGGAAGAGGTGTGGCTGGGGGAGACCAAGGGGAAGAGGCTGGGGTTGGGGAAGACCAAGGAGAAGAGGTGTAGACATTGAGGGGGAAAGATCAAGGAGAAGAGGCGTGTGGCGGGGGGGAAATGAAGGGGAAGGGGCGTGTGGCTGGGGGAGACCAAGGGGAAGAGGTGTTTGGGGGGTAGATCAAGGAGAAGAGACGTGGCGGGGGAAGACCAAGGGGAAGAGGCGTGTGGCGGGGGAGATCAAGGGGAAGAGACGTGGCGGGGGAGATCAAGGGGAAGAGACGTGGCGGGGGAGATCAAGGGGAAGAGACGAGGGGCAGGGGAAGATCAAGGGGAAGAGGCGTGTGGAGGGGGAGATCAAGGGGAAGAGGCATGGTGGGGAGATCAAGGGGAAGAGGCGTGTGGCCAAGGAAGACCAAGGGGAAGAGACGTGGCGGGGGAGACCAAGGGGAAGAGGCGTGTGGTGGGGAAGACCAAGGGGAAGAGGCGTGGAGGGCAGAACAAGGGGAAGAGGCGTGTGGCGCGGGAGATCAAGGGGAAGAGACGTGGCGGGGGAGATCAAGGGGAAGAGACGTGGCGGGGGAGATCAAGGGGAAGAGACGAGGGGCAGGGGAAGATCAAGGGGAAGAGGCGTGTGGAGGGGGAGATCAAGGGGAAGAGGCATGGTGGGGAGATCAAGGGGAAGAGGCGTGTGGCCAAGGAAGACCAAGGGGAAGAGACGTGGCGGGGGAGACCAAGGGGAAGAGGCGTGTGGTGGGGAAGACCAAGGGGAAGAGGCGTGGAGGGCAGAACAAGGGGAAGAGGCGTGTGGCGCGGGAGATCAAGGGGAAGAGACGTGTGGCAGGGGAAGATCAAGGGGAAGAGGCGTGTGGAGGGGGAGATCAAGGGGAAGAGACGTGGAGGGGAGATCAAGGGGAAGAGACGTGGTGGGGGAGATCAAGGGGAAGAGACGTGGCAGGGGAGATCAAGGGGAAGAGACGAGGGGCAGGGGAAGATCAAGGGGAAGAGGCGTGTGGAGGGGGAGATCAAGGGGAAGAGGCGTGGGGGGGAGATCAAGGGGAAGAGGTGTGGGGGGGAGATCAAAAGGAAGAGGCGTGGCGGGCAGGTCAAGGGGAAGAGGCATTGGGGGGAGATCAAGGAGAAGAGCGTGTGGTGGGGGAGATCAAGGGGAAGAGGCATTGGGGGGAATTAAGAGGAAGAGGCGAGGGGGGGAGATCAAGAGGAAGAGGCGGGGGAAGATCAAGGGGAAGAGGCGTGTGGTGGGGGAAATCAAAGGGAAGAGGCGTGTGGTGGGGGAGATCAAAGGGAAGAGGCGTGTGGTGGGGGAGATCAAAGGGAAGAGGCGTGTGGTGGGGGAGATCAAGGGGAAGAGGCGTGTGGTGGGGGAGATCAAAGGGAAGAGGTGTGTGGTGGGGGAGATCAAAGGGAAGAGGCGTGTGGTGGGGGAGATCAAAGGGAAGAGGCATGTGGTGGGGGAGATCAAGGGGAAGAGGCGTGGGGGGGAGATCAAAGGGAAGAGGCGTGTGGTGGGGGAGATCAAGGGAAAGACGTGTGGTGGGGGAGATCAAGGGGAAGAAGCGTGGCCGGGGGATGAAGACCAAAACTACCTCCCACGCATGTGCGTGGGTGCATGTGTGTCGGAGAGGGGGAGGAAGGAGGAGCAGATGCCTGACCACAGCTTCTTACAGGGAGGTCCTGGACACCTCTATCTCCTCAAGAACAAGGTGGCCACCTTTGCCAAAGTGGAGAAGGAAGAGGACATGATTCAGTGAGAAGCCGGGTGCCCTGGGCGCGGGGAGGGCTGGAGGCAGAGTCCAGGCCCTGGCATGTCCCTCCCCCACAGCCCCTCCTCCACGGTCCGCTCTGTGGAGTGGGGTGCCTGTCCCCTGCCACTGGGTGACCCACCCCTCTCCACCAGCTTCTGGAAGCGGCTGAGCCGCCTGATGAGCAAAGTGAACCCAGAGCCGAACGTCATCCACATCATGGGCTGCTACATTCTGGGGAACCCCAATGGAGAGAAGGTACAGTGACCCCCAAGCCCCACCCCAGACCTCTGGAAACCCCCGACGTGGACAGACAGGGCAGAGCCTTCCATGTTTCCTGGCATTTTTTTTCCTTCCCCCGGGCATTCCCCTAGAAATCCTTTATGCCTGAGCCCAGCCAGGTTTGGGGGGTCTGAAAAAAGAGGGTGGGCCCTGCTCCCCATCTCCTCCCCGCTCCTCCTTCCCCATCTCTCTGCCTCGGACTCATGGCACCCCGCTTCCTCCAGCTGTTCCAGAACCTCAGGACCCTCATGACTCCTTATAGGGTCACCTTCGAGTCACCCCTGGAGCTCTCAGCCCAAGGTGAGTTACCCAGGCTGGGCCGAAGCTCTGCAGCCACTGCGGGGCCACGGTGGGGTGGGATCCCCAGGGCCGGCCAGGCCTGAGCCTCCTGCCCCCGCTCCGCCCAGGGAAGCAGATGATCGAGACGTACTTTGACTTCCGGTTGTATCGCCTGTGGAAGAGCCGCCAGCACTCGAAGCTGCTGGACTTTGACGACGTCCTGTGAGGGGCAGAGGCCTCCGCCCAGTCACCATCAGGCCACTCCCTCTGCACCGGGACCTGGGGCTGGGCCGCCTCGTGCTCCCCGGGACTGTGTGGCTCCGGTCTCGCCTGGAGCCACTTCAGGGCACCTCAGACGTTGCTCAGGTTCCCCCTGTGGGTTCCGGTCCTCGCTGCACCCGTGGCCGCAGAGGCTGCAGTCCCTGGGGGCCGGGAGGATCCCGCCCTGTGGCCCGTGGATGCTCAGCGGCCAGGCACTGACCTGCCATGCCTCGCCTGGAGGCTCAGCTGTGGGCATCCCTCCATGGGGTTCATAGAAATAAGTGCAATTTCTACACCCCCGAAACAATTCAAAGGGAAGCAGCATTTCTTGTTAACTAGTTAAGCACTATGCTGCTAGTTACAGTGTAGGCACCCCGGCCCAGCAGCCCAGCAGCCCACATGTGTTCAGGACCCTCCCTGCCCACCCCCTCCCTGCCGTATCGATCACCAGCACCAGGGTGGCCCGTGTGCGTGGGGCCAGCGTCGCCGGGCTGCCCAGCCTGGCTCTGTCTACACTGGCCGAGTCTCTGGGTCTGTCTACACTGGCCGAGTCTCCGACTGTCTGTGCTTTCACTTACACTCCTCTTGCCACCCCCCATCCCTGCTTACTTAGACCTCAGCCGGCGCCGGACCCGGTAGGGGCAGTCTGGGCAGCAGGAAGGAAGGGCGCAGCGTCCCCTCCTTCAGAGGAGGCTCTGGGTGGGGCCTGCTCCCCATCCCCCCAAGCCCACCCAGCACTCTCATTGCTGCTGTTGAGTTCAGCTTTTACCAGCCTCAGTGTGGAGGCTCCATCCCAGCACACAGGCCTGGGGCTTGGCAGGGGCCCAGCTGGGGCTGGGCCCTGGGTTTTGAGAAACTCGCTGGCACCACAGTGGGCCCCTGGACCCGGCCGCGCAGCTGGTGGACTGTAGGGGCTCCTGACTGGGCACAGGAGCTCCCAGCTTTTGTCCACGGCCAGCAGGATGGGCTGTCGTGTATATAGCTGGGGCGAGGGGGCAGGCCCCCCTTGTGCAGAGCCAGGGGTCTGAGGGCACCTGGCTGTGTTCCCAGCTGAGGGAGGGCTGGGGCGGGGGCCGGGCTTGGAACGATGTACGATACCCTCATAGTGACCATTAAACCTGATCCTCCACCGCGGCCGCCGCGTGGGTCTGTCCTCTCAGTGCTTTCCAGGGGCCTTCCTGTGCCCAGCTTCTGGGCCCACTCCTGTGAGGTCACTGCTGCAGGGCCTTCCTGCCTGGACAGAGTTGGAGCTAGGCCACTAGACCACCCCACAGGGCATAGCCAGGGGGACCAGCACAGGAGGGGACGGAGAGGAGCTGCAGGAGGGCTGGGGGGAGGCTGCAGTCTCGGAGGGGGGCCTCGCCGGGTCTGGAGGGGACAGCAGAGACAGCCCGTTCCCCCTGCCGCCTGAGGGCACCAGGGAGAGGGCTGTATGTCCCTCACGCCACACTGTGTGTGCAGTCAGCAGTGTGGCCACAGATGGGGGCCACTCTCTCAACCTCAGGTGTCCTCAGGGCCCAGACCGCTGCTGGGCACAGCCAGGCTGGCTGCCAGCTGGTTCCCTGCCCCGTGGCTGGGGGACAGAGCAGCACGTATCAGCTGGGCTAGGGTCAGGGGGCCACTGGTGCGCAGCCTGGCACAGCCTGGCAGGCTTGAGGCCCAGTGTGCTGGGGGTGGTCACACAGCCGTCAGCCACCTCCAGCTCTTCCAGGGCATTCTAGATGGGGTCCCGGGAGGGGGCAGGTTTTGGTGCCAATTTGAGTGTATAAAGTTTTAGGTAAATACCAAATGCCTGTAGACTCTGTGTTATTCAGTTACTATTTGAAAGTGACATATCGTGAAATCATGGGGGATCCGAGTCTCCTTTCTGCAAAGTTGATGAGACAAGTCGCCACCGCCTGGAATCTGCTGACGCTGCCGTGCAGGCCTCAAGGGTGGCACTCTTCAAAGTAGGACAGCATGCGAGGTCGCCACGTGCCCACACACTGCACTGCTCCAAAGGCACATCTGTCCGTCACCTGAGCTCTGAGACCCAGAACAGCCACAGGGACCCTGCAGTCCTAACCCGTCAGGTGGCTCCTGGGGCTGCTGCCAGCCGCATGCCTGTCCCACACAGTCCGGTCCGTAGGGTCTGCTGGAGTGAGTAAGGCCTGGGGGGCCTTATGTATGGTCCATGAGGTTCCATTCCTCATGCCATGACCACCGGGGGAAGTGAAAGGAGGAAGACACGTCAAAGCCAGCAGGCCCAGGAGCAGACATAGAAGGAGGTGGCCCCACAGGAGCAGACGCAGAAGTGCCAACGGGGAAGGAGGTGGCCCCAAGTGGAGGCAGGCTGGGCCAGGGCGGGGGGCCGGTGACCAGGGCAACCTCGGCTACTTTGCTGCACCCGCCCTCGCCTCCCTTGAAATACAAAAACAGCAGCAGCCAGAAATAGTTGGGGAAGAAATAAGAAATATTTGCCACACATGGGAGTGATTAAGGTCCTTAATATTTAAAGAGTTTTTATATGTTGCTAAAGAAAATGACAAAAACCGATATGGAAAAGTGAGCAGAGATGTGGAGAAATCATTCGCAGAGCAGGAAACTGGCTGGTAATTCCATGAAGAAAGTCCTCATCCCATCAGGAATCATGGAAAGGCCAATGAAAGCGACGAGGTAACCCCCTTTTCAATTTGAGAGGGTTTTGATCTGTCGCGCAGGCTGGGGCTCACCGCTGTCTTGACCTCCTGGGCTCAAGCGATTCTCCCACCCGCTCAGCCTCCGGAGTAGCTGGGACTACAGGCATCACCACGCCTGGCTAATTCTTTTATGTTTTGTAGAGACAGGGTCTCACTCTGTTGCCCAGGCTAGTCTCAAACTCCTGGCCTCGAGCAATCCTCCTGCCTCCTCAGCCTGTTACAGCTTTTTTTTTTAAGGTAATCTGGTAACAGCTCTTAAAAGTAGTGTGACTGATGAGTGCACAAGCCCGTCCAGCCCCAGCCGCCCCCTGGCACCTTTTCTGAGGGTGTCTACTGCCCCGCTGTGCTGTGCCCGCTAATCTGGGTGTGGCCCGATCGCACAATGGCTTTTCTGGAAGGATCCGATGCTCACGAGGCTTATTGCTAAGGAGGAAGATGCAACAGGTCCAGCTGTTCCAAGTGACTGGGTCACGCTTCACATCGATGTGCAATGTCTCCTGCCACCTGCCTGGATGCACTCTCGTGACTACCTGGCAGGCTGGGAACAGCACGGGGGAGGCCCCCGCCTGCCCCAGCGACCTGCCTGCCCTGCTCTCAAGTGCAGACCCCCAGGTCTGCACTTCCACGCTCACTACACAACCCCAAGTGGCCCCCCGGGTGGCCCCGTGGCCGGATGTGCACCCAGCAGAGCAGCCACCCTTGAGACCTGGGGTGTGGTCTGGGGGCTGTGTGGAGACCTCCCGCCAGGGTGCAGGAGTGTCTAAGGGCAAGCAGAGGTGTGATTCCTGTCTGTAAGGTAAAACCCCCGTGAGCAGGAATCAATAATGTAGACATGATCGGAATGGTGGAGGGAGCTGTGGCGGTCACACCCTTGCTGTTAGCATTGCCTCTGTGGGGGCAGGAGACAGCAAACATAAAACCTGTCCCTGAAAGGGGCAAGATGGCCCCGATGGCTCCCTGCACCTGTCCTGGTGCCTGCAGGCAGGCGGGTCAGCTCCCCTCCCGCTGCCAAATCTCCCACGTCTCTGTGCGCTCTGTCACCCCTGCTTTCTGGCCTGAGGGCTGGGAAGGGAGGTCTGGGGAGCCCAGGAGCTGAGAAGTACCCAAAAACCACCCCCAACGCCCCCCAACCCTCAGGCGTGCCTGTGAGTGTGTCTGTGTGTCTCACTCTGACTCACCCAGACAACTGACTTCAGCAGCCAACCTTGGTCATTCCCAGAACCACCACTGGGGGGCATACGTGTGGCTAGACTGGGGGCGCCCGAATATCTGTCTCTACAAAAAGTAAAAAAAAAATTAATGGGGTGTGGTGGTGGTGCGTGCCTGTGGTGTCAGCTGCTTGGGACGCTGGGGCAGGAGGATCACTTGAGCCCGAGAATTCAAGGCTACAGTGAGTTAAGATTACGCCACTGCACTCCATCCTGGGTGACAGAGCAAGACCTTGTCTCAAGAAAAAATTTTTAAATGAGTAAAATTTTAAAAAACAGATTTTGTCAGTCTTTCTGTCATTTCAACGCCTTCTCAACCTTGGTGTCTGCTGATGGCCTCTTCCCTGCTGGTCAGGATTCTCACAGTTCTTTGGGTGTGGAGGAATTCTGGTTTGTAATTTTTTTTTTTTTCTTAGAGTCTCTTTCTGTTGCCCAGGCTGGAGTGCAGTGGCACAATCTCGTCTGACTGCAACCTCCACCTTCCGGGTTCAAGTAATTCTCCTGCTTCAGACTCCCAAGTAGCTGGGATTACAGGCACCCACCACCACGCTTGGCTAATTTTTCGTATTTTTAGTAGAGACAGGGGTTTCACCATGTTGACCAGGCTGGTCTCGAACTCCTGACTTCAGGTGATCCACGTGCCTTGGCCTCCCAAAGTGCTGGGATGACAGGCATGAGCCACCACGCCTGGCCTGGTTTGTAATGTTTTGAATCTTACTTAATATGAGACTCGGAGTCTTCCTTTTATCCTATGGTGAACATTGCTGTTTTAGTTTCAGCCTCAGTGGCTATTGGTCCAAGGTCAGTTTTTCTCCAAGATTTTGGGGCACCCTCTGGTCTAGTCACACGTATGCCCCCCAGTGGTGGTTCTGGAATGACCAGGCTGGTCCTGAACTCCTGGCCTCAAGTGATCCTCCTGCCTTGGCCTCCCAAAGTGCTGGGATGACAGGTGTGAGCCACCATGCCCGGCCTGAAGACTTTAAAGTAGCTATTATAGCGGTGCCTAACTGAGCCATCGTGAGCACTTAAAATGTCAGAAGAGAAAGTCTCAGCAAAGGCTGGGCCCAGTGGCTCACGCCTGTCATCCTAGCACATTGGGAGGCCGAGGCGGATGGATCACTTGAGCACAGAAGTTTGAGAGAAGCTTGGGCAACATGGTGAAACCCTGTTTCTACTAAAAACAAAAACAAAAACAAAAATCAGCCGGGCACAGTGGTGCATGCCTGTGGTCCCAGCTACTTGGGAGGCTAAGGAGGGAGGATTGCTTGAGCCAGGGAGTTCACAGCTGCAGTGAGCTATGATCCTGCCACTGGGCCCGGTGGCTCACGCCTGTAATCCCAGCATTTTGGGAGGCCGAGGTGGGCGGATCACCTGCGTTCAGGAGTTCGAGACCAGCCTGGCCAACCTGGTGAAACCCTGTCTCTATTAAAAATACAAAAAAATTAGCCGGGTGTGGTGGCGCATGCCTGTAATCCCAGCTACTGGGGAGGCTGAGGCAGGAGAATCACCTGAACCTGGGAGGCAGAGGTTGCCGTGAGCCTACGTTGTGCCACTGTACTTCAGCCTGGGCAACAGAGTGAGACTTCGTCTCAAAAAAAAAAAATTTATATATATGTATATGTTTTAACTGAATAAAATGAAAATACAACATATCAAAAATTGAGAGAGATAGCTAAACAGTGCTTAAGAGGGAAATTCATAGCACAAATGCTTACATTAGAAAAAAAGAAAGGTTCAAGTCAATAATCTAACCTTCTGCATTAAGAAACCAGAAAAGGAGGAGCAATATAAGCTCAAATCAAGCAGAAGAAAGGAAATACAAGTAAGAGCAGAATTAAAATAATTCAAAAACCGGCCGGGCGTGGTGGCTCACGCCTGTAATCCCAGCACTTTGGGAGGCCGAGGTGGGCGGATCATGAGGTCAGGAGATCGAGACCATCCTGGCTAACACGGTGAAACCCTGTCTCTACTAAAAATACAAAAAATTAGCTGGGCGTGGTGGCACATGCCTGTAGTCCCAGCTACTCAGGAGGCTGAGGCAGGAGAATGGCGTGAACCTGGGAGGCAGAGCTTGCAGTGAGCTGAGATCCGGCCACTGCACTCCAGCCTGGGCAACAGAGAGAGACTCCGTCTCAAAAAAATTAAATTAAATTAAATTAAATTTAAAAATTCAAAAACCAAAAAGAAAAAATTATGAAACAAAAAGCAGGTTCTTTGAAATGATGAATAAAATGGATAAACCTCTAGCTAGCAACACTGATGAGAGACACAGAGGACAAAATTACCAATATGAGGAATGGGAGGGTTAGCACTGCAGACCCTACAGACATTAAAAGGATAACCAGGAAGTACTATGAATAATTGTAGTCACATAAATTTAGCAACTTAGGTGAAATGGACCAATTCCTTGAAAGCCACAAACTACCAAAACTCATTAAATAGACAACTTGAACAATCCTATTAAGTATTAAAGAAACTGAATTTGTACTTTAAAACTTTTCTAAAAAGGAAAGTACTGGCTCAGATGGTTTTACCACCAAATTATACAAAATATTTAAAGAAGAAATTTAATACAAATTCTTCAAATCCCTTCCACAAAATAAAACAAGGACAGCTGGCTGGGCGCGGTGGCTCACGCCTGTAATTCCAGCACTTTGGGAGGCCGAGGTGGGCGGATCACAAGGTCAGGAGTTTGAGACCATCCTGGCCAACATGGTGAAACCCCATCTCTACTGAAAATACAAAAAATTAGCCAGGCATGGTGGCAGGCACCTGTAATCCCAGCTACTCCGGAGACTGAGGCAGGAGAATCGCTTGAACCTGGGAGGTGGAGGTTGCAGTGAGCCAAGTCTGCACCATTGCATTCTAGCCTGGGTGACAGAGCGAGACTCCATCTCAAAAAAAAAAAAAAAAAAGGACAACTTCCCAGACTCATTTTATAAGCCCAGCATTATCCCCATACAGAAACCAGGACTAAAAAAGAAAACTATGCAACTTTGTTGAACACAACTGCAAAAATCCTCAACAAACACATTTGACTCTTATGACCCATGGCAGCTAGTGTATAAAGTTGCTGCAAACACTGAATTAAAGAATATGCTAAACTATTGCTCCTAAGGGAAATGCAAAGTTCTGTTCCTGCAAGCTTCTGGTCACATTTTTGTTAAATGATCAATATATTAATAAAACCTTCTTTTATGTGTATTTTTGTTTAAGGGCACCTTACTTAATATGTATTGTATCACTAACATTGAACTCATGGCCAACAGCGCTAACTCTTGCACGAATGAAGCTTATCCAATGTGTGTTTTCTCTGTAAAGTGCATCTCAGCCTTCTTGCATTTCTGCACTATGCTGAGACGCCATTATAAACAGTGAAATCACCAAGAAAAAGCACAAAAATGCACACACATGACACCAAATATGCTACCAGTAAAGAGAGTCCCGATTGAGACCCCAAGAGGGTTCTTGGATCTCACACAGAAAGGAATTCACCGCCCCCCCGCATTCCCCCACCCTATTCCCCGCCCCCCAACACCCCCAGCCCCACCCAGCCCGGCCCTGGCTCCGCGCCTCCCCCAGCCCCGCCCCGCTTCAGAGGCCCGGACCCCGACGGCGGCGGCCCCGGGACCCACGGCGAGCGGGAAAGGCAGAGTGGCTGCAAATGGAAAACGACGGGCGCCGCGGGGCTGCAGGCGCTTCCGCCCCCGCCCCGGGCCTGGACCTTCGGGGTCACCTGACTCCGACCTGCCCGGGCCGGGCGGCACGGGGGGTAAAGTCCGGGCCGGGGTCAGGAGCGCGGCTGCGGGCCGTGGGGGGCGGGGTCCCGGAGTTCTGCCCCTCGCAGCTCCAGGCTCCTCCTCAGCTTCCCTCTCCTGCCTCCCACCCCCCCGGGGGCGGGGCGACCCTGGGCACCGAGACAGACCCGCGGGTGGGAGATGCGGGGAGACCCTGGGCGGGGGACCCGAGGGTGGAGTGGGCGGGGCGACCTTGGGCGCTGGCCTCAGCCTGCGGGCCCTGGAGCCAGGTGCACAGCGCATCGCCCGAGGCTGTCACCGCCCTGCCCCGCCCACCCCAGCTGTCCTGGACCCAGGGGCAGGGAGAGGCTGGACGCCAGGTGCGCGGACACAGAAGCGTCTAAGCACAGCTTCCTCCTTGCCGCTCCGGGAAGTGGGCAGCCAGCCCAGGTGAGGGTCCAAAGGGATGTCCTGGGGGGGCTGTCCTGGTCTGGGGGGCTGTCCTGGTCTGGGGGGCTGTCCTGGTCTGGGGGGCTGTCCTGGTCTGGGGGGGCTGTCCTGGTCTGGGGGGCTGTCCTGGTCTGGGGGGGCTGTCCTGGTCTGGGGGACTGTTCTGTCTGAGGGGGTGTCCTGGTCTGGGGGGGCTGTCCTGGTCTGGGGGGCTGTCCTGGTCTGGGGGGCTGTCCTGGTCTGGGGGGCTGTCCTGGTCTGGGGGGGCTGTCCTGGTCTGGGGGGCTGTCCTGGTCTGGGGGGGCTGTCCTGGTCTGGGGGACTGTTCTGTCTGAGGGGGTGTCCTGGTCTGGGGGGGCTGTCCTGGTCTGGGGGGCTGTCCTGGTCTGGGGGGCTGTCCTGGTCTGGGGGGGGCTGTCCTGGTCTGGGGGGCTGTCCTGGTCTGGGGGGGCTGTCCTGGTCTGGGGGGCTGTCCTGGTCTGGGGGGGCTGTCCTGGTCTGGGGGACTGTTCTGTCTGAGGGGGTGTCCTGGTCTGGGGGGGCTGTCCTGGTCTGGGGGGCTGTCCTGGTCTGGGGGGGCTGTCCTGGTCTGGGGGGGGCTGTCCTGGTCTGGGGGGCTGTCCTGGTCTGGGGGGGCTGTCCTGGTCTGGGGGGCTGTCCTGGTCTGGGGGGGCTGTCCTGGTCTGGGGGACTGTTCTGTCTGAGGGGGTGTCCTGGTCTGGGGGGCTCTCCTGGTCTGGGGGGGGCTGTCCTGGTCTGGGGGGCTGTCCTGGTCTGGGGGACTGTTCTGTCTGAGGGGGTGTCCTGGCCTGGGGGGCTCTCCTGGTCTGGGGGGGGGCTGTCCTGGTCTGGGGGGCTGTCCTGGTCTGGGGGGGGCTGTCCTGGTCTGGGGGCTGTCCTGGTCTGGGAATCTGTTCTGTGTGAGGGGGTGTCCTGGTCTGGGGGGCTCTCCTGGTCTGGGGGGGGCTGTCCTGGTCTGGCGGGGGCTGTCCTGGTCTGGGGGGCTGTCCTGGTCTGGGGGGCTGTCCTGATCTGGGAGTCTGTTCTGTGTGAGGGGGTGTCCTGGTCTGGGGGGGCTGTCCTGGTCTCAGGGACTGTTCTGTGTGAGGGGATGTCCTGGCCTGGGGGACTCTCCTGGTCTGGGGGGGCTGTCCTGGTCTGGGGGGGCTGTCCTGGTCTGGGGGGCTGTCCTGGTCTGGGGGGGCTGTCCTGGTCTGGGGGACTGTTCTGTCTGAGGGGGTGTCCTGGTCTGGGGGGCTCTCCTGGTCTGGGGGGGGCTGTCCTGGTCTGGGGGGCTGTCCTGGTCTGGGGGACTGTTCTGTCTGAGGGGGTGTCCTGGTCTGGGGGGCTCTCCTGGTCTGGGGGCACTGTCCTGGTCTCGGGGGGGCTGTTCTGGTCTGGGGGGCGCTTTCCTGGTCTGAGGAGCTGTTCTGATCTGGGAGGCTGTTCTGGTCTTGGGGGTCTTTTGAGTGTGGGAGAGGTTGCCCCAACCTCTTTGCCTACCTGGAGGCTCAGGCCTGGGGGTCTCAGGTGGCTACATCTTCTGGGTGTGGAGTCCCTGTGTTCCTGGCCCCTGTCACCTGTTTGTCCCTATGAGGTGGCCTATGGCCTGGGTGCTGGTTGGGGACACAGGCTGGGCCCTGTCTGGGCTGGACCGGCCTCCTGTCCTCTCTGAGCCTCTGTCATCTACCCTCCTTAAAATGGGCTTATATCCCCCGGACATACAGAATTGCGTGAGGACCCCACAGCGTGTCCCACTTTCCACGTGCCCAGGAGCCCCAGGTCAGGACCAGGGCAGCACCCGCGCCTGCCACTCAGTGTGGGTGCAACGTTTCCCGGGGGAACACGATAGGACACGGTCACATGGGGTTCAGGTGCCGGGACCTTGGCAGGCAGCCTCTGGCTTTGACCACTCCTTTGGCAGTGGTACCCGTGTGAAGTGGGGCTGTATGGGGCACAGGGTCGGCCTGGGGTAGTTTGAGAGCTGAGACCCTTGCTGGGCGTTTGGGCAGAGGAGGAGGTGGACACCTCGGCCACAGGGCTAGAGAAGCCCAGGCCCCTCAGATGGCATCCCTGGGTCCACCTCCCGACCAGGCGCCATCTGGCACCAGCTAAGAAGGTGCAGAGTCAGATTAGGGAAGCCTTGGGCTGGATTTCCAGAGAAACCGATGTTGTTAAGAAGCCTCACACTCGGCTTCCTAGGATGGCTGGCCTCACCCTGGGTTCACCCACAGCCCCTCGGCAACAGTCCCCTCAGGGCTCCAGAGAGAAACCCCCACCCTAGGAGTGCCTGGGGTGGGGGCCGCAGAGAGGAGGCAGAGCCCTGGGCCCCCAGTGCAGGCTGGAGCTGTGGCTGCTCCTGGGGAGGGTGGCACGGGAGAGGCAGGACCGAGGGGTGGGGACACAGGGTGGCCCCATCACATGGTGGGGGCAGCTCCGCGAGTCCCATCCGAGGGGGTCCGAGGGGGCTACTTGGATCCTGCTGGGGCTGTGTCCCCAGACGAGGCCTCTGCTGCCCCCCGCCCCCCTCCCACAGGGCCCTCTGATGCCCATGGCACCCCTGGCAGGCGTGGCTCCTGGGGAGTGGTCCTTGGCCACGGGAGGCGTCTGAGCCCCGGGGATGCCTCTATGGCCACGGGAGACCGTCTGAGCCCCGGGGATGCCTCTATGGCCACGGGAGGCCGTCTGAGCCCCGGGGATGCCTCTATGGCCACGGGAGGCCGTCTGAGCCCCGGAGATGCCTCTATGGCCACGGGAGGCCGCCTGAGCCCCGGAGATGCCTCTAAGGCCACGGGAGACCGTCTGAGCCCCGGGGATGCCTCTATGGCCACGGGAGGCGTCTGAGCCCCGGAGATGCCTCTAAGGCAAGTGGCTGTCCAGGGGTGCGTCTCCAGGGAGACGGGGAGCGAAGCCTCTGCCTCTGGAGGGCGGGATGGGGACACCAAGTGCAGCCTGGGTGCCCACGGCCGTCCCCCCACAGGAACCAGTACCACCTGCACCATGGGGCTGTCCCGGAAGGAGCAGGTCTTCTTGGCCCTGCTGGGGGCCTCGGGGGTCTCAGGCCTCACGGCACTCATTCTCCTCCTGGTGGAGGCCACCAGCGTGCTCCTGCCCACAGACATCAAGGTGCGTCCCCGCCGGCAGGGGAGGCCGGGCCGGGTCCACAGGTGTTGCCTCCCACTCATCCCACTGTCTCCCCAGTTTGGGATCGTGTTTGATGCGGGCTCCTCCCACACGTCCCTCTTCCTGTATCAGTGGCTGGCGAACAAGGAGAATGGCACGGGTGTGGTCAGCCAGGCCCTGGCCTGCCAGGTGGAAGGTTAGTGGGCTGTTCTGCAGCCCGGTGCTGGGACCTGCCTGTTGCTGCCTGGCTGGGATTCCCAGCTGCACGGAAAGGGTTTGGAGAGGTTCAGTGACTTGGCTGAGCTCACACGCCGGGCATGGGTGCTGGGCCGGAGCCTGCGTTCACGCGGTGGCACTCTGGGGACCTCCCTGCCTGATCCTGGTGAGCAGTCAGATTCTCATGGCCTGGCCTGGGTCTGCCCAGCATCTGCTGCCTCCAGCCCTGACCCTCTCTGGCCCCTGGTGCTCCCCACCCTGGCACCACGTGGTGCTGGCAGCCGAGGCTGGTAGTTACAGGGGTGCCTGCACTCCAGGATCCTGAGAGGGGAAAACAGGAGGCCCCGAATTTGTTTCCTGGGGGCTCTGGTAACAAATTACCACAAATTGGGGGCTTAAAACAGTAGCAGCTTATTTCTCAGCATTCTAGAAGTCTGAAAACAAGGTGTGGACAGGGCCGCACCCCCTCCAGAGGCTCTGGGTTAGGGTCCTTCCTGCTTCCTTCAGCCTGAGCACTCCACGCAGCCCTTGGCTGGTGGCTGCACCAGGGGGCATGAGGTGGTCATGTCTTTGGGGGCTACCTTTCAGCCCAGCCAGCCTGCGGGGTCTGGAGCTCTGTCCCCGGCTGCTGTTCCAGGGCCTGGAATCTCCTCCTACACTTCTAATGCTGCACAGGCTGGTGAGAGCCTGCAGGGCTGCTTGGAGGAGGCGCTGGTGCTGATCCCAGAGGCCCAGCATCGGAAAACACCCACGTTCCTGGGGGCCACGGCTGGCATGAGGTTGCTCAGGTGAGGCAGGCATGGCCTTGGCACCCACGGGGAGTGGCTGCAGAAGCCATGGTCTCAGCCAGCGTGGCAGGCAGGGTGGGGCCGGGCCCAGGCTTCCAGCCAGCTCCAGCCCCTGGTCCTCTGTGCCCAGCCGGAAGAACAGCTCTCAGGCCAGGGACATCTTTGCAGCAGTCACCCAGGTCCTGGGCCGGTCTCCCGTGGACTTTTGGGGTGCCGAGCTCCTGGCCGGGCAGGCCGAAGGTGCCTTTGGTTGGATCACTGTCAACTACGGCTTGGGGACGCTGGTCAAGGTGCCACAGGCTGCCTGAGGGCGGGGGCTGGTCTGCGAGGGGCTGGTGTCTGGGGCTGGCTGACCGGGACGGGGTCCGGGTGGCTGCTCCCAGCTGAGTGGCCCCTTCTGTGCCCAGTACTCCTTCACTGGAGAATGGATCCAGCCTCCGGAGGAGATGCTGGTGGGTGCCCTGGACATGGGAGGGGCCTCCACCCAGATCACGTTCGTGCCTGGGGGCCCCATCTTGGACAAGAGCACCCAGGCCGATTTTCGCCTCTACGGCTCCGACTACAGCGTCTACACTCACAGCTACCTGTGCTTTGGACGGGACCAGATGCTGAGCAGGCTCCTCGTGGGGCTGGTACAGGTCAGCTGGCCCTGGGGAGGGTGCATGGGGCTGTGGGAACAGGGCTATGGGCACAGGGCTGGCGTGGGTCATCCGGCCCCGGGGAGGGGGCACAGGGTATGGGCGCGGGGCTGGCGTGGGTCATCCGGCACCGGGGAGGGCGCACAGGGTATGGGCGCGGGGCTGGCGTGGGTCATCCGGCCCCGGGGAGGGGCACAGGGCCGCAGGTGTGCGGCTGGTGCTCAGGCCTCCCTGCCCTCTGCAGAGCCGCCCGGCTGCCCTGCTCCGTCACCCGTGCTACCTCAGCGGCTACCAGACCACACTGGCCCTGGGCCCGCTGTATGAGTCACCCTGTGTCCACGCCACGCCCCCGCTGAGCCTCCCCCAGAACCTCACAGTTGAAGGGACAGGCAACCCTGGAGCCTGCGTCTCAGCCATCCGGGAACTTTTCAACTTCTCCAGCTGCCAGGGCCAGGAGGACTGCGCCTTTGACGGGGTCTACCAGCCCCCGCTGCGGGGCCAGTTCTATGTGAGCACCTACACTGCCCCCACCAGGGGTCCGGGCTTCCTTGTGAGGCCTCAGGTGCCTGTCTGACTCCAGCAGGCCCAGGAGGGGCCCAGGCTGGCTCTTAGGGGCTCTGGGAGCCCGGGTGGGGTGGATCTGGCCCAGCGTGGCCACAGCGAAGGCACAGCCACCTCCCCTCTCACTCAGGCCTTCTCCAACTTCTACTACACCTTCCACTTCCTGAACCTCACCTCCAGGCAGCCCCTGAGCACGGTCAACGCCACCATCTGGGAGTTTTGCCAGAGGCCCTGGAAACTGGTGGGTGGGCCCTGGGCTCCCTGGCTGCAGCGAGGGTCCCTGAGGGTACAGGGCTGCCTCGGGCAGGATGCTGGAGCCTCATTCTGGGCAGCACGGCCAGCAGGGCCGGGGGAGGCAAGGGCAGAGGACAGCTCCAGGCCGTGCCACTCCAGGTAGGAGGCTGTGGCCACGGCCGCAGCTGGGCCCAGCCTCTGGCCCGCCAAGAAGGGGCCGCAACCCGCACCACGTAACTGGTCGGTGGGGCCAGGGAGGGGCTCTCTACCACTGCCCGGCACCCTCTTGTTGTCTGCGTGCTCAGGTTGGCCAGGACAGATGGGGCGGTCCCCGCATGACTGGGGATCAGGGGCCCTCACCTCGCCTCTTGGTCTCCTGGGCCCCAGGTGGAGGCCAGCTACCCTGGGCAGGACCGCTGGCTGCGGGACTACTGTGCCTCAGGCCTGTACATCCTCACCCTCCTGCACGAGGGCTACGGGTTCAGCGAGGAGACCTGGCCCAGCCTCGAGTTCCGAAAGCAGGTGACTGCCTCCCCTGGGCGTGGGCGGGGCGTGGGCGTGGGCAGGTCGTGGTCCTGGGGTAGCTGCCCCGCAGCCCTGAGCAGCCGTGTGTCCCGCAGGCGGGCGGTGTGGACATTGGCTGGACACTGGGCTACATGCTGAACCTGACCGGGATGATCCCGGCCGATGCGCCGGCTCAGTGGCGGGCAGAGAGCTACGGCGTCTGGGTGGCCAAAGTGGTGTTCATGGTGCTGGCCCTGGTGGCGGTGGTGGGGGCTGCCTTGGTCCAGCTCTTCTGGTTGCAGGACTAGTGGGAAGGCGGAGGTGGGCCCCCACAGAGCCCACAGGCAGCTGCGTCCCGGATGCTGGAGGCTTCCTGAGCCCTGAGCGCCGTGGGGCCTTGCTCTGTGGCTCTGCCCACGGTCAGGTGACAGCCACCTCCAGGGCACCGTCAGGGTGGTGCTGGCCACAGAGGCTGCATGACCTCCCCTCCCGGCGTCCCTCCCCCAACCTCCTTCCGCAACTGGGCTTCCAGGGCCGTAGGTGCCTTTCTGCACACAGGCCGCCAGGACTCGTGGTGTCTCCAGGCTGTGTGACTGCAGGGCCACATGCTGCCTGCAAACAGGGCAAGACCACGGAGGCACAGGGGTCCTGCTCCTGATGGGGCCTCAGGAGGGGCGGAGAGGGGTGGAAGGGAGGGAGCTGCCCCACCTGGACCCCCGCTCTCCCTGCTGTTGTCTGAGCAGATGGATGGAGTCCAGGCCTGGGGGCTTCTGCTGGGCCAGCCCGGCCTCCCACACCCACTTGGAGGGTGAGACTGCAGTGGGGGTTGTTTTTATTAAAAGCATCATGGACACAGCATCATTAGGGCTGATCTCCCTGCTGGGATCGGGGCAGGCGGCCGGGGGCTCCTGACATCCGAGGGCCGGCGGGGACCACGAAGCACTTGGGGAAGATGCCGATGCGGCCGTCACAGTGGCCCTCCAGCCATGCCTGGTCCACTGCAAGGGGGACATCGGGCTCTGCAGGGCGTTACCCAGGCGTGGCCTCTGGGTGCCACGTCTGCTCACAGCACAGGCCGAGCTCTAAGCCCCCCACACCCCGGGCACCACGGTGCTGCCTGGGAAGGGCCATGCCCACCCTACCTTCACACAGGACGTCCACCGTGTCCCCCTGTCGGAAGCCCAGGTCCTCTGGCCCCTGGGCGGAGTAGCTGTGCTGGGCCACCACCTGGTAGAGGACCGGCCGACCCCCGGCTCCCTGAGGCAGGAGAGTGGGCTGCAGGTCGGGCCGGGCACTGGGAGGAGGGGCCTCCACCGCCCCTCAGGGTGCCCCTGCCCCTGCCTCGCCCTTGGCTCACCCTGCACTGCAGCTGCAGCCCCCTGGGGCAGGCAGCTGCGTCCTGCCAGGCCCTCTGCAGCGACTCCTCCTCGGGGATGGGGACCCAGTGCCCGTCCTCACCTGGGGCTAGGTAACTGCAAAGAGATTCCTCAGAGGGGGCCTCCTGGGTGGGGCCTGCAGGGAGGGCAGTGACCTCTGCCACCCCCTCTTCCAGCAGCTGCCTCAGTCGGGGCGGTGCCCAGCTCCACCGCAGCCACCGGGGGCTTTCTGGCCCACCTGAGTTGCCCAAGCTGGGCCTGGTGAGGGAGGGCTTGGCCCAGCAGTGCCCGCAGGCTGGACAGGTCGGCTCCTCTTCGTGCCCTCAGGGCCACTGTGAAGGCGCACTGCACGGTGACAGTCACCAGGGGCTCGGAGCCCCCTGCACCTGCTCCCTGGGTCCAGGCAGGAGGGGGAGGGGTGGTCGCTGAGGCCCAGGGCCTGGTCAGGGCCGTCTTCAGCCCGAGGGGTGTGGACAGAGACTGGGCAGGTGAGGGGGGCTTGCAAGCCTTGATTCTGAGGGATGGGGCTTGGCCTCAGCCTCCCTCAGGTGACTGACAGGTGAAGGGTCTAGAGCCTCTTACCCCAGCACCCGCGGGGTCCTCACAGGGGCCGGGGCCAGGCCCCCCCATTGCCGGCAGCCCTGTAGGACAGAGCAAGACTGACACAGCCACTACCACCAAAGTGGGCCCTGTGGGTGGAGGGCAGCCGGCACCCATGCACCAGCAGCTTCCTCCTTCACCCGGGGACCCCGCCGCTGAGGACGCCCATACCTGGGGAGAGAGGAGCCTGTTTGCCAACTTGCTCCACCTGGGGCCTCTGCAAGAGAAGCACAGGCTGGGTGGGCTGGGGCGGTCAGGTGCTGGAGGCCGGTACTGTCCTCGCAGAGCCCACACCAAGGGTGTGGCCTGTGTGCCCGGCCAGCACCCAGCAGGTGGTCTGTGGGTGTTGAATTCAGGGCACTGGCCACAAGTCGGCTGCCTTAGGATGGGGCTGGGTCCCTGCAGACCTAGAGGCTGCCTGTCACCAGGAGGGAGCGCCCCGTCCCCCAAGGCCCACCGAGGTGGCAGCTCCAGGTGGGTGGGCTCCCCAGTGACCCCAGGAAGCTGAGGACCCAGTCCCTGGGCCCCGGCCTCTGTGTGGGCTCGACATTAACCGTGTGCCCTGAGTTGGGCACTGAGCAGGAGACCAGTTCACCAGCTGCAAGTCACAAAGTCACAGCCCAGCGCTGGCTAGACCCTGAGGGTCAGGCATTGCTGTTGTTTTTTGAGAGGGAGTCTCGCTCTGTCGCCCAGGCTGGAGTGCAGTGGCGCCATCTTGGCTCACTATAAGCTCCGCCTCCTGGGTTCACGCCATTCTCCTGGCTCTGCCTCCTGAGTAGCTGGGACTACAGGTGCCCGCCGCCATGCCCAGCTAATTTTTTGTATTTTTTAGTAGAGACAGGGTTTCACCATGTTAGCCGGGATGGTCTCGATCTCCTGATCTTGTGATCCGCCTGCCTAGGCCTCCCAAAGTGCTGGGATTACAGGCGTGAGCCACTTCGCCTGGCTTTTTTTTTTTTTTTTTTTGAGACAGGGTCTTGCTGTCTTGCCCAGGCCGGAGTGGAGTGGCACTGTCATGGCTCACTGCAGCCTCCACCTCCCAGGCTCAAGCAATCCTTCCACCTCAGCCTCCCACGGTGCTGGGATTACAGACCACTGTGCCCGGCCTCGATTGTAACTTATTATTAGATTTATCAGATGGTTGAAGTTGCCTTAGGTTAGGAAGGACGAGAGCTTAAAGGCCCATCGTGGGAACTGGGCAAATAGTTCCAAACCCTGAGGGAATTAGTGAAGCACAGCTTGGAGGGCGCCCTTGCCCCCGGGATGCCACGGTTAAACTGGAAGTGGGCATCCATAAAGAGAGAGTGCCGGGGCTGCTTCCTGATCGCATCCTCAGATGCGCTCAGCGTGAAATGCAGGTGCCTTCTCTGGGCCTCCCGGATCCTGCAGCAGAGCCTCCGCCCACGGCTGCCACCCTGGGAGCAGCTGGGGTTCCTGCCTTCCTCCGCCTCTCCCCAGGTGCCGGGGTGTCCGGGAGGACTCGGGGGATGGAGTCGCTGCTGGGCCCCCATGGGGGGCGGGAGCCTTGGGGCCCCTCCAGAGCTGTCCTGCCTCCCGCCTGTCCCCAGCTGGGTCACTCCTGGTCACTCGCACCCCAGTGGGAGGGGAGGGGCAATGGCCAAACTGAGGTGGTCCTGGGGGCTGAGGGCCTGCAGGGCTACGTGGATGTCTCCACTGGACACCACCTCTCTCCTGTCCTGATGGCCAATGCCCACTCGCCTCGGGCACAGCCAGGCATCCTCCCATCTGGCTGGGCTGGGCCAGGACCACGGGTGAGCCCGGCCCCGTCTACCCCCCAGCGAGCTGCTCCCTCCACCCTCATGTTGGTCCCATTGTGGTCCCCAGTCTGCGGAGGCAGCAGAAGCACCGACCCCCAGCAGGGGAAGAGGCCCAGGCCCACGCACCTGCTCCTGGTAGGCAGTCGACGTGCAGCGGTCAGCACCGACCTCTGTCTCTGCATCGAGGGGGCCCTGGTGGGTGCCAGCTCTTGGGGAGTCCATGATTAGGGACCTAGGGAGAGGAGGGAGGCTCTCAGGCCCTGCCCATCTGACTGCCCTCCTGTGCCCGGCCCGCGTGGCCCCATGTGGAGGGCCTCTGCCCAGCAGGAAAGGCACGCGCTCGCAGGGCCCAGTCAGCCCCTCCTACCTGGCATCATGGTTCGCTCCTGGTCCCTGTGGACACAAAGCAACAACCTCGCTCTGGTTAAGGGTCGGGGGCCGCCCTCCCTCCTCCTGAACCTTGAAGAGTGGTTTCCCCAGGTCTTACACAGGGATGGGATGGCCACCCCACACCTCCCATCAGAGGAACTTCGCAGCCCCAGGAGGGCTCAGAGCTTGTGCAGCATTTTCTTTCCCAGAAAGCTGGGTGAGGCCAGGCAGGGGTCTGAGGGGCCGCAAACCCACCTGTGGCTGCTGAGGGCGGACGCCCCAGCCCTGGTCGTCGGGGATGGCAGAGGCCACCACCTGGCGGGGACAGTGGGGACGCTGGGTCAGGGATCAGCGGCCCAGCAGGGTCTGCTCCCTGCAGCCCGCCCCACCGTGCCCCGCAGCTCTAAGTCCCCGGGGGCTGGGTGACAGCTGCCCATGCCCGGCCCACGTCTGCCAGACCACCATGGAGGGAAATGTCTGATGGAGAAAAACATCTGCTGCAATGTTAACTTATTTTTAGCACAACTTTAAAAACATTTTGGTTTCTTATAAACAGCACTCTACTGTGATATGCGGACTCTAAGTTAATGCATTAACACAGCTCAGAGCCCGGCTTCGCCCACCCCAGGCCTCCCCTGCTGGGCAGCTGCACTGGGCCCAGGAGTCGGCCGTGGCGCAGCGCAGGTGACCGAGGGGGCGTGGCCAGCCAATGGGGCGTGGCCAGTCCGGGGCGTGGCCAGCCAAGGGTGACCCAGTCTTTGCCCACCAGGAGTTCTTCTTCTCCGCCATGTTTCGCCCGCTGCCTTTGGGGGTGAGCAGCTCCCCATTCCTGTGACTTTAGGGGTGTTGCCTGGCTCTGACCCAAGTGTGGGCGTGACGTGGCCCAGACCGTCGGACTGCAGCCCCTGCCCCCGTGAGACCTTGCTATCTGTGGCAGGGACACAGGGACCCCCCCAGGGACCTCGCTATCTGTGGCAGGGACACAGGGAGACCCCCCGGGACCTCGCTATCTGTGGCAGGGACACAGGCACCCCCGCCCCCCGGGACCTCGCTAGCTGTGGCAGAGACACAGGCACCCCCCCCGGGACCTCGCTACCTGTGGCAGGGACACAGGCACCCCCCTGGGACCTCGCTGTCTGTGGCAGGGACACAGGCACCCCCCCGGGGACCTCGCTATCTGTGGCAGGCACACAGGCATCCCCCCAGGACCTCGCTATCTGTGGCAGGGACGCAGGGACCCCCCCCCCCCGGGACCTCGCTATCTGTGGCAGGGACGCAGGGACCCCCCCGGGACCTCGCTATCTGTGGCAGGGACGCAGGGACCCCCCCGGGACCTCGCTGTCTGTGGCAGGGACACAGGGAGACACAAAGGCATGAAAGGACGCAGAGAGACGCAGGGACTCTGGGAGGCTGCAAGGCTGTGGCTGTGGCCATGGCCCAGTCTGGGGGCGGGGTGGCACCTGCAGGGTCCTTGTTGAGAGAGCTGGAGCCCCCTCCTATGCAGCCGGCTCTAGTGGGCTCTGCCTTCAAGCTCACAGCCCCATTTGGGGCACCGCCCCCCTACCGTGGGCGCCAGTTTGAGGATGGCTGTGGGCCCACTCTCTACCCTCCTGGCCCTTACGGTGGCCTGGACTGCACCTCCCCCCATCCCTGGGAACACAGTTCGAGGGCTCAGCACCAGCCGCCATGCCCCAGGACGCCGTCCCCACCTTTACCTTGGCCTTGCCCAGGAAATCCACGGGCTCCAAGTGCTTCAGGTGCCACCGGTGGGGCCGGAAGACCTCGCCCCTGGGGACCTGCCGTGGCGGCAGTGAGCCCCGTCTCTGGAGGGGGTGGGTATCCAGCAGATGCAGACGGGGTGACCAACCAGGCCTGCAGCCGCAGAGCCCCTGTGCCTTGGAGCAGAAGGGGCCGCTTGGGCCCCCCACCCCCTTCCCGCAGGTCACAGGAAGCCCCCGCCTGGCACCCGAAACTGGGCACTAGGGCCATCTCCCTCCGGAAGCTTCTTCATCTCATGAAATTGGTCTTGAGGAGCTTTGGTAGGCACCAGCCCAAAACCATGACCGGGCTGGCACTCCTCACCTGCACTTGGTCCAGGGCTGAGTCCAGGCCATTCAGGGACCCCTCCGGCCACTTGGACATGGCCTCCCTTAGGCTGCTGGCCGCCTCTGTCCAGAGCCCCAGCTGGCACTGTGCCGACGCCACATTGTGTAGCACCTGGGAGTGGGGCCAAGGTGATGGCAGGGGCCTGATGCCCCACCCAGGCCCTCTCCCGGTTCCCCCACCCAGCTCCTCCCTCGGTCTGCCCACCCAGCCCCTCCCCCAGTCCCCCCACCTGGCCCCTCCCCCATCCCCCCACCCAGCCTCTCCCCCAGTCCCCCCACCTGGCTTCTCCCCCGTCTCCCCACCCAGCTCCTCTCCCAATCCCCCCACCCGGCCCCTCCCCTGCACCGTTCTGTGTCCTGGGCTGGCGGGCCCCCACCTGGCTTTAACCCTGACTCCAGACCCACACCAGTGGGCTTTCCCTTCCATCTTTTTGTCCTAAAAGACAATGCTATTCCCAGAAGGCTTCAGGGCGATGCATTTCCGGGGTCTGGTGGGGGGGCCTCTCAGCACCCCTCCTTCGGTGCCAACACGTTCCAGGCAGCCAGGAAAGGGCTGGGGGCACAGTGGAGGGTGGGCACAACCCCCTGCCTGCTCCCTGCCCACCCAGCAGCCTTTCGCCTCTGCCCTCCTTCTGGGTGGAGCCACCCCTGGTGGCCTGAAATGGCACAAAATGGTCCCTCCACCTCCACTGCCACCAGAACCTCCTGCGGGTCAAGGAGTGGCCAGGGTATTCCATGGCACCAAGAGCTTCGGCCAGAGGCGCTCCCCAGTCCACAGGGCCCTCCTGTGACAGTGCCACCGCCCGTGGACACCCCACAGCCAGCAGCACAGTGAGCCCTGCCCGGCCTCACCTCCCAGGCTTGCAGCTTGAACCGCAGGCCCAGCTGCGTGTAGTCGATGGCAGCGTGGCCCCTCAGCTGCTCCAGGGCCAGCCAGAAGTCAGACAGAGCCTCCTGGAACCTGTGGGCAGCCGGGGTCCCCTCAGCAGCACAGGGCGGAGATGGGGCTGTGGTTAGGCAGCTTTCACACCAGCCCCGCTCGAGCCGCCCCCAACACCTGGTTCCAAGGAGACCTGAGGGAGGGCAGTGCGGTGCCTAGGTCTGCACACTCAGGTCTGGTGGGCCAGGGGTCCATGCACATGTGTGCTGAGTGGGTGTGGGGGTCACTGTGTGCTGGGGCTCCACCATTTTCCCAGCTCAGACTCAGCTTCCTGGGCCCCTGCCCGCCCCCAAGCCTCTCTTCTGAACCGTGCAGAGAGCCCTGGTTATTTCCCTCCTGCTTCTCAGGCCCCCCACCCCATGGGGGCTCCCCCTCCAAACTCTGAGCCTCCTTCCAAGCCTTGCTGGGAGCTCCCCAGCGCCTGCCGGAGAGGCCTCTCCTCCAGGCGGGCTTCCCGCGCCGATGTGAAGGAGAGGCTGCCCCAGAGGGGTCTGGATCGTAATCCAGAAAGGGACAGTCCCACAGCCATAATCCCGAATGCTGGGACTCTTCAGTAAAGGAAGAGATGGCTTTTTCGTTCATCTGCCTTTCTGAAAGGTAAAATATCTCCAGATCCGGGCTCTCTGGGCGACTGCGTATGTGGTGGTCCCTGAAGCCTTTGATGGATCTTGTTAGAAGGTGGGTTGTTCATCT
The DNA here is from genome assembly GCF_000001405.40 of Homo sapiens. Lineage (NCBI taxonomy): Eukaryota > Metazoa > Chordata > Mammalia > Primates > Hominidae > Homo > Homo sapiens. The sequence continues at coordinate 137,427,360 of NC_000009.12, read as the reverse complement.
TGGTGTTTTGATGACCAGTTATAAAGCCAGGTGCACACAGTCACCAGCCAGAGTCTACGCACCTACGTCTTACCCCTTCTGACCTAGCTCCTCATGAGCACTGTTCATCTGCTCGTAGTTCTCACACCCGTGAGCCTGTCGCTAGCGTGCATGAATTTGTGCTTGAAAAAATATGTATGTTATTTTTGTCTATTTTATCGGCCAATGAAGGGTTCCGTCGTGTTTTTATGTTTCTCAAATAAATCCCTTTAAAATATGTAAATAGGCTGGGCGAGGTGGCTCATTCCTGTAATCCCAGCACTTTGGGAGGCCGAGGCGGGTGGATCACCTGAGGTCAGGAGTTCGAGACCAGCCTGGCCAACATGGTGATGCCCAGTCTCTACTAAAAATACAAAAATTAGCCAGGCGTGGTGGCACATGCCTGTAATCCCAGCTACCCGGGAGGCTAAGGCAGGAGAATCGCTTGAACCCAGGAGGCGGAGGTTGCAGTGAGCCGAGATCGCACAATTGCACTCCAGCCTGGATGACAGAGCAAGGCTCCTTCTCAAAACAATTTTTAAAAAGTAAATAAATATCTTTTACAGAATTTTATTTTTTCTAGAATTATATTTTTTGGGATTTTAGATTTGAGGGGTTTTGATATTTCAGGATTGCGAGGCTCTCGGGACTGTGATCCACTTCCCCACAGAGCCTGCCCTCCTGGGATGGGGCCTGTGAGTGTCTAGCAGAGAGGCCGAGGCATGGCCTGGTCTGCAGTCCCGATGGTCTCCTTTCCCTCATTCCTCCTTTAGGAAGGGACATGGTGCAGAGAGCCCAGGTAAGCAGTGAGGACCCCACGACCTGTGTCCAAGGGTGGCGCTCAGCAGAGGCGAGGGCCACAGTCTCAGGTTTCCCTGGAGCCAGGAACCATGGAGGAGGGGGTGGGCAAGAGGAGGGAGTGGATGGAGAGGGAGGAGGAGGAGGTGCAGGAGTGGACTCTGCAGGGAGACAAAGGGCCGTCAGAGAAGGAACAAGGCACCCCTGTACTCACCTTGCCAGCTGGAAGTTGGCCACTCCTCGCTGGAAGAAGCCAACCGCCATGCAGGTGTCCTTGGTCACGGCTTGGTCAAATGCCTGGGGACAAAAATGCCCACGGGATGCCAAGGTCTGTAACCTGGTCACGCAGCATCACAGATACAGCGTGATGGGTGACAGGGCCACGGAATTCCGTCAGCCCCTGGGGACCCCCCACAGCCCCTCCTGCTCCTGTCCAGGAACCTTCGGAGCCCCTGCCTGGGCAGGGCTGTCGCCACTCAGGTTGCCACAGCCCACCCAACCCCAACCCGTCCAAGGCGCAGAGCCCACTGAGGTGCTGCTAAAACCAATGTGTTTACCATGAGCACAAGGACAGAGGCCAGAAAAAAGTGTTCCAGTATGTTAATAATAGTTACCTCTGGGGAGTGGGGTTATGCAAGATTTTTGTCTTTTAAAAATCCTTTTTTTTTTTTTTGAGACGGGGTCTCGCTCTGTCACCCAGGCTGGAGTGCAGTGGCTCGATCTTGGCTCACTGCTGCCTCCGCCTCTGGGTTCAAGACATTCTCAAACTCCTGACCTCAGGCAACCTTGGCTGTCACATACTGGAGACGAGATAACGCAGTCCAGATCCCAGAGTCAGCAGCTAAAGAACTGCATTACAGGCCGGGCATGTTAGCTCACGCCTGTAATCCTAGCATGTTGGGAAGCTGAGGTGGGCGGATCACCTGAGGTCAGGAGTTTGAGACCAGCCTGGCCAACATGGTGAAACCCCATCTCTACTAAAAATACAAAAATTAGCTGGGCATGGCGGCACGCGCCTGTAGTCCCAGCTACTCGGGAGGTTGAGGCAGGAGAATCGCTTGAACCCGGGAGGTAGAGGTTGCAGTGAGCCAAGATCGCACCACTGCACTCCAGCCTGCAAGACAGAGCGAGATTCCGTCTCAAAAAATAAATAAAATAAAAATCCTTTTTTGATAGTTCATGCAAAATGACACCCTAGAAATCTATTAGAATCAGAAAGAACAACACACGTCTTCATGTGTTTATCTGTGTGTAAAGCACAGCTCTTCCTTAAACCAGACTCAGGAGGACACAGAAGGTTCTGAACAGGGACCGTGGCCATCAGTTAAATGTGTGTGACAGGAAGGGTGCTACGGTCTCTTTCACAAATCTGGCTGAGTGGGGGCTTGTCGTTGAACCAAGTTCACACAGGTGTGAAGTGTGGCGGCTGAGCACAGGCACGCAGCCCTGATGTGGGGTGGCGGCTCAGGGCCAGCAGAACCCACCTGTCTGCCCCAAACGTCACGCAAGGCTCCTAACAAGAGACAGCAGTTCCAGCGACACCCTCTGCACCCTGGGCTGCCCCTCACGTGATCGGCTTTATGAATCATAGCTGTTCCATCTGCTTTCCTAAGTTCCCATATTCCTAACATGCATATGCTGTGGGTTAGTCGTATGACTTTCACTGCGTCCCCTCTCTGTAGTGAAACCAGGCACAAGAGCACAAGTGACTGGGTTAGCCCCGGACATAGGATTTGTTGCTGAACCACCTGGTGTCTAAAGATTACATTCCCTTTCTTGGATAACATTTTAAAATGAAATCATTGTGGGCCGGACAAGGTGGCTCACATGTGTAATCCCACCACTATGGGTGGCCGAGGAGGGTGGATCACCTGAGGTCAGGAGTTCAAGACCAGCCTGACCAACATGGTGAAACCCGTTTCTACTAAAAATACTAAATTAGCCAGGCGTGGTAGTGGGCGCCTGTACTCCCAGCAACTAGGGAGGCTGAGGCAGGAGAATTGCTTGAACCCGGGAGGCAGAGGTTGCAGTGAGCCAAGATTGGGCCACGGCACTCCATTCAGCCTGGGTGACAGAACGAGACTCCATCTTTGAAACAAACAAAAAAATGAAATCATTATGGAGGTGATTGTAAATTTGTACGCAGCTTTAAGACACAAGAGAGGGGGGTCTCATGCGCTTTGCCCAGTCTCCTCCAAGGGGGATATTTTGCCAGTCAGGGGCGTGGAGACCCTCCCACAGCGCGCAGTTCCCTCTCCTTTAAATCACTGCTGTCACCGAGCCTTCAGTAACCGTGGGCACCTGCCTGCTTCTGCGGGGTGCTTGGGACTGAGCGGGGGTGGGCAGCGCTGGCGTTTGGGATGCGCAGGAACAGGCGGCCCCGGAACGCGAGGGGGCACGAGAAGGGCACCGGGCTCCGTGCAGGGCCTCGGCCGCTGCACCCTGGCACCCTGGACTCCTGGCTGTTTCGGGGAGTGGGCTGGGGGAGGGCTGAGGGCTCTGAGGAGGAGACTGACCCGGTCTCCCGGCCATGACCACAGGCGCAACGCTTTCCCCTTAGGGCAGGGCGGTCCCTCGGGCCTGACCCAGCCCAGCAGCTTCCCCCTTCCCGGTGTGAGTCACCCTCGGGCCCCGGCCTCTCCCGGTGACCGCCGCGCCCCCCAGCGCGGCCTCGCTTAGCTCAGGTGCGGCCCCCCTGCTCGGCTCCCACCTGCCGGGGCGTTCGCTGGGTCGGGGGCGGCAGGGCGACCCCGTGACGGTCGGGGAGGGGCGCTGGGCCCTCCCCAGGGGCTCGAGGCGGAGGCGTCGCCCGCACCGGCCTCCCCACGCCCCGCTCACCCGCAGCGCGGCCTCGGGGTCCCCGGCCAGCAGGTGCACGCAGCCCGCGTTGAAGCACAGCCTGGCGGGCGGCGCCGGGACGCCCGAGAAGAGGTGCAAGGCGCGGGCCCAGTCCCCACGATCCACAGCCTGCGCGCCCAGGTGCCAGGCGCGCACCAGGTCCCCCAGAGAGGCCATGGCGGCCGGTGGCGGCGCTCGAGGAGGGGCCAGGATCCCGCGGAGGGGCCGGGGCCGGGGCCAGGCGGCGGCGCGGGGCTGCGGGGTCTCCGAGGCGGGCAGAGGTGCGGGCGCCAAGCGCCAGGTGCAACCCCGCTGCCCCGCGGCGCCCCCTGGCGGCAGGCGCCCGCCCCTCCCCGGTAAGGCCACGCCCCCGCCAGAAACGGCTACGCCCACTCCAGACCCTCAGGCCTCGCCCACCTCCCATTCGGCCCCCGCCCCGGCCGGACTTCCGCCGGGAGCTTTGTGCGCCCGGCTTCCTCGCCCCGCCCGCGCTGGCCTTGGTGCGCCGGATAAAGCCCTCCGGGCCAGCGGCTGCGGTCGGGCCAAGGTTCCGCGCCGGGCGTGGACGGTGTGGGGCGGTCCCGGCCCCGCAGGTGAGCGACCCCGGGCCGCGCGGGCCAGGTGGGCGGTCTGGGCGCCGGGGGCAGAGCGGGGCCGGGCCGGGTGCGCGTCCTGAGGTGAGGGCCGTAGCTGGGAGTGAGCCGGGGGCGGGCCGCCGGCTCTCCCGGGGTGGGGAAACTGAGGCCCCGATGGGGCGGGGAAGGTGCGTTCTCCCGCAGGGCCCCGCTCCGGAGGCCGCCGAGCAGCCGGACGCCGCGGGGAGCTGAGCCGACCCCGGCGACCCCGCCGCCCTGTCCCGCAGGGCCTGCCCTCCTCCGCGCCTTCCGAGCACGGACATCACAGGACCCGGAGGCCCTTCGCTCCCTCGCCGAGGAGGAGGCGCTCCCGGTGGGACGCGCGCGCGCCCGCCCTGCCCTCCCCGGGAGAAGGGACGGGCGCCTCCCTGCAGGGGCCCTGGCTTCCTGTCCACCGGCGCTGAGTCCTGTATTAGTTGTCAACCTAAAATAATTAAAAGGGTCAGAATGTGGTGCCCGGTGGGTTTATTCAGGCACAGAGGTCGAGGGCGGCCTGGGTCACCAGGTGCAACGGAGAACAAAACAGAGGCTCAGGTTTTTAAAGAAAACAGAGCCCATCGGAGAGCAGGTGGTTTCGAACGTTGCCCAGGAGCTCACTGGCTTGTAGAAATGGCATTGGTTCGCGATTGACCACGGCTTGGTGTCATCAGTGGATAGTTACTTGGCTCGAGGGGTAGTGAGGGGCTGCGGTTTCATTTGAAATGCTTTCTGGCACTTAACATCAAGCTTTCTGGGCCCACAGTTTAAAAGGGCTTTACATTCCTCAGATAAATGATTTTTTTCTTTCTCATTTGCCCCCCTTTTGATCAAAATCTTTCTTCTTGAAAGCATTGATTATCAAAATCTGAGGGTCAGAGTGTCCCCTCTTGCTGGGAAGGCTCATTCCCACATAGTCCTGTCCCATGCCAAGCAGGGAAGGAGGAGACATTTCAGGGAGTTTTTTTTTTTTTTTTTTTTTTAAGAACACCACAAACTGAATTGGAATGGCATTACAGGGTGGCAAACATGAGGTCTCAGTGAAGTCATTAATTTATACAACTGCTGTCACCTGTTGAATCATCTCTAGTTTTTAGAAACACCATTAATTTTAATTTTCTCAGAAGTAACACATAGGACTATAACCAATTTGTATGCCAGGATGAAAAAAACAAACCTGTTCCATTAGGGAGACAACTAAAAACATGAAGAAACTAAAATCCATGTTCTTCTTTCTTTTTATTTATTTGTTTACTTAGAAATGGGGTCTTGCTCTGTCACCCATGCTGGAGTGCAGAGGCACGATTCCCACTCATCGCAGCCTTGAACTCTTGGGCTTAAATGATCCTCTTGTCTTAGCCTCCTGAGTACCTGGGAATACAGGTGTTTGCCACCAGGACCGGCTAATTTTAAATTTTTTTGGTAGAGACTAGGTCTTGACACCTTGCCCAGGCTAGTCTCGAACTCCTGAGCCCAAGTGATCCTCTCATCTGGGCCTCCCAAAGTGCTGGGGTTATAGGTGTGAACCTCTGCCCAGCCAGGTTCTTCTTTGAGACTTGTAGCCAGAAGATTGTTCAGGATTTAGTCCAGATTGTAGGAAAATAAAAAATACAATGATCAGGGCTAGAATCCAGTAACAGGTATGCTGTAGTTTTTCTCTGAAACATAATTTTTCTCTACTTCCCCATTTCTACCAAAGATAAATCTTGGTAAGACCAATTTACTTGTAAAATAAATTTTAGGATTATATTTGGCCTGATTATTTGCCTAAAGTACAACAGTGGTGATTGGCCATATAGGCTCCTTTCTAAACTGGCTGGAACTTTGCCATAAGGAATTTCAGACTTTTTTTCCCCACATCAGACAGGTAATGTGCTGGCGTCATAACAGCGTTTGAAGGAGACAGACCCTACACATGAGGCAATCATCATGCTTATGAACTACAAGAGGGTCAGAATAGACCTTTAAAAGCCACTTGAGGGCTGGGCATGGTGGCTCATGCCTGTAATCCCAGCACTTTGGGAGGCCAAGGTGGGAGGATTCATTGAGCCCAGGAGTTTGAGACCAACCTGGGCAACATAGCGAGGTCCCTGTCTCCACAAAAAATTTAAAAATTACCTGGGCATAGTGGTGCTCACCTGTAGTCCCAGCTACTCAGGAGGCTGAAATGGGAGGATCGCTTGAGTCCAGGAGATTGAGGCTGCAGTGAGCTATGATCGCACCACTGCACTCCAGCCTGGGTGACAGAGCGAGACCCTGTCTCTAAACAAAACAAACACTTCCCATGTCTAGGAAGCCAAGCCAGTGGCTCCCCATCACAGTGTATGTATAATACCTGTATGAATTTGGGGGGGGGGGTGAATGTCTGTCCTCCAGGTCCCAAACTATCTTGAAGTTCCTGGATCTGTCGGAAAGTGACATTCTTTCCTTACCTCAAGGCCAAGAACCTTTTAAGGGAACTATGTAAACAGGGCACCAGTCCAGTCATCCCAAGGGGCTTTTTATTGGCTCTATAAAGCGAACCTCGATTCCTCAAAGCAGTCTCGTCATATCCAAAAATACGTCATCCCAGTCCAAGCCTTGGTAGAATAACCAGGGTCTCCAATTGTGTCCTGTTACAAGGACAACAGATTCTTACTGAACTCATGCAAAGAACTACATTGCCATAAAATAAGAATACTCATGAATCGCTTCCAGATTTTTGAGAAATCAGGTAGAGAAAAAGACAAATATTTCAGTTTTGCTCACAAAAGTATATGTCACTCAATTGCTATAGCTATAAATAGCTCAAAAAGAAAAAGGTTTTCTGACTCTGGAAAACAAAATATAAAAAGAGTCAGCAAGGTTTCGATAACAACAAAAAATCATAAAAAGCATTTCAGGCCTCTATCAGTTCAGTTCTATGTAATTTGCTGGGGTTTTTTTTGTTTTTTTTTTAGGCGGAGTCTCCCTCTGTCGCCCAGGCTGGAGTGCAGTGGTACAATCTCGGCTCACTGCCAGCTCCGCCTCCCGGGTTCACGCCATTCACCAGCCTCAGCCTCCCGAGTAGCTGGGACTACAGGCACCTGCCACCATGCCCGGCTAATTTTTTTGTATTTTTAGTAGAGATGGGGTTTCACCGTATTAGCCAGGATGGTCTCGATCTCCTGACCTCGTGATCCGCCCGCCTTGGCCTCCCAAAGTGCTGGGATTACAGGCATGAGCCACCGCGCCCGGCCGCTTTTTTCTGTATGATGTTGGGTTAACAATCCTCATGAATGCATCAGCTTTTAAATAAGAGTCCTGGAAGTTTTTATCTGGTCTACTGGTGTGATCTCCCAGGTTATCGGAAGTCTGTATACTTGTCAATGTCCTTTCCATGAATTTCCTTGAAGAAAATGCAAATTTTGGACTGTACCTTATTTTATTTTATTTATTTATTTATTTTGAGATGGAGTCTCGCTCTGTTGCCCAGGCTGGAGTGTAGTGGTGCGATCTTGGCTCACTGCAACCTCCGCCTCCCAGGTTCAAGCGATTCTCCTGTCTCAGCCTCCCAAGTAACTGGGATTACAGGCATGAGCCACCATGCCCAGCTAATTTTGTATTTTTAGTAGAAACGGGGTTTTACCACATTGGCCTGGCTGGTTTCGAACTCCTGACCTCAAGTGATCCACCCGCCTCAGCCTCCCGAAGTGTTGGGATTACAGGCATGAGCCACCGTGCCCGGCCTTAAACTGCATTTTGAGAAGAATCAAAGTAAAACAGTAATTTTCTGCAGATGACAAAAGACTTAGAGTAGCCATGGGTGAAGACGCGATTGGCAGGGAATTTGGTTACTTCTGAGGTTAAAACAGTTTAACATATAATCGTAATCACGACTGATAACATATACCAAGACATGTCAGAATTTTTAGGAATCTCATACAATTTTGGAACATATGTTAATAATACATTTATACCAATATAACTCCAACAGCATTCCACATTTGACAATGCTTCCTGTATGATTTTAACATACCACATAAGCCTCGTACATCTCCCTTGGACTTCTCGGGGTTCCTATTTGTTATATCCAAGTTAGTTCAGGTGAAAAAAACCCTTAATGTTAGGACTTGAAATTTGGTTTTGGGAAGTCAAATATCAGAGGCTTAAAACAATCTCAAAATAGGACCACAGGTCACTGTAAAATAAGCCATTCATTTAATCAAATTGGTAATTCAGAGATTTCCCAAACCAAAAACCTTTACTATGACAGAGAGGAGACTTAGTTTCCCAAGCAATCAATAGACCTACTAAAGACAGCGTGAGGCAAACAGAATGTCTCTCCCTCTTTCCCCTTTTTTTTTTTCTGTTTACTCAGAAGATAAAAATATTTTACAATCTCTTATTACTACACGAAATGTTGTTCAAAAGAAAAACAAACTCTGCTTTTCTTATACATCTCACGTACAGAATTGTTTCTCTTATATTTAGTAGTTTCAGTTACATATATTAATTACAGTGTTAACTTCGTGACCCTAATTTTCCGTTAAAAACTCAGCGAGTAATTTTGAACTGTATGTGTAGATGGAAACCATTTCATCATGTTTTACAGAGATGCATCTCCTAAATTTTTTTGTTAACAGATGTAAATATATTTAGCTTTCCTATGCCATATAAAAATAAGATACTAAAGTATATAAGCTTAAACTTACGCTTAGTAATTAATGTTTCAGTGTTTTACTTAGAAATGACTCAGACGTTTGTTTGTTTGTTGTTTGTTTTTTGAGACAGAGTCTCGCTCTTGTCGCCCAGGCTGGAGTGCAGTGGCGCAGTCTCGGCTCTCACTGCAACCTCTGCTTCCCGGGTTCAAGCGATTCTCCTGCCTCAGCCTCCTGAGTTAGCTGGGACTACAGGTGCATGCCACCACGCCTGGCTAATTTTTGTATTTTTAGTAGAGATGGGGTTTCACCATGTTGGCCAGGCTGGTCTGGAACTCCTGACCTCAGGTGATCCGCCCGCCTCGGCCTCCCAAAGTGCTGGGATTACAGGTGTGAGCCACTGCGCCCGGCCACAAAAGGAGATTAATAGGAGAAGTGGCATCACCCAGGGCACAGACCTCCTGCCAGCCCCGGGGGTCCTCGGCCTCCCAGTGACCGTGCGTCCCCGAGGCTCACCCGTCCCCTCCGTGGTCCCACCCCAGTCCTTGCAGCTCACCCCCTCCGGCCCCGCCAGCCCCTCACCCACGGGCTCCTCAGATCCTCAGGCTCTGTCCTTTCCTCCCCGCCTGACGGCCCGGCCTCCCCCGCAGGCGCCCTGGGCAGGACCGGCCCGCGGCACGGCCTGCGCTTGAAGGAGGCGGGAAGGGCCCAGCGCAGTGGCCGGTGTGCCCGGGGCGCACACGTGGTGTCGGTGATGTCGCCTGCGCCGACCTCCTGTTCCGTTCGTGGCGGAAGCTGCTCCGCCGCGTGGTGGCCGCGCGCCTCCTCCTCCGCTCGGCCGTTCCTCCTCTGCGGCCGCCACGCGCAGCGCGGCTGGGGTAGTTTGTGCGGACGCGCGTTGCTGGTCCCCGTGGTCTCTGCCCGGGAGAGGAACTGCCAGAGCCCGTGGTCGCTGTGTTCGACTTTCCGAGGAACGGGTGGGCTGTGGGGTGTGGCCACGCCGCCTCCCGCCCCTCGCGCCGTTGGCTCCGTGCAGATGCGGTCAGCAGGGGCCTCCGCGCCGCGGAACCCGTGGTCAGGTTCGGCCTCACCCGTGGACCCGTCTGGCGCCTCTGCGGGCGCGCTCGCTTCCTGGCAGCCTGGGCGCTGCCGGGGTGTGCTGTGCTCACCACCCGCCGCCTTTCCCATTTTCACGACAAGCCGTGGGAAACTGGCCATCCCCGTCCCTGCGGCGCCCGCGTGAGTCCGTGGCCGCGTCCTCTGTGCGAGTCCAGACCCGTGTGTCTCCCACCGCCCACCTGACTTCTCCCCCGGCGTCTGGTGGGCGCCCCTCCCTCGGGGATGAAACCCCGCAACGCGGCCCCGGCTTTGCCCGGGAGCTCGGTCGTCACGAGGGTCGCCCTCTCCTGCCGTTGCCGCCTCCGCCTGTTCTGAGGCCCACAGGGAGGCCGAGGAGATCCTAAGGTGGGGTCCCCTTGGTCAGACCCTCCCGTGGAGTTGGGCGTGTTCTGGCCGCGTCTGTCGGGAAACGGGGAGGTGTCGGGGCTTCCTGGCCTCCTGACGGCCGCACCGTCATCAGTCCCGAGCCCAGCTCAGGGAGGGCCTGCTCCCTTCTGCTCCAGGTGGGAGCGGCTCCTGCCCGGGGCGCCTCCAAGAGCACCCCTGCGAGCTCGCGACAGCCCCAGGCTAGGCTGCGGGACGGCCTACCGACCCTTGGTGTTGATCCTTGTGTCACGGGGAACCAGGTCCTGGAACCGCCTGGTGCCACCTCGGTGTGACCTGGATGTGTCCCGTCCCCATCCTCCTCAGAGGGTGGCCGCCTGGCGTGGCGCAGGATGATGCTCTGAGCCGGGTTGCCCAGCACGTGTTAGGGTCCTGGGTGGAGAGGACCTTTGGGAAGCAGCAGCCGGGCTGACGAGGGTCCGGATGCCTGCCCGGGGACCAGCGAGGTTCCGGGCGCCTGCCCGGGGGTCAGCTGGGCCGGCCGGATGTTTCTGGTGGAGACCTGGGAGGTGAGGCGGTGGGCTGCCGGCGGTCCCTCCCTGGCTGTGCAGAAGCTGCGGTGGAGTGTGAGCTGGACCTGGGGGTGCCCGGCCTGATGGGAAGGTGGCAGAGGCTGTGTGACATGGAGATAGGTCGTGAGGGCCCCAAGTCCGCCCCTTTGTCCCTGTGGGTCCCTCACTCTGGGAACCTCGGGCTGCTGAGGACTGAGACGTGCAGTGCCCTCCCCCTGGTGGAGCGGCCACCCAGCCAGCCACCGCAGAATTCTTGGCCCTCAGGCACTGCAGAAGAGCGAAAGCCCTGGCTGTGGGTCCCAGGTGTGGCTGGCAGTGGCCGGCGGCAGGCAGAGGCCCTGTCACCATGGGTGAGGTGTGGAGGTGCTAAGGCTAAGATCCCATCCTAGTTTTAACCTTCAAAAATATCATTCATGGTTTTTTCTTTGTTCATGAATACAAACCAGGGTGTATACATTGTGTAGTATTCAGAAAATACAAAACAGAAAGCACAGAGGCACCGTCGGCAGAGCAGCCAGGCCCTCACACGTGCATCTGCCTGGTTTTGAGAAGGGACCTTGCACCGTGCAGCGTGATCCCCTTAGGGCAACGCGACTTTATGCTGCTCTGTGAACCCTTTCCCATGCCATTAAGTATTTTTATAAAACATGGTTTTTAAATGCTGTTTATCATTCATCAGATTCTACCTTGTGTGATCAGAACTGGGGTCCTTGGGAAAGCCCACCCTTGATGGGGGACTGTTGGCCCCAGCCCCGTCTGTGATGGTGACCCCAACATGTGCTGTTGGCACCTCCCAGAAAGGGTTCCCCAGAGCCCATGGGCCACCTGACCCGTCCTTGCAGCTGTCCCATGGTACATCCATGTGTTGTGGGCAGTGAGCTGCAGGGAGGTGGGGTGCACAGAGAAGCTTGCCGCAGAGCTAAAACCAACACGGTGAACAGGGAAGGTGTCCTTCAAAACCGCAGCCTGGGCAGGAGCAGTGGCTCCTGCCTGTAATCCCAGCACTTTAGGAGACCGAGGCAGGCTGATCACCTGAGGTCAGGAATTCGAGACCAGCCTGGCGAACATGGAGAGACCCTGTCTCTACTAAAATTACAAAAATTAGCTGTGCATGCCTGTAATCCCAGCCACTCAGGAGGCTGAGGCAGGAAAACGGTTTGAACCCGGGAGGCGGAGGTTGCAGTCAGCTGAGATCGCCCCACTGCACTCCAGCCTGGGCAACAGAGCAAGACTCCATCTCAAAAAACAGAAAAAAAAAAAACAAACCTGTGACAGGCCCAGCGCAGTGGCTCACGCCTGTAATCCCAGCATTTTGAGAGGCCGAGGTGGGCGGATTGCTTGTGGTCAGGAGTTCAAGACCATCCTGGCCAACATGATGAAACCGCGTCTCTACTAAAAATACAAAAATTAGCTGGGCGTGGTGGCAGGCACCTGTAATCCCAGCTACTCGGGAGGCTGAGGCAGGAGAATCACTTGAACCCTGGAGGCAAAGCTTGCAGTGAGCCGAGATCGCCCCCCTGCACTCCAGCTTGGGCGACAAAGTGAGATTCCGTCTCAGCCTGGACAACAGAGCGAGACTCCATCTCAAAAACATAAAAACAAACATACAAAGAAACCCTGCGACCTACGTGGAGCCCACGGGGGCCAAACATGCCAGCACCCCCCTGGAGTGGCGGTGTGGGACCCCACACCTGTCACACCTGCTGGCCTCCTTCTCCATCTCCTGTGCAATATCCCTGGAAAGTTACTTTTTGTGTTTAAAATTGGTCATGTTAATTGTTAAGGAAAGGAACAATCCTTAAGTTAAATTGGTAAGTTTAAAAAAACGAAAGACAGACCGCAACAGGCGTTGGTGAGGCTGTGGAGAAATCAGAACCCTCGTGTGTTATCGATGCTAGCGTAAAATGGCACGTCCACTGTGGAAACAGTCTGGTAGTTCCTCAAAAAGCTAAACATAGAAACACCGAGACTCAGCAGCTCCAGTCCTAGGAATGTGTGTCCCCAGATCAGTGAAAACACACTCCACACAGAAACATGCACACAGCTGTTCACAGCAGCACTGTTTATAACAGCCAGACAAGGGGGTGCGGCCCGAATGTCTGCTGGACAAACAGCCCGTGGTCTGTGCACACAGTGGGGCAGGACTCAGCCACGGAAAGGCAGTTCCAGCACATGCTGCTGCAGGGATGAGTTTTGAAGACACCATGCCAAGTGAGGTCAGTCAGCCACAAGAGAACAGAACCTTGGCCGGGCGCGGTGGCTCACGCCTGTAATCCCAGCACTTTGGGAGGCCAAGGGAGGTGGATCACGAGGTCAGGAGATCGAGACCATCCTGGCTAACACACAGTGAAACCCCGTCTCTACTAAAAATACAAAAATTAGCCGGGCGTGGTGGCGGACGCCTGTAGTCCCAGCTACTCGGGAGGCTGAGGCAGGAGAATGGCGTAAACCCGGGAGGCAGAGCTTGCAGTGAGCCGAGATGGCACCACTGCACTCCAGCCTGAGCAACAGAGTGAGACTCCGTCTCAAAAAAAAAAAAAAAGAAAAAAAAAACAACAGAACCTGTGTGGTCTCCTTTATAGGAAATGCCCAAAATAGAAAGATTCACAGAGACACAAAATGGCCAGGGGCTGAGGAGGGGCAGAGGGAGTAATTGTTGATGGGCACATGGTTGGTTGTCTTTGGGGCAATGAAAATGTTCTGGGCTGAGGCAAGTGGATCACGTGAGGTCAGGAGTTCAAGACCAGCCTGGCCAAACATGGCAACACCCCGTCTCTACCAGAAATATAAAACTTAGCCGGGTGTGGTAGTGGGCGCCTGTAGTCCCAGCTACTCAGGAGACTTAGGCACAAGAATCACTTGAGCCAGGAGGCGGTTACAGTGAGCTGGGATCGCACCACTGCACTCCACCCTGGGTGACAGAGCGAGACCCTGTCTCAAAAAAAAAAAAAAAAAAAAGCTAGGCCAGGCGCGGTGGCTCATGCCTGTAATCCCAACACTTTGAGAGGCTGATGCGGGCAGATCACAAGGTCAGGAGATCAAGACCATCCTGGCTAACACGGTGAAACCCCGTCTCTACTAAAAATACAAAAAATTAGCCGGGCGTGGTGGCAGGCGCCTATAGTCCCAGCTACTCGGGAGGCTGAGGCAGGAGAATGGCGTGAACCCGGGAGGCGGAGCTTGCAGTGAGCCAAGATCACGCCACTGCACTCCAGCCTGGGCGACGGAGTGAGACTCCGTCTCAAAAAAAAAAGTTCTGGAGTTGGATAGTGGTGATGGTGACTCATGTATGTGAACATGTTGAAAACACCGAGTTGTAACTTTGAGGGTAAATTTTATGGTATGTGAATTATATCTCAAAGTTATAGAGCAGTTACTGAGGCTGGGTGTGGTGGCTCACGCCTGTAATCCCAGCACTTAGGGAGGTTGAGGCAGGAGGATTACCGAGCTCAGGAGTTTGAGACCAGTCTGGGTGACGTAGTGAGACCCCATCTCTACAAAAAATACCCCTCCCAAAATTATCCAGGTGTAGCGTGCACTCCGGTGGTCCCAGCTACTCAGGAGGCTGAGGTGGGAGGATCGTTTGAGCCCTGGAGATTGAGGCTGCCGTGAGCCGTGATCGCCCCACCGCACTCCATCCTGGGCGACAGTGAGACCCTGTCTCAAAAAAATTAAATAAAAATGGTCACTGAGATGGTAAACACATGGAATTCCCTTTGAAGCCAGTGGACACAGTGTGTGAGTCAAGGCTGCTGTTCACTGAGGAGGCCTGAACTCCCTCCCGAGGGGCCCCGGCTGTGCGTGGCCATCTTGCCAGCATCAGCTCATCCTGCTGTGCCCTCGTGCCTCTGGGGGCTGCTCCCGGGGGGCTCTGGGGTATCCACCCTGTCCCATGTGGAATGTTTCTGGTTCCCACTGACACTGTTTGGGGAGTGGTGGCCGCGGGGCTGTTTGCTTCTCCTGGAAGGGCCCCGGTGGGCACCTGGAGCTTTATGACGAGGAGGCTTTTAAGTTTTCTTGTAGACACATTTAAAAACTGAGAAACAAGTGAATTTATTTTAATAATATATTTTATTTAACTCCAGTATGCCCAAAATATTTCCATTTCCACATGCAGTCGATATAAAAAGCTGTCACAGAGATATTGACCCTTCTCTAATCACGTGTCTTGCACTTTCAGCTGTGGCTGCTGTGTCAGACAATATGAGGTGGGGAGGGGACAGGCCTTGGAGGCCTCCTTTGGGATCAACAGCTTCTGGGGGCTCTGAAGCCAGTGTTGCCCGCCCACTCGCTCTGGGTCTCAGGCCGGCCTCCAGCCCCCTGTCCTTGCCGCATCCTGGGGGTGGCGGCTGCAGGGCCCTCAAGGTTGGCGCTCTCAGAAGAGGGCAGTAAGGCCGGCTCTGTGGGGGTGGGGGAGCCTGGGAGCCCCCCATCGGGGTGCCAGGGAGACCTGGGGGGCACACAGCCCACTCTCTTGCCGCCTCCCGCCCTCCTGGCCACGCCTGCTGGCGGCACAAGGCCCACCTGGAGGGCCCACCGGTCCTCAGGGAAACACCACAGAAAAACCGCAGAGGAAGCGTGACCTGGCGCCCGGACAAGAATGCAGGGTGGCCCGGCTTCCAGTCCGTCTTGGGTGACTCACTGCGGTGTGCAGAAAACACCATTGTGCACCGCGGCCACAGGAAGCCCTCCGCCTCCCCGACTCCCTCCCACTCCCCCACCCCCTCCCCCTCCCCCACCCATCCCCCTCCCCCCAACCTCCCCCACCCCCGCCTCCGCCTGCCGCTCCTTTTCCAGGTCCCGGGGCTGGTGGTGCTGTGGCACCGATGGAGAGACTGACGGCCGCCGCTGGCCTGCCATGGCCACCTCTGAGCCTCTGCCAGCAACCTGGGTTCTTGTGGGGTCCTTCAAGGTCGGCCTGTTCAGGGGTCGTTTGAGGGAGCTTTGGGTCCTACTTGAGGGCGAAGCTTCGAGGGAGGGGCCCCTGCACATCCTGTTGGTCCCGCCGGTCCCGCCTTCCTGTGGAGGCTCCCTGGGAGGCCGCCGGGTGTCTGGCCAGGCCTCCCAGGAAACCGAGGAGCAGGGCTGCCCCCCATCCTGCCTCAGAGCCCATCTCCGGAGCAAGCCCCATGCCCAGGGCTCGGGGGCAGCTGTGCCTTCGCTGGTTTCCTTCTCTGGGAAGGGGGCATCCTGGGCTCAGCTGGGTTTGGGGTGAAGATGAGCCTTTCTGGGCGTGCGTGCCCCTCCCACGCCTGCGCTCCATTCGGCATCATCTACTCCATCTCACGGCCAGGCCTGGGACTCCCCACCCGGGGGGCCGGCCTCGGGGCCTCAGCCGGAATCTGCTACAGGTTCTGCGGTGGTCCAGGGGCCCTAGAGGTGCCAGCCTATGCCCACCTGGACACCTGCTCAGCGCACAGGGCAGCCACAGCCAATGACCGAAATCTGCACTGAGGCTGGGGGCTGGGGCTCCAGGCACAGTCACCTGCAGTCCCCTGAGACGCCTGGACCTCACTCAGGCCCTGGGGGGTCTGCCAGGCTCTGTGGGAAAGCACTGAGGCCGGGGGCTGGGGCTCCAGGCACAGTCACCTGCAGAGCCTTGGACCTCACTCAGGCCCTGGGGGTCTGCCAGGCTCTGTGGGAAAGGACACAGCCCTCGCCCTGCCCCCCGCCCTCAGCAGCGTCGCCTCCACAGTGAGTCAGGCACGTCCCCCGTGGGTCACCTCCTCCATGCCAGGCCGCCCCCAGGGGGGCTTCCTCGTTGTGCAGTTCTGCCCCGTGTGGGTAGGGACCCAGCTGTGTCGTCTCCCTGGGTGTGGATCGTGGGGCCAGGGAACAAGAGCCTCTGGGGTTCTCAGAACCCAACGTTCTGTGGTCACAGGACTCATGGCAACAATTTGGCTTGAGTTAGCACCTTTCAGAAGAAATGAAGACACTTAAAAGGGTTGGTTGTTAATTTTTTTTTTTTTTTTTTTTTGAGACAGAGTTTCGCTCTGTCGCCCAGGCTGGAATGCGGTGGTGCAATCTCAGCTCACTGCAACCTCCACCTCCTGGGTTCAAGTGATTCTCCTGCCTCACCCTCCCAGGTAGCTGAGATTACAGGCACCCACCACCGCGCCTGGCTAATTTTTGTATTTTTAGTAGAGACGGGATTTCACCATGTTGGCCAGGCTGGTTTTGAACTCCTGGCCTCAAGTGATCTGCCCTCCTCAGGCTCCCACAGTGCTAGGATTGCAGGCATGAGCCACTGTGCCCAGCTGTTGGTTGTTAATTATTTTTGTTTTTTGAGACGGAGTTTAGCTCCTGTTGCCCAGCTGGAGTGTAGTGGCACGGTCTCGGCTCACTGCAACCTTCATCTCCCAGGTTCACACCATTCTCCTGCCTCAACGTCCCGAGTAGCTGGGATTACAGGCACCTGCCACCATGCCCAGCTAATTTTTTGTATTTTTAGTAGAGACAGGGTTTCACCATGTTGGCCAGGCTGGTCTCGAACTACTGACCTTGTGATCCGTCCGCCTCAGCCTCCTAAAGTGCTGGGATTACGGGCGTGAGCCACCGCGCCCAGCCAGCAGTTGTTAATTTTAAGTGGAAGCTGCAAAACTGGTGAGTGGTGTCGCCCCATCAGGGAGCTGGGGAGCCCCGCTTGTCCTGGTGTGGGCTTGGGACCTGGCACCACGTTCCGAGAAAGATGCTGAGAGATCCAGACAGGCTTTTTCATCCTAAAATGAGGCCAGTTACAGAGAGTGTGCAGCGAGGGAATGTGAACTGAATCCTTGCCAGCCGTTTCCATTCTCAGTCACATCAGCCCATGTCTCCACTTGGCCATTTTTAGGTCCAGGGCTTTGTAGACACAGCTCCCTCCCTACACGCCGCATGCCACCATGCCTGGATAGATACCTGTTTTTTTCATAGAAACAGAGTCTCGCTATGTTACCCAGGCTGGTCTCAAACTCCTGGACTCAAGCAATCCGCCTGCTTTGGCCTCCCAAAGTGGTGGGATCAAAGGTGTGAGCCACCACGCCGGGCCAGTTTTCTGTTAACTTAAAACACAATATCTAAAACTGGGTAATTTATAAAGAAAAGGAATTTATTTCTTACAGCTCTGGAGGCTAAGTCTAAGGGTGAGGGGAGCATCCGAGGAGGCGTTCATGCTGGCGGGATTCTGAATGAGGAGGTATTCATGCTGGTGGGACTCCGAAGGGTCCTGAGGCGGCTCGGGGCAGCCATGGTGAGGGCCCAGCATGCGGGCTCAGGCCTCAGGCCTCTCCTCCTCCTCTTATAAAGCCACCAGTTCCACTCCCGTGATAACCCAGGAATCCATGAATGGATTAATCCCTCCAGTGGGGCAGGATCCTCACCCCCCGGGCACGTCCCAAGGCCCCACCTTGAAACGCCGCAGCATGGTGATGGAATTCCAGCGTGTTTCAGAGGGACACACTTTAAATTATAGCAGCCGCCCTCCCACAGAAGGGACAGGCCGACTGCCCCCTTCCCAGGCTGATCAGCAAAGTGAGTGCCATCGGGGCCTTGTACAAGTTCATCCTGAGCTCAGGGATAAAAACAGCCCTGCAGACTTGTGGAGAGGGGCTGACCCAGCCTGATGGTGAGAGACAAGCTGCGCCCGGGTCCTGGGCCTGTGCGCCCGCTGGCCTGGCTTCCCTGTACAGGGTGGGTCTGTCCATTCCGATTGGCTCGAGGCTCCACCTTTTTTAAAGAGGATCTTGGAACTCACAGCCCACTCAAGGGACGCAGATAAAAGGCCCCCAGTCTCAGATTTGGGGTTACCATTGGTCTGAGGGGCCGGTTCAGCTGTGCTGGACGTCCCTGGAGGGCCTTGCTGAGCAGCTGGGGGGAGGTGTGGGGGCCGTAGGGGCTGCTGTCTCCCCCAGAGCCCTCTTTTTTTTTTTTTTTTTTTGAGGCAGAGTCTCACTCTATCGCCCAGGCTGGAGTGTAGTGGTGCGATCTCGGCTCACTGCAAGCTCCACCTCCCGGGTTCACGCCATTCACCTGCCTCAGCCTCCGGAGTAGCTGGGACTACAGGCGCCCGCCACCACGCCCGGCAAATTTTTATATTTTTAGTAGAGACGGGGTTTCACCGTGTTAACCAGGATGGTCTCGATCTCCTGACCTCGTGATCCTCCCGCCTCAGCTTCCCAAAGTGCTGGGATTACAGGCGTGAGCGACCATGCCCGGCCCCCCCACCCCAAAGCCCTCTTAAAAGCCCCTTGGGAGCTTTGGGGCACGTGCAGGGCCGGCCAAATGTTGGAGGAGACACATCCAGGCGCCCAGAGGAAGAGTCACTGTTGGGTTTTAGTAAAACACCCACGCAGCGCAGTCGAACGTGAGGAGGAGGGGCTGGGCTTCAGAGCTTTCTGGAGACACAGCAAGGAGGTTGGGCCAGGGAGACCCTTGGAGGCCTGAGGCTGGGAGACCACAGGAGGCATGAGGGTGGGAGATCCCCAGAGGCATGAGGCTGGGGAGACCCCCGGAGGCGTGAGGCTGGAAAACCCCTGGAGGCTTGAGGCTCCGCATTTGTGTGCTGCGGGGCCTGGGGTGTCCATGGTGCCCAAGGGGAAAGCCCCCTCCGGCCTCCCCCCAGACCCTTTGCTGTGCCCCTCCCGCCTCCCGCCTCCCGCGTGTGTCCTTGGGTCCAGCCGGCGCATCCAAGACCTCGAATGCCTGTGGACCCGTGGGCTCCAGTGACGGAAGCACTGGGCACTTCTCCCACTCCAGCTGGGCCGTCTTCAGAACCAGGCCAGGAGCCGCTGCGTTGGGGTTTATGCTTGGATGGTGGACGGCCGTGGGTGTGTCTGGGGGGCCGCACTCTGGGGTCTGGAGCTGCGTCTCCATCCTTCCCTGTCAGGGACCCTCTGAAGGGCCTGCGGGCCACCAGTCACCCTCCCTTAGCCAAGGGATCCCGGGAGATGGGGGCGGGGACGCTGGGTTCTGGGTTGTGGGGCTGGCAGGGCAGAGCCCGAGAGCGGCCAGACCTGCCCTTTGCACGGCACAGAGGCCCCCAGGAAAGGGCCTGCGGTGAGCCGGGGGCAGATGGCCCCTTGGGGGCCAGGACCTCAGGTGGGTGGGCTTCGCGGGGGAGCAGTCACCTCTGCGGTATTTAGGGCAGGCGGACAGAGGTGGAGGGGCCGCCCCGTGTTCGCCGCGGCCGCCGGGCTGGGCTCTGCCTGCAGCGCTGGCCTGGTGGGAAACGGAGACCCAGCCTGGGCGTGCGGGTAGGGGAGGCGCCTGGGACCGACGCGGCTGAGACGGAGGAGGCGCTGCCGGGTTCCACCAGCAGAGGGGCCCAGAGACCGGCCCGGACGCGCGGCGGTCGGCGTGGGGTGCCCGGGACTGGCTGCTCCGCAGGCCGCCCCCGCCCGCCCGCTCCGGTGCCTCTGTGAACGGGCGGGTTTGCTGGCGAGCGTTCTGGCCTCCACCACTCCGGGTGCAGCAGATGCGGGGCCTTCCCGGTCACAGGACCCTGGGACGCTGGGAGGCAGTGTTGGCTCCGCACCTCTCTCGGAGCCTGACGGCCTGGCTGGGGCTGCCCCGTCGGGTCCCCGCAGCGCGCAAGGCCGTCCCCAGCCTGCTGAGGGGGGACGGGCTGCACTCCTGGAAGGGAGGGGTGGGGGCTGAGGAGCGGCCTGGGGTGGGGGTCGGGACACAGACACCCCAGAGGAGGGCTGGGGAGAGGGTCTACCGCCCACTGAGGCTGTGGCCGGGGGAGTACTGAGAGCCCAGGGAAGTTTCCAGAAGCCGCTGGGAGTGCCCGTGGGAATGGAGGTGGTGGTGGGGGACCTGCTGCCTTTATTCATTTGCTCATCAGACACCATCAGCGCCACTAATGCCGCTGCCGTCTGGGGGTCGAGGGGTGCGTTGGTGCAGGAAGCCAAGTCCACCCTCCAGACGGCCACGGGGCACGCCAGGGGCAGGAGTGTTGGCCAAGAGCAGCCGTCGCCTCTGCCGTTTGGGACAAGACAAACAGAGGTGGAGCGGCCTCCTGTCAGGGCCTCCCTGTGCGATGGGGGTGTCACGAGGCTCACCCCGCCCTGGCTGCACTCAGCCCCCAGCTCTCAGCTCCAGATAACTTGCTGCCAGCCACCCTGGTTCTGTGCAGGGGCCTCATTTTTCTTTCTTTTCTTTTTCTTTTTCTTTTCTTTTTCTTTTTTTTTTCCTTTTTCCTTGCCTTTTATTTTCTTTCTTTTCCTTTCCTTTTCTTTTCTTTTCTTTCTTTTCTTTTTCTTTTTTGGAAACAGGGTCTTGCTCTGTCACCCAGGCTAGAATGCAGTGGCCCAATCTTGGGTCACCGCAGCCTTGACCTCCTGGGCTCAAGCGGTCCTCCCACCTCAGCCTCCTGAGTAGCTGGGACTACAGGTGCATGTTACCACGCCCAGCTGATTTTTTTTTTCATAGGATGGGGTCTCACTATGTTGCCCAGGCTGGTCTCAAACTCCTGAGCTCAAGTGATCCTCCCGCCTCGGCCTCCCACAAGGCTGGGATTACAGGCGTGAGCCACCGTGCCCAGCCAGTTTCACGTTTTATTCACTCTTCAGAGCACAGAGGCCTCTGCCTGGCATTGGGGCACGGGCAAGGTGTCTGTGGGCAGCGGGTCCCACCAAGGGTTCCAGGGCAGCAGATGGTAGGCAGGGCGGGGAGACCATGTGCATGGTACCCACCCCTGTGCCGGCCGGCAGGAGAAGCCAGGCTCATGCTGAGTCAGGCTAACTCTAACATTTATCAGGAACTTGATCTACTTCAATGTGATGTAAGAAAATCAAATGTGCTTTCAGCAGAAGATCCAGGGAGGAAACCAACAATAGAGAGAAATGGTGGCTTCTGCTGCCTTACAGAGTGGGAGCTGTGCCTGAGCCTTCTGCCTCTCAGCCCAGAGCCTGGCATTTCTTGAACCATGAGACGTAAAGTTTATTGTTGAGAGCCTGAGAAACTGTGGATGCTGGGGACGGGTGAGTGGCTGGGGACGGGTGAGTGGCCTGCGACGGCCGCCCTGGGCTCCGTCCGCGGCTCTGCAAATCCTTGGGCCACGGACACCAGCACGAATGAGTCCAGGACCTGTGTGGGGGGCCCACCCTGCCCCCGTTGGTCCTGTGGTCCAGGGGTCCCCAGGGAGCAGTTGGGGAAGCAGCGGGGGTTGGGGCTCTGGCCCCTGCTCTGGCCCTGGGTGCCCACCGCCTTCCCCCGGGGGTGCTGGCCCAGCCCTCTGTGGGTCAGAGCCCACTGTGCCGGACCCCAGCGCAGTTAGGAGGTCCAAGGGTGGGATGTGCGGATGTGCGGGGCTCCCAAGTAGGGTCTTTGGACACCCGCTGGCAGAGGCCCTGGGAATTTGGGAATGGCCACTGGCTCACCTGTGGGAAAGCACTGTGTCCCCTCCCAGCCCCTGGCTCACCTGTGAGACAGCACGTGTCCCCTCCCAGCACCCGGCTCGCCTGGGGGATAGCACTGTGTCCCCTCGAGCACCTGGGAGGGCTGTGGCAACAGCTCTGAGGGGATAGGTAGGGGCTGAGGCAGATGAGGTGGCACTGGGAGCAAGGAGGAGACAGGCGTGGCCAGGAGGGGACTGTGGCTTTTAGTGATTTTTTTTTTTTTAAGACAGAGCTTCACTCTTGTTGCCCAGGCTGGAGTGCAATGGTGCGACCTTGGCTCACTGCAACCTCTGCCTCCCGGGTTCAAGCATTTCTCCTGCCTCAGCCTCCCAAGTAGCTGAGATTAGAGGCATGTGCCACCACGCCCAGCTAATTTTATATTTTTAGTAGAAATGGGGTTTCTCCATGTTGGTCAGGCTGGTCTCGAACTCCCGACCTCAGGTGATCCTCCGGCCTTGGCCTCCCAAAGTGCTGGGATTATAGGCATGAGCCACCGCGCCTGGCCGGCTTTTAGTGATTTTTTTTGCATGATTTTTCAGAATTTGCAAATGTAGTTTTCCAAATATTGTATTACATGCATAATTGCCTTTATAGGCAGCTGAGGCAATAAAAAGCAAATAAAAGTGGAGAGTGGTAGAGTGAGGAGACTGGGACGAGACCTGCTTTGATCCTGGCTGAGCTCAGTTTTCTCATCTGGGAGATGGGCACGCCTCTTTCATGAAGGCGGAGGGAATAGTGTGCAGAGGCCTTGTGGGCTCCCTGACCCTTCCCCAAGAGCTGGCGTGGGGAGCCTCTGCCTCTGTTGGGGAAGGACCCGCGATCTGCTGTGGGCTGAGTTGTTTCCCCCCAAATTCCCATGTTGAAGCCCTAGGCGCCATGTCACTGTATTTGGAGATGGGGTCTTGGCAGAGGTAAAATGAGGTCGTTGGGGTGGGCCCTAATCCAGTAGGACTGGTGTCACCACAAGAAGGGGAGATCAGGACACAGACGCACATGGGGGGACCCGTGAGGACCCAGGGAGGAGACCCAGGGAGTGGGGCCCACCCTCCCCACCCAGTCTCAGAGCTGCAGCCTCGGGACAGTGAGGACACACGTCCCTGTCACTCGCGCCCTGTGTGTGGTGCTTTGTACGGCCCTGGAGGACACTCCACATCCTTCGGGGTCTATGCAGAGATGGCGTGGGGGTGTGACTGCCCCGCCTCGGGACCCATCCCTATCCCACAGGTCTGTCTTCCCCTTCATTTCCTGGTGAAGAGCCCAGGCTGGGGCATCCACGGTTCTGGGCATGGTGGAGAGGGCCTTCTGAGAAGGGCAGCGACCACTTTCTGGAGCCCTTGGAAGCTGGCGGTGGGCTCTGCGTGGCTGGGTCTGCCCTGCTGGGAGGAGCCCTAAGACCCTGGATCTCGGGCCTGCTGGTCCATCTCCCCCAAGGCCAATTAAGGTGACAGCAAAAGAATTAAAAAGGCAAAACCCCTTAGGGGCAAAGAGAAGGAGAGAGGCGAAAACTGGGGGGCTCGGGAATGGAGGCCCAGGTTTCCTGGGTACGGGCGTCTGGAGGGCTGAAACGGACCTGGGGCGGCCTTCATGGGGTGCTGCCAGACCCTGCGGCCCCCGACCCTCGGAGACCCTGGGCCAGGGTGTGCTGGCTGCTGCTGCTGCTGGGCTGGGGGTGGGGAGGGCTACAGAGGAACGGGGTCTGCAGCTCCCTGCCTGTGCCCCCAAACTCAGTGGCTGGCAGGTGCGGCTGGGAGGGCTTTTTCCTGGACAGACCAGCCGGGAGGAGACGCGTTCGGGTCTGCATCTTCTGGGGCCCCTCAGGTCACTCACAGTGGGGCCCCACTCCTGGGGTGCCCCCAACCCATTTCCAAGCAGATGACTAGTGCCTCACTTTCAGATATGCATAGCAGTCCCCACACTGCCATGGAGGGGAGAGGGGTCAGCGCCGGGGATCCTGCAGGAAATGAGCCAAGCCGAGCCACAGGGTCTCCCGTGGCGGGTGATATGCTTTGGCTGTGTCCTCACCCACATCTCAACTTGAATTGTATCTCCCAGAATTCCCACCTGTTGTGGGAGGGACCCAGGGGGCAGTAATTGAATCCTGGGGCCGGTCTTTCCCATGCTGTTCTCATGGTAGTGAATATGACTCACGAGATCTGATGGCTTTATCAGGGTTTCCACTTTTGGTTCCTCATTTTCTCTTGCTGCCACCATGTAAGAAGTGCCTTTCGCCTTCCACCGTGATTCTGAGGCCTCCCCAGCCATGTGGAAATGTGAGTCCAATTAAACTTGTTTTTGTTCTGAGTCTCAGGTATGTGTTTATCAGCAGCGTGAAAACGGGCTAACGCAGTAAATTGGTACCAGTGGAGTGGGGTATTGCTGAAAAGATACCCAAAAATGTGGAAGCGACTTGGAACTGGGTAACAGGCAGAGGTTGGAACAGTTTGGAGGGCTCAGAAGACAAGAAGATGTGGGAAGGTTTGGAACCTCCTAGAGACTTGTTGAATAGCTTTGACAAAAATGCTGATAGTGTTATGAACAATAATGTCCAGGCTGAGATGGTCTCAAATGGAGATGGGGAACTTGTTGAGAACTGAAGCAAAGGTGACTCTTGTTATCTTTTAGCAAAGAGACTGGCAGCATTTTGTGCCTGTCCTAGAGATTTATGGAACTTTGACCTTGAGAGAGAGATGATTTAGGGTATCTGGTGGAAGAAATCTCTAAGCAGCAAAGCATTCAAAAGCTGACTTGGATGCTGTTAAAAGCATTCTGGGACCAGGCACAATGGCTCACACCTGTAATCCCCACACTTTGGGAGGCTGAGACGGGCGGATCACGAGGTCAGGAGTTCAAGACCGGCCTGACCAATATGGTGAAACCACATCTCTACTAAAAATACAAAAATTAGCCGGGCGTGGTGGCACGCACCTGTAATCCCAGCTACTCAGGAGGCTGAGGCAAGAGAATCACTTGAACCAGAAAGGCAGAGGTTGCAGTGAGCCGAGATCACACCACTGCACTCCAGTCTGGTGACGGAGCAAGACTCCATCTCAAAAACAAAACTAAAAAAGAATTATGTTTAAAAAGGGAAACAGCATAAAAATTCAGAAAATGTGCAACCTGACGCAGTAGAAAAGAAAAACCAATTTTTTCAGGAGAAATTCAAGCCGGCTGCAGAAATTTACATAAGTAGCAAGGAGGCTAATGTTCATCCCCAAGACCATGGGGAAAATGTCTCCAGGTCATGTCAGAGACCTTCATGGCAGCCCCTCCCATCATAGGCCTGGAGGCCCGGGAGGAAAAAGTGGTTTTGTGGGCTGGGCCCAGGGTCCCTGTGCTGTGTGCAGTCTAGGGACTTGGTGCCCCATGTCCCAGACACTCCAGCCGTGGCTGAAAGAGGCCAACATAGAGCTCGGGCTGTGGCTTCAGAGGGTGGAAGCCCCAAGCCTTGGCAGCTTCCACGTGGTGTTGAGCTTGTGGGTCCACAGAAGTCAGGAAATGAGGTTTGGGAACCTCTGCCTACATTTCAGAAGATGTTTGGAAATGCCTAAATGTCCAGGCAAAAGTTTGCTGTGGGGCGGGGCCCTCATGGAGAACCTCTGCTAGGGCAGTGCAGAAGGGAAATGGGTGGGGGCCGGGCACGGTGGCTCACACCTGTAATCCCAGCACTTTGGGAGGCCGAGGCAGGCAGATCACAAGGTCAGGAGATCAAGACCATCCTGGCTAACACGGTGAAACCCCGTCTCTACTAAAAATACAAAAATATTTAGTCGGGTGTGGTGGCGGGCATCTGTTGTCCCAGCTACTTGGGAGGCTGAGGCAGGAGAATGGTGTGAACCCGGGAGGTGGAGCTTGCAGTGAGCTGAGATCGCGCCACTGCACTCCAGCCTGGGCAACAGAGTGAGACACCATCTCAAAAAAAAAAAAAAAAAAAGGAAATGGGTGGGAGCCCCCACACAGAGTCCCTACTGGGACACTGCCTAGTGGGACTGTGAGAAGCAGGCCACTGTCATCCAGATGCCAGAATGGTAGATCCACCGACAGCCTGCACCATGTGCCTGGAAAAGCAGCAGACACTCAACACCACCTGTGAAAGCAGCTGGGAGGGAGGCTGTACCATGCAGAGTCACAGGGGTGGAGCTGCCCAAGACCATGGGAACCCACCTCTTGCATCAGCATGACCTGGATGTGAGACCTGGAGTCAAAGGAGATCATTTTGGAGCTTTAAAATTTGACTGCCCTTCTGGATTTCAGACTTGCGTGGGCCCTGTAATCCCTTTGTTTTGTCCAATTTCTCCCATTTGGAACTTTTTTTTTTTTTTGAGATGGAGTCTCGCTCTGTTGCCCAGGCTGGAGTGCAATGGCGCGATCTCGGCTCATTGCAACCTCCACCTCCCAGGTTCGAGTGATTCTCCTGCCTCAGCCTCCCAAGTAGCTGGGACTATAGGTGGGTGCCACCACGCCCGGCTAATTTTGTATTTGTAGTAGAGACAGGGTTTCTCCATGTTGGTCAGGCTGGTCTCAAACTCCCGACCTCAGGTGATCCACCCTCCTCGGCCTCCCAAAGTGCTGGGATTATAAGAATGAGCCACCATGCCCGGCCCAGAATGGCTGTATGTACTGAATACCTGTACCCCCATTGTATCTAGGAAGTAACTAACTTGCTTTTGATTTTACAGGCTCATAGGCGGAAGAGACTTGCCTTGTCTCAGATCAGACTTTGGACTGTGGACTTTTGGGTTAATGCTGAAATCAGTTGAGACTTTGAGGGACTGTTGGGAAGGCATGATTGGTTTTGAAATGTGAGGACGTGAGATTTGGAGGGGCCGGGACGGAATGATGTGGTTTGGCTGTGTCCCCACCCAAATCTCAACCCGAATTGTATCTCCCAGAATTCCCACGTTATGGGAGGGACCCAGGGGGAGTAATTACATCATGGGGGCCAGTTTTTCCCATGCTATTCTTCTGATAGTGAGTAAGTCTCATGAGATCTGACGGGTTTATCAGAGGTTTCCTCTTTTGCTTCTTCCTCATTTTCTTTTTTTTTTTTTTTTTTTGAGATGGAGTTCTGCTCTGTCACCCAGGCTGGAGTGCAATGGTGCAGTCTCAGCTCACTGCAACCCCTGTTCCCAGGTTCAAGTGATTCGCCTTTCTCCGCCTCCTGAGTACCTGGGAGGCACCACCACCACGCCTGGCTGCTTTTTGTATTTTTAGTAAAGACAGGGTTTCGCCATGTTGGCAGGCTGGTCATGAACTCCTGACCTCAGGTGAACTGCCCGCCTCAGCCTCCCAAAGTGCTGGCATTACAGGAGTGAGCCACTGTACCCGGCTCTCATTTTCTCTTGCCACCACCATGTAAGAAGCGCCTTTCGCCTCCCACCATGATTCTGAAGCCTCCCCAGCCATGTGGAACCATAAGTCCAATTAAACCTCTTTTTGTTCCCAGTTTCAGGTATGTCTTTATCAGCAGCGTGAAAATGAACTAATATGGGGGTTAGGAAGAGAAGCCAGGAATAAGAGAGGAGACCCTTGTAAAAAGCTTCAGAAAACCAGAACTCGTGGATAGTATTAAATTTGTGATAGCAGAAATGAACCTTTCAGTGAGAGGGTTGCAAAATAAAGTTCAGGAAATCTCCCAAAAAGGCAGAGAAGGAAAGATGAGAAGACAAAGTAATTCTCAGGAAGTGTAAGTTCTAAACAGCAGGAGTTCCTGAGGACAGAACTGAGGGCGTGGAGGGCAGGACACCATCGGGAAGCCACATGCAGAAGGGTGGCCACGGAGCCCCCAGGGGACCACACCATGTCCGTCCTGCTGGGATCCGGCCACGGCCCCGGGGTCTCCCCAGAAGATGCTGGCACTCGAGTCAGGGGGCATCAGATTTCTCAGCAACCCCTGAGGCTAGAAGACAGTAGAGGGGCGTTACCATGACCGTCAGGAGAATGACCCCTGCCCCACAGCCACGCACAGCCAGGCTTCCAGTGGAGGTGCAGTGTGCGTGTGTCATGGGGACGTGGATGCGCCTGTGCCACAGGGACAGTCTGTGTATGTCACGGGGATGTCGGTGTGCACGTGTTACGAGGATGTTGGACGCGTGTCACGGGGACATGGTTGCCTGTGTGTCTTGGGGATGTGTCTTGGGGACGCGGGTGCACATGTGTCACGGAGACGCGGTTGCCTGTGTGTCTTGGGGACGCGGGTGCATGTGTGTCACGGGGACGCGGGTGCCTGTGTGTCTTGGGGATGCGGGTGCACGTGTGTCACGGGGACGCGGGTGCCTGTGTGTCACGGGGACGCGGGTGCCTGTGTGTCACGGGGACGCGGGTGCCTGTGTGTCTCGGGGACGCGGGTGCCTGTGTGTCTTGGGGATGCGGGTGCACGTGTGTCACGGGGACGTGGGTGCCTGTGTGTCTTGGGGACGCGGTCGCCTGTGTGTCTTGGGGACGCGGGTGCCTGTGTGTCTTGGGGACGCGGGTGCCAGTGTGTCTTGGGGACGCGGTTGCCTGTGTGTCTTGGGGACGCGGTTGCCTGTGTGTCTTGGGGACGCGGTTGCCTGTGTGTCTTGGGGACATGGGTGCACATGTGTCATGGGGACGTTCTCAGACAAGCAAAGGGCTACTCAGTGCTCCTCCCTTGCGGTTCTGCCTGAGGTGCTCCTGGAAAAGGTGCTCCCTTAGAACTAGGAGGTGAACTTCGGGGAGCACAGGGGACAAGAGGGAAGGGGGTCCAGGGTGAGCAGGGCTGCAGTGCAGCCATCCAGACGGAGGCAGGCAGAGGCTGGGGAATGGGTGTCTCCACAAAGCGTGTGAACCCCAGAGCCAGGCGTGCAGTGCTGCAGACGGGGCCGTTCACCAGGGGAACAGAGGGCGCCCGGCTGTGGACCGTGGAGCCACAGTTCCTTCTGTCTTTCCCCCTCGTTCTTTCAATCTGGTCCTTCTTTGATCTGTTTTCAGATTCACTGACTCATCTGCCATCCACCTGCTGTGAAGCACAGCCACTGAGTCAAACACATTTCAGTGATGACACTTTTTATTGCCGAGTTTCCATTTAGCTCTTTTATGTAGTTTCATATAATCTTCATTTCTCTCCTTTTACTCATTAAAACCATATTTTTTAACTTTATTCATGGTTTTTTGGGGTTTTCTTGAGACAGGGTCTCGCTCTGTCATGCAGGTTGGAAGGCAGTGGTGCGATCTCGGCTCACTGCAGCCTTGATCTCTGGGCTTCCAGCGACTCTTCTGCCTCCGCTTGCTGAGTAGCTGGAACCAAAGGCGTGAGCCACCACACCCGGCTACTTTTTAATTTTTTTGTACAGTTTGACCATGTTGCCTAGGATGGTCTCAAACTCCTGGGCTCAAGTGATCCTCCCGCCTCAGCCTCCCACACTGCACTCGGCCTCCTTGAACTGTTTGAACATGTTTTCTGTTCATTCTGTGAACGCAGTTGAAATCGTTGTGTTAAAGTCTTTGCTAACACCAATAACTTTGAGGCCTTCCTCGAAGTTGCTTTCTGTTCTCTGTTTTTTGTGTTTTTCCACTTGTTTATGGGTCATATTTCCTTGTTTCTTTTTAGGTCTTGTGATTTTTATTACGTGCTGAGTTTCGTGAATTATCCATTGTGGAAACTCTGGATTTAGGTATCATCCTCTGAAGAGCATTGTTTTTCGCTCCGGTGGGCTGTTCAGCTTCTGGCTGAGTCCCTTGAACTTGGGGTTGTGTCTTGATGTTTTGTCAGGGGCTCTTCGGAGAGCCTAGGGCCTTTCTCAAGCCTCCTAAGCTGGGTGGGACTCAACCTTCTCCAGCTTTCACGGGCTTGGTCTGGATCTGTCCTCCGGCTTTCGTGGGCTTGGTCTGGATCTGGCGAGAGGCTCTGGAGCAGGCCTTCCTCTCAGCATGGTCTTCGGCTGTGGCCGTCTGGTCCTGGTTGTGTGTTGATGGGGTCCTTCCTCTTGGCTGGCCTGGACTGCAGTGTGTCAGGCGCTGTGTGGCCTCTGGTGTCTCCACTGTATTCTCAGCCCTGGGGCCGCGGGTCCTGGGAGGCTCGGGGGTCCTCCTGCCCACACACTCACTGCCCCAGCAGCCCCTCCTGCAGGTGTGTGTCCCCCAGTGGCCCCCTCGGCATGGTGGGACACTGTGCCCAGCCCAGGCTCCAGCGTGGGGAGCAGCTGTCCTGGGGCTGCCTTGGGCACTGACTGCTGTCGGGAAACGTGGCCTCACACTGCCTGTTGCCCAGAAACTGGTTTCCTAAGATATATCATCCAGTTTTACGTCGTTTGCAGTGGGAGAGCCACAGTCCCTCCCCGACGGTGGAGCAGGAGTCTGGAGCAGCCTGCGTGAGAAAGGAAAAGGCATCCTAACCTCCATGTGACGCGGCTGGGAACGGCCTCTGTCCGTCCTGAGTCCACAGACGATGTCCACGTAACTTTTTTCAGGAGGTTGTGTTGTTGTGTGTTTAGGGGTGCGTGTTGGCCGACAGGTGAGACAGATTCTTACCCTGCCTGGGCGGAGCTGTCAGTAATGTGTAAAACTGAAGGCCTCTAAGTGACTGTGCCGCGTGTGGCTGAGAAACACACACAGGTCCGTCTCCCCGGGAATGGCCACCGTGAGGGCTGCCTGGGGGAGGGCGGCACAGCTCTCTCCTGCACGCCTGTGTTAGGATTCGGAGTTCACATGCTGAGCTTTGTGTAACTGCTGTGTGTGATTCAAACTAAAGCTATGCACTCAGAGAAAGCCTTTTTATGCAGCCTTGCGTAAGCAGACTGAAGGAGAAGGGTGACCCTCGTAAGTGTAGATAAGGGTTTTGCATCAAAAACACTCCCAGGGGCCAGGCGCGGTGGCTCACGCCTGTAGTCCCAGCACTTTGGGAGGCTGAGGCGGGTGGATCACCTGAGGTCAGGAGTTCGATACCAGCCTGACCAACATGGGGAAACCCCATCTCCACTAAAAATACAAAAATTAGCCAGGCGTGATGGCGCATGCCTGTCATCCCAGCTACTCGGGAGGCTGAGGCAGGAGAATCGCTTGAACCCGGAAGGCGGAGGTTGCAGTGAGCTGAGATGGCCCCACTGCACTCCAGCCTGGGCATTGCAGAGAGACTCTGTCTCCAAAAAAAAAAAAAAGAAAGAAAGAAAGAAAAGAAAAAAAAACACTCTGAGGGAGACTGAGGTCTGCCTGGGATGAGAGCTGTCAGCGGCCGCCTGGAGTCTTACGGAGCTGCGTACTGGGTCAGCCGTGAGGGCGTCACTCCGAGGTCCCTGGTCCTGCAGGCGCCCTTGCCCTCTGGAGGAGAGCACCTCTCTCCCATGTGGCTCCCTCAGGGCAGGACACACAGCCTGAGGGGGACATGGCAAGGGGGGTCACGCTGTCCTCAAGAACAGGCCCCTCTGCACTCCCGCGAGGGTCTGTCTACTGTGCCCCCCCCCAGGGCCCCTCCCACCCCCTGCCCTCCCTGCTGAAAGCTGGGACGGTTTGGCAGGGAACTGGAATGCAGGGTCCAAACTTGGCAGCCGTCACCCCAGCTGGGAGAGGAGTGTGGAGCTGCCCGCTATGCTCAGCGACTGGGGGTCCCACTTGGGCCCCCCCAGGCACCAGCTCCCTCCACCACCTCCAGGGGCTGTGGGCGTGGGCTCTGCATGGCTGCCTGTTGCAGTGGGCTCTGCATTCACCTGATTGTCTGTTTCTGCAGATCCTCGTTCCTAGCTGCCTGCCAGCGTCCTCGGCCCGGCCCTGAGGATGGACCCAGGAGATCCCGCTGGTGACCCTGCCGCTGGCGAGCGCCACCGCATGGGTGAGTCTGAGCCTGATGGTGCCGAGTCTCCCTGGGGCTGTGGGGGGAGGTGCGTGGGTGTGCATGGGGGGTGGTGGCGCCCACTGTGTACTCAGTGACGAGGGCCAGGCTGCTGGCCCCTAGCTGCGGGCCTCTCTACAGTGTCCACGGCTTGGGACCTTGTGAGTCCGGAGGCCCCACTGTGGCCTTGTTGTCCTCGGGGGTCAGGACAGGCCGCCTCCTTGGGCCCCAGCGTGGGTGGCCTGGCGCCGGGCCTGTGACAGGATCCGGGGGAGGTGGCGGGGACAGTGCAGCTGCTCAGGGCTGGCCGCAGAGGTGGGAGCTCTGGTCCCCTCTGTCCCTCGGGGAGCCAGGCGGAGGGCCCGGAACACCCTTGGGGGCTTAGCGCCGCCACTGGGGGCTCAGGGAACCCACAGCCTCTTGGGTCTCGGGCGGTTCCAGGGTGGCCTCCAGGGTCCCTAGTTTTTTAAACTGAGGCATTTTTCATCCCTTCGAGTTAAGAAGAACATCTGCCCTCCCAGCAGCTTTTTCAGGTTAAAAAAGAGAAATGAGAGGCACCTTCCCTGTGGGCAAAGCCGGGGAGGCCGCATCCCCGCTCGCTCGGCTGCCCTGCCAGATTCAGTGCTGAGGATAAACAGCCCGAGGGGAGGTGCAGCCTCTCTCCCTCCTGTTCCTACAGATCGAGACCCTGCAAGCTGAAGACTGGGCCAGGGTTAGGGAAGCGGAGGCTGGAAGGCCGGGATTAGGGAAGCGGAGGCTGGGAGGCCGGGGTTAGGGAAGCGGAGGCTGGGAGGCCGGGGTTAGGGAAGCGGAGGCTGGGAGGCCGGGGTTAGGGAAGCGGAGGCTGGGAGGCCGGGCTTAGGGAAGCGGAGGCTGGGAGGCCGGGGTTAGGGAAGCGGAGGCTGGGAGGCCGGGGTTAGGGAAGCGGAGGCTGGGAGGCCGGGGTTAGGGAAGCGGAGGCTGGGAGGCCGGGGTTAGGGAAGCGGAGGCTGGGAGGCCGGGGTTAGGGAAGCGGAGGCTGGGAGGCCGGGGTTAGGGAAGCGGAGGCTGGGAGGCCGGGGTTAGGGAAGCGGAGGCTGGGAGGCCGGGGTTAGGGAAGCGGAGGCTGGGAGGCTGGGGTTAGGGAAGCAGAGGCTGGGAGGCCAGGGTTAGGGAAATGGAGGCTGGGAGGCTGGGGTTAGGGAAGCGGCGGCTGGGAAGGAGTGGAGCTGCCTAGTGCCAGAGGGGTCAGCCCGAGCCTCAGCTGCTCTCTGTGCCGGGGACGGGCTGGGGCGGGAAGCCTCCTGGCAGGGGCTCGGCCCCAGTGGGAGCTGTCCGGGGCCATGGCTTTGTGGGCAGAGGGTGAGAAGGGGGTGCCGGGGCCCCTTCACATCCTTCACCCTGCAGTCCTTGTAAACAGCAGTGAGAGCTGTAAGGCCCTGGCCCAGCCGCCTCGCCCTGGGCTGCAGGCCCTCAGTTTGTTGTGGGTTTACTGCCTTTTCACTCACCGCCCCCTGGCCTTTGCCCAGTTCCACCCTACACATGCCCTGCCTGGCAGCCCCTCCATGGGGCAGGGCCATGGCCCTCCCCTCTGTGAAAGCCCTGCTCCCACATGGCAGCAGCTGAGGCTCTCTGCCTCAGTTTCCCTATCCCACGCAGTTGCCTCCTCGGGCCTTGGACCCCTCCAGGGGCTTCCTCTCTGCCTTCCTCTTCTGTGTCCCAGTGGGTGCTGAGGGCTGTGGGGGCACCTCCGGGCATGTCGCCTTCCCTGATGTAGCCAGGTCAGCGTGTGCTCGGGGAGGGGCCACCTCTGAGCTGGGCGGGGCTTGGTGTGGATGTGGCCCCCTCAGCAGGCACAACCCTGGCTGTCCTGTGGGGCCCTGACCACACACCTGCCCCTCTGGGGATGGGCCCAGACCCCCTCACCCTTCCGTTCATCCACCGCCTCCTCTGAGGCCATCTGCGGGCCCCGGGCCTGCACCTGTGTGGGATGAGGCCCTGTTACCTCCCCTGGAGACCGCCGTCAGGGCCGGGGAGCGCATGGGACCCTGGGTTCGCCTCAGCACAGAGCTGACTCTCCCTGCACAGGCACCCACAGGCTTCTACAGCCTCTTCTCCACCTAAGCAGAGTGGGATGTTTTCAAAGTGCAACACCCCAGCTAGCAGGGCCCCTGGAACAGCCTCGGCGCCCCCTGGAACACTAATGGCCCTCCCTGGAACAGACACGGCACCCCCACCGAGAACAGCCTCGGTGCCCCCTGGAACAGCCTCAGCACCCCCTGGAACACTAATGGCCCTCCCTGGAACAGACACGGCACCCCCACCGAGAACAGCCTCGGTGCCCCCTGGAACAGCCTCAGCACCCCCTGGAACACTAATGGCCCTCCCTGGAACAGATACGGCCCCCCGCCAGAACAGACATGGTGCCCGCTGGAACACTAATGGTCCTCCCTGGAACAGCCTCGGTGCCCCCTGGAACACTAATGGCCCTCCCTGGAACAGACACGGCGCCCCCCCACAGAACAGCCTCGATGCCCCCTGGAACAGCCTCGGTGCCCCCTGGAACAGCCTCGGTGCCCCCTGGAACAGCCTGGTGCTCCTGGAACAGACACAGCCCCCCCAGAACAGACACAGCACCCCCTGGAACAGCCTGGCGCTTCCTGGAATGGCCACATCCCCCCATCCTTTCTGTGCTGCTTTAGGCATCTGCCCTTACATGGTTCGTGTCCAGCTCTGTCAACAAGGCCAGCTCCACAAGAGGCCCCAGCTCAGCCCTCCCCAGTGGGCTCCCCTACTCAGGCTCTGGGTCAGCTTCTTCCCAGGAGGTGTCCTGGCCCCTGTGCTGGCCCCGCCTCGCTGCCTGGACACCTGTCCGTGCCACCCTGGTCACTGAGCAGGACATCCGCGTCTGTGGCCCCTGGGACCCTGCCCCCGACAGCCAGGCCTGGGTTTGTCCTTTTAGGTAGAGTGCCTGGTCCAGGTCATTGGAGGAGAGTCCACATGGCCACCTCTGGCGTGTTCTAGAGAGGCCCTCCCGCGCTGGGTCAGGAGGCATCATCGGGACAGGAGAAGGGGGCTGAGCTCCTGTTCCTCTCTCCCTCCCCCGAGGCCAAGAAACATTCCCATCCGAATGTCCACTGCGCTCACAGATTCCTTTCCTCCTAAAACTTCAGCCTTGGCCAGGCTCACGGCCAGGATTATGGTGGCTCACGCCTGTAATCCCAGTACTGTGGGAGGCCGAGGCAGGAGGATCACGAGGTCAGAAGATCGAGACCATCCTGGCCAACATGGTGAAACCCCGTCTCTACTAAAAATACAAAAATTAGCTGGACATGGTGGCGGGCGCCTGTATTCCCAGCTACTGGGGAGGCTGAGGCAGGAGAATGGCTTGGAGGCAGTAGAACTGCTTGAACCCTGGAGGCGGAGGTTACAGTTATCCGAGGTTGTGTCATTGCACTCCAGCCTGGGGAACAGAGCGAGACTCCATCTCAAAAAAAATAAAAAACTTCAGCTTTTGCATGAGCAGGCGCAGTTGAGGTCAGAAAGTCCACGTTGCCCACGTCCACCTGGTTCGGGGTTTCCAGGCGGCGCTTGAGCCTTCCTTGGGAAATTCAGAGTCCCACAGACGGCATTAAACTGCAGCTGGGCACCAGGGCCGGCGGTCGGCGAGGCGGGGCGGGGCGGGGCAGGGAGGCCGGCCCTCTGGCAGAGGCAGCAGCTCCAGGAATCACCAGGGCCGGCGGGCGGTGGGGTGGGGCGGGGAGGCCGGCCCTCTGGCAGATGCAGCAGCTCCAGGAAGCCTGCCGGCCTGGGTTCCCTTTCCCTCCACATCCGCCGCTCCTCCCCATCTTGCTGGGCTCCGGACAATGGGAGCCTCCAAGGCTGAGGCTGCCCTGGCTTCCCGGAGGAGACCCATGCCCTACAGCTTGGGCCTGCTGAGGTGCCTGGGGCTGGGGACGTGGCCAGCCTCACATCCAGCGTCCACGCTCCAGACGGGTTCCTCGGCACCCGCCCAGTGTGGACACGGCGGTGAACAGGGCAGGGCCCGCAGGAGAGGCCACTTTTCCTACGAAGCTCCGTGATGAGCGCATGCCGCTCTCGTAATGCACCGTGAACGTGCGGGTTCCTGGAGACGCCTCCCTCTCAGGCCTCACTGGTGGGCTGTGGCTGTGGGTGGACGTGGGGACACCTGAGGAAGGGCGGCGGCCGAGGCCCTGCTGGGAGGGGGGTAAGGAGAAGCTGCCGAGGCTGCCCTGCCCCTCTCCATGCCGAGCAGGCCACCCCCGCCCCACCATGGGTCCCCCAGAGGTGTGGACACCAGATCTGCCTCCAGGACCCTGGGGACGGGCTTGTCCCTGTCCCACGACGAGGTCACAGGCACTTTGTGGCAGCCTCTGAGCCACCCTCACTGTGTCCTCACCCCCTGCCCTCAGCGTCCACTGGCCTTGACCTGGCCAGGAGGCTCCCGGGCCTTTCTCTCCTCGGCTCCACTGAAGGAGGCTGAGCTGGCCTGGCCCGGCGCCTGCCCAGGCCCAGCTGGCAGTGGGGGTGGTGCTTTCTCTGCCTCCAAGGCTGCGGAGCCAAACCTCGGGCTGTGACATGAGGGTGACATGAGGGAGACCGGAGGGAAGTCACAGCTGGCCTCATAAAACCGTGAAAACGCCCTTCCACACCTGCCAGCAGAGAGGGCTCATCTTCCTCACTGTGTGACCGGGCCACGCTGCCTAACCTGTTTTCTCATCTGAATGATGATTCTAACGCCAATACCGGGCCTCATTTCTGTGTGAATATTGAAGGAGTTAGTTTATGTGAAACCACCCAGAACATACTGTTATCTTTTTAGTTTTTATTTATTTGTGTAATTTTTATTTATTTACTTTTTTTTTTTTTTGGCAACAGAATCTTGCTCTGTCGCCCAGGCTGGAGTGCAGTGGCACAATCTCGGCTCACCACAACCTCCGCCTCCCGGGTTCACGCCATTCTCCTGCCTCAGCCTCCCGAGTAGCTGGGACTACAGGTGCCCGCCGCCACTCCCGGCTAATTTTTTGTATTTTTTTAGTAGAGATGGGGTTTCACCATGTTAGCCAGGATGGTCTCGATCTCCTGACCTCATGATCCGCCCACCTCAGCCTCCCAAAGTGCTGGGATTACAGGTGTGAGCCACCGCGCCCGGCCATTTTTTTTTTTTTTTTTTTTTTTTTTTTGACAGAGTCTCGCTCTGTCACCCAGGCCGGAGTGCAATGTCGCAACCTTGGCTCACTGCAACCTCCACCTCCCAGGTTCAAGTGATTCTCCTGCCTCAGCTTCCTGAGTAGCTGGGATTACAGGCACCCACCACCATGCTTGGGTAATTTTTGTATTTTTAGTAGAGACGGGGTTTCGCCATGTTGGCCAGGCTGGTCTCGAACTCCTGACCTCAGGTGATCTGCCCGCCTCGGCCTCCCAAAGTGCTGGGATTACAGGCATGAGCCACTGTGCCGGGTCTGTTACTTTTTAAAAATAGGCATTTCATCTTCCAATATTTCTGTTGTAGGTAGGATCTTTTCTTCAGCAGATTTTCTGACCTGCGGTTGCAGAATGAAATTTGGGGATCTCTCTGTCCCTCTCTGCATGCATCCACCTGGCTCCCAGCGTCCCAGCTCCTTGCTGGTCTCACTGTCCCTCTCTGTCCCTCTCGCTCCGAGCGTCCCAGCACCTCGACGTACTCACTGTCTCTGAGTGGCGTCCGCCTCATGCCCCCTGAGCTGGTACCGCCCTTTCCCTCTCTGCCTCCTTGTGGGGTCCACAGCATCGAACGGTGGGCTCTCCCCCTCATCCCGCTTTCCCAGCAGAGGCAGCTTGGGCTTAGGCTGGGTCAGGTTCTGTCTCCAAGGCCCTCGGCTTCATGGATGAGGCAAGTGAGTAGGACTGAGGGTGAGGGGACCCATGACCGATGAGAGACGGTGCTGTGCTGGGGTTGTGGGCCGCTGTGTTGATAGAGCAAGGGGCTCCGTGCCAGATGCTGGACCTCCGGGAGCCCCTTCACCTCACTCCCCAGACACGGGCGGTCCTCTGCGGCGAGCCGAGGTGGAGGGCACACGCTGTCCGCCGGGCTTGGGGTCTCGTTGCCGCCTCTGTCCTTATCACGTCCCCCGCCCTGCCTGCAGCTGAGCACAGGCAGATGTGGGTGGAATCTGAGACCAGAGACGGTTGGGCTGGAGGGGGTGGCCCCATCTCAGCTGCCCCCGGACGCCAGAAGGCCACCAGGAGACAGACTCGTGGCAGAGGGACGGAGGCCCCAGTGCGTGGTGGGTGGGCGTGGCCTCTCAGGACACGCCTGCGGGAGGTGCCATGGGGTCTCTGAGGGGAGCTGAGGCCGTGGGCTGGCCCTTTCTGCTGTCCGTGGGCGGTCAGAGGACTGACCCAGGCGGGGTGCTGTGCTGATAGCAGGTGCCTGGACCCGTGGACATGCAGGTCACCACAGCGCGTGGGGTCTGGTCTGGGCGGCCGGGCTCTTCTACACTCACTGCCGCGGGGTCTGATGCTGCTGGCAGGTGTGGGACGGCCTTGGAGACGGGCTGTGAGCTTTGTGACCCAGGCCCCAAGAGGAGAGCCAGCTGCCGGGGAGACCCACTCGGGGGCTTTGTGAAGACCACGTCACAGACTTCCTGCCTGGAGGCCGGGTGTCCCCTGCCAGCATCCGCTGCCTGGTGTCCTCTGCCTGGCGCCCGCTGCTGGGGTCGGCCTCAGTTCCTGGGGCTTCTGTGCCCCCAACCCTGTGGATAAAAAGCCCCCTGTGTTTCTCATCCCCGCTTTATGGTAGAGTGTCGGGAATAACAGAGCCTTCGGCGCCACCCACTCCACAGCCCACAGTTTCCCGCGTGCGTCTGTGTCTCAAGGTGAAGGCAGCCCCATTAGCCGGGTGTCGTTTGGAGGAAGTGGCGTCCCTGTGTTCTGCCCATCCTGCGTCCCTGCAACCATCCGTCCTCCCGTCGGCCGGCGCGGGGGTGTCAGCTGGGGAGCCGTCCTGGGGACAGATGGTGGAGCCGTCCTGGCCGCCTCTGCCTGGACACCCTCAGGCCAACCCCACAGAGTTCCTGAGCCCTCCCAGGCACGTTTTGGGGAGGGTGGCTGGGGGGGAAGCCAGTGTGGGCACCAGGCTCTGGTGCTGGGCAGGGACCATGATTCAGCCCCCCAGAGAGAAGCAGCCCAGCTCTTGGATGTGAATCCACATTCGGGGGACTGTGGGACTTTTATTCTTGAGCTTGAGTTTTTTCTAGGTGTCCTCCTAATACACAGCTGCCCCGCTCTGCCCCCACCCACATGGTTCCAAGGGGCAGGGTCCAGGGTCAGGGCCCAGCCTCCTGGCCAGGGCCATCTGTCTCAGCGTCCTAGACCTGCCTGTCTGCAGGTCCCAGGCATCGGTGCAGCACTGATGAACTTGGCGAATTCAGGGAACTTGGGCCTGGGTGTGGAGGTGGGGGCCAGAGGCCACCCACGGAGCTCCGGCCAAACATCCACGCTGGGGACCAAAGGCCCCCAGAAGCTACTGCACGAGGAGGCGACCTCAGGGAGGGCTGGCTGGGGCTTCTGGGGCCGGAGAGCGGGTCTGGGAGGTCCCTCGGTGTCAGCTCCAAGCCCCACCCGCCCTTCTCGGACCCCGTGCCCCTGCGTGGTATCCCTGAGTTGGGGTGCGTGGGGTGCTGTGTGCTGAGTGGGGTGTGTCCCCCAGGGCTCTCCCAGGCACCCTGTCCTCTCACTGCTGAGCCCTGGGGCTCACAGAGCTCGCTTGTCTTCTTCGTTCAGACAGAAGCCGCCCCTGGACATCCTGTTTTTCTTCTGTTGTATGAACAGGAAGCCAGCAATTGTGTGGGATGAGTGTCAGCATGGCCGTGTCTGAGCCCGGCACGGCAGACACTTGTCCCGCCACACCTGCCATGGGTCCCTCCAGCTC
Source organism: Homo sapiens (assembly GCF_000001405.40). Classification (NCBI taxonomy): domain Eukaryota; kingdom Metazoa; phylum Chordata; class Mammalia; order Primates; family Hominidae; genus Homo; species Homo sapiens. Next base: position 137,387,390 of record NC_000009.12, on the reverse strand, counting down.
TGGCCCGAGAGACTCAGGGCTCCCCAGGGCTCCCCAGTTGCGTGGGCTGTGAGCACCATGTGTGCACGGCTGGCCCTGGAATGGCTGGGGCGGGCACCGTGGAGTGTCCATCGTGCACCGGCCATGGCCTGGAAGGAGACCCAGGCGGTCACTGCCCTGGGGCTCAGCGTTGAGGCCACAGTGAAGCGACAGGGGCAGAAGGGCAGGGGCCGGGGGCCAGGCAGGGAGCGGGGGCCGAGGGCCAGGCAGGGAACAGAGGCGCTGAGGGAGGCAGACAAGGAGTAGGGGCCGGGGGCCAGGCAGGAAGCAAGGGCCGGGGGCCAAGCACGGAGCAGGGGTGCTGAGGGAGGCAGGCAGGGAGCAGGGGTGCTGAGGGGGCCAGGCAGGGAGCGGGGGTGCTGAGGGAGGCAGGCAGGGAGCAGGGGTGCTGAGGGAGGCAGGCAGGGAGCAGGGGTGCTGAGGGAGGCAGGCAGGGAGCAGGGGTGCTGAGGGGGCCAGGCAGGGAGCAGGGGTGCTGAGGGGGCCAGGCAGGGAGCAGGGGTGCTGAGGGAGGCAGGCAGGGAGCAGGTGTGCTGAGGGGGCCAGGCAGGGAGCAGGGGTGCTGAGGGAGGCAGGCAGGGAGCAGGGGTGCTGAGGGGGCTTCCGGGCAGGCTGCTGGGTGCTCGAGAAGCAGCCTCAGGCCCAAGGGGCAGGGTCCAGGTACACGGAGGTTGGAGGCTGGGAGGATGTGGTGGGCCCTGGCTTTGACTCTCAAGGCTGAGGGGCCACGGTGGAGTCCATAAAGTGGCCTGGCCTGCCCCATATTTCTGTAGGATGCTAGGGCTGTGCCGTGTTGCGCGGCTGGGTGTTGTCTGAGGGCACAGCGTCAAGGCAGGGAGTCCCCTGGGAATCTGGAGTGGCCCAGGTCGGTGGGAGGGGGCAGACCCTGCCCACCTGGAGGGCAGAACCAGCAGGACCTGAGCAGGGCAAAGACCAGCAACACTGACTGGGGAGTAGGAGGGCCGGCATCACCAACTTCCCACCTGGAAAGGTGGATCTCGATTTGGAGAACTTAAAAAGAATAATAAGGACACCCTGCTTATTGATGGATGGATTGATTGACAGGTTCTCACTCTGTCCCCCAGGCTGGAGGGCAGTGGCACAATCAGGGCTCACTGCAGCCTCAACCTCCCAGGCTCCAGCCATGCTCCCACCCCAGCCTCCCAAGTGGCTGGGACCTCAGGAGCGCCACCATGCCCAGCTAATTTTATTTATTTTGGTAGAGATGGGGTCTTGCTGTCTTGCCCAGGCTGGTCTCAAACTCCAGGGCTCAAGCGACCCACCCACCTCAGCCTCCCAAAGTGCTGGGATTACAAGTGTAAGCCACCTTGCCCAGCTTCACCCTGCTTTTAAAAATATGTGAAATATACATAACATGAAATTTACCATTTTAACCACTTTCCTGTGTACACTCAGTGGCATTAAGGGCACTCATGTGGCTGCACAGCTGCCACCACCGTCCACCTGCAGAACCTTCTCATCTCACGCATCTGAAACTCTGCTTTAAAAGAAAATCTGGGCTGGGCGCGGTGGCTCACGCCTGTCATCCCAGCACTTTGGGAGGCCGAGGTGGACGGACCAATTGAGCTCAGGAGTTCAAGACCAGCCTGGCCAACATGGTGAAAACCCGTCTCTACTAAAAATACAAAAATTAGCCAGGCGTAGCGGTGAGCGCCTGTACTCCCAGCTACTCCGGAGGCTGAGGCACGAGAATCACGAACCTGAGAGGTGGAGGTTGCAGTGAGCCGAGATCACAGCACTGCACTCCAGCCTGGGTGACAGTGAGACTCCGTCTCTAAATAAAATATTAACTTAAATAACAAAATAAAAGTCTCTTTTGTTTATTGTGAAGTGCAACCCATGTGTAGGAAGGAACGCAGAGCACATGATGCGGCTCGGCACATGATCGTGAACACACCACAGCACGCCCCGCCCAGCCCACCCTGGCCCCATCGCCAGCCATGCCCAGCATGCAGCACCCAGAATGCGGGGCCAGTCACACTGCCTGCCATGGCCACGTGGTGGGGTACGTCCTCCCCACCTGGGCATCGTCCCGGGGCTGATGCACTTGCTCCGTCCTCCTACAGTGGACATTTGAGTGTTCTCAGCCTCTGTATGCAGCACACTGTGCACGATGGTGGGACGGTTCTGAGCGCAGACGGGAACACTGGCCTGTGCCACCCAGGCCCAGGTGGCTGCAGAGACGCCATGGTGGAGCCTGGGCGCCCCACGGTGTTTTATGGTTTTTTGGTTTTTGTCTGAGACGGAGTCTCGCTCTGTTGCCCAGGCTGGAGTGCAGTGGCCCGATCTCGGCTCACTGCGACCTCCGCCTCCCGGGTTCATGCTGTTCTCCTGCCTCAGCCTCCCGAGTAGCTGGGACTACAGGCACCCGCCACCATGCCCAGCTAGCTTTTGTAGTTTTAGTAGAGATAGTGTCTCACCACGTTGGCCAGGCTGGTCTCGAACTCCTGACCTCAAATGATCCACCTGCCTCGGCCTCCCAAAGTGCTGAGATGACAGCCGGCTGGGTTTTGTTTTGCATGAGCTGCTTTTGTTACATTTCTCCCAGGGAATCTGACATTGCTGATGCTGTTGTAAGTGATTTTTGAAATGGCCATTTCTGTTTATTGCTGATTTTCTCATTTTGGCTTGTGCTGAGCATTGATGCCGAACCCATTGGTTAATTCTAACGGCGTAGTTTTGATCCTTCGTGGCTTTCTGTGTAATCAATCACATTGTCGGCCGGTCCTGATGTTTCTGTTTTCCTTCTGCATTGGATGCCACCTGCTTGGGACGGCTCCAGGCCGGGCTGTGGCATCCTTACGTGCTGCCCTGAGCACCACGTCTCACGCTCGCCCATGGCTTTTACCCAGTTCAGGGCGCTCCCTGCCCGTCCCAGGTGAGTTATTTCTTAAATTGTGAGCTGAACTGAATTTTAGAACACTTGCTCTGTGTCTACCGAAAGGGCCACGTGGTTCTCTCCTCCGTTCCGGTCCTGGGCTGAATCATAACCTTGGACTCTCCTGTTAAGTCAGCCTGGCTCTCTGGGGTGACCCCCGTCACACACGCTTCTCTGGCGTGTGTGGCAGAATCCAGCTGCTGAGGTCTGATCTGATCTCATGTGAGTCCTCAGCCTCCCTCGCAGCAACACGGGGCCTTCCCTGTTCCCGTCCTGCCCTGCAGGGGGGCCCAGCAGCTTCCACAGCCCCCCAGGTCCAGGGGGAGTTCACTGCGGAATCCACCCAGGCTCCTGTCCTCAGGCCTCCCCTGTGGAGTCCCTGCTGGCACCTGCCCCTCCCTGGCCTCCGACCCTGACCCTACCACATGACCAGGCCTGAGTGGGTCTCCACTCCCCTGCACCACCGGCCTCCAAGCCAAGCCACGCAGCCCCTGGGTTCTGTCTGGAAACCTCCCTCGGGTCTCGCTCTGGTGGCCCTGTCCGTGTGGGGCAGCGTCTTTGGTTGGCACTTTTGCTGCAGTGAGGTCGGGGGCCTCCCAGGCGGGGCTGGAGGGAGGGGGCGGCGCGGGAGGGCCGGGGACCGAAACCTAAAGAGGGCAGGGGCTTGGGGTCCTCGTGGTGCCAGGACTGCGGTGCAGGGTTTGGGTGAGAAGATGCTGATGAGGTTGCCGAGGGCGCCAGGCGGAGCAGGTAGAGGCTCAGGCCCACGAGGGCTGCTCTGCACCTGCAGCTGAAAGATGAGGCCCAGCTCCCAGGGCTGAGCGTGGTTGAAGTGCTGCTGGGCGGACTCAGCTGGATGGGCGGCCACGGGCCACAGGGAAGGAACAGGGTGGGTGCTGCCGCAGCTGGCAGGTGTGTTGTGTGTGTGCCAGACAGAGGTGGGGGAGGGTTCCCGGCCCCCCGGGTCCAGAGGAGCCCCAGGCATTGCGGGTCAGTGGGAGGGACTTCCCGGCGGGCTGTGCGATAGCCCCTGCACCTGCCTCTCCCTCCCACGGCTGTTATCTTATCTCCACAGGCCGGGACCCCCTCCTGCTCCTGCAGGCCCTGCAGACCCTGTGGTCCACGCGGGAGCGGAAGCAGGTGAGTGGACGTGGCAGCCACCACGTGCCAAGTCACAGCCAGCAGAACTGACTGTTGGGCAGAGACTGGCCTAACAGGAGGCCTCCCTGGTCAGGAAGCTGCACAGCCCCCCACGGCCACAGGGTCCTGCACAGCTGCTGCCCCAGACCGCCTCCAGGGTGGCCTGTGTGGGGCAGGGGGCGGTCCTCCTCAAGTCCCCAGGGTGGTAAAGGCACTGCCTGGCCCCAGCAGCCCCTCTGAGGTCACCTCTGGGAGGCGCAGGGGCCACTCACCTGCAGGGACACAGCTGTCGCCAGCACTGCCAGGCCTGAGGCCCCGTCCTGCCACCGCCAGAGCACCCAGGCCCGGGTGGCCACTGGGGCAGGTGTCCAGGACAGGGAGGCCTTAGGAAGGGGTGGGACTTGAGCAGGGCAGGAGGCTGGGCGGGAGAGGCCAGGGGAGAGGCTACAGAGGGAGGGCCGGCCCCCTGTGGGGGCAGACGCGGATTCCGGCTCCTTAGTGGCAATGGCCTGTGCACAGGAAGCTGCCAAGTCCTGAGTGCCGCGTCCTCTGGCCCGAGGTCGCTCCTGCAGGTCCGGGGGACGCCCTCCAACCCCAGCCCAGCTCCTCTGAGTGCCACATCCACTGGCCTGAGGTCACCCCTGCAGGCCCGGGGGATGCCCTCTGACCCCAGCCCTGGCGCTGCCTGCTCCTGTGTCTGCCTCTCTCCTGCACCCACCTCTGCCAGCTTTCGTTTGTCCATCAGCTCGGTGGCTTCTTGGGCCTCCAGCTTGTGAATCTCTGTCCTTGCTTTTGAGATTTCCCTCTGCCGTTCCATTTCCAGGCTCTCTTGTCGGACCTTCGTCTGTGACGCTCAGTCTTCCTCGCTCTTTGGCACCTGCGTGTGTGGTGTGAGCCTCCCCGGGTCCCGCCCTCTGCCCCCCGCCCCCCACGTGTCTGAGTTGTGGGATTCCACTGTCCTTTCCTCCCTATGTCCTGACATTCGTCCTGGCGTCTCCTTGGAGCAGCGCTTGTTTATACACAGACAGGGCTGAGATCTGCTCCGGGCTCCGCTGACAGCCATGAGGCCGTCAGGCATTTCATCTTCATGGGGTGGGCCTGTGTCTGTGCCCTCACCTCCTCCGCGCGCCCTCACCTCCTCCGCATGCTCCCACCTCCTCCCCGCGCCCTCACCTCCTCCCCGCGCCCTCACCTCCACCGCCGCCCTGACCTCCACCGCCGCCCTGACCTCCACCGCGCGCCCTCACCTCCTCCGCGCGCCCTCACCTCCTCCCCGCGCCCTCACCTCCTCCCCGCGTCCTCACCTCCTCCCCGCGTCCTCACCTCCTCTGCGTGCTCCCACCTCCTCCCTGCGCCCTCACCTCCTCCTCGTGCTCTCACCTCCTCCTCGCGCCTCCATCACATTCCCGGATTCCAGCAAGCTGGCGAATGCCACATGCCCAGTGGCCCTGGGTGGGCCAGGAGCCTTGAAGATGGGGTCCTTGGGGGTCCTGGGTGCTGAGGAGAAGCCCAACCCTAGAGCCGGCTGCACATGGAGGTCTTGGGGACCCCCATATGGTGGCACAGACGCCGGGTGCCCCCAGAGGAGGGAGATGAAGACCAGGATTTTGGAGAACTCCTTGGGGCGGTCTGCAGTATAAAGGGGGCAATGGGACTGTTGGCCGTCTGGGAGGGCTTAGGTGTTCCTCTAACGTGAGAGAGGAGCCAGCACACCGGGCGGGTGAGAGCAGCCTGGGAGACGGGCAGGAGGAGGAGGCAGGGCTGGGGCGGGGTGAGGGCCTGGAGTAGGCGCACTCCCAGAGTGGGGCTCCCCTGGTTCATTGGGCCCTTCCCAGCCCCACTGCCCAGCAGCCTGTGGTGGGGTGTTCCTGTCTTTTTTTTTTTTTTTTTTTTTTTTGAGAAGGAGTCTTGTTCTGTCACCCAGGCTGGAGTGCAGTGGTGCAATCTCGGCTCACTGCAAGCTCCGCCTCCCGGGTTCAAGGGATTCTCCTGCCTCAGCCTCCGGAGTAGCTGGGATTACAGGCGCGCGCCACCACGCCCGACTAATTTTTTTTTTGTATTTTTAGTAGAGACGGAGTTTCACCATGTTGGCCAGGCTGTTCTCGAACTCCTGACCTCAGGTAATCCGCCCGCCTCGGCCTCCCAAAGTGCTGGGATTACAGGTGTGAGCCACCGCACCCAGGCTTTTCGTGTGTGTGTGTGTGTGTGTGTGTGAGACAGAGTCTTGCTCTGTCACCCAGGCTGGAGTGCAGTGGCATGATCTCGACTCACTGTAACCTCCGCCTCCCAGATTCAAGTGATTCTCTTGCCTCAGCCTCATGAGTAACTGGGATTAATAGGTGTGCAACACCACGCCTGGCTATTTTTGTATTTTTAGTAGAGACAGGGTTTCACCATGTTGGCCAGGCTGGTCTTGAACTCCTGACCTCAAGCAATCCACCTGCCTCGGCTTCCCAAGATGGTCCTGTTGTAACAGGGTGGTCCTATCCTAACAGCCCCTCGGGGGGGCCTTCTGGTGCTGCTGAGCCCATGGGACCCCCCCAGCCCCACTACTGAAGCCGTGAGTGGAGCCAACAGCTCAGTGCAGGGGATGCCAGCCAGCAGGGAGGAAGGGGGATACCGGCGGGGGGATTGGGGGGGATGCCCAGAGGGGGGTTGGGGAGGAGGGGGGATACGGGTGGGGAGGATTGGGGGGATGCCCAGAGGGGCATTGGGGTGGGGGGGAACCAGTGGAGGGATTGGGGGGGATGCCCAGAGGGGGGATACTGGTGGGCGTTATCGGGGGGGACGCCCAGAGGGGGGTTGGGGTGGGGGAGATACCGGTGGGGGGATTGGGGGGGATGCCCGGAGGGGGGTTGGGGTGCGGGGGATACTGGCGGAGGGATTGGGGGGGACGCCTGGAGGGGGGTTGGGGAGGAGGGGGGATACCGGCGGGAGGATTGAGGGGGATGCCCGGACGGGGGTTGGGGTGGGGGGGGATACTGGCAGGGGGATTGGGGGGGACGCCCAGAGGGGCATTGGGGTGGGGGAGCTCACATTGTTTTCTCCGTGCACAGCAGGAGGCTCTTTGTAGCTGAGGGGACCAGGAATGAGGAGTGAAGACCAGTGAAGGGCTCGAAGGGAGGAGGGACCGGCAGGGTGGGTGGGACGGCTTCCTTCACAGGGACCCCGGGAGGGAGGCAGGCAGCGCAAGGGGAGCCCAGTCTCAGAGCCATGGGTCCCAAGGGTCTTGGCACGTTCATTGAGGCCACCAAGATAAGGACAGGAGCTGGAAGGAGATGCCTGGGCCAGGACTGAAGTCTCCCGGAACAACGGGCTGGGACCCTGAGGCTGGCAGGGGTGCAGTGGGCACTGGGTCCATGTGTGGCTTGCGCTGGCCGACGTGGGCACACAAGGGGCACAGCTGCCACTGGGGGCCTGGAGGGGAGGACCCAGCTGGGGTCTGGAGGGCCAGGATTTTGCAGAAGGTTTACGGGACTGAAGCAGGAGTGAGGGAAGGCGGGCTGTGGTTAGAACGGGTGCTGCAGAACTCCGGGGGTGACAGAAACCAGCCTGGGCGAGAGCGCACCCCAAATCAGAGCCACGGAGCGTCGGCTTCATCGAATGCTTTATTGGGGTAAGATGCACGACATATAAAACCAGCCGTTTCACAATGAGTGACTCAATGGCCTGGAGCGCCCAGTCGTGCTTCGTGAATCTTTCTACATCTTCACAACCTGTGCACCTCTTCTGGTTTCAGAATGGTTCATCGCTTCAGAAGCAAACCCCGTACCCCTCACACAGACGCCCCATTCCCCTCGGCCCCAGGCAACGGTCACCGTCACCCGCAAACCCCGTACCCCTCACACAGACGCCCCATTCCCCTCAGCCCCAGGCAACGGTCACCGTCACCCACAAACCCCGTACCCCTCACACAGACGCCCCCATTCCCCTCGGCCCCAGGCAACGGTCACCGTCACCCGCAAACCCTGTACCCCTCACACAGACGCCCCCATTCCCCTCGGCCCCAGGCAACGGTCACCGTCACCCACAAACCCCGTACCCCTCACACAGACGCCCCATTCCCCTCGGCCCCAGGCAACGGTCACCGTCACCCACAAACCCCGTACCCCTCACACAGACGCCCCCATTCCCCTCGGCCCCAGGCAACGGTCACCGTCACCCACAAACCCTGTACCCCTCACACAGATGCCCCATTCCCCTCGGCCACAGGCAATGGTCACCGTCACCCACAAACCCCGTACCCCTCACACAGACGCCCCATTCCCCTCGGCCCCAGGCAACGGTCACCGTCACCCACGAACCTTGTACCCCTCACACAGATGCCCCATTCCCCTCGGCCCCAGGCAATGGTCACCGTCACCCACAAACCCCGTACCCCTCACACAGATGCCCCATTCCCCTCGGCCCCAGGCAACGGTCACCGTCACCCACAAACCCTGTACCCCTCACACAGACGCCCCATTCCCCTTGTCACACAGGCCCTAGCCACTGCTCACCCGCTTTCTGCCTCTGGATTTGCCACTTCTGGACAGTTCACACACATGCGGTCACATAACATGGGGTCTTTTGTGACTTGCTTCTTCATTTAGCACGATATCAAGGCTTGTCTATGTGGATGTCTGTGTCAGCTTCCTCCTTTTCCGTGGCTGAGTAATACGTGGCCAGGCCACATGCTGTTTCTTCATAGACAGCTGAGGGTCATCTGCGCCATCTCCACCTCTGGCCGTTGTAAATAAGTACTTCTCTGAAAATTCATCTACAAACATCTGCGTGAGCCCCTGTTTTTAAATCTTTGGGGAGGACGGGTGTGGTGGCTCACGGCTGTAATCCCAGCACTTTAGGAGGCTGAGGTGATAGGATCACCTGAGGTCAGGACTTCAAGACCAGCCTGGCCAACAATGGCGAAACCCCATCTAAACCAAAAAATACAACAATTAGCCGAGCGTGGTGGCATGCACCTGTAGTCCCTGCTATTTGCGAGGCTGAGGCAGGAGAATCACTTAAACCCCAGAGGCGGAGGTTGCAGTGAGCCAAGATCATGCCACTGCACTCCAGCCTGGACGACAGAGTGAGACTCCATCTCAAATAATAAATAAATAAAAATAAATAAACAAATAAATCTTTGGGAAACTGCCTGGAATAGAATTGCTGGGTCATGTGGTAATCATGTTTATCTTTTTGAGGAACTGTCAAACTACTACTTTTATTAAAAATTTCAGCCAAGTGCAGTGGCTCATGCCTGTAATCCCAGCACTTTGGGAGGCCAAGGTAGGCGAATCACGAGGTCAGGAGTTTGAGACCAGTCTGGCCAACATAGCGAAACCCTATCTCTACTAAAAATATAAAAACTTGGCCAGGCGTGGTGGCCTGCACCTGTAATCCCAGCTACCTGGGAGGCTGAGGCAGGAGAATCACTTAAACCGAGGAGGCAGAGATTGCAGTGAGCCAAGATCGCACCACTGCACTCCAGCCTGGGCGACAGAGCAAGACTCTGTCCCAGGAAAAAAAAAAAAAAAAAAAATTCAACGACTATTTTTTGTTTTCAAAGTTCTCTTAGGTTTCCTCCCTCCCTCCCTTCCTTTCTTTTTTGACAGAGCCTGGTTCTACGTCACCCAGGCTGGAGTGCAGTGGCGCAATCTCAGCTCACTGCAACCTCCGCCTCCCAGGTTCAAGCGATTCTCCTGCCTCAGCCTCCTGAGTAGCTGAGATTAAAGGTGCGCATCAGCACGTCTGGTCTTAAACTTCTGACCTCAAGCGATCCTCCCACCTTGGCCTCCCAAAGTGCTGGGATTACAGGCATGAGCCACCACACCCAGCCTTAGGTCCTTTTTGAAATCTGCCTTTCCCTTTTTTTTTTTTTTTTTAGAGACAGAGTCTTGTTCTGTCACCCAGGCTGGAGTGCAATGGCACAATCTCAGCTCACTACAACCTCCGCCTCCCGGGTTCAAAGGATTCTCCTGCCTCAGCCTCCCAAGTAGCTGGGACTACAGGCTCCACTATGCTGGCTAATTTTTTGTATTTTTGGTAGAGACGGAGTTCCGCTATGTTGCACAGACTTGTCTTGAACTCCTGAGCTCAAGCCATCGGCCTGCCTCGTCTTCTCAAAGTGCTGGGATTCCGGGCGTGGCCACTGCGCCTGGCTGATGCGTTGTTCCTGCATTTGCCCACCGACTCTCTGTGTTTGGCTGTAACCACGTTGCACGCTCAGTCAGTCGCTTGCTGCTCACAGAGTCCAGGTCAGAGGAATGAGGTCTGGTAGAAAGAAAGTGACTTTTTATTCCGTAGCTGGCTTGAGGGAAGAAGCGCAGGCCTCATGCCTGAAGGGTATGGGTATGGCTTAGCTTTTGGAGCAGAAAGAGGCTTTTTTTTTTTTTTTTTTTGAGATGGAGATTCTCTCTTGTCGCCCAGCCTGGAGAGCAGTGGCGCAATCTCGGCTCACCGCGACCTCCGCCTCCCAAGTTTAAGCAATTCTCCTGCCTCAGCCTCCCGAGCAGCTGGGATTACAGGCATGTGCCACCATGCCTAGCTAATTTTGTATTTTTAGTAGAGACGGGGTTTCTCCATGTTGGTCAGGCTGGTCTCCAACTCCCGACCTCAGTTGATCCGCCCACCTTGGCCTCCCAAAGTGCTAGGATTACAGGCGTGAACCACCATCCCCGGCCAAAAGAGGCATTTTTAAAAGGTCGGGAGGAAGCGAGCAGGTGGGGGGGTCTCTGTGCCTTATCTACCTGGAAGTTGAGTTGGCATCTCCATGGGCAGAAAGAGGCTGTGAAGGTGGCCGGAAACTCCAGCAGGCACACTTTGGGCCGTAAATCTACTTGTCTCTCGAGGCGGCCTCCTGCAGGCGAGTTCTGCTCTGAGCCTCTAAGCACATGGATAGATGAGCTTGCCCTGTAGGGAGTGTCTGGTGAACAGGAGGTGGAAGGCTATCATTGCATTTCTTTTTTTTTTTTTTTTTTTTTTTTTGAGACAGAGTCTTGCTCTGTCGCCCAGGCTGGAGTGCAGTGGCACAATCTCGGCTCACTGCAAGCTCCGCCTCCTGGGTTCACGCCATTCTCCTGCCTCTGCCTCCCGAGTAGCTGGGACTACAGTCGCCCGCCACCATGCCCGGCTAATTTTTTGTATTTTTAGTAGAGACGAGGTTTCACTGTGTTAGCCAGGCTGGTCTCTATCTCCTGACCTCGTGATCTGCCCGCCTCAGCCTCCCAAAGTGCTGGGATTACAGGCATGAGCCACCGTGCCTGGCCACTATCATTGCATTTCTAAAGAAATAAGTAAGAAGTGGGGAAAGGAGGAAAGAGAAGAGAGAGTAAAATATAAGTGAACAATCGTTTAGTAAAATGGGGGTAGTTGCTTACACATTCCCAAATCGATGTCCCGTTACTCCCCATTCTCAGAGCTTTAGTCAACCTACTTGTGGGTGTCACTCATGGTGGCTTGCTTCCTTGTGTGTTTTCTAAGTTTTCATTGTGAGCTCATTTACTGGAACTTTTTCCCTCTGGTGACCTAGGGCCCACGTGTCCCGGCAAAGTGATTAAAGAATGATGTTTTGTTTCTGCCAACTTAACTACAGATAGAACTCACTAGGGCTAGAACTCACTAGGGCTAGAACTCACGAAAGCTAGAACTCATGAGAGCTAGAACTCGCTAGAGCTAGAACTCACTAGAGCTAGAACTCACTAGGGCTAGGACTCACTAGATATAACTCACTAGGCCTAGAACTCACTAGAGCTAGAACTTGCCAGCGCTAGGACTCACAGGAGCTAGAACTCACTAGGGCTAGAAGTCACTAGGCCTAGAACTCACTAGAGCTAGGACTCACTAGACCTAGAACTCGCTAGAGTTAGAACTCGCTAGAGCTAGAACTCACTAGAACTGTAACTCACTAGAGCTGGAACTCACTAGGGCTGGAACTCGCTAGAACTAGAACTCACTAGAGCTAGAACTCACTAGAGCTGGAACTCACTAGAGCTAGAACTCACTAGGGTTAAAACTAGGGTTAGGGCCGGGCGCGGTGGCTCACGCCTGTAATCCCAGCACTTTGGGAGGCCGAGACGGGCGGATCACGAGGTCAGGAGATCGAGACCATCCTGGCTAACACGGTGAAACCCCGTCTCTACTAAAAATACAAAAATTAGCCAGGCATGGTGGCGCGCGCCTATAGTCCCAGCTACACGGGAGGCTGAGGCAGGAGAATGGCGTGAACCCGGGAGGCGGAGCTTGCAGTGAGTCGAGATCGCGCCACTGCACTCCAGCCTGGGCGACAGAGCGAGACTCCGTCTCAAAAAAAAAACAAAACTAGGGTTAGAACTCACAAGAGCTACAACTTACTAGAGCTGGAACTCACTAGAGCTATAACTCATTAGGGCTAGAACTCACTAGAGTTAGAACTCACTAGAGCTAGATCTCACTAGGGCCAGGACTCACTAGAGTTAGAACTCACTAGGGCTAGGACTAAGTTCCTGGAGCTCCTTCAAGTTGCTTCAAGTTCCAGATGCTTGAGATGCTCAGGCTTTGTTTAAGGGCGGCTTTCCTTTTCTTCCCAGAGTCCCGAGGGACAGAGAAGCTGCCTTTCACCCTGTCTGGCCACTTTCCCCGAGGGGCATCCTTTGGAGGGTCTGGACTTTGCAGCCTTGCCTCCCGCGCCTTTGGGCATGGCACCCTCCTGGACAGCGCTGAGGTCTCCTCACACACTCATGTGCGTGTGCTCCACGGCTGTTCCTGGGTGTTTGTGGGGAGATTTGTCAGGTGCTGGGAGCCTTTTGTTTCGGTAAGCTTTCAAATCGCCGGAGCAAGTGCTTTCAAAGCTGCGCGGCAGCCTCAGGATGTTGCTCCTGGAGCCCCGTGGAGAGCACACCATCCACATCGCAGGGACGAGAACAGCGCGGCCCACGCTCTCGGCTTGCAGCCTCCCTGGGCCTCTGGGGGCGCATCCCGTGGCTGGAGCCAGCAGCTGGGAACTCACCCTCTTGCCCACCTGCGTGGCCGTCGGCTTCAGGTCGGGTGTCGGCTGCTGCGCCCTGTCCCGAGCGCTGAGCTGTGAACCCGTCCACCCCTTTAGCTGTTAAGATTCTACCTGCGGAATGACCTGCAAGCAGTCGTTATGGCTTGAAGTCTATAGCGGTTGACTCACTTGCAGGAATCCACAGAGGACGGCGCCGCTGAGGCTGCTGCACAGCAGCGAGGGCCAACTTGCTGTAGAATCTTCCGGAAGCCAGAGCCCAAAACAGATGCTTTGCTTCTCTTCGTCCACCTCTTATCCGTTTCCCAAATCTCCTGCGGGTCAGGGATAGAAAAGTACATAAAAGGCATTTTTCAGTTTGGGTTTCGGTTCTTGCCTTTCAGTTTCTTTCGCCTGCTGAGGGCAGGCCAGGCCCGTGTCCCGCGAGTGCCGCAGGTAAAGTGACTTGTGAACCTGTGGCTCGGGCTACGGTTGCCTCCCAGGCCAGCGGCCCTCTGTCTGCCTGGAGAACAGGCCCTCTGTCTTTATGGGATAATTAGTGCAGACAATGACCACCGCCCCTGGGGGCCTGGGGTGCAGCGGACCAGAACGGCGGCATGAAAAGTCACGGAGGCGCAGATGGCGGCTGAATGGCCACAGCTACCTTCTGAATGGATTAAATTTTAAAAAACCTCTCTGCGGTGGGGAGGCCTTGCCAGGAGGCTTTGAGTGCAAGACAAAGTGCCAGTGTGGTTTTGTGTCTCCACAGCTCCGGGAGGAAGCCTGGCGGGGGTTTGCTGCCTTGGACGACCCCCTGGCCGGGCTTCTGGACATGCTGGAGAGCTGCCGGGGCCAGCGGGGAGAGGGCCCCTCCCTGGCGGCCTGGATCTCCCACCAGCTGCAGTGCTGGCTACAGGCACAGCCATGCCCGAGCCTGGCCCAGGTGAGCCCATGGGTTCTGTGACAGTCACCTCCCTTCCTGCCCCTGCCCCTCAGCATAGTGGACCCGGCATCCACCTGCCCAGGCCTTTGCAGCCCGCTCAGCAAGCCAGGGAAGGGGAGGGGGATGCTGGGGGCTATGGCCAAGACTCAGCCCGTGGCTTCACCCTCTGCCCCCTGACAGTCACGTGCTGAGACCGGCCTCGCCCCTCCCGTGCCCCAGCCCTGCAGACCACCCGATGCCCACACATGGCCACAGTGGCAGGCGCTGCTTCCTAAGCCAGGCCTGCCTCAATCGGCCCCATGGCCCAGCCACTGGGTGCTGCGTCCAGTAAGTCTGGGTCCCTGCTCTTCCAGCACAGCCTGAGGCTGAAGCAGCTGCAGGCCCGAGCGGTCAAAGTCCTCACTGAGAGCCCCCCCAGCCTTGCGGCACCACTGGCCAGCATCTTCCAGCTGCAGGATGCAGACAGGAGCTGCCTGCTGGCACACGTCCACCGCCTCCACCACGAGGGCAGGTTCAGAGAAGTGAGTGGCCCACGTGGCCGGGCTCATGGGGAAACGGCTTCTCGGGCGGTGGGGCAAGGACGCGCCTGGCTCAGGGCCGCCTCTGTGTGGGGGCTGTTTGGGGCTTCTGGTCTACATGGAGGTATCAAGGACCCGGCCGTGGGCAGCCATCAGCTGTGTGCGGGGTGCCGGGTCCCAGGAGCCCTCAGGCTGCCTGAGCCAACAGAGATGTCAGGGCACAGCCTGGTCCCAGGCCTGGGTCTCCCCCTGCCGACCCTGTGTCTCCCAGCATGCACTGGGCCCTCACACTCACAGGGTCCTAGGTGGGCCTGGGCCTGAGCTTTGGTCCAGCCACGCCCCACCATGTCTGTTAGCCTCTGCGCCTCCGGAACCTTCACAGAATCAGCCAGTAGGCTGTCCTTTGTGGGTGAGTTTGCCTCCTGGGCACTGGGCACTGACTGAGTCCCCGGCACGGCAGTGAGCGCCCTGGAAGGAAACGCTCCCAGAGGGGCCGAGCAGAAGAGCTGTGGGAGCAGCTGGTGCCGGCCCCGCCTCCCACAGCACCCCCAGAGTGGTGCCCACTCACAGAAGCCCAGAGTGGGCAGTGCCGGCGCCTGGGACACAGGACAAGGTTCAGGGCCAGGGCACCAGTCGCACCTCGGCACAGTCGCCCAGGTGCGAGATGCGTCGGATCAGTATCCAACCCTTCACTGGCTGCTGGCGGGAGAGGTGGCTTCGGTCCCTTTCGGTCCCGGGCCAGGTCTTAAGTGGTGTCGCAGAAGTGTGGGCTTGGCAGCTAAAGGTGTCTGGATGAGAATTGGTGGAGCTGTTGGAATCACAGTGGTTTGCTGAGTCTCCTTTGTGAACAAGGCTGATTTTTAAGCCCAGAAGGTTCCAAGAGGAAGACCAGGTCTAGCATCACAGCCCCGTCGTCCTGAGCCTGGCCAAGCTGTGACTTGGGTTTGTGTGGAACAGTAGGGAGCAGTGGGGCCTGCAGTGGGTAGGGAGGCGGCCGTCTTGCGTGGGGTGGCTCTGAGCTGTTCCTGCAGGTGCAGGGGAGCCCCCATGACTTCTCGGTGCCCTGAGATTCCAGATCCCAGTGCAGATTCTAGGGTGCAGCACGAGGTGCGGCAAAGAAGCCCGGGGGTGTCCTGCCAGGGGATGTCCTGCTTGGGGGTGCTCGGCCCGGGGGTGCTTGGCCCAGGGGTGTCCTGCCTGGGGGTGCCCAGCCCCGGGGGTGCCTGGCCTGGGGGTGCTCAGCTCAGGGTGCACTGATCATGTATGAGGAGGCCGGCACTCAGGGGCACTGGTCCACTCCCCGCCCCATTAGGGCCCCCTTACTTCAGGGCCGAGCGTGAAGGCCACCACCCCGCTGCCTGCCCACGTGGGACCCTGCTGCTGAGACGCCGTCCCGATGGCACCCTGGGTTCCTCTTCCCAGCAAGACCCCTCACCGTGAGGAGGTGCATTGGAACCTGGGCACGGGCATCGGGGGCTGCCCTGGCCGGGCCCTCACAGGAGTGTCCCCTGTGTGGGCCGCGCGGGCCCCACCCCTGGCGCTGTCACCTGCCACGCCCGGGGCCGTCGTCTCGCGGCGGGTGCATGGCGCTGAGAAGCCACCATGTCCCGGCACAGGACAATGCAGGATGGAGGGTCCCCCTCATGTGGCGCGACGCTGAATGGCGGCCGTGCCTGCGGAGAGTGCAGGGAGGCAGAAGGCAGGCTAGTGTTTCGGGCCGTCTTCTGTTACAGAGCCTTTCAAAGACTGTCTGGGGCCGGCTGAATGCGCCTCCCTCGCGCTCCGAGGCAGGAATCCCCACACAAAGGGGGTCTTGTCCCGCACAGGCCCCTTCTGCGAAGAAAGCCATTGTCCCCGAGCGGGGCCGCCCGGCAGGCGATGCATGCTCCACTGCTCACCGCCGCGCCCGGCCGAAAGAGGCCGCATTCAGGCCTGTCCGCTCGGATTAGCTGGGACTCACGACTCAATGTGCTGCGATATTTCATGTCGAGGGCAGCGGCTGGCCCTGGGCAGGATGAATGCCTGCTTTTGTCCGCTGAGTTATTTTATTTACATTTTTTAAACAGCTTATCAAGGTAAAAAGATAGCTTTGCTTTAAAAAAAAAAAAAAAAAAAAGGCCCTCTTGGCTCCAGGCCCACGCAGAGGTGGGAGGCAGGGCTGTCGCTGGGGTCCTCGGCCTTCGAGCCTGGGCACCTGCCCAGCCTTCCTGCCCCTTAGAATGGGGGGCCCAGGGGAGCCGGGGAATGCCCTTCCCGATGGTCGATACCACAGCCCCTCCTGATTTTCTTTTTTTTTTTTTTTTCCTGAAAGCAGCAGCTCCTGGGCCTGTCTAGAGGTTTCTACAGCCCCACCCCGACCCCGCCAGCTGGACAGCCTCGTCTCTCTCTTCCTGGTGGATGCCTCCCATCCTCTGGCAGCAGAGGTCGGGAAGGTCTGCCTGGTGCAGAGGGGCCCAGTTTGCCCCATCTGTCCTCATGGCCCAGCCCCGGGCTCGTTCCTCCCACGGGGTCCAGGACTCTTCACCTTCTGCTGTCTGCTCCCTGGGCCTGGCTCTGGGGCCAGGTGACCTTTTTGTGCCTGCTGAGTTTCCCAAGTGGCCAGGCATGGACAGTGGGCAGCTGTACACCGTCCTCTCAGGGAAGTTCAGACAGAAATGACCAGACGCTGATTCTAAGCCAGGCACCACCACAGTGAAAGGGCCAGCAGGGCCCCCAAAGCCTGAGACAGGGGTCAGGCCAGGGAGCTTCCTGGAAGGGGTGGGTCTGCTACTAGCCACCCCCCAGCCCCCCACCCCTGTCACCAGGGCTGCCCATGAGCAAGCCTGGGCTCTGCCCTTACCAGGGTGGAGCTAGGGGAGCTCCATCCTCGTCCTGTCCCCCAAGCTGCGAGGCCACAGAGCCCCCACTGGGCTCCGGGTACAAAATGTGGACACAGATGCTGGGGGCCCCAGGACGCCTGCATGTCCAGAAAGCCCACCTGGCCTCAAGAGGCCCCGGGTGCCCAGAGAGCTTCTGTGGGCCTAGAAAGAAAGGTCCAGACACCTGTTAGCCCTGGGCTCTGAATGGCCGTGGTGAAGAGAAGGGCTGAGCTGGGCACTTTGAACTGCCTCTGACGGGGTCGCAGCGTGCGGGACACAGAGGCAGAAGCCACCCACCTGGGGAGCACGGCCAGTACCCAGCCCCACCCAGGCTCCTCTGCAAGCCTGAGGCGGCCTTCTTGGGCTCAGAGGGGTTCCTGGTTGGGTGGGGCCCGCCGAGGGCTGGGACTGGAGCCTGAAGTCTGTCCCTCGGAGGGAGGCTGGGGACAGCAGCGGTGAGGGAAGGCCCTGGCCACCTGCCCCTTGCTGTGTCCCCAGCCTCCCTGGTCCCAGCGTCACCTGCTCAGGGCCTGGTCCCAAGGAGGTGCCGGGCGCAGCCCCATCCTCCACTTCCCTGCACCTGACAATAACCACATGCGGCAGGAGGAGCAGAGGGCGGGCGGGTTGTGACCACCCTGCGGTTCTGAACGGGGTGAGGTGTCCGGCCCTGCACCCCTGCCTTCCGGAGCTCTGGCAGCTTCTCAGGGGGTCCCTGATCCAGAAGGGATCAGAGCCCTTGTGTGAAGCTGCGGGTGTCACTGCTGGGGTGGTCCCCATGTGGTGGCCCCTGCGCCCATGCTCACAGCCGTAAGCCCACCTCCCAGGCCCTGCGCCCCTCCCCATGTGGTGGCCCCGTGCCCCTCCCCGGCCCTGCGCCCCTTCCCACGGCCCTGAGGCCCCGCCCCGGCCCTGCGCCCCTCCCCACGACTCCGAGACTCCCACGCCCCGGGCCCTGCGCCCCTCCCCACGGCCCTGAGACCCCCTCCCCGGGTCCTGCGTCCCTTCCCCTGACCCTGCGCCCCTCCCCACACGGCTCTGAGAAGCCCCCCCACCCCGCCCCGGGCACTGCACCCCGTCCCCCGGCCCTGTGCCCCTCCTCACGGGCCTGAGACTCCCTTCCCGGGCCAGGCGCCCCTGCCCACAGCCCTGGGGCCCCGCCCCGGACCTTCGCCCCTCCCCACGGCCCTGAGACCCCCGCCCCGGGCCCTGCGCCCCATGGGCCTGGTGGAGGCCTAGCCTCTTGGACCCTGGCCAGACAGTAGAGGCGCCGGGTCAGCGCTGCGCAGGGAAAGGCCCCCGGCCCTGCGCCCCCACCCTGCGCACCGGGGCTGGAAGCCGGCTCGAGGCTTTCCCAGGCCGCTATTTTGGTCCTTTCTCTGGGCTGCGCGGGGGCGGGGCGCCGATGCTCCGCGGGCTGCTCTCGTGGGTCATTTTTGCTGGCTATGGGAGCGCGGCTTATGGAAATTATTAATAGCAGCTCAGGCCCGTGGTACGTGCAGGCGGTCAGGGCCCGGCCGTGCCCCGATCGCAGCCAGTGTGGCCTTGGAGCGCTCGCGGGGTGCCCGTCTCCGCCTCGTGGGAAGGGCTAGGACCCCCCAGGCCTCAGGATGCGCTGAGGCTGGGGGTCCTCAGCCTTGGCCCGTCCACTGCAGGCACCATTGTGTTCTGGGGCCCGCAGATGGGTCGTGTGGGAGGTCACGGCTTTGCGCCTTGCCTTGACCCCACCTCCTAGCCTTCCTCTGGCTCATCAGCAATCCCCGAGCAAGGCCCTGGGACCCAGGCTGTGTGGCCAGCCACCCCCTTGAGTCCCTGCTGCCCCATCCAGGCCAAGCCCAGGCCTCCCACCTGTCCCAGCCTATGCAAGGCCTGGCTCAGCACGGGGGGGCTTGTCTGCCAGGCCAGGCCCCTCGGCCTGAGGGCCACGTGGCTGAACACGGGAAGGCCCTGCACTCCGGCCTCAGTGACCAGGTGCTGGTGCAAAAGGGTGGTAGCCCCCTCACCCGCCGTGCTGCCTGGCCCCTCCCAGGCCCTGAGTAATCTGCCGCCTTTGTGTTTGCCAGGCAGCCACGCTGGGCGCGACGTTGAAGCTGCAGTCGGAGCTTGGCGTTGAAAAGGTGAACGTCTTTCTCATGTAAATTGTTTAGGTTCAAACTTGGATAACGCCCAGGTCTCTATAAACAGTGTTTGTTGGAGGTCGGGAGTCCACCAAGCCACAGTGGGGGACAGCAGGGCCATCGGGGGCCGGCGAGGGCCTCCAGAGCCCCCTAAACCACCATCCTCCTCATGGGCTGACCCCAAATCAGACGCAGCCGCACGTACACGAACCCCGTGTCCAGCTGTCCCCTGAAGCCCTGAGTGTGCTCCGTGCAGCAGCTGGGGCCACCCCTTCCCTGGAGTGGGCACCAGCTGCCTCGAGGACACGCAGCCCATGTGCTTCTGGGACCCTCCTCTGCTGCACGCCTCCACCGTGCAGTGGGCTGGGGGAAGCAGTCACCTAACTGTGAATTTCCGGACAGATGACACAGTCCTCGAACCCACAGTGTCTGCAGGGATGGCAGATCCAAGCTTCTACAATGGGACTTCGTGCACATCACAGGGACACAAGGGGAACCTGCTGGTTAAGCAGGGGCAGGGTGGGGGAGTGAGCACCCCTCGGGCAGAGCCAGGTGGGGACGGGACGCATCCTGGTCTCCCTAAAGAGGGAGGGGTGTCTACACAGCCTGCAGGGCTGTGCTCCGGGCGATGGGTGCAGACTCCAGGTCTACAAGAGCTGGGGCCAGAGAGGGCTCTTGGGGCTTCGCGTTCTGCCCGAGGACTGTCCCCCAAGGCACTGCTGGGCAGGTGGGCCCCATGCAGTCGGCGCCAGGCAGCCTCACCTGTGGGGCAGAGGAGGTGGGGGAAGGGAGGTGAGGAGTCTTCTTCGAGGGGCGTTGTCTACGGGAATTCGTTCTTGCTGAGGGAATGGCTGGTGTGCCCCAAGGCCCAGCGCCACAGCCAGGGACTCCCTCAGGGCCTCTTGGAGGCACCGACAGCGTGTGGGTCTTGCAGACCTGCTCGGGAGGCAGTGCTGGTACCATGTGCCACGAGAAGGCATTTCCGGACTACCAGGGCTACTGCCAGTGGTTTGTCTTGGTCCTGCCTCCCCACATTTGGTGACAAATGAGCTTCCCCAGGGTCCCCCTTGCCTCTTAGGGCCTCCAGGCCTTCATCATGGAGATGGGGATGGCCACAGAGCCCAGCAGGAGCCTTGGGCGAGTGTGTGTGAGCGTGAGCACTGGCCGGGCGAGCACTGCTGGGCCTGGACGGCCTCTGGGCCCCTTTCGTTCTGACACTTTGGCCGCTCCCTCTGGGTTGGAGGTGAGTCAGGTTTTGGCTGAGGTGGCGGAGGCTGTGGCCTGACCGTGTGTCCCCCTGCAGATGAGCATCCCACTGCTCCTCCAGGACAAGGTGGCCCTCGTGGAGCGCTATGTGGCCGGCTTCCCGGACCTCCAGAGGAGGCTGCTGGTCCTCATGGATTCCTGGTGCCAGCCCGGCTTTGACATCAAGGACGTTGCCAGGTGAGTCCCGTGGGGCGCTGGCAGCTGGCACCAGATGGCATCCTGGGAGCCCTGGTTAGGGAAGGGAGTGTAGGGGGGCAGCAGGCGCGTGGGAGAGCTCTCCCCAGGAAGTTCTGGTGTTTGGGTCACAGCTGCCATGTGACTGCAGCTGGAGCAGCTGCCTCTGGAGAGGAGCGGCTGGGGCTGGCAGGAGCACAGCCCTCTTCTCCCGAGTGAAAAGAGTTAACTGCTCTTAGAAGAACGAAAATAATTCTCCGTGGTGGCTCTTCTCATGCAGGCATGGCAACCGTACTGCTTTCTTGTTCATCCATTCCTTTGTTCTTTCATCTAATAAAGTTTTTGGAAGCACTTGGTGTGTGACGTCTGTCAGCAATTACAGAGAAAAGGCAGCACCTGACAAGGAGCCCATATGGTGCCTGTATGGATTCAGGGAAGCCATGTGCATGTGTGTGCATGTGTGTGCATGTATGTGTGTGCCCATGTGCATGTGTGCCTGCAGGTGTGCATGTGTGTGTCTCTGTGTGTGCACGTGATATGTGCGTGTGTGCACGTTTGTGTGTGCCTGTAGGTGTGCATGTGTGTGCATGTATGTGTGTGCCTGCAGGTGTGTGTGTGTGCATGTATATCTGTGTGTGCATTGTGTTCGTTTGTGCAGGTGTGTATGTCTGCGTGCATATGATGTGTACATGTGTGTGCCTGCAGGTGTACGTGTGTTTTCGTGCATGTGGTGTGTGTGTGCATGTATGTGTGTGCCTGTAGGTGTGTGTTTGTATGTGTGTGTGCATGGGTGTGTACGTGTGTGCATGTGTGCCTGTGCATGTGTGTGCGTGTGGTGTGTGTACATGTATGTGTGTGCACGTGTGTGTGCCTGCAGGTGTGCGTGTGTGTGCATGTGTGTGCGTGTGTACCTGTGTGTGCACTGTGTTCATGTTTGTGCAGGTCTGTGTGTGCATGCATGTGTGTGTACGTGTGTGTGCCTGCAGGTGTGCATGTGTGTGTGTGTGAGATATGAGGGATGACATCTGGGAGGGGAGGGGCTTCCTGCTCTATATCTGGTCAAGGTGCCCCGAGAGTGAAGCAAGCTGAAAGGTCTGTGAAGGCTCCAGGGCCCATCCACTGGCAGGCAGATCCCGGCCTCCATTCCCCACACAGCCCCAGGGTTGTCTCACTGGAGAGTCACAGGCTTGGACTTGGACGTCAGGCCGTCCCGGGCCCATCCTCCTCCACTTGTCCTCCAAGTCACTTCCACTTTCTGAGTTTGTTTCCTCATTCGCACAATGGGGCTGAGTCCACCTGACTCAAAGCTTGCTAAGACTTTTCATCAGAGGGAGCAGGCAGCAGCCGCACAGCGTCAGGCCAGGCACAGGTGAGCACATAGTCGGTTGCCATCGATCCTATTACTTAAAAAAAAAAAAAAAGACATAGGGCCGGGCTCGGCGGCTCACACCTGTAATCCCAGCACTTTGGGAGGCCGAGGCGGGTGGATCACAAGGTCAGGAGATTGAGACCATCCTGGCTAACACAGTGAAACCCCGTTTCTACTAAAAATACAAAAAATTAGCTGGTCACGGTAGCAGGCGCCTGTAGTCCCAGCTACTCGGGAGGCTGAAGCAGGAGAATAGCGTGAACCCAGGAGGCGGAGCTTGCAGTGAGCCGAGATAGTACCACTGCACTGCAGCCTGGGCGACAGAGCGAGACTCAGTCTCAAAAAAAAAAAAAAAACATAGAACAAAACAGTGAATGCATTGATGGAGGTGGGAACCAGGGGTCTCATTGCGAAGAAAAGAAATATACACGGAAACTGGGAGGGTGAAGAAGACCCTGCAGTGTTAGATTTCATTGCAGATATTGGTTTAAATTAATGATTTTTTTTTTTAGATGAAGCCTTTGTCGCCCAGGCTGGAGTGCAGTGGCGCAATCTAGGCTCACTGCAACCTTCACCTCCCGGGTTCAAGTGATTCTCCTGTCTCAGCCTCCCAAGTAACTGGGATTACAGGCATGCACCAACACACCCAGCTAATTTTTATATTTTTAGTAGAGACGGGGTTCCACCATGTTGGCCAGGCTGCTCCCGAACCCCTGACCTCAGGTGATCCACCCACCTCAGCCTCCCAAAGTGCTGGGATTACAGGCATGAGCCACCGCACCTGGCCTAAATTAATGATTTTTAAAATTTTTCCTAGCTCTGTGCTCTGAAAGGGCCTGGATGCAATGATACCCCATAGCCATGAGCATGACTGGCTGCCAGCTCTTAGTCACCAAATGCCATTCTCCGCTGAAAGAAGCAAGGGCTTTTCAGAGAATAGACTGAGCACAAAAATGACAATGGTAATGGAGTAGAACACCTTGACTTTTAAAAGTCCACGAGTCCACAGTGATGCCTAAGGGAAGTAGGGAGGAAAGCTCTTCTTTACAACATCTTCCAGCTAACAGATGGAAAAGGAATGACAAAATGAAAAATCACCATATTGCAACTCTCAATAAAGTAACTGATTCAGGCATAGATCATCAAGGGATGCTAAGAAAGAAAGAGATAAAAATATAAGTGATGAACATCAGGAATGAAAGGGGGGACATTATTACAGACCGTATAGACATTAAAGTGGTCGTAAGGGGATATTGTTTGCAACTTAATGCAAATATACTTGACCATTTAGATGTAATAGACCAAATTCTTGAAAAATACAATTTACCAAAACTGACACTAGCAAAAACAGAACACTTAAATAGTCCTATATATCTATTAAGTAAATTATATCCACAGTTTAAAGCTTTATCACAGAGAAAACTTTATTAGAACCCAGATGGTTTCAGTAGTGAAGTTTTCAAACATTTAAGAAAGAAATTGCACCATGGTTGGATGCAGTGGCTCACACCTGTAATCCCAGCCACTTTGGGAGGCCGAGGCAGGCGGATCACCTGAGGTCAGAAGTTTGAGAACAGCCTGGCCAACATGGTGAAACCCCGTCTCTACTAAAAATACGAAAATTAGCCAGGCATGGTGGCAGGCACCTGTAATCCCAGCTACTCAAGAGGCTGAGGCAGGAGAATCACTTGAACCCAGGAGGCAGAGTTTGCAGTGAGCCGAGATCACGCCACTGCACTCCAGCCTGGGTGGCAGAGGGAGATTCTGTCCCAAAAAAAAAAAAAAAAAAAAGGAAATTGCACCAATCCTGTATGAACTCTTATAGAGAATTAAAAAAAAAAAAGCGCAGCCCAACTCACTTTATTCAGCTTAAACTCAGAAGCCAGAACTCAAAAAGGACATTAGGAGGAAGGAAAACTAAAGTCCAACATATTTCATGAGGATAAATGTAAAAATACAAAACAAAATATTAGCAATCAAGTCAACTAACATATTAAAGAATTAAGAGAATGAGAGGGCTGGGTGTGGTGACTCATGCCTGTAATCCCAGCACTTTGGGAGGCTGAGGCAGGCGGATCACCTGAGGTCAGGAGTTCAAGACCAGCCTGGCCAACATGGTGAAACCCCATCTCTACTAAAAATACAAAAATTAGCCGGGTGTGGTGGCTCATGCCTATAATCCCAGCTACTCAGGAGGCTGAGGCAGGAGAATTGCTTGAACCCAGGAGTCAGAGGTTGCAGTGAGCCGAGATTGCGCCATTGCACTGCAGCCTGGGCTACAAGAGTGAAACTCCATCTCAAAACAACAACAAAAACAACAACAACAAAGACTGAGAAGACACCAACAGACTGGGAGAAAATATCTGAAAAAGATGTGGGATAAAGGACTGTTATCCAGAATATACAAAGATCTCTCAAAACTCAGCAATAAGAAAATGAACAACCCAAGTTAAAATGGGCAAAGGGGCCGTGCACGGTGGCTCACACCCAGAATCCCAACATTTTGGGAGGCCAAGGTGGGGCAGATCACTTGAGCCCAAGAGGTCGAGGCTACAGTAAGCTGTGATTGCACTGCTGCGCTCCGGGGACAGAGTGAGACTCTATCAAAAAAAAAAAAAAATGAGGAAGTTCCTTTCTATGCTTAGTTTGTTTAGAATTTTTATCAGGAATGTATGCTGGAATTTATAAAAATGACTTTTCTATTGAGATGAACACATGGTTTTTCTTTATTAATCAGTTAGTATGATGCATTTGCACCATTTAATGTTTCTATGTTAAACCAACCTTACATTTTTGGGATGGACTGCACTTGACCATTATGTATTCCTTTGGGGTAACTTTTATTCCATTTGCTTAAATTTTGTTAGGGATGTTTGCATCCATGTCCATGAGGGATCTTGGTCTGTCATTGTCTTTTCTTGTAATATATTTTTACTTTTGGTATCAGAAAAATGCTTGCCTGATAGAATGAGCTTGGAATTACTCCCTTGCCTTTCCATTTTCTGGGAAAACTGTGTGTAGTTGGTATTACCTCTAACCTCTAACCGAAAACCATTTTCCTTAAAATAGGGCTATTCGGATTGCCTATGTCTTTTTGAATGAGCTTTGGTTGTTTTTGTCTTTCAGGGAATTTGTCCATTTTATCTAAGTTGTCAAACTTATTGGCTTAAAGTTGTTCATAATAGTCTCCTGTTATATGTTTATTATCTGTAGAGTCTGTAGTGATGTCAATGCTCCCATTCCCAGTGCTGGTGATTTGTGTCTTTTTGTCCTGCAGTAATTCTATGATCTATGTCATTTCTAGGTCAGTTTCTACTCATCACATTTGGCCTCATATTTCCTCTTCTCTGCATGCCTGGTAATTTTTTTTTTTTTTTTTTTAAGACAGAGTCTCGCCCTGTCGCCCAGGCTAGAGTGCAGTGGCGCGATCTCAGCTCACTGCAACCTCCGCCTCCCGGGTTCAAGTAATTCTCCTGTCTCACCCTCCAGAGTAGCTGGGATTATAGGCTCCTGCCACCACACCTGGCTAATTTTTGTATTTTTAGTAGAGACGGGGTTTCACCATGTTAGCCAGGATGGTCTCGATCTCCTGACCTCGTAATCCACCCACCTTGGCCTCCCAAAGTGCTGGGATTACAGGCATGAGCCACAGTGCCCGGCCTAACTTTCCCCTATTTCTGAGGCAAGAGCCTTCTTAGAACTATAGTCAATGCCCCGCCAATTAGGAAGCTTTTAAAACTCTGGGTCTTGGGAGCAGATCCTGTTCCCAGCTCTTTGTAAGGCTTGAAAACTTTTCCCTGTAATGTGTTCAGGTGGCCCTTCCTCTGCTTTGTGTGAGTTCCTCACACGCAGGGTGCTCTTTACTTGGGCGAATTCTCAAGGGCGCTCCCTGCAGAGCTCCACAGCTCTTTTTCTGGGCATCTCTTCTCTGCGAACTCAGGGAAGCACCCAGTGTCTCCTGGGTTCCCCTTCCCTCGCATGTTGCTGGAAGTTTCTCCAGGAGGGAAGATGGAGCGATTGGCAGCCTCGCTTCCCATCACTCGGGCATCACTGCCCTGAGCCACCTGTTGCCTAATGTCTGAGAACTGCTGTTTTTATTCAATACTGTACCAAGGACCCATGCCAGGCGGGAAGGCAGGAAAATAAGTGCAAAGACCGGGTACAAAGAAACAACTGTCATTTTCTCAGAAGATATGTTTTTATATGTAGGGAAGGAAAACCAAAAAATCTACAGATAAATTATTAGAATTAATAAGTAAATTTAGCAAGATCACTGGTTACAAGGTAAGTTTATAAAAGCCAATTGTATTTCTTTATACTTGCAATAAAGCTTTCTCAAATAGGATATAAAATCACTAAGAATAAAGGCTGGGTGCGGTGGCTCACACCTGTATTCCCAGCACTTTGGGAGGTTGAGGCAGGCGGATCACTTGAGGTCAGGAGTTCCAGACCAGCCTAGCAAACATGGTGAAATCTCGTCTCTACTAAAAATACAAAAATTAGCTGGGCATGGTAGCAGATGCCTGTAGTTCCAGCTACTTAGGAGGCTGAGGCAGGAGAATCACTTGAATCTGGGAGGCAGAGATTGCAGTAAACCGATATCGTGCCATTGCACACCAGCCTGGGTGACACAGCGAGACTCCATCTCAAAAAAAAAAAAAAAGAAGAAGAAAAGGAAGGAAGGATGAAAGAAAGAGAATAACAGAAGAAGATTGACAAATTTGACTTAATACCTTCTGGACGTCAAAGGAAATCATTGAGAGAGTGAAAAGGCAACTTCCAGACCAAGAGAAGATTATTTACAGTACATATTTTACAAAAGACTGTATCCAGAGTATTTTTAAGCAAAAAACCTACAAAGCAAATAAACAATAAAAGACAAAACAAACCAAGTTTTTAAATGAGCAAAAGCCTTGAATAAGCACATCACAAAAGAGGATATCCAGATAGCCAATGTAGGAAAAGTTGCTAAGCACCATTAATATCAGGGAAATGCAAATTAAGCCACAAAGAAATACCACCACCTCCCATCAGGAAGGCTAAAATTTAAAAGTCGAACATACCAAGTGGTGACAAGGACATGGAGCAACCAGAACCCTCACGCACTGCTGGTGGGATGTGCACTGGTGCAGACACTTCAGAAAATTATTTAGCAGTTTCTACTAAAGCAAAAAAAGTATGCCAACCCTATGACATATGTTGTCCGAGTCCACTTAGCATATGCCCGAGAGAAATGAGCTCATTATCCACAAAAGATCGCAGTCATGGCAGCTTAATCATCATCTGTGAAACACGGGAGCAGCCCTAGTCCCCAGAGCAGCAGTGGATGCAGTGATCACGGTTCACAAACTCAGCTGTGAGAGACTGAACCTCGTCACACTCAGCAGCGTGGACAGAGACTGCATGGAAGAAGCCAGATCCAAAAGTGGCAAAGTGTCCCTATTCTATCATTCCATTTGCATCAAGTTCAAAATCGGGCAAATAATCTCTGGCCATAGAAGTCAGAGAAGTGTGGGATGGGGATACACAGAGATGGACACGGGAGAAACTTTGGGGTGCTGGAATGTCCTTTATTTACATTTTACTTTAGAGACAGGGTCTCACTCTGTTACCCAGGCTGGAGTGCAGTGACACAACCACAGCTCACTGCAGACTCAACCTCCTCGGCTCGAGCGATCCTCCTGCCTCAGCCTCCCAAGGTGATGGGATTACAGGCGTGAGCCACCGCACCTGGCCTGGAACGTTCTATGTTGAGATTTGGGCAGTGGGTTTACCGGTGCATTTGCACCCATGATTGGCATACCTTACCGTGTGTCACTTATACCTCAGTAAATAGTTTATCTTAAAAAGTAGGCCTTGGCCGGGCACGGTGGCTCACGCCTGTAATCCCAGCACTTTGGGAGGCCGAGGCAGGCAGATCATGAGGTCAGGAGATCGAGACTAACCTGGCTAACACAGTGAAACCATCCTGGCTAACACAGTGAAACCCCATCTCTACTAAAAATACAAAAAATTACCCAGGCGTGGTGGCGGGCGCCTGTAGTCCCAGCTACTCTGGAGGCTGAGGCAGGAGAATGGCATGAACCCAGGAGGCGGAGCTTGCAGTGAGCCGAGATGGCACCACTGCACTCCAGCCTGGGCGACAGAGCAAGATTCTGCCTCAAAAAAAAAAAGTAGGCCTTGCCAGGTGCAGTGGGAGGATCGCTTAAGGCCAGGAGTTTGAAACCAGCCTGAGCAACGTGACAAAACCCCGTCTCTACAAAAAATACAAAAATTAGCCAGCCGTGGTGGGGCATGCCTATAGTCCTGCTACTCAGGGCTGAGGTGGGAGGGTCACTTGAGGCCAGGAGGTTGAGGCTGCAGTGAGCCTTGATCACACCACTGCAGTCCAGCCTGGGGGACAGAGTGAGATCCTGTGTCAAATATATACATTTAATTTTAAAAAAGTTTTAAGTAGGAGTTACAGTTTAAAGTGGCAGTTAAACACAAGCATCTATTGCCTCTTTGCTTTAAAATGAAGACAAAAATTTCAAGAGAATAAGAGGGGAGACGGGAGCTGGAACCCGGAAGACAGATGTCCAGGCAGCGACTGTCCTCGGAGGCCTGAGAGTGCTGAACCTGCAAATGCAAGGAGCCAGTTGGCTTCGGAGCCCCCGGGAGGCACAGGAAGTGGAGGCCCAGATTCCTCCAAGAAGCTGGGCTGGAAACAGGGTCTCCAGGGGGTCTTTGTGAGCGGCACGGTGTTCTGGCCACAGCTGAGGACAGGGCTGGGGCTCCGTGCTGAAACCAGGAGGACACAGGTGAGACCCTTGCTGGAGGTGCACAGACGCTTCTCAGCCCACAGCACCTCTGGCCTTCCAGGGCTACCAGGCCACGCCGTGCACACAGGGAGGTGGTTCCTCTGCAGGGCAGTGTTGGGCAGGAGCAGTTAGGGCTGTGGGGCCTCTCGCCAGCCACACGCATGCTAACACTAACACACTGGGATGGTTAACACTGAGTGTGAACTGGATTGGATGGACAGATGCAAAGTATTGATCCTGGGTGTGTCTGTGAGGGTGTTGCCAAAGGAGATTCACCTCCGACTGAGTGGACTGGGAGAGGCAGACGCACCCTTAATCTCAGTGGGCACCGTCTCATCAGCTGCCAGCAAGGCTGGAATATAAAGCAGGCAGAAAAACATGAGAAGGCTAGATGGGCCTACCCTCCCAGCCTACATCTTTCTCCCATGCTGGACGTCTCCTGCCCTCGAACATCAGACTCTAAGTTCTTCAGCTTTGAGACTCGGGCTGGCTCTCTGTGCTCCTCAGCTTGCACATGGCCTATTGTGGGACCCTGTGATCGTGTGAGTTAATACTTAATAAACTCACCTTTATATATATATACACATATATATATATCCTGTATATAATATATATATGTATATATATCCTATGAGTTCTGTCCCTCTAGAGAACCCTAATACAGACACTAAGCTGGAGCTTGGAGGAAGCAAAAGAAACCTTAAAAGCACAAATGCTGTAACTAAGATACTGCGTCTGTGAAGTGGAGATGGGGGCCCCACAGAAAGAGCTTTCAGACTGTAGGACAGAACTTGGTGGATGAAGGACAGGATGGGAAATGAAAGCTCAGTGGGAGGTTTGGAAATAATTTGAAGTTGTCTTCCAAAAAGCAGTACAAAATACATAAAGAGAAGGAAAATCAAAGAGAAAAGATGTTTAAAATTGGAGATTCTGTCAAGAAGGTCCAACATACAAATAACTGGGATTCCAGGAAGAAGGGAGAGCAGGGAAGGAAACTCCTAAGTAATTCATCGCTGACAGGTTTCCAGATGTGAGGCCACGGGAGCCCCCACAGGAGCCGGACTTAACAGGTTTGTGGAGTGGCCAAAGGTGGGTGGAGAGAGACCCCCTGTGGGGCACGTTGTCATGAAGTTTCTCAACACTAGTGAAAATGGAAGAGCCTCAAAACCTCCAGAAGAGCAGGCCACATCAGAGGGGCAGGAATAGGAATGGGTTCTGGGGTCTCAACAGCAGTTCTGGGAGCCAAGCCTGCCTGTGCTAAGGGAACGTTATCTCAACCCAGAAGTCTTGGCTCCACTGAACTCTCAAGCTGGTGTGCAGCGGGCACAGACCCTGGAGGTGCACATCTCCAAAAATACCCCGTGGACCTTATCTTGGGAAACACCCAGCGGCTGTGCTTCACCACTACCTGGAGGTCGGAGGGTGTGGACCAGGGCATGGGGGTGTCAGTCCCAGGACCTTGCAGGGCAGGAGCTAGAGAGTGGCTGGAGGGGCAGGAGGAGCCAAGTATCAAGGGACCAGGATGGGTAACTGAGAAACAACAGAGCCAGATAAGCATTAACCCTGAAAGCAGCAGCAGAAGGCTGGGCCGTTGAGGCCGTTGCACAGCCAGAATATCACCAGTGAGGAAGGTGCTGATTTAGCTAAAACTCTAATACTGTTATTTCGGGAGTCCACCTTCCGTGGGGAGAAGTCAATACCAAATACCCAGAAGTCAACAATCAAGAGATCACAATCCAAGGATGTTATCTGGAAATGTGGAGGCAAATACACAACCATTTCAATGTCGACCTCCAAGTGCTAAGGATGGGGTGGGCGGGGGGCGGTGACGCCTGCATTTTCTTATAAACCTCACTTGAGGTTTAAACTATGCATGCATATGACTATGATGAAAATGAAAATCTTAAAATGTATTAACTTAAAACAGCAACAGAGGCTGTGCCTCTCTCTCCCCACAGACGGTACCCTGAGGTGACCTCCTTGAGCCTGGAGAAGCTGAGTCCGAAGGCGCTGAGCAGGCAGGTCTTGCGTCTGCAGGAGCGGTACGGCGTAGCCCCAGGTGAGTCCAGCCCCCACATTCCTGCCCCACAGGCCAGGGAGAGCCGCCAAGCGTGGCCAGGGACATCCTCTGTGACTGGGGCTGCCCGTTGTTCAGGTGCCAACCAAGACCAACCTTCCCAGAGAGCCCCTCCCTGCCTCTTGCCCAGCTCGTGCCAGAGTGGCTGTGAGGTGGGCCTGGCCTGGGCCCTGCGACTGAGCAGCCAACGGGTCTATGAGCTCCTCTGCCCACCTAGGCGGCTCCGGGAGGGCTTCCTGCCTCCTGCCTGGCTGCAGAGCTGAGGGTGAGTGCTGAGTCCAAGTCCGCAGGACTCCAGCCACTCCTCCCAGGCCCCTCTGGACAGGCTGATGGCCACACCTGCCTGTGTCGTTGGACACCAAGGGAAGCCAGGTCCCCTTTGCTCCCAGGACCCCCTGCAAGGGCCGGGAAGATGCACTGAGGCCCCTTCCATGGGGCCCTTGAATCTCAGGAGGGTACAGGCTGGCACCTGGCCGGAAGTTTGAATTTTATCTGGATTTTGCAGTGTTTCTAGGTCCTCCTTCCTCCTTCCTCCTTCCTCCTTCCTCCTTCCTCCCTTTCTCCTTCCTCCATCCTCCCTTTCTCCTTCCTCCTTCCTCCTTCCTCCTTCCTCCTTCCTCCATCCTCCCTTCCTCCTTCCTCCTTTCTCCTTCCGCCCTTTCTCCTTCCTCCTTCCTCCATCCTCCCTTCCTCCTTCCTCCTTCCTCCTTCCTCCTTCCTCCATCCTCCTTCCTCCTTCCTCCTTCCTCCTTCCTCCATCCTCCTTCCTCCTTCCTCCTTCCTCCTTTCTCCTTCCTCCATCCTCCCTTCCTCCATCCTCCTTCCTCCTTCCTCCCTGCCTCAGGGCAGATGGTCGCCCGGCTCCCCGTGGCTGCGCTCTGGGCGTGGGGGGTGGGGCCCTGAAAGGTCGGCACCCCGCTGAGGACCAGCCAGCCCGTTAGCACCACTGGCTGCCGCACCCTGGGGGAAAAGGGCTCAGCCAGACTGTGGTGCCCTCCCCGGGGCCCCCTCAGGCTCTGGAGTGGAGTATGGAGGTGAGGCTGACGGAGGGTGTGGACGTGCGTGTGCCTCAGTCCCTGCCGCTCATGGGGCTTCAGTCACGGGACCCACAGTGAGCAGCCGGCTCTGTCCACGAGGGTTCCACGTGCCAGTGAGAGAAGGGCAGGGCACAAACGCAGATGCCAACGCCAAGAAGGAAACTCCCTGAGGAAAGACAGGGAGGCCCCAGAGGGAGGCCAGACGAAAGGGCCCGCCACACAAGTGCAAGGGAGACCCCGGGGCCGGCGGGACCCCCAGGCTGAGTGGGGTGGACCCCAGCAGAGGCCCAGGTGGTGAGGAGGGGGTGGGCTCCGGGGCAGAGGTGGAGGACGGTGAAGGGGCAGGCGCAGCCCCTCTGCCCGTCTCCAGCCCGCCCCAGAAGGAGGCCGTGGTGAGGCTGCCCTGAGCCCTCAGTGCTGAGCTGGCCTTTCCTTTCAGCGCTGTGTCCCAACGCGGCCATTCAGCAGCGCCTGGCGGCCCTGCGGCACCTGTGCCACAAGCGGTTTGTGGAGGTTCGTGAGCAGGAGGGGGTCCTGGGGGCAGCCAGCCGCGGCCTGAGCCACAGAGTTTGGCCTGGGATACTCACTGCGCACTGCAGGGTGCACAGACATATCAAGTAGGAGCTGCTTCTTGCCCCAGAGCTGGGTGAGCTGGGCCAGGCCTGGGTGAAGGGGAGGCCATGGGGCCCTGGCTCTGGGCTGTGGCACCAGGGCGGGTGAGCACCTGGGCTCTGCCAAGGATGTACCCTGCCAGGGGTCGAGGAAAACTCCCACCAGGCCCCGATACAGCCTCTGGAGCTGCCTGGCAACCGCCCCTTCCTGTTTGCCTTTGCAGAAGAGCCTGTCACAGGAGAACTGGACCGACCATGTGCAGGTGAGTTCGTGCCCTTGCCTGTAAGCCGGCAGGGCGGCCTGGGCGGCTGTCCTAGGGGCACAGGCCCGGAGCCTCCTGGTGGAAGTGCGCAGAGCTGAGGCCTTCGCTGGGGCTGCTGAGCCCAGACCCCATGTTGGGGCGTGTGGCTGGCAGGCGGGTGTAGGGTCCTCAGGCCCGGGAGGCCTGAGCGGGAGCCGAGGGCATCAGTAGAGCCTGACTGGGCCTCGTTCCAGGCAGACGGCAGCGTCCGTGCCACCCGAACCAACCCAGCGGAGCTGCCTGTGGGGCCGGGTGGGGGCTGAGAGTCACCAGAGAGGTGCAAGGCGCCTGGGCGAGGCCGGAAGGAGGAAGGCCAGGCCCCCCCAGCCCGGTGCCAGCGCAGAGCCGGCCGGAAGGGCAGCGGACGTCCTGAAGAATGCGGGCGGCTTCCACGTATTGTCGTCCACGTGGGAACCCACGCCGGGGAAGCAGCCTCAGGCTGCTGGGCCTGAAGCCAGCGGGGCAGGCGGACCCTCCTCGAGGCCGTGGGGTGGGAGGTCGTGCAGGAGCTCAGCCTGCTGGGCAGGTCCCCTCCCTTCCCGCCTGACACTCAAGGCCATCCTGGACCCATGGACTCCAGGACCTTGCGGGGAGGGAGACCCTCGCTTGTGCTGGGCCCTGCATTTCCCAGCGGGGGCTGAGGGTCCCGCAGGCCTGTAGGTGCCTCTGCTCCTGGGCTGGGCGCTGCCACGGTGGCTGCGGGGTGGGAGAGAGCTCACCCTGGTGAGGATGAGGTTTCTCAGGACCCCCTTGGTCATTGCCACCCAGAGGGCACCCCTCTGTCTGCTCCTGGGCCATGGGTGAATGGGTGCCCAATAGCCTCCTGAGCCCTGCCAGCCAAACCCCACATAATGAGGAGGAGGGGAAGGGGCAGAGGGGCTCCCCTGGCAAGAGGAGGAGCGTGGAGATGGGGCAGGCTGGGCAGGTGCTCCAGAAAACATGCCCGGGCTCCTGGGACCCGGGGTGGGGGCAGATGCCTGGTGAGAGCAGGAGGGCCGGCAGAGGCTTGGAGGCCGGGAAGGTCAGTGGAGGCTTGGAGGCCAGGAGGGCCAGTGGAGGCTTGGAGGCTGGAAAGGTCAGTGGAGGCTTGGAGGCCAGGAGGGCTGGTGGAGGCTTGGAGGCCAGGAAGGTCAGCAGAGGCTTGGAGGCCAGGAGGGCCGGTGGAGGCTTGGAGGCCGGGAAGGTCAGCGGAGGCTTGGAGGCCAGGAGGGGCCAGCTGGGGCTGAACTGAGGTGGGCAGCCTTCACCTCAGGCTTGGAGACCCGGAAGGCCAGCCGGGGCTACACTGGGGTGGACAGCCTTTGCCTCAGCACCTCTATCTCAGCCGCTTTGGTCCTGTGGAACCTTGACCTCAGGCAGGACAGATGCTGCAGGCCTCAGGTGGACGGCTGCCCCTCCTCCCCGAGTGCTCATAGCCAGTCTGCAAGGTCGGGGTCTACGGGGGTCCCTCGGGGCAGGGCCCTGTGGCACAGCAATGTCCCCATCTCCATCCTCACGGCCACCCTCCTCACAGGGCCTGGTGGGGCAGAGCCCGTGGCTTCAGGAGCAGCTGTCTCAGCTGCTGGTCTCCCACAGTGACCCAGTCACGGCCGCCCAGTGTGCCATGGAACTCTTGCTGCCCGAGGAGCGGCTGCCGGCTGCGGTGGCTGTGGAACTCCGCCGGTTCAGGCTCCAGGGGAGGTGAGCGCCGCCAGGGTGACCCCAGCCAGGGGTGGGTTCCGCCCAGGGTGGCCCCTACCCTTGGGACGACAGCTCACCAGTCTTCACGCCAGTGGCTTGAGAATTAGAAATCAAGACAAAACAAAGAGCGCAGCTATACACAGAGCAGACAAGACAGCAGGGCCCAGCCCTCCTCCTCTGCTGCCAGATCCATGGCCAGCCCGACCCATGAGGGACCCTGGGGGGACAGTCACCAGGGCCACTGGGAGGAGAGGCAGGAGCAAGGGTCACGCTGGGCTGGACTGAGCCGGTGTGGGAGGAGGAGCCAGGACCTGAGATGCCCCCACCAAACAGGCCCTGAATGCTCCCCTCCTGCTCCGAGGTCAGAGTGGGTGGGGGACCAGGGACATGGGGGCGCTACCAGCTCTGCTCCTCCCAGGGCGACTGAGGCTGACTCGAGGCTGGAGGTGAAGGACATGAAGGACCGTTACTACCAGCTGCCCATCCCCAGGGAGAACGTCCACCTCCTGGCCTCGTGGGAAGACCTGACCAGACACGAGGGTGCACTCCTGCAGGTGGTTCCCTCGGCCGCTGGGGCAGCGCCCGGTGGTGGGATCCCCCTGCCAGGCACTGGAGGAGCATCAGGGGCATGGCATTCGGAGAGAGGCAAGGCCTCTGGGCATGAGCCCGCCAGGTGCCCCAGGGCTGCTGTGAGGGCAGCCGTTCCCCACACTGTGCTGCTGAGACTCCAGGATGCTGGCTGCTGGCATTTACCCAGTGCTGCCAGCCTGTGGAAGGTGCCGTGGAATCCCCATTTTACAGATGGTGCCCGAGACGTGGGGTGCCTCCCTGACACGGGCACTGCCGTGGGCACCAGGCCAGGCTCTTGCTCACAACAGCCAGGCCTCCCTCTCTGGTGCAGCCACAGAAAGCAGGGGGCAGCTGGAGCACAGGCCTTAGTGCCCCCAACAGCCCCAGCCCTATAAACATGCAGGGGTGCAGGGGCGTCTCCCCGAAGCCCAAGCTCACAGAGCTGCTCAGGACCTCCAGGCTGTGGTCCCTGCAGAGCCAAGTTGGCCCTGATGATCACATCTGCCCCTCTCTGCCCGCAGTGCCACCAAGTGGTTGGTGTAGACGTGGAGTGGACACCTGTGTTTGTTGCTGGGGGCCGGCCTCGGCCGTCACTCCTGCAGGTGGCCGTGGAGGGCCACGTGTTCCTTCTGGACGTCCTGGCACTCTCGCAGCCACCAACAGGGCAGGGAGCCCAGGCCTTTTCCCGGCTGGTGGCCCAGCTCCTCTCGGACCCCTCTATCACCAAGCTGGGTGAGTGAAGCCCTGGGGCCCCCTGCCCAGTCCAGAAAGAAAGCAGCCCGCACCCCTGCCTGACCCTTCCCTCCGTGTGCCCCGGGGAGGGTGCTGGGTGCACCCTGGGGTCAGGGGACAGTGCGGTCCCTGCCTGCAGGCGCCCCTCCCACGATGGTTCCTGCCCACAGGCTACGGGATGGTGGGGGACCTGCAAAAACTGGGCACGTCCTGCCCCGCCCTGGCCCATGTGGAGAAGCAGATTCTGGGCGGCATGGACCTGCTGCTGGTGCACAGACAGGTGGGCACCCACTGAGCCGCTCACAAGATGCCGGGTGGGCCTGGGGTTCGAGGGCTGCTTGGGGCCCCTCCACACCTTCCCAGCGGCCCTGGGCTTCTCCCGCCGGATTCCTGTCAGCACAGCCTCAGTCACCAGGGCCCCAGAGCAGAGCCTGGCAGAGCTGGATCTGGCATCTCCAGGGAGGGAGCAGGGCCTCCTGGTGCAGGCATCCCTGAGCCCCTGTGGGGCCGTTATCTGGTGTGAGGGCACCTTCCCCCAGACCTGAGCCCTGGGTTCCACTTGGAGGAGCTGCGGGAGGGAGCCCCTGGGGCTCTATCTAGCCCCCTCCCCGTGATCCCCACCCCTCTCTATCTAGCCCCCTCCTTGTGATCCCCACCCCTCTCTATCTAGAACCCTCCCCGTGATCCCCACCCCTCTCTATCTAGAACCCTCCCCGTGATCCCCACCCCTCTCTATCTAGCACCTTCCCCGTGATCCCCACCCCTCTCTATCTAGAACCTTCCCCGTGATCCCCACCCCTCTCTATCTAGAACCTTCCCCGTGATCCCCACCCCTCTCTATCTAGCCCCCTCCCCGTGATCCCCACCCCTCTCTATCTAGAACCTTCCCCGTGATCCCCACCCCTCTCTATCTAACCCCTCCCCGTGATCCCCACCCCTCTCTATCTAGCACCTTCCCCGTGATCCCCATCCCTCTCTATCTAGAACCTTCCCCGTGATCCCCACCCCTCTCTATCTAGCTCTCTCCCCGTAATCCCCACCCCTCTCTATCTAGCACCTTCCCCGTGATCCCCATCCCTCTCTATCTAGAACCTTCCCCGTGATCCCCACCCCTCTCTATCTAGAACCTTCCCCGTGATCCCCATCCCTCTCTATCTAGAACCTTCCCCGTGATCCCCACCC
Source organism: Homo sapiens (assembly GCF_000001405.40). Classification (NCBI taxonomy): domain Eukaryota; kingdom Metazoa; phylum Chordata; class Mammalia; order Primates; family Hominidae; genus Homo; species Homo sapiens. Next base: position 137,350,135 of record NC_000009.12, on the reverse strand, counting down.
CTCTCTATCTAGAACCCTCCCCGTGATCCCCACCCCTCTCTATCTAGCCCCTCCTCGTGATCCCCACCCCTCTCTATCTAGAACCTTCCCCGTGATCCCCACCCCTCTCTATCTAGCACCTTCCCCGTGATCCCCACCCCTCTCTGGGCACACACGCCACCCCAGACACACACGTGGAGCGCCCCTAGCATGAGCACTAGAGCCCCCCGGGGGTGGTTTCGCTGCATTTTGTCTGCGTTTCTGCTGTTTTATGCACGGCACACCCAGTGCTCCTCTTCTGAAGATAAAACAGAGACAGAGAGCTGGCCACACAGACTCAGGGCCCGGGCTCTCTGAGGCTGTGAGGGGCTGGGCGGGGTTACCGTGGGACTGCTGACCAGGGCCCCCGGAGCTGGCCCTGGTGTGCAGTGCCTGCAGCCTGGGACCCCCACGTGGAGCCTCTCCTCGGATGTGTCCGCTCCTTCTCCCCGTCTCTGCTGTGGGGGCCGCTGGTGGAGGGGGCGGGGCCTCCTCCAGAGCCCCCGCAGGGCTGGTGTGAGTGGGCACGGTGACTGTGCTGCCGCCAGGGCCAGACGCGTTACCCTGCAGGGCACTGTCTTAGCAGATGCGGGTGGCGAGCGTGCCAGCCCCAGCCGTGGACAGGGCCAGGGAGCTGAGGGGCCTGAGCCTCCTGGTGCAGCAGGTGCTGGGCACAGCCCTGGACAAGACGCAGCAGCTGTCCAACTGGGACCGGAGGCCGCTCTGCGAGGAGCAGGTCATCTACGCAGGTGTGCGGTGCGGCGGGTGGGAGTGACCCCTCCTCACGCCCCTCCCGCCCTCTGTCCCGGGAGGCTGAGGCCGACTCCCCACACAGCTGCCGACGCCTACTGCCTGCTGGAGGTGCACCAAGCCCTGTGCAGAGAGCCCGCCCGCTTCCACCTGTCGGAGGACCTGGCTGGGAGCCGGAGGCCCAGGCACAGAGAGAGACCAGGGGCACGGAAGCCACCCGGCCTGCAGAAAGCGTCAGCACCGGCCGCACCCAGGCAGGTGGGTGAAGCCCCGCAGGGTCCGTTTGTCAGCATTCTTGGGGAAGGAGATCCCTGTCCATAAACCAAGGACCTGCATGGAGACAAGGCCACTGGGTCAGAGCGTGTGGAGGGGGCCCAGCTCCTGGAGCGAGAGGGGAGCAAAGTCCTGGTGAACCTCCTGCATGACTGTCACGGGGGCTGCGCTTGCCTGGGGGGTCACTGCTCAGGAGGCAGCCGTGCCCCTGAGTGCCCCAGTCCCCTCCTGATACTTGGCCTGGCAGGCCCCTCCCATGGCCCAAGGCAGCATCTAGCCCCCTCCCCGTGATCCCCACCCCTCTCTATCTAGCCCCCTCCCCCTCCCCTCTCTATCTAACCCCTCCCCGTGATCCCCACCCCTCTCTATCTAGCCCCCTCCTTGTGATCCCCACCCCTCTCTATCTAACCCCTCCCCGTGATCCCCACCCCTCTCTATCTAGCCCCCTCCCCATGATCCCCACCCCTCTCTGTCTAACCCCCTCCTTGTGATCCTCACCCCTCTCTATCTAGCACCTTCCTCGTGATCCCCACCCCTCTCTATCTAACCCCCTCCTTGTGATCCCCACCCCTCTCTATCTAGCCCCCTCCCCGTGATCCCCACCCCTCTCTGGGCACACACGCCACCCCAGACACACACGTGGAGCCCCCCCAGCATGAGCACTAGAGCCCCCCAGGGGTGGTTTCACTGCATTTTGTCTGCGTTTCTGCTGTTTTATGCACAGCACACACAGTTTTATCTTTTGAAGATAAAACAGAGACAGAGTGCTGGCCACACAGCCTCAGGGCCCTGGCTCTCTGAGGCTGTGAGGGGCTGGGGGGTGACCGTGGGACTGCTGACCAGGGCCTCACTGCAGGTCCCTGTGGCTGTGGCTGTGTCTGAGGGCGCTGCCCCTCAGATTCCGGCCAGGGCCTTCCGTGTGGTGTGTGACAACATGCTGCAGGGGCTGGCACGGAGCCTCCGCTGTCTCGGTGTGGATGCACGCATGCTGGGCAATGGTGAAGACCACCGCAGGGCGGCCGAGGTGAGTTTGCGGGGAGGGTCTTGGGGTCCTCCCAAGGTGCAGCTGCCCCTAGCACAGGTGTGCCCACCCCTAGCATCAAACTCCTCCCTCCAGCTCATCCATGGCTGCCAGCTGTGCCAGGCAGGCTCTGGGAACAGGACGGGGTGGCCAAGGATGGAGCGGTTGGGGGCCAAGTGGCTGAGATGGTCCCAGCCTCAGCCCTCATTGTCCCACAAAAGGAATTTACAGATGTAATTGACACTATTAATCAGTTGAACTTAAAATAGAGAGTCTATCTTATTTGGGTGGGCCCAGTGTAATCACATGAGCCCTTAAAAGCAGAAATGGGGCCGGACGCAGTGGCTCATGCCTATAATCCCAGCACCTTGGGAGGCCGAGGTGGGTGGATCACTTGAGGCCAGGAGTTGGAGACCAGCCTGACCAATATGGTGAAACCCCGTCTGTACCAAAAATAGAAAAATTAGCCAGGCGTAGTGGCGGGCGCCTGTAATCCCAACTACTCAGGAGGCTGAGACACGAGAATCGCTTAAACACCGGAGGCAGAGGTTACAGTGAGCTGAGATCACGCCACTGCACTCCAGCCTGGCTGACAGAGCAAGACTCCATCTTAAAAAAAAAAGAAAAAAAGCAGGAATGGAACACAGAAGACAGAGAGATTCAAAGCACAGGAAGGATTCAGTGTCCCATTGTTGGCTTGAAGATGGAGGACGCCGCACAAGGAAACCTCAGTCCAACAGCCACAAGCAGCCAGATTCTGCCAACACCTGACCAAGCCCAGAAGCAGGTTCTTCCCCGGAGTCTCCTAAGAGGAGCCTGCCGTCGCGAACACTGTGATTTCAGCCATGAGACCCTGAGCAGAGAACCTGGTTGAGTCCACCGGACTTCTGGACTTCCACAGAACTATGTTGTAAGCTGCTAAGCTTTTAGTAAATTGTGACAGCAGCATTAGAAAAATGACATGGAGGCTGGGTGCTCACGCCTGTAATCCCTGCACTCTGGGAGGCCGAGGCGGGTGGATCACAAGGTCAGGGGTTCAAGACCAGCCTGGCCAAGATGGTGAAACCCTGTCTCTCCTAAAAATACAAAAATTAGCTGGGCGTGGTGGCGGGCGCCTGTAATCCCAGCTACTCGGGAGGCTGAGGCAGAGAATTGCTTGAACCCGGGAGGCAGAGGTGGCAGCAGTGAGTGGAGATCGCACCACTGCACTCCAGCCTGGGTGACAGAGCAAGACTCCGTCTCAAAACAATAGAAAAAAAGAATGTGGATTGTGGTACCAGGAGTGGGGTGCTGGTGTAACACACAGCTAAACATGCGGAAGTAGTTTTAGAATCAGGGGATGAGTGGAGGGTGGGAGAGTCCTGAGGATCACAACATGAAAAGCCTAGAGGGCCTTGAAACCGACCGTCTGTGGAAATACGGACATTAAAAGTGTCGAAGGTTCAGAAATAGAGGTGGGATGCTGGTAAATGCAGCTGAAACTGACCATCTGTGGAAATACGGACATTAAAAGTGTCGAAGGTTCGGAAATAGAAGTGGGATGCTGGTCAATGCAGCTGAAACAGATGGAGCCGAGATGGTTCGACCTAAACGGCAAGAGTGTGAGGGTGTCAGATCAAAGCCAAATGGACCAGTTTTCTCCTTCAGGGGTGTAAGAAGTGGGGTTAGTTGGTATTTATTCTTCATGGAGAGGGCGGAATCCATCCTGAACCCTCGATTTGTTTAAATACTAGTTATGGGTAATCTTACCCATATAGTTTTTTAATAACATTTATTCCCTCTTTTTTTCCTTCAGTAAGGAGTGAATTTTTTTTTTTTTTTTTTTTTTTTTTTTTGAGACGGAGTCTTGCTCTGTCTCCCAGCCCGGAGTGCAGTGGTGCGATCTCGGCTCACTGCAAGCTCCGCCTCCCAGGTTCATGCCATTCTCCTGCCTCAGCCTCCCGAGTAGCTGGAACTACAGGCTCCTGCCACCATTCCTGGCTAATTTTTTGTATTTTTAGTACAGACGGCTAAAAATTTCACCATGTTAGCCAGGATGGTCTCGATCAAGGAGTGAAGTATTTTTCTAATTACTTTTCCCTGGTTTTTATCTCCTAGGTCTTCTGTTCCAAGCTCTTAGTGAATTCTGTATTTTTAGGACTTGCTCTACAAATAGTACAGCTTTATTTTCACCCTCATTTGTTTTCTGCAGCTTCAAGGATTGTCTGTTTATGTCGGTCTAGGATGTTCTAGACAGGTGTTCACATTTGTGACCACCTTACTCACAGGTGCAGTGATCTCACAGAGGCAGACATAGATTCATGCATTTTCTGGAGAGAACATTTTTGAAGAAGGGAAGCTTTGGTATCCTTTTGGCTTCTATGGAGCTTTTGCTATCTTTTTCTTTTCTTTTCTTTCCTTTTTTTTTTTTTTGAGACAAAGCCTCACTCTGTTGCCCAGGCTGGAGTGCAGTGGTGCTACCTGGGCCCACTGCAACCTCCGCCTCCCGGGTTCAAGCGATTCTCCTGTCTAAGCCTCCTGAGTACCTGGGATCACAGGTGCTCGCCACTACACCCAACTAATTTTTGTATTTTTAGTACAGACAGGGTTTCTCCATGTTGGTCAGGCTGGTCTCGAATTCCTGACCTCAGGTGATCTGCCCACCTCGGCCTCCCGAAGTGCTGAGATTACAGGCGTGAGCCACCACACCCGGCAGGATCTTTCCAAATCATGTGTTTTCTACTAAGACTCCTGGAGAAATGAGTTAATTGTTTCATATAAGGATTATACCTTGAGTTTCATTTTCCATACCTTTCAAAAGGAGCATTACTAATAAATTTACAAACATTTTTTAAAAAGGAAAAGGAAAGAAAGCATTCCGGGCGAGAGCCCAGAGGATGTGAGGAGAATGTCCTGACAAAGTGGAGGGAGGCAAAGTGCCTGTCACATCCAGGTAGTGGCGGGAAACGCCATGGGGCTGTGTCCTGCTGTCAGAGAGAAGCTGACTTTGTCAGGTGAACCTGGGTGTTCTGCTGAGGGGATCTCCAGACAGTGGAAGGTGCAGCCTGGCCTGTTTCTGCTGCTTATGGTGAAATGTGAGCAGAAGACCTGGACATTCAGCTGAGGAGATCTCCAGACAGTGGAAGGTACAGCCTGGCCTGTTTCTGCTGCTTATGGTGAAATGTGAGCTGAAGACCTGGATATTCAGCTGAGGAGATCTCCAGACAGTGGAAGGTGCAGCCTGGCCTGTTTCTGCTGCTTATGGTGAAATGTGAGCAGAAGACCTGGACATTCAGCTGAGGAGATCTCCAGACAGTGGAAGGTGCAGCCTGGCCTGTTCCTGCTGCTTATGATAGAATGTGAGCAGGAGGGACTGAGGGGAGCGCTCTTAAACAGAAAGGAACTAGGACTTGATGATTTGGGAAACTCTCATCCTGTCCAGATGGCAAAAGATGCTAAGAATAAGTGATCATTCCCAAAAGTGTAACCTGAAAAGCTGAGTGTGTATCTGTGCAGGAGTGAGGTCAGAAACAGTCTTCGAAAGCAAACCCGAGGCTTCCAGAAAGCGCAGGGGTATCAGCCCTTGGCCGCCTCCGCAGATGCTGAAGTGGACAGGAAACGTGCCAGCGAAGTTCCACGCCACTCACAATCTTCCCAGACATGTCTCGTCAGCCACTGCAAGCATGGAAGCCAGTTCTTGATAGTAAATCTCTTAATATTTATCTCCCACTGGTTTGCTTCTCTAGATCGGCCCAACTGACCAATTTTGGTGCCGGAAGTTGTTGCAGAGGAAAGTCTTACAGATGAGTTGTCTGCACTGGTTCTGGGACTTCTGGAATTGGTTCTCTACATTATTAGATTTAGAGACACTAAGGGCCTAGTTTCCAGTAGTAAAGAGGATACAGGCCGGGCGCAGTGGCTCACACCTGTAATCCCAGCACTTTCAGAGGCCGAGGTGGGCGGATCACCAGGTCAGAAGATCGAGACCATCCTGGCTAACACGGTGAAACCCCGTCTCTACTAAAAATATAAAAAATTAGCCAGGTGTGGTGGCGGGCACCTGTAGTCCCAGCTACTTGGGAGACTGAGGCAGGAGAATGGCGTGAACCCAGGGGGTGGAGATTGCAGTGAGCCGAGATCGTGCCACTGCACTCCAGCCTGGGAGACAAAGTGAGACTCTGTCTCAAAAAAAAAAAAAAAAAAAAAAGGCCGGGCGCGGTGGCTCATACCTGTAATCCCAGCACTTTGGGAGGCCGAGGCAGGCGGATCACGAGGTTAGGAGATCAAGACCACCCTGGCTAACACGGGGAAACCCCATCTCTACTAAAAATACAAAAAAGTAGCCGGGCATGGTGGCGGGCGTCTGTATTCCCAGCTACTCGGGAGGCTGAGGCAGGAGAATGGCATGAACCCGGGAGGCAGAGCTTGCAGTGAGCCGAGATCACGCCACTGCACTCCAGCCTGGGTAACAGAGCGAGACTCCGTCTCAAAAAAAAAAAAAAAAAAAAAAAAAAAAAAAGATACAGTAGTCCATGGTGAGATGTTGCAAAATTATTCAAAATATTGCCATGGGATACCCTTAATTGGGAACCTATAGAAGCACAGATTCTGACATAACAAGTATTTGCTACTTCCAAGCACTGCAGTCAAACTAATGGATATAATGGGATGGGCTGGTTGCTCCTAACTGTGCTGGAGAAGGTGGGAAAGAAAAAGATGAGCTCAGCTCCACACGAAGGACCTGCAAGCTTCTATCTTGGCCCAGAAGAAGCCCTTATTCCCTGTAGCTGCAGAAGTAAAATTGCTGAACACCATGCCTAGAGTTTAATCCTGTGAGCAGCTGAATTACAACAGAAATTAAATTCACAACTGATGTTATTAAACTTTGTCCACTTGGCCAGTCCTATCCATGTAAAATTACATTTCATTGTCTTTGAACTTGCTTTTCTCTGATTCTTTTTTTGTTTGTTTGTTTGAAACAGAGTCTTACTCTGTCGCCCAGGCGGGAGTGCAGTGGTGCGATCTCAGCTCACTGCAACCTCCGCCTCCCGGGTTCAAGCGATTCTCCTGCCTCAGGCTCCCCAGTAGCTGGGATTACAGGCACCCACCACCACGCCCGGCTAATTTTTATATTTTTAGTAGAGACGGGGTTTCACCATGTTGGCCGGGATGGTCTCGATCTCCCGACCTTGTAATCCACCTGCCTCGGCCTCCCAAAGTGCTGGGATTACAGGCATGAGCCACCGTGCCTGGCCGTTTCTGTGATTCTTGATGAAGTTGAGCATCTTTCCATATGTTCCCTAGCTATTTGCACTTTATGTTCTGTGGAACATCTCGTGGCTGCCACTGCTGCCCTAAGAAAGGCCTGGCTGCAAGGCTGGGAACTCGGCTGGGAAACAGTTCCCTGACTGATATAAACCTTCCCTAATGACGAAGGTGGTTTGCGGTTCCTAATCTTTACAAACAATGTGGTGTATGCTGGACATCACTTTCCTCCTAGGGCTCTGGAATTTTGGTATATGCCAGGCAGCGGGTATCAATGTGACCACCCCCCAGTAAAAACCTCAGGCAATGAGTCCCTAATGAACTTCTCAGATAGACAACACTTCACAAATGTCATTACAACTTATGCAGAAGTTAAGCACATCCTACAGGACTCCCCTGGGAGACGGCTCCTGGTGCCTGAGCCCTGTTTCCTCTGACTCCTGGGAGACGGCTCCTGGTGCCTGAGCCCTGTTTCCTCTGACTCCCCTGGGAGACGGCTCCTGGTGCCTGAGCCCTGTTTCCTCTGACTCCCCTGGGAGACGGCTCCTGGTGCCTGAGCCCCGTTTCCTCTGACTCCTGGGAGACGGCTCCTGGTGCCTGAGCCCCGTTTCCTCTGACTCCTGGGAGACGGCTCCTGGTGCCTGAGCCCCGTTTCCTCTGACTCCTGGGAGACGGCTCCTGATGCCTGAGCCCCGTTTCCTCTGACTCCTGGGAGACGGCTCCTGGTGCCTGAGCCCCGTTTCCTCTGACTCCCCTGGGAGACGGCTCCTGGTGCCTGAGCCCCGTTTCCTCTGACTCCTGGGAGACGGCTCCTGGTGCCTGAGCCCCGTTTCCTCTGACTCCTGGGAGACGGCTCCTGGTGCCTGAGCCCCGTTTCCTCTGACTCCTGGGAGACGGCTCCTGGTGCCTGAGCCCTGTTTCCTCTGACTCCCCTGGGAGACGGCTCCTGGTGCCTGAGCCCTGTTTCCTCTGACTCCCCTGGGAGACGGCTCCTGGGAGACGGCTCCTGGTGCCTGAGCCCTGTTTCCTCTGACTCCCCTGGGAGACGGCTCCTGGTGCCTGAGCCCCGTTTCCTCTGACTCCTGGGAGACGGCTCCTGGTGCCTGAGCCCCGTTTCCTCTGACTCCTGGGAGACGGCTCCTGGTGCCTGAGCCCCGTTTCCTCTGACTCCCCTGGGAGACGGCTCCTGGTGCCTGAGCCCCGTTTCCTCTGACTCCTGGGAGACGGCTCCTGGTGCCTGAGCCCCGTTTCCTCTGACTCCTGGGAGATGGCTCCTGGTGCCTGAGCCCCGTTTCCTCTGACTCCTGGGAGACGGCTCCTGGTGCCTGAGCCCCGTTTCCTGGGTGCCTGAGGCCCCATGTGCCTTTTCCCTTTGCTGACATTGCTGTGTATTATTCACTGTAATGAGTCTTAGCCAGAGTGTGACTGTGTGCTGAGTCCTGTAACACTGAATCACCTCAGGATGATCTTGGGGACCCTTAACACATGCCTGGTCCAGTCTTTTGCTTTCTTTTTTTGAGACAGGGTCTCATTCTGTCTGGCTAGAGTGTAGTGGTGTGATCACAGCTGACTGCAGCCTCAACATCGTAGGCTCAAGTGAGCCTCCCAACTCAGCCTCCTGAGTAGCCAGGAACACAGGCACAGGCCACCACACCCAGCTAATGTTTAAAATGTTTCATGGAGACAGGATCTCGCTATGTTGTCCAGGCTGGTCTTGAACTCCTGGCCTCGAGCGACCCTCCTGCTTCAGCCTCCCAAAGTGCTGGGATTACAGGTGTGAGCCACCCTGCCCAGCTTGGCCTTGAGTTTTACGTGATGCCACGATGTCTTAATCCCTCTAACGTTATCACCCATCTTCATATCTGGTAGGGTGAGCATCTACCTTGTTCTTCTCCTTCAGTCCTTTGTCCTTTCTATATAGGTTTAGAAACAACTCACCAATTCAGTGTTGCTTGGAACTGCATTGACTCTATAAATCAATTTAGGGAAAAATGACATATTTAAGACATTGAGGCCAGGTGCAGTGGCCTCACCTATAATCTCAGCCCTTTGGGAGGCCAGGGCGGGAGAATTGCTTGAGCCCAGGAGTTTGAGACCAGCCTGGTAACATAGCGAGACATTATTTCTTAAAAAAAATAGCCAGGCATGGTGGTGCACACCTGTGGTCCTGGCCACCTGGGGGACCGAGGTGGGATGATCACTTGAACCCATGAGGTCGAGGCTACACAGTGAGCCATGATCATGCCACTGCACTCCAGCCTGGGCAACACAGCAAGACCTCATTAAAAAAAAGAAAAAAAGATATTGAGTCTTCTATTCATGAATATTTAACTCTTTCTTTTTTTTTTCTTTTGAGATGGAGTCTCACTGTGTTGCCCAGGCTGGAGTGCAGTGATGTGATCTCGGCTCACTGCAACCTCTGCCTCCCGGATTCAAGTGATTCTTCTGCCTCAGCCTCCTGAGTAGCTGGGATTACAGGCACGCACCGCCACACCCAGCTAATTTTTGTATGTTTGGTAGAGATGAGGTTTCATCATGTTGGCCAGGCTGACCTTGAACTCCTTGACCTCATGATCCGCCCGCCTCAGCCTCCCAGAGTGCTGAGATTACAGGCGTGAGCCACCACGCCCCGCCTCTTTCAAACACATTTAATAACTTCCATAAAGATCTTGCATGTCTTTTCTTAGATTTCATCCCAGGAACTTTAGATTTTTGTTGCTTTTATAAATCGTGTGGGTTTTATTTTCTGCTGATACATGGACTGTGGTTGCTCTTGATGAATTAGTCTTCTGTCCAGAAAACTTGCTAAATGCCCCTGGCTCTTACTGAATTGGTTGTCCATTATTTGGGGTTCTGTTCGTACACGTCATCTGCAAACTATGAGGGTTTTATTTCTTCCTTTCCAATCCTTATATCTTTTCCTTCTTTATCTTATTTCATTAGTCAAGATCTCCAAGACAGTGTCGAATAGAAATGCTGATGGTAGCCATCCTTGTCTTGTTTCTGATTTAGAAAGGAATGTTTTAACATGAAGTAAGGTGGTTGCTCAATATTCTGTACCAGGCTGAGGCAGTTCCATGATTCCACATTTGCTGTAGGTTTTTGTTATGAATGAACATTGAATTCGACCTACCTAATGCTTTCCTGGCAGCTTTTCAGATACTCATAAGGTTATTTTTCCTTTAATCTGTAAATGTGATGAATGACATTATTAGCTCTTTGAATTTGGGACTAATTTTTCTTTCCTGGGTTAAATTCAACTTGGTCCCGCATATTACCCTTCTTAATACATTGCGGACTTTGGTCTGTGATTTTTTTTTTTTTTTTTTTTTTGAAGTGGCGTCTTGCTGTGTTACCCAGGCTGGCCTCAGACTCCTGGGCTCAAGTGATCCTCCCACCTCAGTGAGACTATGGCTGGGACTACAGGCATGTGGCACCTCACCCGGCCTGGTCTGTGATTTTTGTTAGGAAGTTTGCATCCATCTTTCTGGGTACATCTGACATATAATTTTCCTTTCTCTTTTTTTCTGGCCTCATAAATACATTGGGAAGTTTTCCCTCTTTTTTCTGCAACTGAGTAATGTTTAAATTATCTGCTCCTGAAACTGGCTCACTTCCTGTGAGGCTTCCTGGCCTGATGTTTTCTTTGGGGAGAATGTTCTGATACTGAGTTTTATTAATAGTTATAGAACCACTTGGCTGGCTGTGTCTTCTTGATCACATTTGGTAATTTATAATTTTTCTGGAATGTGTCCATTTAATCCGACATTTCAAATATGTAAGTATAGATTGTTATAGATTGTCGGTGTCCGCTCTTAAGGCTCTGCTGTGTCTGCAGCTGGGTTCCCTCTCTTTTATTGTGGCTTCCTTTTGCTCTCACTCTTCTCATGCTCTCGCAGAGATGTGTCAACTTACTGCCCTTTTTTTTTTTTTTTTTGAGATGGAGTCTCGCTCTGTTGCCCAGGCTGGAGTGCAGTGGCGCGATCTTGGCTCACTACAAGCTCCGCCTCCCGGGTTCACGCCATTCTCCTGCCTCAGCCTCCCGAGTAGCTGGGACTACAGGCGCCCGCCACCACTCCCAGCTTTTTTTTTTTTTTTTGTATTTTTAGTAGAGACGGGGTTTCACCATGTTAGCCAGGATGGTCTCGATCTCCTGACCTCGTGATCTGCCCTCCTCAGCCTCCCAAAGTGCTGGGATTACAGGCGTGAGCCACTGCGCCCGGCCAACTTACTGCCTTTTAAAATAACCAGTATTTGGCTTTGTTAAGTCTTTCTATTGCATTTTTGTTGTCTATCTCATCAATTTCTGTTCTTATCTTTATAATTTCCTTCCTTTTGCTTTCTTGGGTTTGTTTCCAAGTGGCGTTGCTTAGCTCTTTAATTTTCAGACTCTTATATTTTATGATATAAGTGTTTAAGGCCATAAATTTTTCTCAAAGTATTGTTTTCACTGCGCTATATCAGTTTTGATATACAGTGTTTTCATTGTTTTTAGTTCTAACAACGTTTGAATATCAATTATGATTGCTTATTTGACTTCGTTCTTTAGAAGGTTTTTCAATTTTAGAAAGCTTGGATCTTGGGGCTTTTTAGTTATCTTCTTAAAAATGATTTCTAACCTAACTTCAGGAAAATAGTCTGTATATTTCCAATTTTGGAAATTTCTTAAGATTTGCTTTGTAGCCAAGTAGATGGTCCTTTTTATAAATGATCCACATGGACTGTAAAAGGATACATGGTATTGGCTGGGCACAGTGGCTCACGCCTGTAATCCCAGCACTTTGGGAGGCCGAGGCGGGCAGATCACGAGGTCAGGAGATCGAGACCATCCTGGCTAACACAGTGAAACCCTGTCTGTACTAAAAATTCAAAAAATTAGCTGGGCATGGTGGTGGGCGCCTGTAGTCCCAGCTACTCGGGAGGCTGAGGCAGGAGAATGGCATGAACCCGGGAGGTGGAGCTTGCAGTGAGCCAAGATTGCGTCACTGCACTCCAGCCTGGGCAACAGAGCAAGACTCCATCTCAAAAAACAAAACAAAAAAAAGATACATGGTATTCCCTTCCAGTCATGCTCATCTCTCTCCCCCTCTCTCCCTCCCACTCCACCTACCCCCCAACATATGCACACACTCAGTAGATCCAGCTTGCCAAATGTGTCGTTCAAAACATCTTTTTTTTTGAGAAGAAATCTCGCTCTGTCGCCCAGGCTGGAGTGCAGTGGCGAAATCTCGGCTCACTGCAAGCTCCGCCTCCCGGGTTCAAGCAATTCTCCTGCCTCAGCCTCCCAAGTAGCTGGGATTACAGGTGTCCGCCACCACACCCGGCTAATTTTTGTATTTTTAGTAGAGATAGGGTTTCACCATATTGGCCAGGCTGGTCTGGAACTCCTGACCTTGTGATCCGCCCGCCTTGGCCTCCCAAACTGCTGGGATTATAGGTGTGAGCCACCGCACCCAGCCTAAATCATCTTTATCCTATTTACTTTTCTGCCTGATTCTACCAAGAGAGACATACAGAAGGTTCCTGTGATGGTACATTCATCAGATTTTCCATGCAGTTACGTCAGTGTTTGCCTTATATGTTTTAAAGTTATGTTAGTAGGTGCATATGCATATTATTATTAGAATTCTTATATCTTTCTGTTGTGTGAAATCTTTTATAATTATGTGGTGAACCTCTTTGACTCCAGTAATGCTCTTTGCTATAAAATATATTTTAACTAACATTAATACCATTTCTCCATTATTCTTTGGTTATTACTCGTAAAGCACTTTTTCATCCTTTTACTTTCAACCTTCTTTTATATAGTAGGTGTGTTTCTTGTAAACTGTTTCTAGTTGGGTTTTTTAAAAAAATCTAGTCTGACAGTCTTTGCCTTTTAACTTATTAGTTTAGTCCTTTTATGTTTATTGTTAAGTATTGATAGAATTTGGGTTTAGTCGTACTATCTTAATTTGTGCTTTCTATTTGTACAACTTTTTCTATTCTTTTTCCTCTTTTTTTTCATGCTTTTAGCTTTTTTACCTTCATTCTATTTTTCCTTCAGTCAATTTGAAAGCTATAAATTCTATTGCTATTGCTTTCCTTGTTTTCTTAAAATATGCATATTTTGCCATGGATTTATTTCTTTTCTTTGTAGGGATTGCCCTAGAATTTTTTTTTTTTTTTTTTTTAGACGGAGTCTCACTTTGTCACCCAGGCTGGAGTGCAGTGGCACAATCTCGGCTCACTGCAAGCTCCGCCTCCCAGGTTCAAGCAGCTCTGCCTCAGCCTTCTGAGGAGCTGAGACTACAGGCACCCAGCACCACACCCAGCTAATGTTTGTATTTTTAGTAGATATGAGGTTTCGCCATGTTGGCCAGGCTGGTGTCGATCTCCTGACCTCAAGTAATCCACCTGCTTCAGCCTGCCGAAGTGCTGGGATTACAGGCGTGAGCCACCACACATGGCCGAGAAATGTTAACACGTATATTTGAGTTAACGATATCTAAAGTTACAGTTAAGTCAGGGATCTTACATCGATTTATGTTTCATATATTTCAATAGCTTTTGGGGTACAAGTGGCATTTGGTTACATGGATGAATTGTGTAATGATGAAGTCTGATACGTTACTGCACTGTCACCCAAATGGTATATATTGTACCCAATATGTCGTCTTTTTATCCCTTACTCCTCCTCCTGCCCTCCCCACCTCTGAGCCTCCAGTGTCCATTATATCACTCTGCATGCCTTTGTGTACCCATAGGTTAGTTCCCACTTATAAGTGAGAACATGCAGTATTTGGTTTTCCATTCCTGAGTTACTTTATTTAGAATAATGGCCTCCAGATCCATTCAAGTTGCTGCAGAGACATTATTTTGTTCTTTTTTACGGCTGAGTAGTATTCCATGGTATATATATACCACATTTTTTTAATCCACTCATTGCTTGATGGATACTTAGGTTAGTTCCATGTCTTTGCAGTTGTGAATTGTGCTGTGATAAACATGTGCGCAGGTGTCTTTCTGATATAATGACTTCTTTTCCTTTGGGTAGATACTCAGTAGTGGGACTGCTGGAGCACACGGTAGATCTGCTTTTAGTTCTTTGAGAAATCTCCATGCTGTTTTCACAGATGTTGTACTAATTTATTTATTTATTTATTTATTTTGAGATGAAGTCTAGCTCTGTTGCCAGGCTGGAGTGCAATGGCGCGATCTTGGCTCACTGCAACCTCCGCCTCCCGGGTTCAAGTGATTCTTCTGCCTCAGCCTCCTGAGTAGCTAGGACTACAGGCACCTGCCACCACACCTGGCTAATTTTTTGTATTTTTAGCAGAGACCGGGTTTCACCTTGTTGGGCAGGCTGGTCTCGAACTCCTGACCTCGTGATCCGCCCGCCTTGGCCTCCCAAAGTGCTGGGATTATAGGTATGAGCCACCACGCCTGGTCTTTTTTACATTTTAATAATGTCTATTCTGGCTAGGGCAAGGTGGTATCTCATTGTGGTTTTAATTTGCATTTCCCTGATGATTCGTGAGGTTGAGCGATTTTTCACGTTTGCTGCGTATCTGTATATCTTCTTTTGAGAAATGTCTATGCATGTGTCATTTGCCCATTTTTTGATGGGATTCTTTGTTTTTTTCTTGCGGATTTGTTTGAGTTCCTTGTAGATTCTTGATATTACCTCTTCGTTAGATGCATAGTTTGCAAATATTTTCTTCCATTCTGTGGGCTATTTGTTTTTATTTTGTTTGTTTTTTTTTTTCCTTTTGAGACAGAGTCTCGCTCTGTCACCCAGGCTGGAGTGCAGTGGTGCAATCTCTGCTCACTGCAACCTCTACCTCCCAGATTCAAGTGATTCTCCTGCCTCAGCCTCCCGAGTAGCTGGGACTACAGGCGCCTGCCACCATGCCCGGCTCATTTTTTGTATTTTTAGTAGAGATGGGGTTTCACTGTGTTAGCCAGGATGGTCTCGATCTCCTGACCTCGTGATCCGCCCGCCTCGGCCTCCCAAAGTGCTGGCATTACAGGCGTGAGCCACCGGCCTTGTGGGCTGGTGTTTTCTCTGATGATTATTTCTTTTGCTGTGCAGAAGCTTTTTAGTTGAATTAGGTCACATTTATTTATTTTTGTTTTTGTTGCATTTGCTTTTGTGGTTCTAGTCAAAACTGTTTGCTTAAGCCAATGTGCAGAAGAGCTTTCCTAGATTTCCTTCTAGAATGTTTATGGTTCGAGTCTTACATCTAAGTCTTTCATCCATCTTGAGCTGGGTTTTGTATATGGTGAGAGGTATGGATCCAGTTTCATTCTCCTACATGTGGCTAGCCAGTTTTCCCAGCACCACTTACTAGATAGGGTGTCTTTTTCTCCAACGGATGTTTATTTATACTTTGTCAAAGATCCGTTGATTGTAAGTATTTGGCTTTATTTCTGGATTCTCTATTCCATCCCATTGGTCTATGTATCTACTTTTATACCAGTACTATGCTGTTTTGGTAACTATACTGTATTAGTCCCTTCTCACATTGCTATAAAGGAATACCTGAGGCCAGGTGCAGTGGCTCACGCCTGTAATCCCAGGACTTTGAGAGGCAGAGGTGGGCGGATTACCTGAGGTCGGGCGTTCGAGACCAGCCCGGCCAACATGGTGAAACCCCGTCTCCACTAAAATACAAAAAATTAGCCGGGTGTGGTGGCGGGTGCCTGTAGTCCCAGCTACTCGGGAGGCTGAGGCAGGGGAATCGTTTGAACCCAGGAGGTAGAGATTGCAGTGAGCCGAGATCACGCCACTGCACTCCAGCCTGGTGACAGAGCGAGACTCCATCTCAAAAAAAAAAATTTGCTGGGCTTGGTGGTGGGCGCCTGTAGTCTCAGCTACTCGGGAGGCTGAGGCAGGAGAATCACTTGAACCTGGGAGGCGGAGGTTGCAGTGAGCGGAGATGACGTCACTGCACTGTACTCCAGCCTGGGTGACAGAGTGAGACTCTGTCTCAAAAAAAAAGAAAAGAAAAGAAAAAAAGAAATACCTGGGACTGGGTAACTTATAAGAAAAGAGGTTCAACTGGCTTATGGTTCTGGAGGCTGTACAGGAACCGTATCACTGGCATCTGCTTCTGGGAGCCTCTGGAAATGTCTAGTCCTGGCAGAAGGCAAAGCAAGAGTTTGCATGTCACATGGTGAAGGCAGGAGCGAGAGAGCAAGAGGGGACGCGCTACGCACTTTTAAACGACCAGGCAAGGACAGGACCAAGGGGGACAGTGCTAAGCCACTCCTGAGAAATCCTCCCCCATGATCGAGTGGCCTCCCTCCAGGCCAGGCCCCACCTCCAACACCGTGGCTTGCATTTCAGGATGAGATTTGGGCGGGGACACATTCAAATTATACCACAGAGCCTTGTAGTATAGTGTCAGCCAGGGTTCTCTAGAGGGACAGAACTGATAGGATAGATGTGCATACGAAAGGAAGTTTATTAAGGAGAGTTGACTCACAGGATCACAAGGTGAAGTCTCACCCAGGCCGTCTGCAAGTTAAGGAGCCAGGAAGCCAGTGGTGGATCCGTCTGAGTCCCAAAACCTCAAAAGCAGGGAAGCTGGCAGTGCAGCCTTCAGTCTGCCGCCAAAGGCCCGAGAGCCCCTGGCAAACCGCTGGTGTACGTGTAAGAGTCCAAAAGCTGAGGAACTTGGAGTCTGATGTTCGAGGACAGGAAGCATCCAGCACGGGAGAAAGATGGGGCCGGAAGCCTCAGCAAGTCTGCTCTTCCATCTTCTCCTGCGTGCTTTATTCTAGCCGTACTGGCAGCTGATTAGACGGTGCCCACTGAGGGTGGGTCTGCCTCTCCCCGTCCATGGACTCAAATGTGAATCCCCTTTGGCAACACCCCCACAGACACATCCAGGATCAATACTTTGCATCCTTCAATCCAGTTGACACTCAATATAAACCCTCACAAGTATAATTTGAAGTTGGGTAATGTGATGCCTCCAGATTTGTTTTTTGTTTTTTGACAGACAGAGTCTCAGTCTGTCGCCAGGCTGGAGTGCAGTGGCGCAACCTTGGCTCACTGGAATCTCCGCCTCCTGGGTTCAAGGGATTCCCCTGCCTCAGCCTCCCAAGTAGCTGGGACTACAGGCGCCCGCCACCATGCATGGCTAGTTTTTTTGTGCTTTTTAGTAGAGACGGGGTTTCACTGTTTTAGCCAGGATGGTCTCGATCTCCTGACCTTGTGATCTGCCCGCCTTGGCCTCCCAAAGTGCTGGGATTACAGGCGTGAGCCACTGCGCCTGGCCAATACCATGTACCCTTTAACAATCTCGGCTCACTGGAACCTCCGCCTCCCAGGTTGAAGGGATTCCCCTGCCTCAGCCTCCCAAGTAGCTGGGACTACAGGTGCCCACTACCATGCCCGGTAATTTTTTGTATTTTAGTAGAGATGGGGTTTCACCATGTCGGCCAGGCTGGTCTCGATCTCCTGACCTTGTGATCCACCTGCCTCGGCCTCCCAAAGTCCTGGGATTACAGGCGTGAGCCACTGCGCCCGGCCTAGATTCGTTCTTTTTCCTTAGGACTGCTTTGGCTATTCAGGCTCTTTTTTGGTTCATACAGATTTTAGGATTGTTTTTTCTAATGCTGTGAAAAACGATGTTGGTACTTTGATAGGAATTGCACTGAATCTATAGATTGCTTTGGGCAGTTTGGTTATTTCACAATATCGATTCCTCCAATTCATGACCATGGGATGTATTTCCATTTGTTTGCGTCATTCATGATTTCTTTCAGCAGTATTTTGTAGTTCTCCTTGTAGAGTCTTTCACCTCCTTGGTTAAGTACATTCCTAGGTTTGTTCTGTGTGTGTGTGTGTGTTGTCGTTGCGCAGATATTGTAAAAAGGATTGAGTTCTTTTTTCACTTTTTTATTTATTTATTTTTATTTTTTGAGACGGAGTCTCACCCTGTTGCCCAGGCGGGAGTGCAGTGGCGCCCTCTCGGCTCACTGCAACATCCACCTCCCGGGTTCAAGCAATTCTCCTGCCTCAGCCTCCTGAGTAGCTGGGACTACAGGCGTGCACCACCACACCTCGCTAATTTTTGTATTTTTAGTAGAGACGGGGTTTCACCATGTTATCCAGGCTGGTCTCAAACTCCTGATCTCAAGTGAGCCACCCACCTGGGCCTCCCAAAGTGCTGGGATTACAGGCGTGAGCCACCGCGCCTGGCCTGAGTTCTTGGTTTCCTTCTCAGCTTGGTCGTTGTGCTACTGATTTGTGCACATTTATTTTGTAACCTGAGACTTCACCGAATCCATTTGTCAAATCGAGGAGTCTTTTGGAGGAGCCTTTAGGGTTTTCGAGGTATACAGTCATAACATTGGCAGAGATAGTTTGACCTCCTGTTTTCCCATTTGGATGCCCTCTCTTTCTTGTCTTTCCTGATAGTTCTGGTCAGGACTTTGAATACTATGTTGGGTGGGAGGGTGAGTGTGGGAGGGTGAGAGGGCATCCTTGTCTTGTTGCAGTTCTCAGGGGGACTGTTTCCACTTTTCCCCATTTAGTATGATGTTGGCTGCGGGTTTGTCATATATGGCTATTATCATTTTGAGGTATGTTCCTTCCAAGCCTAGTTGGTTGAGGATTTTTATCGTAAAACAATGCTAGATTTTGTCAAGTGCTTTGTATGCATCTACTGAGATGATCGTGTAGTTTTTGTTTTTAATTCTGTTTAGGTGATGAATCAAACTTACTGACTGGCACATGTTGAACCCCCCTGAATCCCTGGGATGAAACTCACTCGGTCATGGTGAATTATTGCTTTAATGTGCTGTTGGATTCCGTTTGCAGGGTCAACTTGTCTTTCATACCTTCCCTGCTGTCATCTTCCAGAATGTTAACACGATGCTGTCTTCCTTAATTCTGCAAATTAGACATTATCATGTTTGTTTTATGGTCTTGACGTCTTTTAGTGTTGATGATGTGTGGACCACTTGTTGCATGGCAGACCTTCCTCTGGGAAATGACAAACTCCTTCGTGTTAATGAATTTTCCTTGTTCTTTAATTGGGGCCATTTTTCCTTTCTAATAAGCTCTGTTTCCTCTTTCTTGAAAGAGAGTGTTGCCGGGTTTATTCTTGTAGCTCTACAGAACTTTGAAAACCCTCCACTACCTTTTGGCTCCATTGTTGCCCTCGAGAAGTCCATCAGTCCTGTGTAGCTCCTGTGTAGTCCTGTGTAGTTCCTGTGTAGTCCTGTGTAGTCCTGTGTAGTCCTGTGTAGTCCTGTGTAGCTCCTGTGGAGCCCTGTGTAGCTCCTGTGTAGCTCCTGTATAGCTCCTGTGTGGTCCTGCGTAGTCCTGTGTAGCTCCTGTGTAGCTCCTGTGTAGCTCCTTTGTAGTCCTGTGTAGCTCCTGTGTAGTCCTGTGTAGTCCTGTGTAGCTCCTGTGTAGTCCTGTGGAGCCCTGTGTAGCTCCTGTGTAGTCCTGTGTAGCTCCTGTGTAGCTCCTGTGTAGTCCTGTGTAGTCCTGTGTAGTCCCGTGTAGCTCCGGTGTAGTTCCTGTGTAGCTCCTGTGTAGTTCCTGTGTAGTTCCTGTGTAGCTCCTGTGGAGCCCTGTGTAGCTCCTGTGTAGTCCTGTGTAGTTCCTGTGTAGCTCCTGTGTAGTCCTGTGTAGTCCTGTGTAGTCCCGTGTAGCTCCGGTGTAGTCCTGTGTAGCTCCGGTGTAGTTCCTGTGTAGCTCCTGTGTAGCTCCTGTGTAGCTCCTGTGGAGCCCTGTGTAGCTCCTGTGTAGTTCCTGTGTAGCTCCTGTGTAGTCCCGTGTAGCTCCGGTGTAGTCCTGTGTAGTCCTGTGTAGTCCTGTGTAGCTCCTGTGTAGTCCTGTGTAGTCCCGTGTAGCTCCTGTATAGCTCCTGTGTGGTCCTGCATAGTCCTGTGTAGTCCTGTGTAGTCCTGTGTAGTCCCGTGTAGCTCCTGTATAGCTCCTGTGTGGTCCTGCATAGTCCTGTGTAGTCCTGTGTAGTCCTGTGTAGCTCCTGTGTAGTCCCGTGTAGTCCCGTGTGACCCCGTGTAGTCCCGTGTAGTCCCGTGTAGTCCCGTGTGACCCCGTGTAGTCCCGTGTAGTCCCGTGTGACCCCGTGTAGTCCCGTGTAGTCCCGTGTAGTCCCGTGTAGTCCCGTGTGACCCCGTGTAGTCCCGTGTAGTCCCGTGTAGCCCCGTGTAGTCCCGTGTAGTCCCGTGTAGTCCCGTGTAGTCCCGTGTGACCCCGTGTAGTCCCGTGTAGTCCCGTGTAGCCCCGTGTAGTCCCGTGTAGTCCCGTGTAGTCCCGTGTGACCCCGTGTAGTCCCGTGTAGTCCCGTGTAGTCCCGTGTGACCCCGTGTAGTCCCGTGTAGCTCCCGTGTAGCTCCCGTGTAGCCCCGTGTAGCTCCCGTGTAGCTCCCGTGTAGCCCCGTGTAGCCCCGTGTAGCCCCGTGTAGTCCCGTGTAGCTCCCGTGTAGCTCCCGTGTAGTCCCGTGTAGCCCCGTGTAGCCCCGTGTAGCTCCCGTGTAGTCCCGTGTAGCCCCGTGTAGCCCCCTGTAGCCCCGTGTAGCTCCCGTGTAGCCCCGTGTAGCCCCGTGTAGCTCCCGTGTAGCCCCGTGTAGCCCCGTGTCGTCCCGTGTAGCCCCGTGTAGCCCCGTGTAGTCCCGTGTAGCTCCCGTGTAGCCCCGTGTAGCCCCGTGTAGCTCCCGTGTAGCTCCCGTGTAGCCCCGTGTAGCCCCGTGTAGCCCCGTGTAGTCCCGTGTAGCCCCGTGTAGTCCCGTGTAGCTCCCGTGTAGCCCCGTGTAGCCCCGTGTAGCCCCGTGTAGCTCCCGTGTAGCCCCGTGTAGCCCCGTGTAGCCCCGTGTAGTCCCGTGTAGCTCCCGTGTAGCCCCGTGTAGCCCCGTGTAGCCCCGTGTAGTCCCGTGTAGTCCCGTGTGACCCTGTGTAGTCCCGTGTAGCCCCGTGTAGTCCCGTGTAGTCCCGTGTAGCCCCGTGTAGCCCCGTGTAGTCCCGTGTAGTCCCGTGTGACCCTGTGTAGTCCCGTGTAGCCCCGTGTAGTCCCGTGTAGTCCCGTGTAGCCCCGTGTAGTCCCGTGTAGTCCCGTGTAGCCCCGTGTAGTCCCGTGTAGTCCCGTGTAGTCCCGTGTGACCCTGTGTAGTCCCGTGTAGCCCCGTGTAGTCCCGTGTAGTCCCGTGTAGTCCCGTGTAGCCCCGTGTAGTCCCGTGTAGTCCCGTGTAGCCCCGTGTAGTCCCGTGTAGTCCCGTGTAGCTCCTGTGTAACTAGTCTGTTTCTTCCCTTTGACCCGTTTCCTTTGGTTTTTTCCCGTATATTTACTTTATTTACCAGTTGTGTTTGTTTTTACTTTTGTTTTTACTCATCATATAGGTGTATATTAGTTGTTTTTACTCATCATATGAGTGTATATTAGTTGTTTTTACTCATCATATGAGTGTATATTAGTTGTTTTTACTCATCATATGGGTGTTTATTCGTTGTTTTTACTCATCATATGAGTGTATATTAGTTGTTTTTACTCATCATATGGGTGTTTATTCGTTGTTTTTACTCATCATGTGGGTGTTTATTTGTTGTTTTTACTCATCATGTGGGTGTATATTTGTTGTTTTTACTCATCATATGGGAGTATATTAATTGTTTTACTCATCATATTGGTGTATATTAGTTGTTTTTACTCATCATGTCGGTGTTTATTCGTTGTTTTTACTCATCATATGGGTGTATATTAGTTGTTTTTACTCATCATATGGGAGTATGTTAGTTGTTTTTACTCATCATGTGGGTGTTTATTCGTTGTTTTTACTCATCATATGGGAGTATATTAGTTGTTTTACTCATCATATGGGTGTATATTAGTTGTTTTTACTCATCATATAGGAGTATATTAGTTGTTTTACTCAGCATATGGGAGTATATTAGTTGTTTTTACTCATCATGTGGGTGTTTATTCATTGTTTTTATTCATCATGTGGGAGTATATTCGTTGTTTTTACTCATCATATGGGTGTATATTAGTTGTTTTTACTCATCATGTGGGTGTATATTTGTTGTTTTTACTCATCCTATGGGAGTATATTAGTTGTTTTTACTCATCATGTGGGTGTATATTTGTTGTTTTTACTCATCATATGAGTGTATATCAGTTTTTTACTCATCATATAGGTATATATTGGTTGTTTTTACTCATCATATGGGTGTATATTTGTTATTACCACGAAGTAACTACTTTCTGTTTCCCTTTTTTTCTTTCTTTTTGTGGTAAAACATACATAACACGAAATTGACCATTTTAACCATTTTTAAGTGTACAATTCAGTGGCATTAGCACATTCACTGTATCACATATCCATCACCACCACCCCTTTCCAGAACTGGGTATCATCCCAAAGACTCCATACTGGCCGGGCGCGGTGGCTCACACCTGTAATCCCAGCACTTTGGGAGGCCGACGCGGGCGGATCACAAGGTCAGGAGGTCGAGACCATCCTGGCTAACATAGTGAAACCCTGTCTCTATTAGAAATACAAAATATCAGCGGGCCGTGGTGGAGGGCGCCTATAGTCCCAGCTACTCAGGAGGCTGAGGCAGGAGAATGGCGTGAACCCGGGAGGCAGAACTTGCAGTGAGCCAAGATCGTGCCACTGCACTCCAGCCTGGGCGACAGAGCAAGACTCTGTCTCAAAAAAAAAAAAAAAAGACTCCGTACCAATAGTTATCTCCCCTCCCCTCCTTCTAGCCCTGGTGGCCACTGTTCCACTTTCTGCCTCTATGAATTGACCTGTCCTAGGTACCTCGTAGACGTGGAATCATATAGTATCTGCCCATTTGTATCTGGCATCTTTCACTCGGCGTGTCGTAAGGGTTTATTCACGACGTAGCCTGTGTCGGAACGTCCTTCCTTTTTTTTTTTGAATGTGGCTGCTACGAACACTGATGTATGAGGATGTGCTTGAGTTCCTGCTTTCAGTTCTTTTGCATATACAGCTAAAGGTGAAACTGCTGAATCCTCTACTGACTCTGTGTTTAACTTCTTGAGGAACCTTCACACTGTTTTCCACGGCGGCCACACCATTTACCTTCCCGCCAGTGACGCATGAGAGTTCAGTTTATCCACATCCCACCAACATTTATTTCCCTTTTTTTTTATAAAGGCCACCCTAATGGATGTGATGTCTCACTGTGGTTTTTATTTGCATGTCGCTCATGACGAATAATGTAGAGCATCTTTTCATGTGCTTATTGGCCACGCGTATATCTTTGAAGAAGTGTCTATTTAAGTCCTTTGCCAACTGTTTTTTTTCTTTTTGAGATAAGGTCTCACTTTGTTACCCAGGCTGGAGTGCAGTGACACGATCACAGCTCACAGCAGCCTCAGCCTCCCAGGCTCAGGCCATCCTCCCGCCTCAGCCTCCCAAAGTATTGGGATTACAGGCGTAAGGCACCGTGCCCTGCCCTTCAATTTTTAAACTGGATTATTTGCTTTTCTGTTGTTGAATTATAGGGTTCCTCCTATACTCTGGATATCAACCCCTCGTCAGATACGTGATTTGCAAATACCGACGTCTCCACCCTGAGGTGTTTTATTCCTCCAGAGTGTCCTACGTGTACATTTCACTGTAATGAGGGTCCAGTCGCTCCAGTGTTTCTTTTGCTGCCTTTGCTGCGGTGTCATATCGAAGAAATCCTGGCCAAATACAGCGCCAGGAAGTGTTCCCCTGTGTCTTCTTCTAAGAGTCTTTTTTTTTTTTTTTTTGAGACAGGTTCTCACTTTGTAGCCCAGGCTGGAGTCTGATGGCGCAAACACGGCCCACTGCAGCCTTGACCTCCCGGCTCAGGTGATCATCCCACGTCGACTTCCTAAGTAGCTGGGACTACAGGCACGCCTGGCTAGTTTTTTTATTTATTGCAGAGATGGGGTTTTGCTCTGTTGCCCAGGCTGGTCTAGGACTCCTGGACTCAAGCAATCTACCCATCGCAGCCTCCCAAAGTGCTGGGATTACAGGCACGAGCCGCCTTGCCCAGCCTCTTCTAAGAGTTTTATAGTATTAGCTCTGATGTTTTTGAGTTGGTCTTGCACTCTTAAAGATAACTAACGATTTGGCCGGGTGCGGTGGCTCACACCTGTAATCCCAGCACTTTAGCAAGCCAAGGCAGACAGATCACCTGAGGTCAGGAGTTTGAGACCAGCCTGGCCACCATGGAGAAACCCCGTCTCTACTAAAAATACAAAAATTAGCTGGGTGTGCTGGTGCATGCCTGTAGTCCCAGCTACTTGGGAGGCTGAGGCATGAGAATCGCTTGAACTCGGGAGGCAGAGCTTGCAGTGAGCCGAGATTGTGCCACTGCACTCCAGCCTGGGCGACACAGTGAGACTCCATCTCAAAAAAAAAAAAGTTAACTGATGATTTTAAGGAACCATTCTGAATGCATGGAAAGGTGTCCCGTGTCCTCCTCCGCACCTGTTCCCTGGCTGGCATGTTGCCCCCCTGTGGTGTGGGAGCCCTGCTGGCTCCTGAGTCCTTGGATGTGACACTTGGCTCTTCACTGTTGCTTTCTGCAGCATCTAGACGCTCCGGCCTCGTTGTCTGCATTTCTACCTTAGATCTGGAATCAGTCATTTCTCCAAAAAGCTCGGGCTCCTTTTAGTGTAAAATGTATGTAGAAACCAGTTTTGGGTACAGGGCACTCCCGGCGATGGGATTGGGTCTTGTCTCTAGGCCTTTGCAGTGGACTGTGTGGAAATACACTTTTAAAAATATATATAACATACATCAGAAATTCATACTGAAGCTTTCTATTCAGATCTGGAGTTTTCTTGTAAGCTTAATATGCTTAATTTTGGCCAGGCGCGGTGACTCACACCTGTAATCCCAGCACTTTGGGAGGCCGAGGCGGGCAGATCACGAGGTCAGGAGATCGAGACCATCCTGGCTAACACGGTGAAACCCCGTCTCTACTAAAAATACAAAAAATTAGCCAGGCACGGTGGCTGGCGCCTGTAGTCCTAGCTACTTGGGAGGCTGAGGCAGGAGAATGGCATGAACCCAGGAGGCGGAGCTTGCAGTGAGCCAAGACAGCGCCACTGCACTCCGGCCTGGGCGAAAGAGCGAGACTCCGTCTAAAAAACAAAAAAAATCCTTAATTTTAATTTTGTATCTCCTTTGTCAGCTGAAAACTCTCATACTCACAAAATCAGCAAAATGATCCATCTGTTTTATGCCACAGTTCATACAAAGCTTTGGGAAGAGCCACGTCGACACTGTCACCCAGAGCATCGTCATTGCAGGGTTTTCTTCATTTTTGATGTGTAGTTGGCTCCCTATGAGCTAGGGGCAAGTTACTGTGTTTTCAAATCTCTACAGAGTCTCTTGGAATACTTCTGTGTATGTTTTATGTATTTCATTTTCTTCTGCTTTTGAGGGATGGCTTTTTAAATTCAATTTTGTTTCTAATTATGAAAAAAAAATGTTTGCGTGGTGCCAAGATTAAATCTATACAATGAGGCGACACCCAGGACCCGGCAGAGGGCTCCTCACCACCCAAGACCCCAGGCAGAGGCCACCCTGGAGGACAAAAGGGGCCTGGGGCAGGGCCACGATCCGGGGAGCTAGGGGGTGGCGAGCAGAGGTGGCCCAGTCCAGGAGCACGGAGCTGCCCCCTTTATGTGCTGGTCGCACCTCCCACACAGGTTGCCAGGCAGGAGGGGAGGATCATTCTGACGTCGGGGCAGCCATTCCACAAGGTGAGTGTCCCAAAGATAAGCTCAGTGGGCCTGAGCCCCATCTTCCCAAGCCCCCAGCCCCTCGGCCACCCCCACCTCAGGGTCAGCTTGCCGTGGGGCCGACCCCCAGCGCCTCTGCCGTACCCCTGGTGGGCCGAGAGAAGGCTCCTGCCCCATGCTGGCGGAGGCGGGCTGGGCCTGGGCAGGTGCTGGGCTCTGCACTGCCCCTCAGTAGCCGAGCCGTGTCTTTGCAGCTCCGGGCCCAGGTCGGGGCTGGGCGCTGCCTCTCGGTCGACTGCTCCCTGAAGGCCCAGCAGCAGGCCAAGGCTGTGCTCAAGCATTTCAACGTGCGTGTCACCCACGCAGACATCTTCAGCCGCTGCCAGGTGGGTCCTGCGCACCCCGTCCTACCTGGGGCTGGCACAAGATCTGGAGCTACGGGGGTGTCCAGGGAGGTGGGCCCCACCCTAGACAGTGGTGGGTCTGGGGTGGGGTGTCGGCAGAGCATCCCTCGTGGTCCAGGGTGAGGTGTCGGCAGAGCATCCCTCGTGGGTCCGGGGTGAGGTGTCGGCAGATCATCCCTCGTGGGTCCGGGGTGAGGTGTCGGCAGATCATCCCTCGTGGGTCCGGGGTGGGGTGTCGGCAGATCATCCCTCGTGGGTCCGGGGTGGGGTGTCGGCAGAGCATCCCTCGTGGGTCCGGGGTGGGGTGTCGGCAGAGCATCCCTCGTGGGTCCGGGGTGGGGTGTCGGCAGAGCATCCCTCGTGGGTCCGGGGTGGGGTGTCGGCAGATCACCCCTCGTGGGTCCGGGGTGGGGTGTCGGCAGATCATCCCTCGTGGGTCCGGGGTGGGGTGTCGGCAGAGCATCCCTCGTGGGCCCGGGGTGGGGTGTCGGCAGATCACCCCTCGTGGGTCCGGGGTGGGGTGTCGGCAGATCACCCCTCGTGGGTCCGGGGTGGGGTGTCGGCAGATCATCCCTCGTGGGTCCGGGGTGGGGTGTCGGCAGATCACCCCTCGTGGGTCCGGGGTGGGGTGTCGGCAGATCACCCCTCGTGGGTCCGGGGTGGGGTGTCGGCAGATCACCCCTCGTGGGTCCGGGGTGGGGTGTCGGCAGATCACCCCTCGTGGGTCCGGGGTGGGGTGTCGGCAGAGCATCCCTCGTGGGTCCGGGGTGGGGTGTCGGCAGAGCATCCCTCGTGGGTCCGGGGTGGGGTGTCGGCAGAGCATCCCTCGTGGGTCCGGGGTGGGGTGTCGGCAGAGCATCCCTCGTGGGTCCGGGGTGGGGTGTCGGCAGAGCATCCCTCGTGGGTCCGGGGTGGGGTGTCGGCAGAGAATCCCTCGGGGGTCCGCGGTGGGGTGTCGGCAGAGCATCCCTCGTGGGTCTGGGGTGGGGTGTCGGCAGAGAATCTCTTGGGGGTCCGGGGTGGGGTGTCGGCAGAAAATCCCTCGGGGGTCCGGGGTGAGGTGTCGGCAGAGCATCCCTCGTGGTCCGGGGTGAGGTGTCGGCAGAGCATCCCTCGTGGTCCGGGGTGAGGTGTCGGCAGAGCATCCCTCGTGGTCCGGGTTGAGGTGTCGGCAGAGCATCCCTCGTGGTCCGGGGTGAGGTGTCGGCAGAGCATCCCTCGTGGTCCGGGGTGAGGTGTCGGCAGAGCATCCCTCGTGGGTCCGGGGTGAGGTGTCGGCAGAGCATCCCTCGTGGGTCTGGGGTGAGATGTTGGCAGAGAATCCCTTGTGGGTCCGGGGTGAGGTGTCGGCAGAGAATCCCTGGTCCAGGGTGAGGCGTCGGCAGAGCATCCCTAGTGCAGGCTGGCATGGCCACGGGGACAGCTCCAATCAGGCATTGGCTTGGATTTGGGGAATTCCCTCTGGCTCCCATGGGGCTTCTAGAAGGAATCGAGGGAAATTGTGGAAGTCCCTTCAGGCTGGGTGGGTCCCACTTTCCAAAGGCAACACGCAGGACAGCCTGCGTCTGCTTGGTGACGTCTAACAAGGTCTGGGCAACAGAAGCCCTGAGTGGGAACTGCCGCACCTCGGTGGAGATCCATAGAGGAGGCTGGTGGGGGCACCAAAGCCCAACTCACCTCTCTCCCTCCTCTCCTGTCCCCAGTGGGGGACTGGGCTGAGGCACCTGCCCAGGGCTGCACTGTCCAAGCTTGCTATGCCCCACACCAACTGGCACCTGGGCATGGCCAGTCTGGGGGGAGTTGATGCTGCCTTTTGCGCCTCCACTCAAGGCGCCAGGGTCTCCGTGGGCGACACGGGAGCAAGGGGGACTGTGGGCTGTGCTGGCTCTCGGCAGTTCCCGGTGGAGGGTACGGGCTGCTTCCAGAACGTTCCGCAGTTAGGGCCACATCAATATTCCGCCTGGAGCAGCAGGTCGGGGCTGCTCCAACAAGCCCAGTTTTGTTTCCTGGGGTTTTTTGGGGGTGGGACGGAGTCTCACTCCATCGCCCAGGCTGGAGTGTAGTGATGTAATCTCAGCTCACTGCAGCCTCCGCCTCCCAGGTTCAAGCAATTCTCCCACCTCAGGCTCCTGAGTAGCTGGGATTACAGGTGCCCACCACCACGGGCGGCTAATTTTTGTATTTTTAGTAGAGACAGGGTTTCACCATGTTGGTCAGGCTGGTCTTGAACTCCTGACCTCAGGTGATCTTCCTGCCTCAGCCTCCCAAAGTGCTGGGATGACAGGCGTGAGTAATCCCAGCCTCCCAAGCCCAATTCTGGGGGAAGTTTTGGGACCCCCTCATGGAGGGAGATCCCCTCATGGAGGCCACTGTCAGGGTCCCTGCTGGTGCCTGGGCTGGGCAGGGAGGGGCCCTGAGCTCAGCTCCACCCCATGGTCCTCAAGGGCACCCACCTGGCTGAGCAGAAACAGATGCAGGCCTGCGCCTTCTGCTACCGCCCTTCTGCCCCCACAGCCTCAGGCTGGGCCTGGCGGGGATTGAAGCAGGAAGGAAAGAGGGAAAGCTCCGGCTCGGCTCGGATCTGCAGCCGGCCAGGCACCTGTACACACAGGCCCCTGGACCTCCCACTGCCCCTGGCCTGGGGGTGCAGTCTGACCCTCTGACCCCACTGCCCTGCGGGGACCGCGGCCTCTGCCTCAGGTGGCAAGGAAGTGTGCTCCAGGGGCCTCTCCTGCAGCCTTGGGCTCCAGGGGCGGCAGGAACCGCGTCCGCTGCCTCTCTTTGTCTGTGCTCAGGCCAGCAAGCGCTGTAAAGACCCCAGGATGTCCGGGACGCCTGGGGAGGCATGTTAATGAGCTGTTCAGAATCGGCTGCTGCATTTTCTTGAGAAAACAGGAAGTTGGGTAGCTGGGAGGAAACCCCTGCTGGAGCCCTGGCCAGCCGGGTGCTGGGGAGTGCCCCTGAGGACCCAGGCCAGGCATGGAGGGGCCGCCAAGCCCTGCATGGAGAAGGGTGTCCAGGGTGTGAGGCAGAAGGGCAGACTTTGGCCTGGCTGAGTGGATGGGATGGGGGCGTCGGGGGCTGAGCAGTGGGGGCCGCCCTGACCCATGTCCGCCCTGCCTCTTTGCTGGCTACTGGCAGCTCCAAGCTGCTGATGCCACTCTGCCACCCACACCCTGCAACCCCCAAGCTGCCCCTGCTGTGGCAAGCAGGAGCGCCAGGCCCAGGGGGGCTGCAGGTAGAGCAGGCCTGGGAGGGGCTAAGGCCAGAGCTGCACCCCCGTGGGGGGCCAGCAACTGTCCAGGCTGGAGAGGGCAGCGCCAGCTGTCCAGGACCAAGGCAGTGAGGGAAGGAGCATCTGGATCTGAAAGACTGCAAACAGCCGGCGGGGAATTTGGCCTGGAGGGTACCCTGGGCCCTGGCTGCAGCCCCAGGCAGCGACCTGCCACCTGTGCCAGCCCCTCTGTCTGGGGGCAGGACGTGGGGAAGGGGCGGGGGGGCTGCCTTGGCCCCACGGACTGCCCGGCCAGGGGCCTTGCAGACATATGCGTCTCTGTGTGCACATCCCGCAGATGCTGGGTGGTGTGCGGTGAGGACAGAACCAAGCGTTCCCCCTGCCCGCCCCGGCCTGGGAGCAGAGCACATGCTGGCAGCCACACCAGAACCTGAACCCCCTGGTGCAGGGCTGGCAGGAGCGGGTGCTGGTCCATGCAGAGCCCCACGTGTATGCGCCACATGCGGCCTCAGGTCGGAGCCCAGGTGGGAGGGAGGCCCTTGTTGGGGCTGGGGACCCTGCTGGGCCCTAGCAGGATGCCCTTGGGCAGGTGACAGAGAGCTGTTGGGAGAGGGCCCCCCATGTGCACAAGGGTCCCTCAGGGCCAGTGCGATGGGGCCAGGAGAGCAAGAAAGGGGTCTATGAGAAGCTGAGATGTCTACATTTGAAGCCAGCCTTCCAGGTCACCAGGTGGGAGAATGGAGCTTGCTTTGCACAAGTGCCTCAGCCGGGTGGTGGCCCAATGCCCACAGCCCAGGGTCCCATGTGCGCACCCGCCTCCTTGGCTCTGGAGTCCCGAGAGGTGCTCAGGGCCTGGAGGGCCAGGGCCCCAAGCCACACATCCGTGATGACCATGTGCTCTAGAAAGTTCTTCCTAGGGCTGGGCAGGCTCAGGCCACGTTCCCACCACCCACTCCAGCAGCACTGCAGCCTCAGTGCTCCCAGCTGAACCCTGGGAGCTTGGCCTGAGCAGGCAGCTGGGAACACCACTGATCGGCCACCCCACACACTGGCTGCCCCATCCCTACCCCAGAGGTGAAGAGAGGCCCATCCTCAGGGCCAAAGAGGTAGGCACGGGCAAAACAATGGAGGCCGGGCCCCGGGACCACGCAGGCCCAGCTCCACGCAGCTGCAGACCCCGGGCCTGCCACCGCAGCCACAGTGCAGGGCTCGGCTGGCTATGACCCATCTGGACACCAGAGGGCTGCTGGCCATCACTAGCCAGCAGAGAGCGGCACGCTCAGGCTGACGCAGCAGGAGAGATCGGCCCTCCGCCCTGGAGCTGCCCACGGGGCCTGGCTCTGGGCTTGGTCACAGGATCTGAGGCTCACAGCCTCCGCTGTCCCCTAGCTCCGGCCAGAGCTGACCACCTCCCTGGAGAGCGCCTGCCGCCGGGCTGACTTTCCATTTTCTTCTTCCTTCTGCTATTTTGGTGCCGTTCCCGGAGGGAAAGCCCGCTCAACGTGCAGGGTTCCCAGAGCGAGGCTGGGGTGCTCTCTGGGTGGTACGGTGGGCACACAGCAGGGAGTGAGCAACAGCGCTCATGGCTGAGCCCAAAGCTGGGCCAGGGGCCTGGCCAGGGGTCTGTGGCCACCGCCGGCCCCACCACTCAGCAGAGACCCCAGGCGGTGGGACTCCTGGGCGCTGGGGTTGCTGGTGCCGGCTTTCTGGTAGCATCTGCCCACGTGTGCCCCTGAGCCAGGCAGGGAGGGTCTCCCCTCGAGCGAGGATGGCCCACCGGCCCACCCACAGAAGCCACAGTGGCTGTGGGTCTCAAGTAGAGGGCAGGGCCGTGCCCTCTGGGGCAGGGTGGGGGTGGGGAACGTTCCCAGTGCCGTCTACCATGGGAAAATATTTTATCAAAGAAGCTCAAGCTTAAAAAAAAACCCTTACCATGAACCCCTGACATGGCCAGGCATACCGTCTATTTTTACCGTCCCAGTCCCCACCCCCCCAGCATGGTTGAGGAGCGGGCTGCAGCCCCCACGGGGACACGTCCTGAAACAGTGGCGTCAGCCCCTTGGAAGTGGGCATCCCAGGAGGCTGTGGTGACCCTGCCTCCGAGGGCTCCCGGGCAGAGCTGGCCATTATGGGGGGGACGAGGGGGGGTGCCGGCAGCCGGGGCCCAGCTCATGGGCGCCTGGGAAGCCCTGTGGGGCTGGGCAGGGACCCTGGGGAGGGTGGTGGACCCCAGCCCAGCAGACAGGGGTCCAAGAGGGGGTTCTCGAGGAGGGGACAGAGTGGGCTCCAGGACAGCTGCCCCCAGCGTTCACACTCAGCACCTGGAGCCTGCCGTGGACAGGGGCTTCAGAGCCCAGACCCAAGATCCAGCCTGGGGGCCCCAGTGCCGCCCATTCCTGCCGTGGGCCTGGAGACCCTTACATTCTCTGTGCTCAGTTGATAGACAGAGGGACAGACAGGAAGAGGTGCAGCGGCCACAGACCCCACCCCTCCCAGGCTCTGTCCGTCTCAGCCCAGACCCCATTCCCACGCTTGGCACCCCCATGTCACACAGGCACAGAGGGTACAGAAGGACCTCCTCCCTGCTCCTAAGGTGGCGGTAGGGGCCCAGCCCCAGAGCTCTGGAGGAAGACGGGCCCTCCAGCCAGGGCATGGAACTGCAGGGCAAGTTTCAGCAGCGGGTGGGCCTAGCACGACACCCAGGCTGGGGACAAAGAGGGAGTGATGGCACCTGAGGGGGCTTAGTGCAGCCCCCAGGGCTGACAGGAGGGTGGTCAGCCAGGGGTCCAGGTGGTTCCCCCAGGAGGCCACCCACACCACCTCTCCACAGCATTCTGGGCTGGAGACCCTCCAGAAGGCCCCACTGCCCCCTCATCCCCCCTTTCCTAGCAGCCTTCCAGAAAAGCTGTGGGTCTCAGCCAGAGCCCAGCCTGGGTTCCCACCAGATGGCCCCTGGGGATGGAGGACCTGGACCCACCGGCCTGGGGACCACAGGTTCGTGAGGTAGTGCCTGAGGACCAGAGGGCCACGCAGCATGCCGAGACCCACTGCCCTCCTCAGGTGGCCCCGGGGCCTGGCTCCACTCAGCCTGGATGGATGGGATGGGCAGGCTGTCCTCGGGGTGCCAGGGGTGCACGCAGGAGGGACCGGCCATGGCCAGGTTCAAGGGAGGGAGTCCTGGGGAGCTCCTCAGGGTGACAAGGTAGGGTCTGTGTCCAGTCGCCACATTTTGCCCATCCAACAGGAGAGGCCCCGCGTGGGCTGGCAGGTGCGCGCCTGGGGCCGCCTCCCCTGCCCGCAGCTACAGAGGCAGGGCTGCCTCTCCTGAGCCTCAGCCTCCTCACAGGCCGGCTGGGGTCTCCTGACCCTTTCCTTCCCACCCCCTCCAGGCCCGCCACGCTCAGAGAATGACCTGGGCCGCCCTGTCAGGCTGAGCAGGAGAGCTGCCCCCTGCACCCCTATGCCTCATGACATGGGTTTGCTGAAGTGGGGAGAGGAGAAGAGGTCCCTGCCCAGCTCCCCAACTCCTCTGAAGATCCCACAACGTGCCCCTCCCACATAGAGCTCCCCTGGAAGGACCAGAGCAGGGTGGGCTGAACGGGCCACTCCCCTTCCATCCAGGCAGGCCCGTCACACCTAGGCCCCTGTGCGGGGCGGGGCTCCCAGGCTCCAGCAGCCCACGCGGCTCCCACCGCGGCCTCCTCTTAGACTCAGCCCCCAGCGGCTCTACCCTGCCCAGCCCGGGGCCCTCGCCCCACTCTGTTGTCCCCCAGCCCCTGCAGCCCGGAGCAGCCTCCGTCTCCCCCTGGCCTGCCAGGCCCCAGCTTAGACGTCGCTTCCTCCAGGAAGTCCCCCAGTCGATGGCGGGACCATCACCGCTCCTGGAGGGAGTACTGGGGCCCTGCCTCCCGGGCACTGGGAGCTGCGAGGGTCGGCCCAGGGCCGCTTGGGGCGGGTTCAGGGCCTGCCACCTGCTGCCGGGACCGGCCCCATTGGTTGGAATGGGCACGCCCGGGGCGCGCGGGCTACCCCCCTCTGCGGGCGGGGGGCCGAGTCCCCCAGCGACCCCGCGGCCCCTGGGAAGGAGGGTGTCTCGGCCCCCTGCACACACCCCTGCGACCCTGGACGGGCAGGCGGGGTCCCCCAGGCCGGCGCGCGAAGGCCGCGGGCGGGCGGCCGTTAGCTTTTGAATCTCCGCCGGGCGCCCTGAGTGGCCGTTTCCAAGGCCGGCCGCGGGGGCGGGGGCCGTTCCCAGGCGCGCCCCGCCCTCCGCCGCCCCTCCTCCCACTTTCCCACGCGGCCCGGCCCGGCGGGTTCTCACGGCCGCCGCCCCTCCCCCGTCTGGGAAAGCCAGCGCGCCGCGCCCCGCCGAGGCTGGGGGGGGCCGGGGGAGGGAACGAGAGCTGGGGGGCGAGGGGGGAGGGGAAGCTCTGGAGCCCCGGGGAGGGGGAGAAGGGGGACTTCCCTTGGGAGGCTCAGAGACGGGAGGGGGCCACAGCGAGGGGGAGGGGGGAGCTGCCATCCCCTGGGATGGGGACGGTGTGGGGGCGCCCCGGAGCCCCCGGAGGGAGCCCGAGGCCCAGGGCACCGTGTTGGGACCCTGTGTGGCCCGGCTTCTGTTTGGTTTGACCCAAGGCAGGTGGGAGCGGCCCGGGTCTGGGCGGGGAGTGGGGTCTGGGGCTCCTGACCCTGTTTTTATTCCTCCTGCCCGCCCAGGGCAGGCCGGGGATCTGACAAACACAGGCGCTTGCTAACAAGAATCTCAGAAAACGGTCATTTTTTCATATAAAAAAGTATCCTGCACTTTATCTGAAATTCACACTACGGGGCTTTGTGTCCTGCTGCCCCCTCCCCCGGGGTGGGGGCTGACCATCCCATGTGAGTGGGAGACCCGGTGCCGGGGCCTCGGCCTCCTGCCCAGGCCCTGTGGCTCACCCCCAGCCCTCCTGGACCGGGTCAGCCGGGGGCCCCCAAGTCTGCTGCAACAGGGGCCACACCCAGAGGGGTGCCAGACACCCGGGGCTGGGGCCACAGGCTTCAGAGCTGCCAGCGGGTCAGGCCCACACGCGTGGTCTCTCCGGCGGTGGCGGTGGGGGTGCAGGCTGGGAGGAGGTGGGCAAAGGCAGCCAAGCCCCAGGCCTGGACACCAAGGTCTGAGGGCACAGGGTGGGGTGGCCTTCCTTCATCAGGGCCCAGGCCCGAAAGCCCGGTCGGGGGGTGCCCAGGGAAAGGCTGAGGCCCCTCACGGGAACTTGGTCTGGGGTGACCTGTGCAGAGGGGTGCTGGGCCAAGGAGGGCAAGGTGTCGCATGGTGACCCACTGCCAGGCGCTAGCCCCCACCCTGCTAAGCAAGCCTTGGGGGCAGCCTGGTGGGCCAGGCAGGGCTGGTGGCTCCAGGGGGCACATTCCAAGGGAGCTGCAGGAAGTGGAGACCCTGACACGGGCGGCCACATGTCCTTGTGTCCACACCGTGAGGCAGTAACACGCTTCCTGGCTCACACCCTGACACCCACCCACATGCAGACGCCCGTGTCCCTGGTGCTTCTGAGAGACGTCTCCCCGCGCACGAGGGGCTGGCTGTTGCGCACGTGTGCCCAGACCCGGCCTCCGGAGACTCACGTGCCCTTTCACTCCTCTCCCACACTCAGGGCCCTGGCTTTTGGGGGCTCTGGGGTGAGGGCTGTGGGCCCAGTTGTCCCGACCCCCAGGGACCTTCTCGCCGCCGACGCTGCCCGAGGCCCATCCCCCACACTGTCTGTGGAGACATTGTCCTGGCCACACAAAGGGGACGGGGCAGCGGCTGGGTGGGGGAGGGGCTGGGGTTCGTGGGAACTGCCCTTCCGGGGCCCTGGGGGCGGGGGGACAGGGGGCAAGGGGGCAGGGGCGAGGCCTCTCCAGGGCTGCCACCCTCAGTCACAGGCTCCAGACGTTCCCGGGGCCTTAGGGCGGGGGTCACTGAGCGGGTGGCTACCAGCTTGCTCCACGGGGATAGACTGGGTTTTAAAAGCTTCCCAAAAGACGGCCGCTATCCCCAGCTGCACACACCTCCCCAGGGGCCAGGGGCTCGGCCTTCCGCCCACCCCAGCACTGTCTCCAGTGGAAAGTCAGTGCCGGGACTGGCCAGGTTCTTTTGGCAAACTCGCAACTCCCTTCTCTCTGAAGAG
Source organism: Homo sapiens (assembly GCF_000001405.40). Lineage (NCBI taxonomy): Eukaryota > Metazoa > Chordata > Mammalia > Primates > Hominidae > Homo > Homo sapiens. The sequence goes on along the minus strand of NC_000009.12, from coordinate 137,314,307 downwards.
GCTCACAGTGCCACAGCAGGGGACAGTGTCGGGTCACCTTTGGGGCGGGCAGCCCAGGGCTGCAAGGCACTCTGGGGACAGCGTGGGAAGGTGAGGTGTGGGCCAGACCCAGGCCTCGGCGGGCAGGTTGGTGCCTGATTGCTTCTTCCTGGGCCGCTGGCTCGCCCTGTCCAGCAAGGTGTCAGGCCCACACCCCAGTCCCCACCATCGGTTGGGCGGCTCTAGGGGAGGTCAGAGTGCACAGGGCAGCCTGGGGGCCTCAGGACCCACCCAGGGGCTTGCCAGGGACCAAATGTGCAATGTCCATCCTGGGACGGCACACTGGCGACCCCCGCCAGCATCCCTCTTCCCGATGTGAGGATCTCCGCACACAGTCCTAGCCGTGCAGAGGCCTGTCCAGGGAAGGTGCTGGGCACCCTTTCGTGTGGTGGGTGGTGGGACGGAGTGAGATTTTATCTTTGCTCTTTCATGCTTTGCCGTTTTCCCAGTTTGCTCTAAATGAGCAGAAATGTCCTGTTGCTCCAGAGTGTGCTCCTACAGCCCCATCGCCCTGCCTGGTGGCCTCAGGCCTTGACTCCTCCTGGACCTGCCTGCAGGGTTGGAAATCCCAGGTTGGCAACTCCTGCAGGAGTTCCACCCAGGCCAGGGCCCCAGCCCGACGGACCCCACCTGCCACACCCCCCATGGGGCCCAGAGGGAGGAGTGCAGGAGACAGGCCTGGGCTGAGGTTGCAACAAGCTTGCTCTTTGCTCAGAAGCAGGAGGCCCCAAAGAGGCCCCTGCCACCCTCACACTCCCACCCCACCTTCTCAGGGGGTCATGTCTAGCTGGGCTTGGGCACAGAGCAGAAACCCCTCAGGCCAGATCACCCGAGGGACCTGGGCTCATTCCCAGCCTGGTGGTGGGACCTGAGCTCCACTGGGCTAGGAGAGCAGGGGCTGTGGGAGTCCCCAGGGTGGCCGGCAGGCAGGAGGGATGCTCAGGTCACCTCTGCCCAGGCCCAGCAGACACCTGGCCCAGTCTCTTGGAGGAGCAGAGCTCCCTTCCCAGGCTCCCAACCCAACAGGCCACTGCCTGCTGCCCTACACCCCAGGACACGGGTTCCCCACATGCTGTGGCCCTGGCAGGTCCCAGGGCTCGTGTCTCGCCCTCCTCTTTCCCTCAAGCCTCCGACTTGTCGAGACCCAAGGCCTCAGGGGTGGGTGGGGTCCAAGGGTGTTGTGTGCAGGGGCTATGTGCAGCTGCCCAGTCCTGTCTGCCTGGGAGCGTCCAGTCCTCCCTCACCACTCCTGTGCACCAGCCACCTATTGCTTGGGATGCATAGGCTGGCACACCTGCAGGCCTGCAGCCTGGGGCAGTGGGTGTGACCCCTACACCCAAGTGGGCACCAGGTCAGGTGGGCACCAGGTCAGGTCAGGTGGGCACACAGACACTGCTGGAGGCACATTCTGCAGCCCAGCGCTGGCCCCTTCAGCTGTGGTCGCTCCCTTGGTGGTGGGGGTGGGAATTGGGCCTACTCGTGGGTGTGGCTCCCAGCTTTGATGCTCAGAGCCCCCAGACACCCTGGGAACAGACCCCTCGAGCCCTCCTAGCTGCTCACCCCACCCTAACACATCTTGGCCTCTGCCTTGGTCCTGAGTGCGCCTCCCCAGATGGCCAGCTCTGGGGCAGTGGCTGAGCAGCTCTTTCCCTCACTCCTCCTTGGGCCTGGAGAGGAGAGGGCCCTGGAGGGTGGGCGTCCACTCAGACCCACTTGGCTGTGGGTCCATGGGCCCCAACATCCCCAGGACAGCCTGGCTGGTGGCCCGGCCCCCAGGAGGCAGCCACACGCCCACGGGCTCGTGGCCCAGCCCGCACAGTCCCGGGCGGAAGTGCCCTGTGTCAGGGCTGGCACGGCGCTGTTGGCACCCAGTGGCTGAGGAGCGTGGGAACCAGGCACACGGGGGATCCTGGGCAGGTAGCTGGGAGCCTTCCCAGCCATTCCTGCCCCCCATTCACCTGGGCCCTCCCACCCCGCCCTCCCAGTCAGGCTCTGGGGGTGGTGGCTGCCTGCCCTCGGGCTCTCAGACTGGAGGGGGTGGGGTGGAGGTGCCCAGGCACCCCGCTGTGCTGCTCTGGACCCACAGCCTTGACCTCTGCTCAGGGTCCCCGTCAGGCCCCACTTGTCTCTGCCCAGACCCGACGGCACCCTGGAGTGGGTGTCTGTGCGTCCCACACTGATGGAAGGAGGCGGCGTGAGAACCCTGGCATGGAGTCCTGGCCCGCCGAGTGCCCTGTGACTCAGCAAGCCCTCAGAAGCCCCTTTTCTTCAAAATGGGAGGGCAGGGGCTCTCAGCCCCCGAGTGCTGGGGGGCGGGTCTCAGGGTATCAGGCAGGTGGTCTCAGGTGGACGATCGCTGTCCAAAGGCAAGACGTGCGCTGGGCCACCAGCACCACTCACTCCCTCAGCCCGTGGCAGCCACCCGCCCAGGGCAGTCGGTCCAGCAAGGGCTGCCAGCCCTGGAGTGGACAGATGGACAGGGAGGCCCTCGCTGCCAGGCCCCCCTGTGGCTGGGGAGCCCAGGTCCAAGGGCGGGCACAGCCAGTGGGCCCAGAACCGGCTTTCCCAGCCCTGGCCGGGGCAGGGCCTCCCAGGGCCTTGTGGGTGACAGCAAGGCCCACAGCGGGCAGCAGCCGTGGGAAAACCAGCACCGGTGGTTCCCGAGGGTGGGGCCAGGCCCTCACTGACGGCACCCGGTGACTCAGCACGAGCTGGCTGGCCCCGCCCAGGCGTGCGCACCTGGCCCAGGTCCTGGGAAGGCCCCGGACCCCATGTGGAGTATTTGGGGGTGTGGGGAGCCCATCCCGCACTGCTGCAGCCTCGCCACCTCTCCTACACCCACTGGCACTGTCCCTACAGGTGGCCTGCACAGTGGAGAGTGGGGCTCTGTGGAGGGTGGACCACCTGCTTGTTCTCAGCCCTTCCCAGCCAGACCTGCAGCCAGGGCTCTCCACCCACACACCTGCCCAGGAAGCCTGCTGGACCCAGATCTGGGCTGGGCCCAGAGGCCAGGTCACAGGACCTGCCATCATGGCACAAGGAGCTTCCTGGTGGGAGAGATGGGAGCTAGCGGAAGAGGAAGGGAGGGTCCTGTCTCCCTAGCCCAGCCTGGCGTCCTAGTAGAAGAGCCCCACCTGTCCAACACCTCCAGCCCCAGGGCCCTGAACTGGTGGGGGCTGCAATGCTGGAGGCAGGTAGTGCAGCCTCTTAGTTTCGAAAGGCTCAGGGGAAGACAGCGTGTGGGGCAGGGCCGGTGCCCCCAACATGGCCACACCCGGAGGCTCCAGGGGCCTCGAGGCCACCTGCCTGCGGCAGCCATGTCATCTGGGGCTCAACCCAAAGCCCCTGCATGGGGAGGGGTCCTGGAATAGCCATGTGACCATGGATCTCGGCCTCCTCTTCCCTGCTCCCCTGCACAGATGGCCTGGAAGCCCCACCTCCTCCCCAGGGTGCTCTGACATCAGAAGGGCTGTGACGGGAAGGCCACACCTCCACAGGACCTGCAGGTGCCTGCCTGGGACCTGGCTCTCAGTGGGCACCCAGCCCCCTCCTGGCATTGCCAGGGGAGTCCTGGGTATCTGACCCGTCTCTTTGTCCAGGAAGTGACCACTGGGAAGGCCGTGCACCCCGCTCCAAGTCAGGACTCGGGTGTAAGCTGGTCCTAGCCTCCCGGCCTCCCTGCCCCCACCCCCAGCATCGCAGTAAGCCTGGCAGGTTGGTCATACTCAGAAACCACCCAGAGGGGCTGGGCGTGGCACACACCTGGAGTCCCAGCACTTTGGGAAACCCAGATGGAAAGATCACTTGAGCCCAGGAGTTCAAGACCAGCCTGGGCAATATCGTGAGACCTCATCTCTACGAAAAATACAAAAATTAGCTGAGTGTGGTGGTGTACTACTCAGGAGGCTGATGTGGGAGGCTCATTTGAGCCCCGGGGCTTCAGGCTGCAGTGAGCTGTGATTGCGCCACTACATTCCAGCCTGGGTGACAATGAGACCGCATCTCAAAAATAATAATAATAATGCAGCCATGGGGGCCCGTTTTGTGCCCTGGACAAGGCACACAGTGGTGTTGCTCCAGCCCCCTCGCCACTTTCAGGGCCACACCTGCCCCAGGGCAGTGGGAGGCGCAGGTATCAGGGAAATGTGGATGTGGAAATGGACAGGTCAGGGGTTGGGGCAACTATGGGGCTGCCCACGCTGACCCCTTAAGGCTGGGCCCTGTGTCCAACACGCCAGCTGAGGTGGCCCACGGGGGACCCAGACCTGGTTCTGCCCTCGAGGGCTCTGGGATTGGAGAGGGCAGCTGGGCAGAGAGTCCCACAAGTTCTCAAAAAACAGAAGAGGCTTCCCAGGGCCCATGAGAAGCCAGCACAGTCAGGGAGGGCTTCCAGGAGGCGGTATGGCCTGAACCCCACAGGACTATGCGTGGGGACAGGAGGGGACCCATTATCTGTCTCTGTGAAACCCCATGGCCAGACCCAGAGCTTCGAGGAGCGAGCAGAGGGCTGGGGTATGGGGCACCCGGAGAAGCCCCGCCTGGGCCTCAGCACCCCCTCTGGCCCCCAGGCCTGTAACTGTGACCAGTACCTAAAGGTCTCCAGGGACATGATGAAGCAGCTCATGTGGCTCAGCAGTCACCAGGAGGGGCCCAGGAGCTCAGGTGAGTGTGTCAGGGTCAGGCACTGGGTCTGGGGGGCCTGGGATGGGTCGACCTACTGAGGTAGCCAGGGAGAGGGGCCTGGCCCGTCCAGCACTGAGCTTCCTCAGATAAGGGTGGCAGCCAGGTGACGACAGGTGGAAAAACCACAGCCAGGTGACAACAGGTGGAAAAACCACAGCCAGGGTCAGGTACCCAGATGGCCTCTGCTCCCTTCTGTGTGGTAGCAGACCAGAAGATCAGGACACCAGGGCCCTTGGCGACCCTCTGGAGTGGTGTGCACCTCCTTCTCTCTGCTGGGCCCAGGCATGCGGTGCACACAGACACACACACACGTGCACCTACACCTGCACACAGCACTAGCTGACCCCAGATGTCCACCCCCCCAGGGAAGGCCCCAGCCTGTTTCCCTGCCTGGGAAACTAGAAAGAGGGCTTCTTTCTCCTCCTGTGGAGGGTGCAGGCCGCCCAAGGACTTTGCAGTTTTAGATCTGCACGGGGGCTGGAAGTATGGCCCCCGCCCCGCCGCCATTAGAACTGCTGGCCCCTACCCTCGGGAGGGAGGCGCCCCAGGGAGGGAGTGAAGGGTGCTGCTCCTGGTCATCCTCAGTCGGGGGCTGGCACGGGGGCTAAGGGAATGGAGGTGGATAGAAAGAGGTCAGTCCAGGCTGGGCGCGGTGGCTCACGCCTGTAATCCCAGCACTTTGGGAGGCCGAGGCGGGCAGATCACAAGATCAGGAGATTGAGACCATCTCAATGGTGGTGGCTAACATGGTGAAACCCCGTCTCTACTAAAAATACAAAAAATTAGCCGGGTGTGGTGGCACACGCCTGTGGTCCCAGCTACTTGGGAGGCTGAGGCAGGAGAATCACTTGAACCTGGGAGGCAGAGGTTGCAGTGAGCCGAGATCACACCACTGCACTCCAGCCTTGGGGACAGAGTGAGACTCCGTCTCCAAAAAAAAAAAAAAAAAAAGGGTCAGTCCAAGTTCAGGGTGGGAGGACGGGGAGCGACCATCACCCAGGGTGGCCAGCAGAGCACACCCCGGAGAGCGAGGCTGGAGGTGGCCTCCAACCTCAGGTCCCCCGCTCGCAAAGACACACTCAGACCAGAGCCCCAGGACATGACGGCACACACCCCACCCGAGGGTAGTGGGCAACACCCAGATGGGCTGACGAGTGTGACAGGGACTGCAGGGTAAGAGCTGGGGCCAGCCAGGGAGGGGCCAGATGAGGGTCATGGCCTCCTGGGCTTCAAGGAGGAGCTGGGGCTGGGGTGGGGGCGTGGTGCATTCATCCCCGGCCGCAGCTGATCTGGAGCCATCTGTAGCGAAATGCTTGCTGAGCAAATTACGAGGGTCAACAGGAGCAGGGCAGACGCTTCTCCCACCTGCTGGCCAGTGTTCCCTCGGCTACCGTGCACTCAGCCCCACAGTGACCCCTGAGTGGATACCGGCCCTGCCTGCCCTGGGCTCTCAATGGGGGCTCGGGGCCTCACAGGGCCAGCACGAGCCACTTCCCAGGGTCTCCAACAGACCCTGAGCCTGGCAGTCCCTGGGCCCTGCCCACCCGCCCACCCTTGTGCTGGCTGATTTCGAAATTCACTCACTGGCAGTGGGCTTATCTGCTCATCACCACAAATGGGCTGCCCCCGCCCCCGCCCGCCGGTTCTCAGGCCCCCAAGAGCCCTAATCAGCAGATCTCGCGCCTAGAACATGTTTCCCAGGGACCTTTGAGCCCCAAGACCTTTCCGAGGTGTGAGTTCCCAAGGGAGGGGACCAGGCCGGTACCACAGCTCCTTGGCCCCCTGCCCTCTGCCCGTCTGCGAAGGCTGGGGGGTGTGTGAAGAGGCTGCACCCCATGAGGTGACTGTGCTCAGCCGCATGGCTGCGTCATGGACCCCGCTGGCTGCCAAGCCCCATCCCTAGGACAGTCCCGGACCAGCTCTCTTCCTTGACTGACAGGTGACGAGGCCACCCAGAGCCAGGCGGTGCAGGAGCCAGGTGAGCCCCGGGACCGCCCACCAAGGACACAGCTGCTTCTCTGCGGCCCTGGTGCCAGGCTTCCCCCAGAATGGGGGACTTGGGTCCCGGCCGGGCAGAGGGGGCTCTGTGGGGCTCCTGTAGGCCCTAGGGCCTGCAAGGTGAGGGGTGGGGTCCCTGGATAGGAGAAGTGGGCACAGAAGAGGAAGTGGAGGACGCAGAGTCAGCGGATAGGGAGCAGAAAGAGGAGCTGCTGAGGAGTGAGCGTGGGCTCAGCGTGGGCCGCCAACTGCACCACTCTGGGAGCAGCCTGGGGGCCGTGCCCGAAGGCTGAGGGCTCAGGGAGTCCACTTCTATCTGTCCAGGCCCAGCCCCAGACGCAGCCCCTGAGGGCTGCACCTATGACCGCCCCTGCCGCTGGCTGCAGATGGCTGACCTGCGGGCGGAGACACCGGACATGCTGGCCGACGGCACCCGGCTGCAGCTGGCAGGGGTCCCGGTGGGTGTGCTGAGGACACCTGGGCTGCGGTGCTTCTACTGCTGCACGGGCTGTGGAAAGGTCTTCTGGGACGGCTCCCACCTGGGTCGTGTTGCCACCCACTTCCGAGACATGCTGGAGAGCGCCCCCAGCCCCTGCGAGCCGAGCCCAGCCCCCAGCCCGGCCAGCAGTCCCTTCTGAGGACAGCCAGACAATAAACATGGAAAGTGCCCGACTGCTGGGCCCATGGCCGTGGACTGGCTCACATGTTTCATGCTCGCCCCACAAACCCCTCGTGGGCCCCTTTGTGCCAGCAAGCGCTGGGAACACCAAGGCGGGGTCCCAGCCCGAGCCGCTGTCGGGGGAAGACAGGGTTTCCAGATGGTCAGGATGCTGGGACCCCGAGCCTGGTGGGACCCACGAGGTCTCTCCATCACCCCCGTCAGGGCTGCGTGATTCCCACGGGAGAGCAGCAGCCACAGCCCCCACTAGAGGCACCTGGGCAGCCGGCCATGGCCAGGGCTCTGCACACGTGGACGCCAACGTCTCCGTCCTCACAGCTGCCTGGACGTAGCTGCTGCTGCCCCTGTCTGGGAGGAGGCTGAGGCCCAGGCGGCCACTGCTGCCCACCCTGAGGGTCCGAGGGTGCTCTGTCAGGTGGAGCAGGGAGGGCAGGGGGTCCCAGAGGTGGGAGAGGAGGAGAAGCCCGGGGAGGGACCATCCCAGGAATGTACCCCCTCCCCTCACCCACATCCTTTTCCTCTGCTTCCTGCCTGGAGCGGAAATCAGCTCAGATTTGGCCGAGGAGGTGGGCGGAAGCCTCGGGCAGCAGGGGCCTGGGGGCGGGCTGGGGAGAAGCAGCCGCCTCTGCCCAGAGTAAGGAGCAGGCTTCGGGTGCGAAGGCCTTGGGCATCCCTGGACTGGCCCAGTCGGGGCCTCCCTGTGGGTCCCGACCACACCAGGGCTGGCCACTGCCCCTGGGTACCCCTAAGGACTGCAGCCCAACCCCTTCAGCCCCCAGCAACCCCAGCAGGGGTGTCATTTCACAGATGGGGAGGGGGAGGCTGAGACGGGGAGGGCCTGGCCTGTGTCAGAGCCAACTCGAGTTTTGACCTGCCCCCTTGACCTGCTGGGCAGCCGCAGGGCGTGAGCCTGAGAGTCAGGTGGGGGCACCAGGGTGAGCAGAGCAGCACCCCAGGAGAGGGTCAGGGCCTTCTGGGACCGGGATCTGCTTCCGGGAGGGGAACCCCAGCTCCACATTCCTGTCCTGGGGAGGCAGCCCCGGACCGAACTCCTGCCTGGCAGGGTTTAAGAGGGAGTGGCTGAGGGCACCCACCCTCCACCCGGCCTGGCTGCATCCTGCTCCCAACACAGGCCCAAGTGCTGCTGCTGGCTCTCGGCAGAGGGAGGCAGAGTGGTGCAGAGGCCGCAAGGAGACAGAACCACACATCCTCCGTCCCTCCCGGCTGGCCCCGCCTCCACCCGCCCTCACTTTCCGCCATGGCCGTGCTGTGCCATATGTGTTTCCCGCCTCCACACGTCCCTCACTACCCAGCATAGGCTCGGCCTGGCTCTGCGGCGTCCATCCCAGGCCCAGGCTTTGGTGGGGGTGAGGCTCTCTGCCCAGTTCCCATCCTGGTCCAGGTGCTGGAAGCACGCCTCGGTCACTGGGGTCAGCACCCATCAGGCTGCTTCCTGGGCTAGGGGACAGACACCAGGCTGACCGGGTGGCCGAGGCTGCCAGTGCCAGGCCATGCCTTGAGCAGCCATCCCGGCGGGCAGGAGCCACCGGTTGCAGGGATTGTCTGCGGCAGTTCCTGCCCGGGCGTCCTTCCTCCGCCGCGGCCTGTGCTGGCCCGGGCTGAGTGTTTGTTATTTGATCTCGATCCTCTCAGCCCTTCTACCAGGTGTCTGGGCTGCTGGGAAGAAACACTCTCCTCTTTCCCACGCTCCCGACACATTTTAATGAATTAGCTGGAAGCCCCGCCCCCACTGCCCGCCACCCTCCCTCCCTGCTTAGCGCCTTTAAGGTGGCCGCAGGCCTCGGCCCAGCTCTGGCCAGCTGCCCCTTCTGCGCTGTCCTCCCTGGGCCCTCCCAGGCGGGCCGGCCACCCCGCACAGACCTCCCTCCCCATGTTGCCCACTGCTCTGAGCCTCCAGGGAAGGAAGGAAAGGGGGTGCATGCAAAGAGAAGGGGCCCCACCATTGCCTTCTGGGGGCAGGTGGGTTACAGGCAGGGCACCCCCGGGGCCAGCATCCTCAGGACAGGCAGGGGAGGAAGGACAGGGCCCAGCTGCACAGTCGGAGCTGAGCCTGTTGCCAGGTCCCAGGGCAGGGCCTCCCAGACAGCAGAAGGCTCCAAGCAACACCGGCAAACACCAGGGGGTCCTCTCGAGCACAAGTACTGGGTGGCTGGAGGTGGACCCCCGTGTCCCAGCATTTGGAACAGATGTCCACCTTTTGGATGTCCCTCAGCAAACATTCGGGAAGTGCTGACTCAGAGCTGTTGCCCCCCCGGCCCCTCCCCCCTTCCCATCCTCAAATGGAGCAGCTTCAGGGCCGTGGGTGTGCCCAGGGGAGCTGGGAGCCACGGTGGAGGAGCAGGAGCCAGGGCCACTCAGCGAACTCCCTGTGGGCAGTGTGGTGTGGCCAGCCTCTGAGTCCCACAGATGAGCCTGGGTACCTGCCTTGGGCCACAGCCACACTGCCGTGGCAGGCCCCACCACCTCTGCCTGACCCCGCTCTGGACCCCGGGCAGGGGGTAGGTTCCCGCCCTGCAGGGCCGCCACACCAGCCTCACTGTGCCTGCCGGGGCGCCCGCACCGCCTGGCCCTCGCCAGGGGCCGCTGCCGATTTCACGCCCGTGGCGGGGCCCCGCGTTCCCACACCGAGCTCACACAGGGCCCCTTTGTTTGCCGCCGCCACGGATGCCGACGGCACTTTCTCCCAGGCCCTGCTCCTGGCCCACAGCATAGCCAAATGCCTTCTCCAGGCCCGGCTTGAGCCCACCTGGGCTTCGGCCTGTTTGCAAACCACCCACCCTCCAGGGGAGGCCCTGTGCCTGTTGAGCACCAAGGGCTCTGCCCACCCCCCAGTCATGCCCTCTGCCTCTTGCCAGTCTAGCCTGGCTGGGCCCTGGGCATATGCACAAAATCCATCAATGCCCAGGACAGAGCTCCTGCCCTCCTGACAGTGAGCTCAGAGCACCCTGCACACCCAGCCCTGGTCTGAGGTCCAGAGACACAGCCAGCACCAGGGACCAGCAGGCAGCCCAGCGGCTCCCCCTCCTTAAGAGGCCAAAGGTGCCCAGCAGAGCACGGCAGGCCAGGCCATGCCATCCCTGCCCCGGGCCTGGGCTCCACAGCGCCCATCTCTGTTCTGCTGGGGGCCTACTCCGGGACTCCACTGTGTCCTCACCTGCATATTGGGGAGCACCCCTCCACCCTCCGTGGCCCCCTTGAGAGCTCCTGGGAGAAGCAGTGAGGCCCAAAGGAGAGAGCTGAACAGAACCAGCGGGATCACGGCCCCAGGAAGACCAGAGCGAGCTCTGAGCTGTGCCTTTGAGGGACAGAGGTTCCCAGCCCACCAGGAGGACCCCAGGGCCTCAGGACCCTGCTCCGGTCAGCCAGGGTCTGTCCCGAAGGGAGCCTGCCCAGTTTTTCCTGCCAGTATGGGCACAGCATGGGGTGGGGACACACCCCTGTGGGGAGCCGGATGTGGGGACATGGAGCTGGTGGGCGGAAGCCTCCTCAGACAAGGCCTGGCATGGGGGTCTCCCCAGCCCGAGCTCAGAGCTGCCTGCGCGGAATTCCCGGCTTGGCTTCAGAAGGAATTCAAGCCCCAGCCTGCCTGGCCTCCTGCTCCGCGCCTGAGAATCACTCCTCCTTAATTTCCAACGACCACAGCGAGTTGTAAACTGTAAAACTCTAATGAGGAAATGCGCTGTGCTTCCCCTGCTAGTGCCTCCCGGTCAATTGTTAGAGTGGTCAATAAAAATGGGTTTTACAGTTTGGAAGCCAGGCGTTTCAGAATTCCCTTCTGGCCCTGGCGCCACACCTAGCCCTGCTCACCTGGGCAGGACCTATGTGTCCCGCATGCTGGTGCGTGGGCAGCAGAGGGAGGCAGGCCGCGGTCCCGACCCTCCCGCTGCGCCCCGGCCCGGGGCTTCCTCCCGAGAGGACAGCGGAACCCCCTTCACCGCCAGGCGATAGAAGCCGCGGTGGCCGGCCGGAGGCCCCTCGCATCAGTACGGTTGGGGCACACATAGGCTGAGCCGGCGGCCATGAGGCTGCCCGCGCGCGGGAAGGACCCGCGTGGCTGAAGGCCCCACGTCAGGGCCTGGAGTTGCCACCCGCGTGGACGGTGAGCCCGGAGGCGCGGGCTGGCCGGGGTCGCCGCGCGCCTCTCCGCTCAGAGGGGTCTCTCCTTCGCCACGGGCCTGAGATGCCCGCGAACCCCCTGCCCGGGAGAGGCCGCCCTCGGGGCCACCTGGCGGTCGCGCTCGGGTACCGGGCAAGGCCTGGGTCTGGCTGCTGAGGGAGCTTGGAATTCCCCGGGTGGCCGGAGGGAGAAGGGGCGGGACGACCGCAAAGAGACGCGGAGCGCCCGGGGGGCGCGCGGACGGCGGCGGCGACGGAGCTGGACCCCCCCGGCGGCCACCTGGCCTCCCCCGCCCAGGCGCTGCCGGCGACCAGCGCCCCCTGCCGCGAAGCGCGCCGCCGCCGGGACCCGCCCCCGGACCCCTGCGCACGGCACCGCCCACGCCCCGCCCCCATGTGGGCGCGGCCCAATCCCGGGGCCGCCGGCGCGCGCGTCACGGGCTGCCATTGTTATGCAAATATAAAGAAGGTAAAAGGCGCCCCGGCGCGGCGGGCGAGCTAGTGCTGCGGCGCGTGGGGAGGCGCCTTGGGACCGCGTGGGAGCCGCAGCCGAACCGAGTAGGGACCGGGACCGCGCGGCGCCGCCGTCCCCGGCCGGGCCCGGCCCCCGCGAGCCGAGCGCGCGCCCCCGTCGCCCACCCGGGCGCGGCTGGATGCGGCGGGGTCCCCGCGGCGGCGACCCCCGGCCCCGAGCGCCCGGAGCGCCCAGAGGCGGCGTGCGGGGCCCGGGGACGCCGCGCCCTCCATGCGCCGAGGCGCGCCCCGAGACAGCCGGGGGCCCGCGCCGCAGCCGCCGCCCGCGCTGAGCCCCGGCCCGGCCCGCGGCCCGCGCCCGGCGGCAGCATGAGCCAGGCCGAGCTGTCCACCTGCTCCGCGCCGCAGACGCAGCGCATCTTCCAGGAGGCTGTGCGCAAGGGCAACACGCAGGAGCTGCAGTCGCTGCTGCAGAACATGACCAACTGCGAGTTCAACGTGAACTCGTTCGGGCCCGAGGGCCAGACGGCGCTGCACCAGTCGGTCATCGACGGCAACCTGGAGCTCGTGAAGCTGCTGGTCAAGTTCGGCGCCGACATCCGCCTGGCCAACCGCGACGGCTGGAGCGCGCTGCACATCGCCGCGTTCGGTGGCCACCAGGACATCGTGCTCTATCTCATCACCAAGGCGAAGTACGCGGCCAGCGGCCGGTGATGCCCGCCGGGACCCCGGACCCCGGCCCTGCGCCCGCGTCGTCTCTGCTGTACCTTCCCGCCAACTACCTCGGTGCGCGCCCGGCTCGCAGGCCCCGCCAGAAGGCCCGTGGCCACGGCGAATACGGCGCGTGCGTCCCGGCCCCAGGGTCCGGCAGCCCCGCCGGCCGAGCGCCTCCCTGCGGCCTAGCCGGGCCCGGCCGGGCCGGAGCAGCTTCCCACGGCCCCCACCCGCTCGCCTGCCCGCCGCCTCGCGGGTGGGGGCGGGGCGCGGGCTCCAGCCCCTTTTGAAATTTGAGTCTCGCAACCAGCAAGTTCGGAATCCCGAGATACCGGATCCTCTGCGCAAAATGTTTTCTCCCGAAGGTGAAAGGCGGGCGGCGGGAGCCGAAGGCGGACTCGGAGCGCTCCGCCGCCGCCTTCAGGACCCGCCCGCAGGCCCGGGACGCGCCGATGCCGGCTGCAGCCGAGGAGCAGCCCCGAGGTCCGAGGTCCGCGCCGCTGGCGCGCGGCCGAGGAGACGCTCGGCTGTTCGCTGTTGCTGGTGTTCTAAACTATTTATCTTGTGTGTGTACATTTGTGGGTGGAGTTTGTGCGCCTGGTTTTTTTGTTTGGAAAACACTGCGTGGTCAATGTGGTTATGGGGGGGAGTGATGCATTTTTTTCTAGTCTTAAAACTAAAAACTTGAGTCTACCATTTCTTGGTTGCACTGAAAATACCGCCCAGCCTGATGGTGTTCCCGTGCTGTCCCTCCCCCTTCCCTTCTCCCCGCGTCTACCTCCCCACCCCGTTCTGTTCCCCCTCCCTCCTTCTCCCTCTCCCTCAAATCCGTGAGTTTTGGAAGCCCCAGGGCCTCTCTCCCCCGCCCCTCCTGGATGAGGCCACCATCCCCCAAACCGGCTTGTTTTGCAGTTTCCCCAGGATCCTGGAAGCTCGCTGGCGCTCGAGGGTGGCGGGGACACGGGGGGGTGGGTGAAGGTTCGTTACCTTTTCTAGTGCGTTCTATCATAGTTAACGGTTGCACACTTTTTTAAAAAAAGTAAATGGATTTGCCACAATTAAATGTCATAACATTTATGACAGAATATAAAATATTAACATATTTTAAGCCAAGTTTTAGGTGTATTTTTTGAATCTTGGTTATAAACCCAATTTTAAAGGGCGATGTATCCAGCGTTGTGAAGGCAACAGAGTGTACCCATATTTATATTTTTATAAAATACCTATAAGACTGTGAATCTCTTGTGCTAATGGCTGAGTTAATTGAAGGATCGTTTTGCCCCTTTTTAGCCTCCCAGAGCTTCGAGGACTCAATTCGAACCCGAAATCCTGCCGTGGGGGAGGGGTTGCGTCGAGACCTGGGCCCGGGGAGGTTCTCCTGCGTCACTTTCTGTCCTGAAAGGCGCCCTTCCTGGTTTCTGTGGCTCCAATTTTCTATGCAGCCCCACACCCCTTGTTGTTTTGATCCTGAGAAATAAAAGGGAGGCTGAATTATTCAAATTTAAATGAGGTTTCCCCTTCATGGAAGTGCTGCTGACCCTTCGTGCAGAAATGGGGAGCACTTGAGGACACAGGTGGGTGGAGGCCCTTTGTGCGTGGCTGGTCGTATTCGGGCAGCCCTCCGTCGCTTTTTATAAAACTTTGTGTGAGAAGAATATATTGATAATGTCAGTGAAACAAGCAGACATTGAAATGGAGGCACAGATTACTCCACAAGGAGTTCTTCTGTATATTTTTTCTAGATGCAAATACCTTTTTAATTATGTTAATTAATGTTAAGACTTTCTAGGCTTATATCGAAGCTGTGTGTGGGTCACGGGGTGATCACTGCTAACTGGATAAAGTTTGTGCAGCACATTCCTGAGTGTACGATATTGACCTGTAGCCCAGCGTGAAAAATTTATAAATAAATTTTTCATTGATCTTTTTATATTAAAAAAAAGTTTCTTGGTCCTTCTTGGCTTTGGCACAAGTTGCAGAACACCCTCTCTGGGGACGAGGGTCAGGCTGTGACACGGTTTGTGGGTGCTGGGTGCACAATGCTTGGCTTGTATTTGTCTGAAGACAGAGCCTGGTAAACTCGCTCCCAGCCCCACGCAACGGCCAAGCCCAACCCGGCTGCACACAGGACTCACGAGGACCCAGCACCTCCAGCGTGCCCAGAGCTGGTGTCACAGCCTCTGCTCTGTTCCCCAGCAAAGCAGCTGAGACCTCCGCTGGAGAGGAGAGTTCGGCCTGAAGCCCTGCCCACTCTGACCCGCTAGGGGGTCATGCTGGAGGCTGCCTGCTGCACAGAAAGTGTATCTTGTAAATTGGGGGGAAATCCCATAGCTGCTCACTCCTGGCAGGTAGAAAGTCCCCTGGAGGCACCCGGGAGCTTTGGAGGCCTGCACAGGCCTGGAGTCAAAACACCCCAAAGAGCACAGACCCTGAGTTAGACGAGCATCGGGGCCGGGCACTCCCATTCGCAAGAAAGGAGAGCAGAGCAGGATGGCTGTTGCTGGCACCTGACAGAAAGGAGCAGAGACTCTTGGTCCACTCCTGAGATGCCCTTGGGGCCCTGGGGGCCCTGTACCGGGCTGCAAGGGAGCACACCCGCCCCCAGCAAGAGCAGCCAGCAGAGAGAACTTGGAGAAGGGCAAAGACCGGGAGTTACAAGGTAACAACTTTTCAAACCCCTCTGCCGAATGTAAGGGGAATCTGCTTCCCTAAACCGTGTCCGCAGAAGGGCTGCCCTTCCCACAAACTTTCCCCACGCCTCCGCCTTCCTACTCTGCACTGCCGCCCTGTTTACCCTTGGTTTTCCAGGCGCGTTTTCCGTCGGTTACGCATTTCCTATCCTGCAGAATCGGCCTGGGAGATGGGCCAGCTCCCTGAAGCAGGCTTTGGGAAGTCTTGCCCTGGGCCAGCCCGGGAATGCCCAGCCGTTGGAAAGGAGAGTGGCCACAAGAACCTGGACACGATTGGGGTAACCAGAGAATGAGGTCAGGCAGCCCCAGTGATGGCCAGGGCTATGCTGGACCACTCCACCCTTCCCCACCCAGGGTCTGAAGAACAAAGGTAACATTTGTTACTGGCATTAGCCTGCAGGTGGGTGGGGTCCCAGCCAATTGCTTGCCCCTGCAATATCCGGGAAGTTCTCCCACTGCGGAGAGGCCTGGCCTGGCACCAGGGGCCTCCCAGGCACATGGCTGCCACCCCAGGGTACTCTTTGCAGCTCCCTTAAATTCTGTCTTCTGAAAGATACATTTGACTGAGAAAGGCCTTGTGCTGCTCTTCTCTCGCGCAGGAACAAAAGGAAGCCTGCCCGGGCAGCCCTGTGGGCAGCTGAGGAGAGGAGGGCTGAGAGGGTGGAGCCCTGGAGGGGGTCTGCTTCCTCCCCAGGTGTCGCTGTGTACACTGACCGGCCCGGATGACTGGGGACAGCCTCGCTGACCTTTCTTGCCAGGCACAGCCCTAGGGGGCAGGTAGACACACACTCTAAGACCAGGCACAGCCCTAGGGAGCAGGTAGACACACTCTAAAACCAGGCACAGCCCTAGGGGGCAGGTAGACACACTCTAAAACCAGGCACAGCCCTAGGGAGCAGGTAGACACACACTCTAAAACCAGGCACAGCCCTAGGGAGCAGGTAGACACACACTCTAAAACCAGGCACAGCCCTAGGGAGCAGGTAGAGACACACTCTAAAACCAGGCACAGCCCTAGGGGGCAGGTAGACACACACTCTAAAACCAGGCACAGCCCTAGGGGGCAGGTAGACACACACTCTAAAACCAGGCACAGCCCTAGGGGGCAGGTAGACACACACTCTAAAACCAGGCACAGCCCTAGGGGGCGGGTAGACACACACTCTAAAACCAGGCACAGCCCTAGGGGGCGGGTAGACACACTCTAAAACCAGGCACAGCCCTAGGGGCAGGTAGACACACTCTCTAAAACCACAATTTTCTTCCCACCTCTGGGGGTCAGATTTATGAATGAAATCTCAGCTGGGAGGGTCCAGGTGTTGAGAGCCCAGGAGGACGGTCCGGGGACGCTGAGCACAGCCTACAGGCTTGTCCTTGTTAGGAAGCCCGGGGTAGCACATTCCTAGAAGCAGCTCAGTGGAGGGGGAGGCTGGCCACCTGTGCGCCAAGAGTGGGCCTCCCTGGCCACAAGGGGAGGGGGGGGCAGCTCTGGGGTATGGGCAAAAAGGAGGAAGTACCTGGTCTCTGGGTATGGCCAGGTCGATGCTGCTATGTGTCTCTGATGCCTGTTTCCCTCCTGAGTTCAGGGGCCTGTGCACACGCTTCTTCCAGTGCTTCTGTGTTCAGCAGGTCACTTACTGCAGCAGGGTGTTGGTAGGTATTAGCAGCTATGGTGGGTACTGGCCTATGGCAGAGTTACTGGGGAGTCCCCAACCCCCCTCCCCAGGCAGGCCCCTTTGTGGCCAGGGTGAGAAAGAAGGTCTGGGTGGCCCAGCCTACACCGTCAGCCCCGGCCTCCCAGATCTGCAGGTGTGCCTTGGAGGCCAGGTGAGGTGTCCGGCCGAGAGGCACGGAGGACAGCCACGGTGGAGGGGCTGGCAGGTGGGGGCTGGGTCCCTGGGAACCCCTGAGAGAAAGGAGACAGTCCCGGCAAGGTCAGGGCCTGCCCCACATCCCCCGCCAGGACTGCTGGGCTCCCGTCCAACTGTCTGTCTCTGATCTGACCCCGGCTGGAGGCAGGAAGCACTGACGTTGGAACAGACGCCACGGAAAGACCAGGAAATGCAGGAAGATGGTCAGCTAGAAAGAGTGATGTCTGAAGCCAGCAGGCGTGGGAGCCAGGACACAGCAGGCCAGAGGAGGGTGGACAGGACTTAGAAGCCAGGGAGACGGGTGCAGGGAAGGAAGAGCGGGAAGGAGCTGCCCGCTGGGGTCTGTCCCCCAAAGGCCTCATAGCTCAGCACAGGTTGGGACAGAGGGGTCGTGGACACTAGAACACCCGGCGCACAGAGCCTCCGACATCGGTAAGGCCAGCTGCCCCTGAAGCTCCCTGAGCCTGCGGGGAGGAGGCAGCGTCCACCTGGGCCTTGAAGGACGGGAAAGGAGGCCCCGCGCCAGGGACACCTGGGGAAGGAAGCCTGAGGCCGGGATGCGACGGCTTGGAACACGGGAGGGGCCGTGGAAGGTCTGGGAACCTCCGCAACTGCTGCTTCCAGGGCCTCCAGTGCAGACCCTCCGGGGCTTGGAGGTCCCCGGGAGGCCGCCCTCCACCCACCCCCGCACACTCAGGCTCCACCGCCCGGAGCCGCTCCCCCCGCTGGAAACTCCCAACACCCGTCCGGCGCATTCTTCTGCCGGGCCGTCCTTCCGACCGTCCTCCGCGCGTCCGTCTGTCGGTCTTTCTTCTCTCGCCCCTCCAAAGCCGCGGCCCCCATTCATTCCCGAGGCCTCTGCCCTTTCCTCCGCGCCGTCCGGCTCGGCGAGCAGCTGCTATGCTAATGAGGGCGGGGGGCTGGGGCCGGGGTGCGGGGGGAGGGAGCCGGGCCGTGGGGGGCATGTGGGGGTGGGGGCAGCCGCTCACAAAGCCCGATCTCTACATTCAAAACCAGCCGGGCCATTCCGGTCCCCAGCGCGCCAGGCGGGGACGGCGGGGACGGTGGGGACGGCGGGGACGGTGGGGGCGGGGCGCCTGCGCACCCGGAAAGCGCCCGCACCGCGAGGGGCGAGGGCAGAGCCGAGGGCCGGGCCGAGGGGGCGCACCCGGCTCGCAGCGCCGCGCACCCACTCGCCCCAGCGCTGGGGTCGCGGCCTGGGACGCGCGGCTCGTCCTGGGGACCCCGCCCCGCCCACCAGACGCCGCCGCGCGTGGGGCTAGAGTGCGCCCGGCGCAGGTGGGGAGGGGGGTCCGACCCAGCGCGGACCTCGCCGGAGACACCCCGCCCGCCCCGGCCCGGTCCGCGGGGGCATGCGAGGCAGGGGAGGGGGCGCGCCCGGGGCTCCCACCGACCTCGCCCGGGCGCAAGGGCCGGAGCCCCCGGGTTCCCGAGCCTCGGAGCCGCCGCGGCTGTGCTGCCGCCCTGTGGCCGCCGCCCGCACTGCGCCTCGGGCCCGGCCGCGCTCCAGCGCGTGCACCCCGCACTCCGCCCTGCCCCGGACCTCCGCGGGCCCCGAGTCTTCCTGCCAGCCCCTCGGCCCCAGGGAGGCGGGGCGGGCGCCGGGGTAGACGGCGGGGCCATGTGGGCTTTGCTAGCTCGGGAGCGGGGCGGGGTGGGAGGCTGCGGGGAGCCGGGCCCCAATGCCCGGAGGTCAGGGGCGCCCTGGGGCAGAGGAAGCGGCAGGTACCCCTTAGCGACTCGTGGCTTCTGCAGCCCCTAGAAGGACCCCCAGACGAGGGTCTGGAAAAGTGACCCCTTCATAGTCCTAAACAAGCAGTTGGCAATGGTGTGCCGTTCTCCACGCGGTCCGATGGGAAAGGGAGGCCCTGAGCCGCAACGAGTAAGTAGATAGTCAGCAGGACCACGTGGACGCGACCAACCACAGGTCACACTTCGGACGGGAGCAGGACCCGGCGCCCATCCCTCAGGACCGCCGAGAGCCGGGCCCTCTGGGCCGCAGGTGCCGCTACCTTAGCCATGGAGCCGCAGCAGAGGAGGCCGGCGCTGGAATTGCAGGCTCGTCCTGGCTGCCCCGCCGCACTCCTCTCACGGAAGTGGCTGTGCCGGAGGCGCGAGAACAGAACTCTGTTCAGACGCTCGCGTGCTCGGAGAATGGAGCCTGGAGACCTGGTTCACACCCGCTATGTGTTTAAATGGATAAAACGCTCCTCAGGTCTGTGAGCCTGCAAACAAGGTCCCCACTGCCATCTGCTGGCCCCACAGACAAGAACCCACACAGGAATGAAGCCCAAAATATCCCATAAACTTTCCAAAGAGAAATGACAAAACTGAAATAGTAGTGGTGTCAAAACACAGTGTACTTCTCAGCCCAATGAAGCTGGGATGGGTGGCCCAGGGAGCCCCAGACTTCATGGATAGGCTTTTCGTTCACATGGCTCAAAATGGCACCCCAGATCCAGCCATCACATCTGCACTCCAGCCAGCAGAAAGGAGGCAGGGCCCTCTTCTTCAAGGATGCCTCCCAAAAGTTGTGTTGCCACAGCTGCTCACATCCCATTGGCTAGAACGTAGTCATACGACCCACCTCACTGCAAGGGAGGCTGGGAAATGTAGTCTTTAATCTGTGAAATGTGCCCGCTTAAAACGGAGCCATGGAGGAAGAAGGACTAGCGATCTGGGGGGTAGGGGTTGGGTGGGCGAAAGGCTGTGCCTCCCTCGGTGGCGTCAACATCCTGGCCATGTTGTCACATGCACTTGCTGGCAAAATTCCCAAGCCATGCGCTCACAGTTTGTGCAGTGATGAGTGTGGCAAACACAGCTCAGTTAAAAATAAACATCATTTTATAGATTAGCTGAAGAATACAATGTCCCACGAGACTATGTGGCCATCAGGAAATTAACTTTTCTGACCTAATGGCCCAGGAAGCACTGCGGGCAGCGTCTCGCCCCGTGTAACGCAGCACCCGCAGAAGTGCCCGGGATCAGCCTTTGCCTCGGCGGGATCCTGGTTCCTGGTTCTTCCAAGGGCATGGCGAGGTCCCCGCTCCCTTATCTTGAGGAAAGTAATAAGTAACCCAGCTCTTTCAACTCCCAAGGTTACTTTGTCAATAAAGTGCGCCTTCTCAAGTCTTCCCCTCGGTCTCTTTACGGACTGTTTCTTTTCATTCGACTCCAGACGGAAAGAAAATCGTTAGGTTTATCATTCACATTCCTAAACGTCAGCGTTAGGGTGGTGTAATTTACATGCAATAAAATGCACCCCTTGAGGGTGTGGCAAGTCTTGATGGCTGTTTACACCATGTAACCCACACCACAATCACAATTATATAAAGATATTATTAAAGCCAAGAAAGTTCTCCCGGCCCATCCCAGTCAATTCCTCCTGCCCCAGATCACCACCCATCCGACTTCTAGCACCGTGGATTCACGGCGCCTGTTCCAGAGCTTTCTCTAAAGGCATCACGTGGCACGCGCTTCTTTTGTCCTGCCCCTGAAACTCGTCGCCATGCTGTTGAGATTTGTCTGTGTGGTTCGTGTTTCCCTAACTTCTGCAAGGTGTAGCCTCTTTTTTTTTTTTTTTTTTTTTTTTCGGAACTCGTAAAATCTGGCTGGTGCGCCACAAACACAGGCTCATGTTCCCGGGTAGTTTTTCAGTTGGCACACTCATCCTCCTCCAGAAAGGAACTGCGTCACGAGGACACCCTCCTGGAATCCCAGAGCGTGGCACCGGCCAGCTCTTGTGTCCCCAACAGGGGCCCCGCCATGTTCCCTGGTAGTCCGTCTCCCCTCCCAGGCACTGAGCCCAGGGACTGGAAATCCAACCTCGGAGGGTTGCAGACCCGGCAGCTCCGGTGCAAGGCTCTTCCCACCGCAGACCAGGCCTGAGATCTGGGGCCTCTCCTTTGCCAGAGGAAGGAGGAATGAGCTGCCTACCAGGCACTTTGCTAGGACGAATATGTGAATGTCGAGCCTTGCAGGGCGCAAAGTCAATGCACAAAAGCCAATTGTGATTCTATATCCTGTCAACATTCAGAAAATACCACTAAAATAGCATACGGCAAAACATAAAATGCTTAACAAAAAAATTAATGAAAGTGTGTAATGAAAGATCTCTCCAATGAGAACTATAGAACATTGCCAGAAACTTTTTTTTTTTTTTTTTTTTTCAGATGGAGTCTCGCTCTGTCGCCCAGGCTGGAGTGCAGTGGCCTGATCTCGGCTCACTGGAACCTCCGCCTCGCGGGTTCAAGCGATTCTCCTGCCTCAGCCTCCTGAGTAGCTGGGACTGCAGTCGCCCGCCACCACGCCCGGCTAATTTTTTGTATTTTTTGTAGAGACGGGGTTTCATCGTGTTAGCCAGGATGGTCTCGATCTCCTGACCTTGTGATCCACCCTCCTCAGCCTCCCAAAGTGCTGGGATTACAGGTGTGAGCCCCTGCACCTGGCCGAGAAATTCTTTTTTAAATCTGAATCAAAAGAGATACGTATCATGTTCACTGCCTAGAAGACTTGATAGTGTTATAAGTGCTCCCCAAATTCATCTACAGATTCAATGCAATCACAGTCAAAATCCAGCAGGCTTTCCGTGGAAATTGGCTAGATGATTTTTAAAATTCATTTGGAAACACAAATGTCAAAAAAATAAACAAAATAATCTTGAAAAGAGGCCGGGTGCGGTGGCTGATGCCTGTAATCCCAGCACTTCGGGAGGCTGAGGCAGGTGAATCACCTGAGGTCAGGAGTTCAAGACCAGCCTGGCCAACATGGTGAAACCCCATCTCTACTAAAAACACAAAAATTAGCCGGGCGTGGTGGCGGGCACCTGTAATCCAGCTACTTGGGAGGCTGAGGCAGGAGAATTGCTTGAACCCTGGAGGCAGAGGTTGCAGTGAGCCAAGATCGCACCATTGCACTCCAGCCTGGGCGACAAGAGCAAAACTCCATCTCAAAATAATAATAATAATCTTGAAAATAAAGAACAGGCTGAGCATGGTGGATCACACCTGTAATCCCAGCACTTTGGGAGGCTGAGGCAGGTGGATCACTTGAGGTCAGGAGTCCAAGACCAGCCTGGCCAACATGGTGAAACCCAGTCTCTACTAAAAACAGAAAAATTAGGCCGGGCGCAGTGGCTCATGGCTGTAATATCCCAGCACTTAGGGAGGCCAAGGCGGGTGGATCACCTGAGGTTGGGAGTTCAAGACCAGCCTGACCAACATGGAGAAACCCTGTCTCTACTAAAAATACAAAATTAGCCGGGCATGGTGGCGCATGCCTGTAATCCCAGCTACTCAGGAGGCTGAGGCAGGAGAATCGCTTGAACCCAGGAGGCGGAGGTTGTGGTGAGCCAAAATCATGCCATTGTACTGCAGCCTGCGCAACAAGAGCAAAACTCTCTCAAAAAAAAAAAAAAAAAAAAAAAAAGGCCGGGCGCGTTAGCTCATGCCTGTAATCCCAGCGCACTTTGGGAGGCCAAGGCGGGAGGATCATCTGAGGTCAGGAGTTCAAGACCAGCCTGGCCAACTTGGTGAAACTCTGTCTTTACTAAAAATACAAAAACTAGCCAGATATGGTGGCAGGTGCCTGTAATCCCAGCTACTCGGGAGGCTGAGGCAGGAGAATCACTTGAACCCAGGAGGCAGAGGTTGCAGTGAGCTGAGATCATGCCACTGCACTCCAGCCTGGGCAACAGAGCCAGATGCCGTCTCAAAAAAAAGAAAAAAAAAGGTTTGGATCTTTGTGTGTGTGTGTGTTTGTATGTATATATGTTTAAATGTGTTTATGTATATGTACAGGTATTGTTATATGTTGTATGTAGCATGTTACCAAATTGGCCTATAAGTAAATGGATACTCATAAGTTAAGTCCAAATGTCTATCAGGTTCACATGAATTTTATAATCTTTGGTAAATAAAATGTTTTTTTATTTGTTTGTTTGTTTTTGAGACAGAGTCTTGCTCTGTCACCCAGGCTGGAGTGCAATGCTGCCGCCTTGGCTCACCGCAACCTCTGCCTCCTGGGTTCAAGCGATTCTCCTGCCTCAGCCTCCCAAGTAGCTGGGACTACAGGTGCGTGCCACCACACCTGGTTAATTTTTGTATTTTTGGTAGAGATAGGGTTTCACTATGTTGGCCAGGCTGATCTTGAACTCCTGATCTCATGATTTGCCCGCCTCAGCCTCCCAAAGTGCTGGGATTACAGGCGTGAGCCACCATGCCAGGCCAAAAATAGTTTTTAACTTATTGGTAAAATAAAACTAGAAATATCAGGCTGGGCACAGTGGCTCATGCCTGTAATCCCAGCACTTTAGGAGGCTGAGGCAGGTGAGTCACGAGGTCAAGAGTTCAAGATCAGTCTGGCCAACATGGTGAAATCCCGTCTCTACTAAAAATACAAAAATTAGCCAGGCGTGGTGGCAGGTGCCTGTAATCCCAGCTACTCCGGAGGCTGAGGCAGGAAAATCACTTGAAGCCAGGAGACAGAGGTTGCAGTGAGCCGAGATTGTGCCATTGCACTCCAGCCTGGGCGACAAAGCAAGACTCCATCTCAAATAAATAAATAAATAAATACATACATAAAAATAAATTCTACTTAAAGCCAGGTGTGGTGGCTCACGCCCGTAATCCCAGCACTTTGGGAGGAGGCAGGAGGATTGCTCGAGCCCAGCTGTTTGAGATCAGCGTGGCAACATAGTGAGACCTCGTCTCTAAAAAAATTTTTTAAACCTGGCCAGACGTGGCACACGCCTGTGGTCCCATCCACTTTGGAGGCTGAGGTGGTAGGATGGCTTGAGCCCAGGAGGTTTAGGCTGCAGTGAGCCATGATTGCACCCCTGCACTCCAGTCTGGGCAACAGAGAGAGACCCTGTCTCAAAAAATATATATGTGGGGACCGGTGCGGTGGCTCACGCCTGTAATCCCAGTACTGAGGGAGGCCAAGGTGGGTGGGTCACCTGAGGTCAGGCATTCAAGACCAGCCTGGCCAACATGGAGAAACACTCTCTACTAAAAATACAACAATTAGCTGGTATGGTGGCGCATGCCTGTAATCCCAGCTATTCGGGAGGCTGAGGCAGGAGAATCGCTTGAACCCAAGAGGCGGAGCTTGCAGTGAGCCGAGGTCACGCCACTGAACTCCAGCCTGGGTGACAGAGTGAGACCCTGAAAAAAAAATAAAAAAATAAAAATGAAACCCACTAACTAGGTTTTGTTAAAGATTTACAGGAGCAAGGGCCGGGCATGGTGGCTCACGCCTGTAATCCCAGCACTTTGGGAGGCCAAGGTGGGCACATCATGAGGTCAGGAGATCGAGACCATCCCGGCTAACATGGTGAAACCCTGACTCTACAAAAAATACAAAAAAAAAATTAGCCGGGCATGGTGGCAGGCGCCTGTAGTCCCAGCTACTTGGGAGGCTGAGGCAGGAAAATGGCGTGAACCTGGGAGGCGGAGGTTGCAGTGAGCCAAGATTGCACCACTGCACTCCAGCCTGGGCGACAGAGCGAGACTCCATCTCAAAAAAAAAAAAAAAGATTTACAGGAGCACTGTGACCTGACCAAGGACAGAGAAGTGGCCACAGCCTCCTCAGACCCTCGCTGGCACCCAGATGTGTGTGGTCCTCGGTCCCTCCCACCCTCGCTGGCACCCAGATGTGTGTGGTCCTCGGTCCCCTCCTGATCCCAAGCCCTGCACATAGTTTCTCCACATCCCCCATCCCATGAAAACCCTCCTGCCAGCATGGAAAATGTAAGATACTGGTTCAGGACACTAGGTCTCCAGGTCTCCATCTTCTCGGTTTGCTGGCTCTCCAATTTCTTTTTTTTTTCTTTTTTTTTTTTTTTAATTTATTTTTTTATTGATAATTCTTGGGTGTTTCTCACAGAGGGGGATTTGGCAGGGTCATGGGACAATAGTGGAGGGAAGGTCAGCAGATAAACAAGTGAACAAAGGTCTCTGGTTTTCCTAGGCAGAGGACTCTGCGGCCTTCCGCAGTGTTTGTGTCCCTGATTACTTGAGATTAGGGATGGGTGATGACTCTTAACGAGCATGCTGCCTTCAAGCATCTGTTTAACAAAGCACATCTTGCACCGCCCTTAATCCATTTAACCCTGAGTGGACACAGCACATGTTTCAGAGAGCACAGGGTTGGGGGTAAGGTCACAGATCAACAGGATCCCAAGGCAGAGGAATTTTTCTTAGTGCAGAACAAAATGAAAAGTCTCCCATGTCTACTTCTTTCTACACAGACACGGCAACCATCCGATTTCTCAATCTTTTCCCCACCTTTCCCGCCTTTCCATTCCACAAAGCCGCCATTGTCATCCTGGCCCGTTCTCAATGAGCTGTTAGGCACACCTCCCAGACGGGGTGGTGGCCGGGCAGAGGGGCTCCTCACTTCCCAGTAGGGGCGGCCGGGCAGAGGCGCCCCTCACCTCCCGGACGGGGCGGCTGGCCGGGCAGGGGGGCTGACCCCCCCCACCTCCCTCCCGGACGGGGCGGCTGGCCGGGCAGAGGGGCTCCTCACTTCCCAGTAGGGGCGGCCGGGCAGAGGCGCCCCTCACCTCCCGGACGGGGCGGCTGGCCGGGCGGGGGGCCGACCCCCCCACCTCCCTCCCGGACGGGGCGGCTGGCCGGGCAGAGGGGCTCCTCACTTCCCAGTAGGGGCGGCCGGGCAGAGGCGCTTTTTCTTTCCTTTTCTATTTTTTTATTATTTTATTTTATTTTATTTTTTGAGAGTGAATCTCATTCTGTCGCCCAGGCTGGAGTGCAGTGGCGCGATCTCGGCTCACTGCAAGCTCCGCCTCCCGGATTCACACCATTCTCCTGCCTCAGCCTCCCAAGTAGCTGGGACTACAGGCACCTGCCACCAGGCCTGGCTAATTTTTTGTATTTTTAGTAGAGATGGGGCTTCACCATGTTAGCCAGGTTGGTCTTGATCTCCTGACCTCGTGATCTGCCCGCCTCGGCCTCCCAAAGTGCTGGGATTACAGGCGTGAGCCACCGTGCCTGGCCCAAATATTCTCTTCTTGTAAGGACACCAGTCACATTGCATCCTGATCCACAGTACTCATTTCAGCCTTAAAAAGGAATGGGCGGCTGGGCGCCGTGGCTCACACCTGTAATCCCAGCACTTTGGGAGGTCAAGGTGGGTGGATCATTTGAGCTCAGGAGTTCGAGACCAGCCTGGGCAATGTGGCAAAGCCCCATTTCTATAAAAAATACAAAAATTAAGCAAGCATGGTGGTGCACACCTGTGGCCCCAGCTGCTTGGGATGCTGAGCTGGGAGGATCACTTGAGCCCAGGAGTGCAAGGCTGCAGTGAGCTATGACTCTACCACTGTACTCTAGCCTGGGTGACAGAGTAAGACCCTGTCTCAAAAAAATAAAAATTTTAAAAAAAGAAAAGAGGCTGGGCTCGGTGGCTTACACCTGTAATCCCAGCACTTTGGGAGGCCGACACAGGTGGATCACCTGAGGTCAAGAGTTGGAGACCAGCCTGGGCAACATGATGAAACCCTGTCTCTACTAAAACTACAAAAGTTAGCCAGGTAAGCTACTCGGGAGGCTGAAGCAGAAGCATCACTTGAACCCGGGAGGCAGAGGTTGCAGTGAGCCGAGATCACGCCACTGCACTCCAGTCTGGGCAACAAGAGCGAAACTCCGTCTTGAAAAAAAAAATAAGAAAAACTACGACGCTCTACGCTCATCCTCAGAGGCAGAAGGGCAGAAATCACCAGCTCACACCCCCGGGCAATGGCCACGTGCTGGAGCGCCTTCCATCCCCGTTCCCTTTCCAGCCTCCAGAAACTCCACGAGGTCCTGGACATGAGTCTGCATCTCTTGGGAGGTGCTGAGTGGGTGTCTCTCCCTGAGCTGCACTGACACCTGCTGGAGGCTCTGACGGCCTCAGTCCACGAAGGCCCATGGCAGGGACTGCTCCTTGTAGCTCATCCATCACCAGCTCCACACAGTCAAAGACCTTCTCCTGGGTCAGGTGCAGTGGCTCACGCCTGTAATCTCAGCACTTTGGGAGGCCAAGGCAGGCGGATCACCTGAGGTCAGGAGTTCAAGACCAGCCTGACCAACATGGTGAAACCCCATCTCTACTAAAAATACAAAGTTAGCCAGGTGTGGTGGCACATGCTGCAATCTCAGCTACTTGGAAGGCTGAGACAGGAGAATAGTGTGAACTCAGAAGGCGGTTACAGTGAGCCGAGATCGCACCACTGCACTCCAGCCTGGGCGACAGAGCGAGACTCCGTCTCAAAAAAAAAAAAAAAAAGAACACAGTCTGGGCCAGGTGTGGTGGCTCAAGCCTGTAGTCCCAGCACTTTGAGAAGCCAAAGCAGGAGGATCCCTTGAGCCCAGGAGTTTGAGACTAGCTTGGGCAACATAGTGAAACCTCATCTGTACAAAAAATGAACAAAATTAGCTGGGCGTGGTGACATGCACCTGTAGTCCCAGCTACTCGGGAGGCTGAGGCAGGAGGATTGCTTGAGCCTGTTGCTATGTGCTTGAGCAATGTGCTATGATCATGCCATTACACTCCAGCCTGGGCAACCGAGTGAAACTCTGTCTGGAAAAAAAAAAGTATACTGTAGTTTCACTTCAACTTCAGAAATTCTGACTTTGGTTGATCCTCTGAACATGTAATCGCAGACACTCAACCTGATAGTGCAACAAAAACTGATCCCAAGCCTGAGGCTCTGAAGAAACCTCTGCTATGGATTCCTTCATCTCAACCACAGGTATTGCCAGAAACAAATCTGATGCTTTTTCTTTTGGGTATTCAAAACATTTTTGTAGATTTTCATTGCTTTCCATTCTGTCTACAAAATGTTTCAAATCTTCAGAAAGAGAAGATACATTGGCTTTAAAACTTTCAAGGTGAAGCCAGGTGCGGTGGCTCACGCCTGTAATCCCAGCACTTTGAGAGGCCGAGGCAAGAGGATTGCTTGATCTCAGGAGTTCGAGACCAGCCTGGCCAACATATAGTGAAACCCCGTCTCTACTAAAAAAATACAAAAATTAGGCCGGGTGCAGTGGCTCACACCTGTAATCCCAGCACTTTGGGAGGCCAAGGTGGTGGATCACCTGAGATCAGGAGTTTGAGACCAGCCTGGCCAACATGGAGAAATCCTGTCTCTACTAAAACTACAAAAATTAGCTGGGCGTGGTGGCACATGCCTGTAATCCCAGCTACTCAGGAGGCTGAGGCAGGAGAATTGCCTGAACCCAGGAGGCAGAGGTTGCCGTGATCTGAGATTGCACCACTGCACTCCAACCTGGGAAACAGATTGAGATTCATCTCTCAAAAAAAATTTAAAAAAAAAACTTTCAAGATGGAAAACAATTTTTTATATATAATAAAGAATTGAAAGACAAAAAAAAAAAGAACCAAATGGAAATGGAAAGTTTGGAGTTAAAAAGCACAAAAACTGAAATGAGAAATCCACTAAAGAGGTTGAGCAACAGATTTTTTTTTTTTTTTTTTGAGATAAGTCTCGCTCTGTCTCCCAGGCTGGAGTGCAATGGCTCAATCTCGGCTCACTGCAACCTCTGCCTCCTGGATTCAAGTGATTCTCCTGCCTCAGCCTCCCGGGCAGCTGGAATTGTATGTGCTCGCCATGCAATTTGAGACTAGATCAATAGAAACTACCCAATGTGGGGCCGGACACGGTGGCTCATGCCTGTAATCCCAGCACTTTGGGAGGCCGAGGAGGGCGGATCATGAGGTCAGGAGATCGAGACCATCCTGGCTAACATGGTGAAACCCCGTCTCTACTAAAAAAATGCAAAAAAAAAAATTAGCCAGTCATGGTGGCAGGCGCCTGTAATCCCAGCTACTAAGGAGGCTGAGGCAGAATGGCGAGAACCCGGGAGGCGGAGCTTGCAGTGAGCCAAGATTGCGCCACTGCACTTCCAGCCTGGATGACAGAGCAAGACTCCATCTCAAAAAAAAAAAATGCAAAAAACTAGCCAGGCGTGGTGATGGGCGCCTGTAGTCCCAGCTACTTGGGAGGCTGAGGCAGGAGAATGGCATGAACCCAGGAGGCGGAGCTTGCAGTGAGCAGAGATCGCGCCACTGCACTCCAGCCTGGGCAACAGAGCGAGACTCTGTCTCAAAAAAAAAAAAAAAAACAAAAATTACCAGGACATGGTGGCACACGCCTCTGGTCCCAGCTACTCAGGAGGCCAAGGCAGGAGAATCGCTTGAACCTGGGAGTTTAAGGCTGCAGTGAGCCAAGATTGCACCACTAGCTGAGATTGCACCACTGCCCTCCAGCCTAGGTGACAGAGTGAGACCCTGTCTCAAACAAACAAACCAAAAAAAAAAAAAAAAGCTTTATTTCAAAAAGTTTGCCTAGGGCCAGGCATGGTGGCTCACGCCTGTAATCCCAGCACTTTGGGAGGTCTAGGCTGGAGGATCACTGTAAGTGGGGAGTTTGAGACCAGCCTGTCCAATATGGTATAACCCTGTCTCTACTAAAAATACAAAAATTAGCTGAGCATGTTGGTGCGTGCCTGCAATCCCAGCTACTCGGGAGACTGAGGCAGGAGAATTGCTTGAACCCAGGAGGTGGAAGTTGCAATGAGCCGAGATCATCGCACCATTGCACTCCAGCCTAGACAACAAGAGTGAAACTCCGTCTCAAAACAAAACAAAACAAAAAATTAGCTGGGCATGGTGGCACACACCTGTAGTCCCAGGTACTAGGGAGGCTACAGCAGGAGAATCCCTTGAACCCAGGAGGCAGAGGTTGCAGTGAGCCAAGATCGAGCCACTGCACTCCAGCCTGGGCGATAGAGCAAGACTGTCTCAAAAAAAAAAAATCAATAAAATTAGACAATTTAGATGAAATGGACAAATTCCTAGAAGTTCCAAGAAAGACACAAATTACCAAAACTGACTCAGGGACTTTGCAGATGTAGGTAAGTGTGGACCTTGGATGGGAAGATAATCCGTTATTACCCAGGTGGACACATTTACTTATTTATTTTATCTTTTTTGAGACATAGTCTCACTCTGTCGTCCAGGCTGGAGTGCAGTCGCAGGGTCTTGGCTCACTGCAAGCTCCACCTCCTGGATTCAAGCGATTCTCCTACCTCAGCCCCCCAAGTAGCTGGGATGACAGGAACTCGACACCACATCCGACTGATTTTTGTATTTTTAGTAGAGACAGGGTTCCACCATGTTGGCCAGGCTGGTCTTGAACTCCTGACCTCAGGTGATCTGCCCGCCTTGGCCTCCCAAAGTGCTGGGATTATAGGCGTGAGCCACTGCGCCTGGCCCAGGTGGACACATCTAGTCACATGGGTCTTTAAAAGCAGAAAACTCTTCCTGGCTGTGGTCGGAAGGATGCAGTGTTGCTGACCTTGAAAAATGCAGAGAATGGCCAGGCGCGGCGGCTCACGCCTGGAATCCCAGCACTTTGGAAGGCCGAGGTGGGAGAATCGCTTGAGCCCAGGAGGTCGAGGCTGTAGTGAGCCACAATCACGCCATTGCATTCCAGCCTGAATGACAGAGAGAACCTGTCTCTATTAAAAGAAAAGAGAAGCCAGGCACGTTGGCTCACAACTGTAATGCCAGCATTTTGGGAGGCTGAGATGGGTAGATCACCTGAGGTCAGGAGTTCGAGACCAGCCTGGCCAACATAGTGAAACTGAGTCCCTACTAAAAATACAAAAATTAGCTGGGTGTGGTGGTGGGCGTCTGTAATTCCAGCTACTCAGGAGGCTGAGGCAGGAGAATTACTTGAACCCAGGAGGTGGAGGCTGCAGTGAGTGGAGATCACACCACTGCACTCCAGCCTGGGTGACAGAGCGAGACCTTGTCTCAAAAAAAAAAAAAAAAGTCATTATGATGTGCACACACAGATCACGAGGGTTACTACGTAATGACACATGGCAGATGTCAAAGAATAACTCAGAGACAACTGCACAGAAACAGTTTCTGCACATATGAGGGAGAGCAGCTATGACATTTGGGATCATCTGGTTAGCTGGCAACTTCCCGCATGTCCAGCCTGGGTCATCTGCCCTCAGCACCTGTCCAGGGCAATTAAAGAAAATACTTTAGTTATTTATGGATTTCCTGGAAAGCCCGGATGTTTGAGCTGCAGACTGCATGTGAGCCCCAATCCTTCCATCAGCCTCCAGGTCCACACCACTTCCCCATTCAGAAGTTTCTCAAAACAAAACAAAAAACAAAACTCTCGATCAGCATGTCCTATTAAATAGAAGCTTAGAGAGAAATGGATAAATCTACCATAAATCTACAATTAGGGAAAGATTTCAGCATCCTCCTCAATTATTAACAGACCAGACAGACAAGAAACAAACCAAACAGTAGGTCGTCAGATTTGAACCACACAATTTATTAACAAGCATGATTTGTGGCCTCGTTTATTACCAGCCCCCACCCCAGCACTTGGTGCACATTCTCCTTAAGCGCAGAATTTGGCCTCAAGGTAATATTTTAGGAATAAATAAAAAGAGGCCGGGCACGGTGGCTCACACCTGTAATCCCAGCACTTTGGGAGGCCGAGGTGGGCGGATCACGAGGTCAGGAGTTCGTGACTAGCCTGGCCAACATAGTGAATCACCGTCTCTACCAACAATACAAAAAAATTACCCGGGCGTGATGGCGGGCGCCTGTAATCCCAGCTACTCGGGAGGCTGAGGCAGGAGAATCGCTTGAACCCAGGAGGCAGAGGTTGCAGTGAACCGAGATCGTGTCATTGCACTCCAGCCTGGGCAACAAGAGCAAAACTCTGTGTCAAAAAAAAAAGAAAGAAAGAAAGAAAGAGATAAAATTTCCCCTTAGGTCTGGACCTTTTGATACAAGCCGATGCTCAGCGGGTGTTGTTGACTGACAGGTGGATGAATGGCCCACGCTTGCCGGCAGGTGACACCTCCAGGTGGGTGCTCTGTGGGAAGGGGAGCTGACAGTCCTGGGGGTCCTGCCTGGGGAGCAGTGGGCACCCCAACATTCACCCATGCAGGGACTGGCAAACACACCCCCACTCTGCAGCTCTCTCTGTTACCACCTTGAAGCCAACACGAAGGCCAGACCAGAGCTGGGTGTCCCTCTGTGTGGGCTCCTGGGACAGATACTCGCCTGGGAGAGGTGGGGCTCCTTCTCCCAGCTCCTTCCCCTAGCCCTGGGGTTGGGGTGGACAGAGCTGGGCTGAACTCAGCCCTGGTTCCCAGCGCTGGCTAGCCGGTCCTGCACAGCCCCAGGAGGCAAAGGTTTCCTGGTAGCCCCCACCCCCACCCCGTGGAGCCGGACCCCTCCCCAAGACTCCAGGAGCAGCGGGAGTCCTCAGGACCCTCTGGGCAGGACGGGGCAGCCCTCTCGCTAGCGCTCCCGCCCTGGGCCCAGGACCTGCGCGCCGAGCTCGAGCTCCGCGGAGCCGCTGCCATCCGCCCAGAGATCCCAGACTTTCAAGCGGCCTGAATCCCCGTCTCCACTAGACGGCCCTCGCCCCCGACCACAGACACCAACCACCAGGGCGAGAATGGATGCGAGGCGGGGGAGAGAACAGGACACCCTCCGGGAAGCCGCAGGACCTCTGCTCAGGGAACTAGCGGGGCCCCTCCGGGGACACCGGCGCTGGTGGGCGCGGTCTCCGGGCTGAGTTCAGGCCTCGGGGCCGGAGGAGTCCCACTTGCCAGGGGCGCCCGCCGTGTGCGCTCGACTCGGGGCTTCCGGCGCGGCCCCGCCTCCACCTTCGCGGTGCCCCCACCTCGACGGCGCCCCGCACCGGCGTGAAACCTCCTCGCTGCCCTCTGAGCCCCTTTCGGGACTGGTCATCGCCGCCCCTGCGCTCCTCCCGGGCAGGCCCGGGTTGGGACTGCAGCGGGGCCGGCGGCGGGGACAGAGGATCGGGGCGGCCTGGGGGACTCAGGGCCCAGCCGCGCGCTCAGCCCCCGGCGACCACAGAAGCCACCGGCTGGGCCGGGCGCGCCACAAGGCGGCAGCAGCGGGGCTGCCGGGTGCGTCCCAGACACCGGGGCTGTGGGAGGAGGCGAGAACCGTCCCGAGGCAACCGCCGGCCCCGAGGAGACATGGCGCAAAAAACGCCCAAAGCACCTTCCCCTAAAGCCCCCGTGGGCGCGGTGGGCCCATCCACGGGAGGCGTCCAGGAGGGCTTCCGGGAGGCGGCGCGTGGGGAGTGTGGGGTGTGGGGTCGACTGGCGTGGGGAGGGCGCTCTGCGCAGAGGGTGCGGGTGGGCGGAACTCGGGGCACAAAAGGCCCCAGGGAAAGGGAGGTCGCGCAATCGTGGTGACCAGGGGACTGGCCACGGGCTAAGGGTCCCACGTGCGGAGAAGAGGGGGATGGGGAGAGGCCTAGGCACCTCCCGCTTGCCCCGCGGGCTCTCGGTCACCCAGTAAGCCCAAGCCAGGGCTGGCGGGCCCGGGGTTGGGGGGTCCAGGAAGGAGGGGGAGAGGCTGCCTGAGGCGCCTCCGCCTCCGCTCCCCTCCCCTTACTGTCAAGACACTCCAGCCTTGAGCTCCTGAAAACACGACCTGAGTGAGGGGTGGGGTGGGTGGAGAAGGCAGCCAGAGCCCCAGCACTGTCATGGTTGGCTGTGGCCTCCTCCGGGGTCATCTCCAGGGGGGCCGGAATGAGAACCCCACTTCAGCACTGAGCAACACGCGACCACCCCCAAGAGGCGGGGTCACGTCCCAGCTGTGTGACCCCGGGAATTGTTGGCCCTGAGATCATCCTTGTACCATGGGAACCCACCTCTTGGGGCCACAGGGAGAACGCACCAGACCATGCCTGGGACGCCCAGCAGGGCAATGGGCAAGTTTGGGAGGGAGGTGGCTGCTGTCCTGCCGCCCCCAGGGACAGACTCCGGACTCTGAGGCGGGTGTGGACCTGGAAGCAGAGCTCCAAGCTGATCCGCACCCACCAGCCGGGCAGCCACAAATTCACTAGAAACCTCAGGGGCCTGCACCAGCCCACAAGGTCCCTGGTCGCCCTCCTACTGCCGCCATCAACCCAAACGTCCCGTCCTGCGCCTCCACTACAGGAGGTTCACCGTGGCCACCACCTGCTTGCAGCCGGTGACGGCAAACTCGCGGCCAGCCACGCGGTAGAAGCTGAGCTGCGCGGCCAGGTTCTCCGCGCGGGCCTGGTCAGGAAAGAAGCCCTCACCCGCCATCTCGTCCCGGAAGCAGCTGACCACATCCCGCTTGTCCAGCAGCAGAAACGGCACGATGGCCGCGGCCTGCCACAGCGGATGCTCCCGGGACAGCACAGCCAGCAGGCTGGCGCGCAGGTCTTCTTCCGCCTGCGCCGCTGCGGCCTCGGCACTGCGGAAGCCGTCGGGGCGCAGGGGCAGCGCGCGGGACGCGTTCTGCAGCACGAAGCGCGTGACCTCGGCGCCACCCGCGCCACTGAGGAGCACGTAGATGGCGTTGTGGAAGTGGTGGGAGCGCTGCGGCTGCAGGAAGCCGTGCAGCTCGTCCAGCAGCGGCCGCGGCATGAGCTCCACGTCGTCCAGCACCAAGAGTGGGGTCTTCTCCTCCGCTTCGGCCCGCGCCACCACGTCGGCCACGCGCCGCGCCAGCTCCTCGCGGCAGTCCTGTGCGGCGCGCGCCTCGGGGCAGTGGTGCCGCGCATGGTATTGCAGCACGAGCGCGCTGTCCTCCAGCACCGAGCGGAAGTGGCGCGCCAGCAGGCGGCCCACGTGGCTCTTGCCCACGCCACTGGGCCCGTGCAGCGCCAGGAGGAGCGGACGACTGTGCACATGCGTGGCCAGGTAGTCCCGCATCAGCGCCACGATGCGCGATACGGCAGCGGGCTGGCCGAACACCGCGCGCTGCAGCGCTTTCTCCAGCCCGTCGAGGTCATAGCGCTGCGCGTTATCGTCCAGGTTCTCGATAGCGTTGAGAACTTGGAAGCCCACGATGGCGACTAGCAGCAGAAGGCAGCGCTGCGCGCGGCTCCTGTGCTCCACGCGCGGCCGATACTTGCGCGAGGTCTCCGGGTAAAGCACCAGGCGGCTGCGCCGGCGCTTCTTGCGTGGCGTCCTGGAGGGTAGCTCCGCGGGGCTGTCGAAGGTGAAGAACTTTGGCTGGTCCAGGTCCGCGCGCGGTGCCCGGGGGCTGCAGCCCGGCCTGGGCGCCCCGGTCCCGACGTCGGGCCCCCCACCCGGCTGCAGGAGGCGCCGTTTGCGTAGGACACACACCCGGCGGCGCAGGCGGAGCACAGCGCGCACGGGCGCGATCACGCACCGGCCCGAGGCTCGGGGGGCCGCGGCAGCAGGCTCCAGGCTGGGCTGGCCGCGGTCCATGTCGCAGGAACGGCGCTCCGCATACAGGTCGCCCTCCCTGCAACGGGAAGACGGGGAGGGTCTCTGGACTCCCGCCACTGCCCTTTCCCGCGGGCCGCCGGAACCGGTCCCCGGAGTGATCTTACCCCCTGGGAGTCCCGTGGGGTGCGGCCCGGGCTGCCCCAGGGCCAGGGGCCTGGTCGCGGCCTCGCCCCTCAGACCGGCAAGCGACCCCTCCGCCCCTCCGCCCCTCCGCCCCTCCGCAGGGCCCCGATGCAAATCTCTCGGGTCTTCCCATAAACGGCCGCGGGCCTTGAGGAAGTGGCGGGGTAGAGGCTTATCTGGTGGCCGCCCCGGCTTCCTGGAGGAGTCGTCGAAGGAGTCAGTGGCCGCCCAGGCGCCCACTGGGGTGAACAGTCACCCCCGGACCCTGCCCCCGCCCGCGGCTCCCACTGGACTGGGCCGTCTCCCAAGGAGGGGCCGCGGGAAGCAGAGGCCTGAGCGCCCAGGAGTTCAGAGACGCCCCCACACGCTCCAGAACACTTGGCGGGGGTCTGGCTGGAACTTATGATTTTGAGAATAGGCCCGGGCCCCGTCCCCAGGCTCAACCCAGGCCTCCCAGCCCCGACTCCAAAACTGGGGTCCTCCCAACACCCCTCCAGTGAACGAGCTGAGCAGTGCAGGGAGCCCCCCGGAGACTAGTGGAGGTGAAACGAAAAGATGGACAGAAAGAAGAGGCCGGTCGGAGCAAGAGAGCCACTGACTGGCAGGAACTGGGCCCTGGGCCCCAACCCACCCCCTACCTGCAGCTGGTCCACTGCCCTCAGCTCCGCAGGCCCCTGCCTGTGCCAGACGCTGGGGCCTGAGACTCCAAGCAGGAAATGCGCCTCCCAGGGCGAGGGGGTGGGCCAGGGGCCTCCTGGGCCAGCTTCGGCCTGGAGGGGCAGCGACACCTGTGGGTCCCCAGGGAGCGGCCGGCCGGAGTAGAGGAAGCTCTGGGGAGGTTTCCGCTTCTATGCAAAGGAAGTGAGTCAGGGGGTGCGGCCCAGGCGGGACTTGGGCTGGACGGAGGCGCCAAAGGGGGGAGGCCTGGCCGGCTTGCCCAGATCCCCTGGCCGGAGGTCACATTCCCGCTTCAGTTCTCTAGCGCTCAGAGCCCTCCTGGCTTGGTCAGGCTCAGGACACCTGGTGAGGCCGAGGGCCCCTGCTGCATGCTGTGCCCCCACCCTGGGCTCCTGCACCTCAGCCTGTCCTCCAGGGCCCCCACCTCCCCCAGGTTATCCCTTCCACCTGTCACCCCACACACAGGGCTTACAGCTGGGGGGAGGGGCTCCAGGCCCTGTGTAAGCAAGGCGGGAGCAAGGCAGCAGCACAGGGGGCGGGCAGGGTCCTCTGCCGAGCTGCATACCCCCAATCCCTCTCTTATTACTCCTCTCCCCGCTTTTTCATTCCCCTCCTGACCCCAATCGGGGGCCCCCCAAAGTGGGCTCATTGTCTTTCCTTTCCCCCTTCCTCCGTCCCCAGCCTGGAGCCCCCTGCCCAGGACAGGCCAGCACACACAGACGGAAGTTCTATCACGGAAAAAACCACGTGCGGCTCAGGGTCCCTGTGGGGGTTGGGGAACAAATTTAGAAACAACTTGGGCCGGGAGCCAGGAGCTGGAGCTCTGGGCCCTTCCCCCTGCCGGCCTGCCTAAAGGACCCTGGACTCCTCCTACCCTGGCCCAGCCTGGAAGCCGCCTTCCAAGGAGGGGCAAGGTGGCCGCTCCAGCCACACCAGTGCTGCTGGCATTCAGCTCAGGACCCCGCAGTCCCAGGGACGCCCCACTCCTCCCAACAGCCAGCCCGGGCCTGATGGTTCCAGCTGTATATTCCTCACACACTGCACCCAACCAGACAGGCTCCATCAGGGAAACCGGTCGTGGGTTGGGGGTTTCCATTCTCTCCAGGGTATGGGGTCCACCGGACTATCACGCTCCCCTCCAGGAGCCAGGCCTAGGGCTCCCCTCCCCTGTGCAAGGGGTGCTCGGGGGCCCGGATCCCCAATTGTCGAGGCCGCGGGGGCCGCACACACCAGGTGGAATGCTGGTGCTCTTTGGGCCCACTCCCCGGCCTCTGTGGGACCAGAGCGGAAGGAGGTTGGCTGTCCAGGCCCCGTGGCCCCAGCACGGAGGTTGGGGTCCTTTGGGGGCCTCAGGCTTTGAGTCTCGGTGCTTCTTCTGACACAGAGAGGACCCTGGAGGGGAGGCCCTCGGGCAGATGCAGGCTGACCGAGCCCTGGAAAACCTGCAGCAAAGCCTCTGCCCTGCCTCCAAGTGCACCCAGGGCTGGAGCTGCTTCTGCCAGAGGCTGGCCCAGCAAATCCTCAGGCCAGAGCCCTCTGCAGGAAAGGGACTCGCTCAAGGGGTGCCCCAAGACCTGGCCCTATGGGTCAAAGGTGAATCTGAGGCCTGGGCCAAGGCCTCACCCCCTGCACTTTCTCCCATCTACAGGGGTGAAGGGAGCCCCAGAACCCCAGCTCCCAGGGCCATCACCATCTCCTGTGATACCCAGGGCCACCCCCAATCACACCCATTCCCATTCCAGGAGGCCTCCCCTCCCGCCTCCCTACCCAACCCAGCCCTGCCGCTGCGCCCAGAATTCATGTCCATCACCCACAAACACAGTACATGTTCTCAGCCTCTGAAAGGACTTCACCCTCACTGCTTCCCCCAGCCCTTGCCAGCAAGGTTGTTTTCCCCAAACCGTGGGCAGCCTCCCCACTTCTCCTCCCAAATTCCCCATAGGTTTCACTTCACCAGACGATGCCTCCCGTGCCTGGGCCCTCGGTCCTCCCCTACCAAGTCCTTCTCCCTAACTTCCCAGCAGCGTCCACACCCAGTCGCTCAGGCAGCTCTGCTCTTTCTGCCCCTAAAGGCTTTCGCTACAGTAACCATGCGCCCCCGAGGCTCAGCCGTCCACGCACGGTCCCATCCCAGTCCTTGCAATTCACACCCTCCACCTCACCAGTCCCTCACCCACGGGCTCCTCACTCTCTGTCCTTCACTCCCCACCCGTAGGCCTGGCACCCCCTGCAGGCGCCCTGGACAGGACGCGCCCGCTGCCCAGTGACCAAACCAGGCACCCGGGTCCACTCACTGACCATTCCTCCTACAGTCAAGTCCTCTACTCGTCCTCTCCCCTGCCACTTCCCCCTATCCTGCCTCCTAGCCCAAGACCTGAGAAAATGGGAGGCAGCAGCAGTGGACTCCCAGTGTCTCCTCAGCCGTCACCCCAGCATCTGCGCCCATCAGCCCTCCTCTGAGGACACCCCTGCTGTGCTGAGACCCCGGCCACCTGCTCATTCAGTGACAGCCCAGCCCCTGGACCATCCTCCACTCCTCACCCTACTGGGTCATTCCCATCAGCCCAGAAACATCTATTTCTTCTATCTTTAAAAAAAAACCAGGCCGGGCGCGGTGGCTCACGCCTGTAATCTCAGCACTTTGGGAGGCCGAAGCAGGTGGATCACAAGGTCAGAAGATCGAGACCATCCTGGCTAACACAGTGAAACCCCGTCTCTACTAAAAATACAAAAATTAGCCGGGCGTGGCGGCATGTGCCTGTAGTCCCAGATGCTGGGGTGGGGGGGGCGCTGAGGCAGGAGAATGGTGTGAACCCGGGAGGCGGAGCTTGCAGTGAGCCAAGATTGCGCCATTGCACTCCAGACCGGGCGACAGAGCGAGACTCCATCTCAAAAAAAAAAAGCAAAAAAAGCACGCACTCCTGGCCGGAACTGACCTTCATCCCACTCCTTAGTGCCTCTCAGCTGGGTCTCCAGGCCTCTCCTGCTTCCTCAGCTCTCCCTCCAAAGCACTGTTCCTCAGCCCCTCCTCCCTGGGCTGTGGGGCACCCAATCTGCTGCCAGCTGCCACCCCCCCGCCCCAGCTGGCCAGGAAGGCCCGCCCAGAGCACACGGCTGCTCTCCCTCACCTGGGCTGATCTGGCCCAGTCAGTAGCTCAAACACCACTCCCTATGACAGCATCCAGATCCACAACCTGGCCCCAGTCTCTTCTGAGCTCCACAGCCCCAAACCCATTGCATGTGCCTGTCAGACAAGCCCTTCATCTTCCCGTCACAGCCCACCTGGGCAGGTTCAGAGCCCTGGACCCTCCAAGACTCCTCTGCTGCTCACACCTACCCAGAACCTGCGCCCTCCACCCACCAGCCAGGCCAGCCCCAGACACCCAGCCTCACCTGGGTCCCCAGCTCCCAACCAAAGCCCTCAGGCTGGGACTTCTCCGCCTGCCCTGGGGCTCTTGGAGAGACATGACTGGATAAACTGAGGCATGGATCCGGCAGTGTAGACCACAATAAACTGAGGCACAGATCTCCCAGTGTAGACCACAAGCCCCATGCACAGGTGCAACAGAGTCCCAGGCGTCCCTGGCTCTGCCCCAGAGGATACCAGCTCAGAGACTCCCATACCCACGAGATCCCAGCACCATGGGCTTGTCTCACCCAACAGGTCCCAACCTGCTCAGCTGTGGCCTCACACTCCAGGGAGGCGAGCTCGCCAACAGGCGTCTCTGAGGACACGGTGACACCTGGCAGCCAGGCTATCGCCCCTGCATGCTGCGAGCCAAGGACAGTGACACCTGGCAGCCGGGCCATCGCCCCTGCATGCTATGAACTGCTGCCCGGCTTTGAGGTCTCATCTGCTGGAAATGGCCCTGGCTCTGTGCCTGTGACCCATGGCACATCCTGGGCCTCCAGGGCTCCTGTCCCTGGTGTGCACCAGGAGGTGAGAGGTGCCCCCTGGAATCGCAGGACAAAAACAAAGCAGCTGATCTGCGTCTTAGGGGCACCAAAGCCCCGAGGGTGAGGGCTTCCTGCCAACCTCCCTCAGAAATTATTATATCATCCTCCCCCAGAAATTATATCAACCTCCCCCAGAAATTATTATATCCTCCCCCAGAAATTTTATCAACCTCCCCCAGAAATTATTATATCAACCTCCCCCAGAAATTATTATATCGTCCCCAGCTGCTGGTCACAGACAGGGCTGAGCAGTCCAGAGAGGCTGTGGCCCACAAAGCCCCAAGTATTGGCTCCATAGCACAAATGCCTGTGTCCATCTGAGCTACATCCAACCTCAGGGCAGGCACAGAGACATCTCAGCCTCCACGTTTACCAAAATGCCTTTTATTTACATACGAGAAAATCTCACCGTGTGTCCAGCTGGCCCCGTCACGGCCGCTGAAGGCAGCACTGCTGGGCAAGGAGAAACAAGGCCACACCTGCAAACTGGGCTGCAGGGTGAGGTGGCTCCCTCCGCACAGGCCCCAGGACACCCACCATGGCACAGGCCAGGCTGCTGCCCCCACACGGCCTCCACGAGGTCACGGGTCCATCTCCACAACCCCAAGGCAGTAAGCAGTGTGCCTCGCTTTCGCCAAGCTGGGCCAATGAAGAGGCCCCGCCCCCACCCTCAGGCCCCGCCCTCTCCCCTTGGAAAACAGGTGGTTTTTTCCTAACACAGGAAAACAGAAAATGAGCACGCTTTCTATGGCTGCCAAAGTACAAGGAGAGGCTCTGCCCTGGGAGCCACTGCATGGATGGTGGGCAAGGTCCGGGAGCCAGCTCCAAGGAGCAGGAAGCAGGGGGCCATGACGGCAGGACAGGCCCAGCCATAGCCCCGGGAAGAGAGACTGCCCTGTACATCCAGGTCCGGGAGCCTCTTCCGGCTGAGCAGGGCCGCGACTCGGCATGGCCCCAGCACCCGAGCAGGTCTGGAGGGCCCTCAGAGCGGGGCAGGGGCGGGCACGCTGGGGAGGGGCAGCTCCAGGGCCGGCGTCTCCGCAGCCTGTGCCGGGCTGGGCTTCCGGTGATCCAGCTGTTCCAGCTTCTCGCCGAGCTGGGAGTAAAGCTCCTTCACTGCCTCTCCGCTCTGCGGGGAACCACACCATGGGGCAGGCGAGGCGCATGGGCAGGCCCAGGGGGCACAGGGGTGGGTGCCCACCGACCACACACAAGCACCACAAGGGCAGCTTGGCAAGCACACACGGGCTGGTAGGGACCAGGTGCCTTCAGATGCAGCCCCCCCGGGCACCCACCTGGCCTGTAGGCTCCAGGGCCTTCTGCAACGCCTCCAGCTTAGACGGGGCCACCCTGGGGTGCAGGTGAATGAGGAGCCGCAGCGCGTGCCGGTGCACGTTCTCCTTCCTGGAAAAGGCCGTGCAGGGCTGGGGCAGGAGGCAGGCCCTGCTGTCTGCCCAGGCCCAGCCCAGATGCAGGTGGCCAAGGCCCCTGGAGACAGGACATGGCCAGCCTTTGGGACCCTCCCCAGCTGTGCCCAGGCACCCTGCAGGGCCACATGCGAGCCCTGGTGCCCAACAG
This sequence comes from Homo sapiens, assembly GCF_000001405.40. Taxonomy (NCBI): domain Eukaryota; kingdom Metazoa; phylum Chordata; class Mammalia; order Primates; family Hominidae; genus Homo; species Homo sapiens. The sequence continues at coordinate 137,272,332 of NC_000009.12, read as the reverse complement.
ACCCACCTGCGGACCCTCCGCCCCAGGCTGGGGACAGCAGCCACCTCTCAGGCTGCTACGGACAAGAGCTGAGAGGACAGAGCGGGCCGGATGGTACCCAGCAGGCCTACCTTGGAGAGGCGGTGAGGAAGAAGCCATCGAAGAGGCTGCTGCAGAAGTCCTCAAGGGCAAATTCGTCGGCCAGCAGCGCAAGGTTGCCCGTGAGCAGGTGGAGGAAGATGTCGCCAAAGGCCAAGTCGCCAAAGGTCTCCACTGCAGACACAGCAGGCATCAGCCCAGTGCCACTCACCCTGCCCACCCCAGAGGGCACCCTTGTCCTCAAAGACCTCAGAACCTACTTCTGGGGGTGCTCACATGAGAGTTCTCAGTTGTTCTGAGATGAGAAGCACAGGGTCTCAGCAGGTGAAGAGGGGGGTGGGAAGTGGACAGAGGCAGGCAGGGGGTGGGACCTGTGGCAGGGAAGCAGAGCTGCAGCCCAGGGACAGGAGGGTGGAGGGAGGGGGAGACAGCCCAGGGACAGGAGGAGGGTGGAGGGAGGGGGAGACAGCCCGGGGACAGGAGGAGGGTGGAGGAAGAAGGAGACAGAAAAACGAGGTGCTCCTCCAGTCCCAAAAGGCCTTGCCCAGCAGCCGAGCCCAGGAGAAACAAGCCTAACAAATACAGGGCCGGCGCCAGCTGCAGAGAGTTCTCCCTGACTGCCAGCTACACTGAACCACAGGAAAGAGAACGAAACTCTTCCACATTCTTTTCTGAAGCCAGACACCAAAACACAACAAAGACAGCATTCGTGCCCACAGACGCCTCACGTGCGACCACAGCACAGAAGCCACGGTGTTGGCAGACATTTGCCAAGAGCCAGCACAACGCCCCAAACGGGGCCCCTGCAGGGAGGGAGGGCGGCCGCCTGCAGACTGATGCCTGAAGGAGCTGTGGCCAGGCCACATGGAGGTGACGTGTGCGGACAGGTTGAGGATGGCCTTCCTAGTATCCCGGATGGGGCCTTTATGAGGACAACCCAGCTGGCGCCACCTGCGCCCAGAGTGACAGAAACATTTCCAGGAGACCCAGGCCCCCGAGGTGCCTGCCTGCCACATCTCACAGGGCCTTGGCCGGCCACATGGCCAGGTGGCCACGGGACACGTGGCAGGCACACAGTCCCGACCAGGGGATCCAGCAGCAAGGCCCCACTGGGCAAATGCCCTGATTCCTGCAACTCCGGGGAACCCAAGACTGCGAGACAGGAGAGGGGACAGCAGGCGCATCCCAACCCTGACGGGACCGTCCACACAGCAGGCAGGAGACACCTGGAGAAGCGCAGCCACTGTCAGGCAGTCAGTCGGCAGAGGAGCGGCAGTGAACCTGGCTCAGATGTGACAGTGGCCCGTGGTCCGTGGTCACTGGTTTTTATTTTTTTTGAGAAGAGTCTCACTCTGTTAGCCAGGCTGGAGTGCAGCGGTGCAATCTCAGCTCACTGCAACCTCCACCTCCCGGGTTCAAGCGATCCTTCTGCCTCAGCCTCCCTCAGCTGGGATTACACGCGTGCGCCACCGCGCCGGGCTAATTTTTCTATTTTTAGTAGAGATGGGGTTTCGCCACATTGGCCAGGCTGGTCTGGAACTCCTGACCTCAGGTGATCCGCCCGCCTCGGCCTCCCAAAGCGCTGGGATTACAAGGTGAGCCACCATGCCTGGCCAGTTTTTTAAAGGCATTTAAAGACAGTCTTATTTTTTATTTGTTTTTTTTGAGACGGAGTCTCGCTCTGTCACCCAGGCTGGAGTGCAGTGGTGCAATCTCGGCTCACTGCAACCTCTGCCTCCTGGGTTCAAGCGATTCTCCTGCCTCACCCTCCCGAGTAGCTGGGACTACAGGCATGCGTCACACACGCGGCTAATTTCTGTATTTTTAATAGAGATGGGATTCCACCATGTTGGCCAGGCTGGTCTGGAACTCCTGACCTCAGGTGATCCACCCGCCTTGGCCTCCCAAAGTGCTAGGATTACAGGCATGAGCCACCAAGCCCGGCTCCCCGCCCTTTTTTTTTTTTTTTTTTTTGAGACGGAGTCTGGCTTTGTCGCCCAGGCTGGAGGGCAGTGCCGTGATCTCGATTCACTGCAACCTCTGCCTCCCAGGTTCAAGCGATTCTCCTGTAAACGCATCCTTCTTTTGTAGAGATGCCTACGTCTGCAGCCTGCATGCTGTGATGTCTCAGATTTACACCCAGACATCGTGCTGAGGGACAGGCGGCCACACGCAGACCCCACGTGGACCCCGGGGAGGTTGGAGATGGTGCTGGGTCCTCACCGTACCATGCTCTTGACTTCGTATTCTTTCACAAATTCCCACCACAAAATGTTAAAAAATAAACAGGAGAGAATTCTAAAAATCAACATCCATTCTTACTAGAACCCGCTAAAAACTTAAGAACACGCGTGCTCTCCCCAAATGTGACTGAAAATGCACATCCCACCCCGTGGGGCAGCCACGTACTCCGAGAAGCTGCACTCCTGGTTCCCAGCCTGTTTCTAGCCACAATCAAATGAGAGAAAGAAACAGAAGCGCACGGAAGGCCTCCCAGGTGAGTCTGTCATTGTGCGAACTCCACAGTGACTGACACAAATCCAGAAGGTGCCACCCACTGCACACTGGGCTGGGCCATGGCCTCATGCCCCTGAGCTAGACACCTGCACAGCACATGGCTGTACTGAGTACTGAAGGCTGCTGGGACACAATGGCAACTGTGTATCTAAATAGAGAAAGTGGAGTAAAAATACAGTATTGTCAGCTTATGTGACCGCGTGGTCGTATATGTGGTCCACGGTAGACAGAATGTTATGTGACACGTGACTGTACTGCAGTGGGCAGGCCAAGGCAAATTAAAGTTATTTATAACTATGTTCCCGGAAGTCTCAAAAAATAAACAAACCGGCTCTGCCCGGCGGCCGGCAGCACGATGTCCCAATGCCCTCAAGAGCCTCCCTGAGCCTCCAGAAGGAGCGGCAGTGTTGGCACCCGCAGAAGCCCAGGAGGTCATGTCTGCCTGCGCTGTCTAATGCCACTGTCTGTGGTCATTCGTTCCAGCAACAACAGGAAACCCAGGCCCAGGCAACCCAAGCTCAGTGAGAGGATGGCTGGGGACAGGTTAATACCCACAGGTAACTTCCTCCACAAAGAAAGCTGGAAAACGCATGCACGCGCCATCCTCAAACACACCAGCCACCGAGAAACACAATAGGCACGTGCTGTGGTGTGGACGTGTCCCCAAGTTCACCATCGGAAACCTGATCCCCAACGCAACACTGCTGAGGTCGTGAGGGCTCCGTCCTCACCAAAGCGTTCTCGCTGTTAGCACAGGAGTGGCTCCTGATAAAAGGGTAAGTGTGGCCCCTTCTCTGTCTCCGTCTGTCTGTGTCTCATCTCTAGCTCTGTCTCTCATCTGTCTCTGTCCTGTGTCTCTCATCTGTCTGTCTCCATGTCTCTCCTGTCTCTGTCTCTCTTACCTGTCTCTCATCTCTCTGTGTCTCATCTCTGTCTCTGTGTCTCTCATCTTTGTCTCTCATCTTGGTCTGTGTGTCTCTGTCTCTCATCTCTGTCTGTGTCTGTCTGTCTCCCCTGCCCGTGCTCTCTTGCCCTCTGCCTTCCACCATGGGATGACACAGCAAAAAGCCCCAGCCAGATGCAGGCCCCTTGACCTCGGACTTCCCATCCCAGCCCGCAGAACTGGGAGAAGTCCCTGCTCTTTGTTTTTTTGAGACGGAGTCTCGCTCTGTCGCCTGGGCTGGAGTGCAATAGTGCAATCTCCACTCACTGCAACCTCCACCTCCCAGGTTCAAGGGATTCTCCTGCTTCAGCCTCCCAAGTAGCTGAGATTACAGGCACCCACCACCATGCCCAACCAATTTTTGTATTTTTTTAGTAGAGACAGGGTTTCACCATGTTGGCCAGACTGGTCTCGAACTCCTGACCTCGTGATCCGCCCGCCTCAGCCTCCCAAAGCACTGGGATTACAGGCCTGAGCCACCGTGCCCGGCCGTCCCTGCCCTTTCTACACTACTCAGTCTCAAGTCTCTGTTAGAGCAGCATAACGTGGACTAAGACAGCAAACCCCAGACAAGGCCTGAGTCAGCAAGGAAGAGCCCAGGGTCTGTGTCACAGTGGGTACCGCAAGGCTAAAGAGGCCCCATCTCCCATGGGACCCACAGCAGGCTAAAGAGGCCCCATCTCCCAGGGGACCTGCAGCTCTACTCTTGAAGGTGCCCATTTGGACCCTTCCTCTTCTTCCTGGCTTGCAACAACCCCTCCCCCGTCAAGGCCCCCAGGAGGAAGTGGGCCTGTCACCACCTGGGGTGGGGCACTGGGGCAGGGGATCTCTCTCCCTCCCCTTTGCTCCATTCTCTGAGCACCTGAGGGGTCCCAAGCCCCTCGCCAGTTAGGATGAAATAAAGACAGCTCTTACATCACCTTTTTGTGGGAAAGCACAAAGTTGAACTCCCTCTCCCTTTCCTAGTAAAATAAACTACAAACAAAAGTAAAAGTGAAAACGAGGCTGGGAGTGGTGGCTCACACCTGTCATCCCAACACTTTGGGAGGCCGAGGCGGGCGGATCATGAAGTCAGGAGTTCGAGACCAGCCCAACCAACATGGAGAAACCCCGTCTCTACTAAAAATACAAAAATTAGCCTGGCACGGTGGCACGCGCCTGTAATCCCAGCTACTCAGGAGGGTGAGGCACGAGAAATCACTTGAACCTAGGAGGCAGAGGCTGCAGTGAGCTGAGGTTGCACCACTGCACTCCAGCCTGGGCGACAGAGCAAGACTCCATCTCAAAAAAAAAAAAAAAAAAAAGGTGAAAACAAAGCTAGCAAAGTTGGAGGTGGGCTGGGGAGACAAGGCAGCTCCTGGGGGCCCTGGGGCCCGCACCCTGGGCAGGACTGCATACGGCAGCTGCCGCAGGGAAGACACAGCCAGGCACCGCCCGTCAGGACTTACCCAGCCCGGGCAGCAGGCGGAGGAGCGCGTTCTTGTTCCTCTGCTTGGTGATGTGCAGGACGTAGTACAGCCCCACCTCGCAGGCCATGCGCTGCTCCTGCAGAAACCTGCGCCCGGGGCGCCATCAGCCCCACCTCAGCCCCACCTCAGCCCCACCTCAGCCCCACACCGACCCCTGCCCAGCCCTGAGGCAGCCCCCTGGGCAACAGTGCCATCCCTGCGCCACGGCCACCCCTGCACCATGGCCCTACAGCCCGTACTTAGTGAAGCTTTCGGGAAGTGTGTTTGGATATGAGACTGGGGCTTTCTCCTCAGCCGGAAGTTTCTGATCCACATTGAAAGTGTAGTCATCCACCAGGAAGGACATGAGCATCGGGAGGAACCTGGTGATGAGCTCTACCTCCTACGAGGAGGGGAGGCCATGAGCGGGCGCGGGCCCGGGCCCTGCCCCACCCCACCCTGACGTGACACACACCCTGCCCCTGGCCCTCCCACTCCCCCAGATACCTCACCGACCCTCCCTCCTCTCCAGGTCCCCAGGTCCCTCTTCCCACCTCCCGAGTCCCCCACCCAGGCCATCTCCTCAAACCCCCTTCTAGGTCTGGACCCACATGGAGTAGTCACCACCTGTGGCCAGCCATGGTCCATGGAGACACCCCCAGAACAAGCCACGGTCCACGGAGACACCCCAGAACCAGCCACGGGCCATGGAGATACCCCAGAACCAGCCAGGGTCCACGGAGACACCCCAGAACCTCCCTGGTGGGCATTTTCCCAAAAGGAAGGTGGGCAGCTCCAGGAAGGAAGCTTTGGGACCAAAGGGGCCTCCACAATCACCTTGCTAGCGCCTCCCCCTCCACCCCACTTCCAGCCCACAACCCCTCGTAGGAAACTGGCAGCCCCCACAGGAGGCTCGTTACCATCTTGGGCTCCTTGAAGACCTGGCTGTCGATCATGTCCCAGGCTCCCTGGCCCAGCGCCAGCAGCCGGAGCAGCAGCAGGAGGTCGGGGCTGTCCTGTAGGGAGGACGGGCTCAGCGCCTCTCCCAGGCAGCTGTGTCCTGGCCATGGAGCTCCTCTGACCCTACTCGTTACTCAGCAGGATCTCTGGTGCCCATGGCCAGGACCACACGACTGCGATCACCAGCCCCACACACGGGGTGAAACGCAGTCTCACAGCGGGGAAGCACACGCCTCTACCTGGGCCACTGCAGTCCACATCCCCGACCACCAGAGCAGCCAGCAGGGCGGCCACAGGGCCCCAACAGCTGCCTCCACCTGGCCGCTGCTGTCCACACCCTGACCACCCAGAGCAGCCAGCGGAGTGGCCGCATGGCCCCGACAGCTGCTGGCCAAGCCCACACTCACCCTGGGCAGTGTCTCCTGGCCGACCAGCTCCTGCAGGTGCCTGACTGTGCTCAGTGCCAGCGTGTTGATGGCGAAGGGGTCACACAGGATCATGGACAGGTCCCTGGAAGGAGGCCGCCCTGGCATTAATGCGACGCCTGTTGCCCCTCCCTTCAGCGGCACAGTCCTCAGGAGGGGTGGCCTAGGCTGAATTCAGGACTGGCAGCGGGTGCCCATCACATGCTGGGTTTCTTACAAAAAGCTTAAGGATGGCCGAGCGCGGCGGCTCAGCCTGTCATCCCAGCACTTTGGCAGGCCGGGCGCGGCGGCTCAGCCTGTCATCCCAGCACTTTGGCAGGCCGAGGCGGATGGATCACCAGGTCAGGAGACTGAGACCAGCCTGGCTAACAAAGTGAAACCCTGTCTCTACCAAAAATACAAAAAATTAGCCGGGCGTGGTGGTGGTCGCCTGTGGTCCCAGCTACTCGGGAGGCTGAGGCAGGAGAATCACTTGAACCCGGGAGGCAGAGCTTGCAGTGAGCCAGGATCGCGTCACTGCACTCCAGCCTGGGCAAGAGAGCGAGACTCTGTCTCAAAAAAAAAAAAAAAAAAAGCTTAAGGTTTGCAATTTGTCCTTAACCTATTCAAAGATTTTTCAAATTAAAAAGTTAAAAAAACAAACAAAAAAAAGGCTGGGTGTGGTGGCTCACGCCTGTCATCCCAGCACTTTGGGATGCTGAGGCCGGTGGATTGTTTGTTTGAGACTAGCCCGGGCGAGGTGGTGAAATCCCATCTCTACTAAAGATAACAAAAATCGGCCAGGCGCACTGGTGTGTGCCTGTAATCCCAGCACTTTGGGAGGCGGAGACAGCAGGATCAATGCCCAGGAGGTTGAGGGAGACTGTACCACTGCACTAAAGCCTGGGTGACAGAGACCCTGTCTCAGAAAAAAAAAAAAAAAAAAAAAAAGGAAGAAAAAAAGTGGCAAAGGCAGGGCCAGGCAGCACTGTGTCTATACACCAGCCAGAGGATGCTGGAAAGCAAATGCCAATGGATGCCCCTCAGCTCAGAGGCTGACCCCACGCCACTGCAGACACCAGACCCCAGCCCCTGGGCCTGGCTCCAGAATGCAGAGTTGAGGAGGGAGACTTTGCTACCCACACACATCCCGACAACCATGTCCCTAAGCTGTGGGCCAGCAGTGCCCGGCATAGCTCTATTGAAACATCCAGGAGGCCAGGCACGGTGGCGCATGCCTGTAATCCCAGCACTTTGGAAGGCTGAGGCGGGTGGATCACCTGAGGTCAGGAGTTCAAGACAAGCCTGGCCAACATGGTGAAACCCTGTCTCTACTAAAAAATACAAAAATTACCTGAGCGCAGTGGCGCGTGCCTGTAATCCCAGCTACTTGGGAGGCTGAGGCAGGAGAATGGCTTAAGCCTAGGAGGCGGAGGTTGCAGTGAGCAGAGATTGCACCACTGCACTCCATCCTGGGCTACAGAACGAGACTCTGTCTCGAAAAAAACAAAAGAAAAAGCAATATCCGGGAATAAACGCCTGCTACCCACGGCAAAACACAGCAAGCGCAGACCGGATGCACGCAGGGCCCTGAGGGGCAGAGGCCTCGTGGAGCCGACCCTCACCCCAGCACCTGCTCCTGGCCCTTCTTGACGCCATCGAGAAACCCCTGCAGCTCCCGCGCCCTCTTGCTGTCCACGAACCGCTCTCGGATGCAGGCGTCCAGGCACCAGGTGAACTGCAAGGAGGAAGCACGGTCGGGACCAGCCCAAACCTCCCAGGATGACCAGAGACCCAGGCCCCAAACACAGCTCCAGGCCCTGGCCTCTTGTTCAATCATAGCTGCTGCGGGGGGCGGCAGCAGGCACCAGTCATCCTGACGGTGCAGTGTTCCCCACACCTCCCGGCCAAAGCAGCAGGGTCAGGACAGTGGTGGAGAAAGTGATGATGTTTCTTTCTAAAAACGGACTCCTTCATGGCACCCTGAGTGTGGGGGTGGCCACTGCAGCACTCCAAGCAATGGAAGCCTCGGAGGGTGACTCCCAAGTCCCGGAAAGATGGTCTCAGGGCTGGAGGGTCCGTATGAAGGGAAACCCCGTTCCTAGAGCACTTGGTACCTGGCCAACAAGCAGCACCCAGGGTTCTGGGGAAGGGGAGGGCCACAGGCCAGGTGGAAAGATGGGAGGAAGCTGGGGCAATGGTCAAGGTCCAGCCCGTAGGTCATACAGCCCTCGGGAACACAGAAAGGGCTGGACGGGGCAAGGGAGTCCCCGGGAACGGCCAGGTCTCTGGCTCAGATGCAGGGGACTAGCCTCCTTCCCCCATCAGGGTCTGGAGAGAAGCCAAAGGGCCAGCACACAGGACAGAAAGACCAGAGCCCAGGAAACAGGCATGGGAGAGAAGGGCGCCCAGGTGGTCCCGGGCCAAGCCAAACCCACGGAGAGGAGAGGAGCCAGGAGGGCCAGGGGGAAGGAGGGAGGGCAATGCTACCTTCAGGAGGGGCAGAGGGGGAAGGAGAGAGGGCCGGGGAGTTGGGGGGAAGGAGGGAGGGAGGGCAGCGCTACCTTCAGGAGGGCGGAGGGGGAGGAGGGAGGGCCGGGGAGCGGGGGAGAAGGGAGAAGGAGGGAGGGAGGGAGGGCAGCGCTACCTTCAGGAGGGCAGTGGGGGAAGGAGGGAGGGCCGGGGAGTGGGAGGGAAGGAGGGAGGGAGGGCAGCACTACCTTCAGGAGGGTAGGGGGGAAGGAGGGAGGGCAGTGCTACCTTGTGGCACGGGTCCACGGTGCAGATTTCACCCACGTCCAGGTCGTGCAGGGACATGAGCAGCTCAGCCCGCAGCGTGCAGTAGTGCACATTCCGCGTGCGCAGGAAGAGCGTGCGCAGAAACTGCAGCACCATGTCGTACAGCTTCACGTTCTTCCCCACCATCCGCGTCAGCCGCTGCACCACCTGCAGCAAGAGGCACTGTCAGGCCCCCAGACCGTCCTGGGCTCCGCCAGACACAGGGACGTCACGCCCGGCGACAGCGCGGCCCTCTCTCTGGACATCTGTCCTTCCTACTTTTTGGCAGAAAACATTCCCTCCTCTCATTAAATATTGGCCCCCAGTCTGATGGTAGCAGGTTCTGTTATTTTTATTTTTTTTATTACTTTTTTTGAGACAAGGCCTTGCTCTGTTGCCCAGGCTCGAGTGCACTGCTGCAACTGTGGCTCACTGCAGCCTTGACCTCCTGGCTCAAGTGATCCTCCTGCCTCAGCCTCCCAAGTAGCTGGGACTACAATTGCATGCCACGACACCCAACTGTGGGCAGCAAGCCACCCAGGTGCCAAGGCAAGAGACCAAGGGCACGAGCTGTTCCAGTATAACAAAATATGCAAGAATAGTTATATTAGATATAGATCATAGATATGATTATATTTGAATATTAGTCATTAGCTTGTAGCAATTACTCTTTATTCCAATATTATAACAATCCTCGCTCTACAATCATAATCTAGGAAAAACCAGGCCATACAGAGATAGGAGCTGAGGGGACATAGTGAGGTGTGACCAGAAGACAAGAGTGCGAGCCTTCTGTTATGCCTGGACAGGGCCACCAGAGGGCTCCTTGGTCTAGCGGTGACGCCAGCATCTGGGAAGACGCCCGTTGCCAGGCGGACCAGGGTCTAGCGGTAGCGAAAAATGTGAAGGAACAACACCCGCTACTTAGCAGACAGGGAAAGGGAGTCTCCCTTTCCCCGGGGGAGTTTAGAGAAAACTCTGCTCCTCCACCTCTTGTGGAGGGCCTGACATCAGTCAGACCTGCCCGCAGTTATCCAGAGGCCTAACCGTCTCCCTGTGATGCTGTGCTTCAGTGGTCACGCTCCTTGTCCGCCTTCATGTTCCATCCTGTACACCTGGCTCTGCCTTCTAGATAGCAGTAGTCAATTAGTGAAAGTACTAAAAGTCTCTGATACGCAGAAATAACGGCGTAAGCTGTTTCTCTCTCTCCTCTCTCTCTCTCTCTGCCTAGGCTGCCAGGCAGGGAAGGGCCCCCTGTCAAGCGGACACGTGAACCACGTGACCTTACCTATCATTGGAGATGGCTCACACTCTTTACCCTGCCTCTTTGTCTTGTATCCAATAAATATCAGCGCAGCCTGACATTCGGGGCCACTACCAGTCTCCGCGTCTTGGTGGTAATGGTCCCCCGGGCCCAGCTGTCTTTTCATTTCTTTGCCTTGTGTCTTTACTTCTACAATCTCTCATCTCCGCACACGGGGAGAAAAACCCATCAACCCTGTGGGGCTGGTCCCTACACCCAATCAATTTTTTTTTTTTTTTTTTTTGAGACGGAGTCTTGCGCTGTCACCCAGGCTGGAGTGCAATGGCAAGATCTTGGTTCACTGCAACCTCCACCTCCCGGATTCAAGCTATTCTCCTGTCTCAGCTTCCCAAGTAGTTGGGATTACAGGCGCCGGCTGCCATGACTGGCTAATTTTTTGTATTGTAGTAGAGACGGGGTTTCACCATGTTGCCCGGGCTGGTCTTGAACTTCTGAGCTCAGGTGATCCACCCACCTCGGCCTCCCAAAGTGCTAGGATTGCAGGCATGAGCCACACACCTGACCCAGTTTTTTTTTTTTTTTACTTTTTTTTTTTTTTTTTGAAACCGAGTCGTGCTCTGTTACCCAGGCTGGAGTGCAGTGGCGTGATCTCAGCTCACTGCAAGCTCCACCTCCCAGGTTCACACCATTCTCCTGCCTCGGCCTCCCGAGCAGCTGGGACTACAGGCACCCACCACCACGCCCAGCTAATTTTTTGTATTTTTAGTAGATGCGGTTTCACCATGTTAGCCAGGATGGTCTCGATCTCCTGACCTCATGATCCACCCGCCTCGGCCTCCCAAAGTGCTGGGATTACAGGCGTGAGTCACTGCGCCCAGCTTTTTTTTTTGCGACTGAGTCTCACTCTGTCGCCTAGTACAGTGGCGCAATCTTGGCTAACTGCAACCTCCACCTCCCGGGTTCAAGTGATTCTCCTGCCTCAGCCTCCTGAGTAGCTGGGACTACAGGCGCACACCACCAGGTCTGGTTAATTTTTGTATTTTTAGTAGAGATGGGTTTTTACCATGTTGGTCAGGCTGGTCTCGAACTCCTGACCTCGTGATCCACCCACCTCTGCCTCCCAAAGTGCTGGGATTACAGGCGTGAGCCACCGCACCCGGCCTAATTTAGCTTTTTAAAAGAGAATCGGGCTGGGCACGGTGGCTCACACCTGTAATTGCAGCAAATTGGGAGCCCAAGGTGGGTGGACTACCTGAGGCCAGGAGTTCGAGAACAGCCTGGCCAACATGGTGAAACCCCATCTCTACTAAAAATACAAAAATTAGTCGGGCGTGGTGGTGGGTGCCTGTAATCCCAGCTACTCGGGAGGTTGAGGCAGGAGAATCACTTGAACCTGGGAGACTGAGGTTGCAGTGAGCTGAGATCACACCACTGCACTCCAGCCTGGGCAACAGAAGGACACTACGTCTCAAAAAAAAAAAAATAAAACAAACTAAAATAAAATAAAACAAAATATAAAATTAAAATAAAATAAATAAAAAAAATTTTAAAAAATAAATTTTAAAAATTAAAAAAAATAATAAAATAAAATAGCCGGTCTCAGTGGCTCACGCCCGTAATCCCAGCACTTTGGGAGGCCGAGGCGGGTGGATCATGAGGTCAGGAGATCGAGACCATCCTGGCTAACATGGTGAAACCCCATCTCTACTAAAAATACAAAAAACATAGCTGGGCGTGGTGGTGGGCGCCTGTAGTCCCAGCCACTCGGGAGGCTGAGGCAGGAGAACGGAGTGAACCCGGGAGGCGGAGCTTGCAGTGAGCCGAGATTGCACCACTGCACTCCAGCCTGGGCAACAGAGCAAGATTCTGTCTCAAAAATAAAATAAAATAAAATAAATAAAAATAAAAATAGGCCAGGCACGGTGGCTCACGCCCATAATCCCAACACTTTGGGAGGCTGAGGCAGGTGGATCACAAGGTCAGGAGATTGAGACCATCCTGGCTAACACTGTGAAACCCCGTCTCTACTAAAAAAAAAAATACAAAAAATTAGCCGGGCATGGTGGCAGGCGCCTGTAGTCCCAGCTACTTGGGAGGCTGAGGCAGGAGAATGGAGTGAACCCGGGAGGCGGAGCTTGCAGTGAGCCAAGATCGTGCCACTGCACTCCAGCCTGGGTGACAGAGCAAGACTCTGTCTCCAAAAAAATAAATAAATAAATAATAAAAAAATAAAAAATAAATTTTAAAAAGTAGTAAAATAAAACAAGATAAAAATATATAAAATAAAATAAAATAAAAATAAAAGAGAATCAACCTAGGACTAAGCCGACCAAGCCGACTGATTTCCCTTACAGACAGAAATCAGTATAGGCAGCACCAAGTCACCAGAAGAGACAGGCGATAGGAGAAAGGCCTGGGAAATGCAGGGCACCCCACAGTTAGCAGAGGGGTCCAAGGGCTCTGTCTGACAGCAATGGAACAAGAAAAAGGCCCATGGAGGACCTAACTGGGAATAAACAAACAGGGAAGGGAGGACAGAGGTGGCACTGCCACCCCCAACAAGCCTGCTGCTGCCCACGCACATGGTCAGGAACCACGGCCCGAAGGGAACCCAGAGCCACACTAACTGCTCAGCGTTTGAAGTGCAGTAGTTCAGATGGGCTCTAAGCATGAAAGACTCACCAGGTTTCAAATCTTAGTGATCCTCCCGCAAAAAGCATTATAGCTCAATATTTTTTTTTTCCTTTTGAGACAGGATCTCTCACTCTGTCGCCCAGGTTGGAGTGCAGTGGCTCAATCATACCTCACTGCAGCCTCAATATCCGAGGCCTAAGCAATCCTCCTGCTTCAGCCTCCTGAGTAGTTGAGACAACAGGTACGCACCACCATGCTTAGCTTAATTTTTTTTTCTTGTAGAGACAAGGTCTCCCTTTGGTCTTTAACTACTAAGCTCAAGCGATCCTCCCACCTCCGCCTCCCAAAGTACTAGGAGTACAGGCGTGAGCCACCGTACCCAGCCCAATCTTTCACATGAATTACATGCTGAAAGATAATATTTTGGATATACTGGACCAAAGAAAACATTAATGAAGTTGATCTCATTTTTTTTTCTTAATGTGGATGCTGAAAAATCTTAACTTATAGTTCGCTTTTTCCACTGAACAGTGCTAGTTTAAAGTTGGTTAGGGCCGGGCGCAGTGGCTCACACTTGTAATCCCAGCACTTTGGGAGGCCAAGGTGGGCGGATTACCTGAGGTCAGGAGTTCAAGACCAGCCTGGTCAACATGGTGAAACCCTGTCTGTACTAAACAAAAAAATAAAAAAATTAGCCAGGCATGGTGGGGCGCGCCTGTAGTCTCAGCTACTCGAGAGGCCGAGGCAGGAGAATTGCTTGAACTCAGGAGGCAGAGGTTACAGTGAGCCGAGATTGAGGCCCTGCACTCCAGTCTGGGTGACAGAGCAAGACTCTGTCTCAAAAAAAAAAAAAAAAATTGGCTAATTAAAAAATCTCACAACCAGTTGTGGTCGCTCACACCTATAATCCCAGCACTTCAGGAGGCTGAGGTGTGCAGACAGATTACTTGAGCCCAGGAGTTCGAGACCAGCCTGGGCAACACAGCGAAACACCAACTCTGCAAAAAGTATACAAATTAGCCAGGCATGGTGTCACACACCGGTGGTCCCAGCTGCTTAGGAGACTGAGGTAGGAGGATTGCTTGAGTCCAGGAGGTCGAGGCTGCAGTGAGCCACGATCACACCACTGTACTCCAACCTGGGTGACAGAGTGAGACCCTGTCTCAAAAAAAAAAAAAAAAAAAAAAACCCCAACAAATCTCGGCTAGGCATGGTGCCTCATGTCTGTAATCCCAGCACTTTAGAAGGCTGATGTGGGAGGATCGCTTCAGCCCAGGAGTTCAAGACCAGCCTGAGCAACATAGCCAGACCCCACCTCTACAAAAATATATATATATTTTTAAGTAGCCCCAGTGTGGTGGCACGTGCCTGTGGTCCCAGCTACTCAGGAAGATCACTTTAGCTCAGGAAGTCAAAGCTGCAGCGAGTCGTGATCACGCCACTGCACTCCAGCCTGTGCAACAGAGTGAGACCCTGTCTCTTAAAAAAGAAAAAAAAAGAAAAAAAGCCAGGCACGGTGGCTCACCCCTGTAATCCCAGCACTTTGGGAGGCCGAGGGGGGCGGATCACCTGAGGTCAGGAGTTCAAGACCAGCCTGACCAACATGGAGAAATCCCATCTCTACTAAAAATACAAAATTAGCCGGGCGTGGTGATGCATGCCTGTAATCCCAGCTACTCGGGAGGCTGAGGCAGGAGAATTGCTTGAACCTGGGAGGCGGAGGTCGCAGTGAGCCGAGATCACGCCATTGCACTCCAGCCTGGGCAACAATAGCGAAACTCCGTCTCAAAAAAAAAAAAAAAGAAAAAGAAAAAAAATTAGCCAGGCATGGTGGCGGGCGCCTGTAGTCCCAGCTACTCGGGAGACTGAGGCAGGAGAATGGAGTGAACCCGGGAGCTTGCAGTGAGCCGAGATCACACCACTGCACTCCAGCCTGGGCAACAGAGCGAGACTCCGTCTCAAAGAAAAAGAAAAAAAGTAGGGGAGGGGGGATTAACTTCACATGAGCGGGCTTTCCGCAGATTTTAAATGTTGTCCATATATCACTTTAACGAAAAGTAAAATGCAAACAGAAAAACAACCAACTTTCTTTCCAGCATGTGTACAAGCCAGCCCTCCCCCACCACCCAGCCAAGAAGCAGAACCACCCGATCATTCACAGGGCAGCAGAGTGCTGATCCCCAGGCAGCTGAAGGCGCTAGCCGTGGCATCCCCAAGAGGTGCCCCACCCCGCACACGGCCTGTCCCCTCACCTCGCCCTGGCGCCTGGTCTTGGGGGAAGGACTGAAAAAGTTGTGCAGGACAGAGAGCTCTGTACTGAAGAGAGCGCTCTCCTTCTCCAGGATGTACTGCTTCAGGAGTGGGGAAACCTCGTCCCCGAAGAGGGCCTGGTTGTCTTGCCAGATCTGCCGCTTCACCTCCACGGCGCAGGCTCGATACAGCTCCTTGTCAGCCATAACCAGCTTCAGTTTTTTCTCCGGAACCTACATGACACCACAGGCTGCCTGTGAGTGGCACCTGTGTCCCTGGGTCTCCTTCAAGACAAGCCAAGAGGCCTCAGCCCCGCAGAGACCACCTCGAGCTAAGCTCCACCCCACAGGGCACCTATGACTGGTTCCCCGGCCCCAGCATGTCAGACAGACATGCTAAATACCAACAGCTCTTTCCCAGGAGGGGCCCCACACCCTAACTCCAGTGCTAAGGTTCGGTCTCCACGCGGCTCATGTGGGAGAAGTCAGCACAGAGCTCACCATGGACAGCACTTGGGCAGGCAGCACAGGAAGCTCCCGGAGCTAGGCGGCCACCGGAACTTCCACTAACCAAGGGCATGAGAGTGGGCGGACGGTCCACGCCATCAGGGTTAGGGTTAGGGCCCTACCTTGGGCAGGTGCTTCATGACGCACATCACCACGGGCTGCAGGGACGGCATCTTCACCAGAGAAAAGCTCTTCTCCAGAAGGTCTTCCAGCTTCTTGTACCTGGAACAACTCACAGGATTGATGGTGCAGCGATGCGCCAAATCGCAGCAGCTACCTGCCTGTCCCTACACAGATAACAGCTACCAGGACAAGCCTCCACGCCCAGGACACATGGGTCAAGGGGTCACTCAGACACAGGCCCAGGCCACCTCTGGGAGCAAGGATGTGGAGCCAAAAGGACAATAAATGCCCCTGAGTCGATCCAAGGCTGAGAGGCCGGCTGCACATCTCACCTGCCCACCCCTCCCGCTGACCCACCTTTCCTCAGCCTTCCCCTCCGAAGCGATGGCTGACACTCGCTCCAGCAGCTTGTCCCGCAGCTCATCGAATACCGACTGGTGGAACTCCAGCCGCGGCGTCCCGTGCAGGTCCAAGAAGGGGAGGGCTGACTGAAGAGATGGCAGCAGCACACCATTCTCTGTCTGAGGAAGCCAAGAGAAACCTCAAACGCAGCCCAGTGCGCCCGGGCACCCCGAGGTCCTGAGAGCACAGGGAGGCACGCACCCAGGTGTTCCCAGCCGTGCTGGCGGTAACCGCAGCCACCGAAAGCCACCCAGCCGTCCAGCAAAGGGGTGCTGGCTCCGGACTCCACCCCCAGAACAGGACTCAGCCACCAGCAGAAAGCCGGAAAACTTCCGGCGCCTCCGCCAGGCCCGACTCCCGAGCAGGCGGCCCGGCCCTCCAACTGGGCTCCCCCCGCCCCGGGGGCCGCCCCACCTGGAACTGCTCGATGGCCTTGAGCGGCTCCGTGCAGTTGGTCAGGGTCTCCTTCAGGTCCTCGCCGTTGGCCACGCCCAGGTCCTGCAGCCCCGCGAACATGGCCGAGGCCCCGGCCACCGCCCGGCTAGGCGCCCCATCCCCAGCCCGTTCCCCCGGCGCCGCCGCAGACACCCCAGAAGCCCGCTCCGCCGGGCCTCGGGGACCGCCCGAGCCCCGCTCCCCGGCGCCCTCCAGCTCGGCCAGGTCCCGCCCGCCGCGCGACTCCGCGCGCGTCCCGCAGCCGCCCACTTCCGCCCCGCACCGCCCAGGTCCGCCCGCCAACCGGCCCCCGGGAAACGCCGCCGGGGCCGCGCGCAGGTTCCTGGGAGCAGCGCCCTCACCCGGCGCGAGAGACCCCGCCCAGCCAGCCCAGCGCGCATGCGCCCACCCGGTCCCGCCCGCGCCCGGGCTTTCTGGCAGAAGAGGGCGGGTGAGGGCGTGGGGGGCGGACTCAGGGTCCGTCTGCTCCGGGAACGGACGTCGTCGCAGCCGAGTGAATTTCGTGTACATAAGCGTGGAAAACGCTCTTGCAGATCTCGCGGCAGCCACGCGCAGCGGGGACGTTTTGCCGGGGGTTGAGCTCCCCGCCCCTCTGCCCCGCAGGGGCCGGACACAGGCGCAGACTCCCTCCTGAGCGTGGGTTCCTCCGCGTGAAACGGGCACGAAGCCCACCCCGGCGCTGTCGCCAAAACTGAGATCTGAGCGCCTTCAGGGGGCCGGGGCCTGGCGGAGACCGGGCCCGCAGCGGGAGCGCGAGCGACGGCCGCCCTCCCAGGCACCGGGAGGCTGTGGCGCCCACCGAGCTCCGCGGAGCCGTGAAGGAGAGTCCAGGTTCCACAGTGTCCCTTCTTATCCCAGGCGGGTGGGCTCCCCGGGCCTCCCCGCCTCTCCAGCCCGCCGCCCTCCCGCAGGCTGTGCCGCGCCAAGCCCCCTACACACACCCTCTCTCTTTTCGGTCTCCGCTGCTGAAATTTTCTCTAGAAATTTCTTTCCCGCTGCCCAGCAAACTCTTGCTCTTCCTTGAAGGCTTCTTCCTCCACCACCTCCTCCAGGAAGCCCTCCCTCCTCAGCCCAGCTGGAGGAGATCGCTCCATCTTTCCTGCCGCTCCCACTCCTAGCTTTGGGTCTCACCAGGGGTGCCTGGTGGTGCAGCCGTGAGCAGAGCTCCTGTTCCCACAAGCCGGGCCGAGCTCCCAAGGCCATGGCTACCACAGCTCTCTTGCCGCTGGCCAAGTTGGTCAGCCCTAGGGCGAGGGTTCCAGTGCCTTGATCCAACCCCCAGCTGGTTCGGTGGCAGAGGAGGACAAGGGTCACAGCACACACACAATCCTGAGCCTGGGATTCCTCTCTGAGAAAGGGGGTGGTGCTGAGGCCACAGAAGCAGCTGCCCAGAGCCTTTTTGAAGGGGTTGAGCTCTGGGCCTGGTCTGGGTCCTGGGTCTGGGGAGGACCTGGGGAGGTGCGGGTGACGGCACCGCAGGTAAGGCTCCTGCAAGGTGGCAGCCTTGGGGCCCGACCCTGGGTAGGAGGGCAGGCCAGTGATGACAAGGGAGGCCCCAGCCAGGCGAAGTTGCAGGCAGGGGCAGTGCAGGGTCCCAGCAGGTGAAGGCCCCGGGAGTGGAGTCTGCAGGGCCCTGGGCCAGAGTGTTCAGGGCACAGGTGACTAAGCCCAGCCAGGTCTTCAGCTCAAGGCCTAGGGGAAGTGGGGCTGGGCCCTGGTGAGCAGATCCCTGGGCCCTTCCTGAGGTCTGGCCAGGCCGACCCCACCTGGAGGTGGCGGCTCAGGGCATTTGACGCCTCCTTCCCAGTTCCCTGGCTCGGCAAGCAGCTGACCCTCAGGTGGACAGCAGCTAGACCAGGCCCCTGAGTGACACGGCTGGGTGGGGGTGTCCCACAGAGCCCACCTCCCATCTCGCTCCAGGCTAGAGCTCAGGGTCAGTCACAGGCTGCCACCCTAGAGAAGAGAGCACCTTTCAGGGGCAGCTGAATGGAGACCCCTCAACAGGGAAAGCCGGAAATGACCCAGCGGCAGCCATATCTCTAGGACCGCCCCCGGGTGAAGGACAGACAACTGCACACCACAGAGCTCGGGAAAACCAACAGCATCTCAGTGTAGCGGGGAGATGGGCAGATGGGGGATCCAGGCTGGGCCAGCCTTGTCCACAGCCCATAGAAGGGTTGGCCAGCCAGAAGGGTGCATCGGGGTGCCCAGAGGGTCAGAAGGCCAGGCTGGGGCCCCAAGTCCCAGGGGAGGCCTGGGAAAGCCCCGGGGGAGGCCATGGTTCCACTCGGTGGCCGGGCCAAGCAGGTTGTGCCCAGCTGGCTCTAGAGCGTGCAGAAGGGGCCTGTGTCGTGGCGCTTGGGTCTGCGTACACCCTGGATGACCACGCCAGGCGCCGAAGGGAAGCGTGAGTTGCAGTCCTCCACGTGGTAGGCGGCTGGGCCAGGGGTTCGGGCTGCCGAAAGAGAAGGCTGGGAGCCCCACCCAGGTAGCAGCCCCAACTCAAACCTGGCTCCCAGTTCCCACCCCCGGCCCCTGAACCCTTGTCCTCACATTGCCCACCCATGCCCCATCCCTAGCCCTCTTCTCTCCAGGCCTCCTTACAGGTGCTGAGCCAGGAGGTGAACGCAGGGGAGCGGCTCATCGAGAAGGCCGGCGAGCGGGGGCTCTGCAGGCGGCTCCCAGGAAGGATATTGTAGGTGTTGGGGCCAGGGCATCTCTTGCCAGGTGCCTGCAAAGAGGCCTGAAGCAGGGACTGGGGCTGCACCCTGAGGCCCAGCCCCCTAGCCCCAGGCAGCCCTAGGTGGGTGTGGCCTTCAGGTGTCTTGGAAGCGGAGTGGCAGCCTCTGAAGCTGAAGGCGGGGAAGGCGGGCCGGCTGAGCAGCTGGTAGTGGGCTGGCGAGGGCCACTGCGAGGGGGTAGGAGACGGGCTGCAGGGCAGGGTGCTCCCCACGGACCCTCAGCCAGCCCCCCTTTGGCCCCACTGGAACCCCCAGCCCCCTGCCTGCGTGGACTCCCCGCCCCCTTCCTGCCCAGCCCCCAACCTTTTGCTCTTGGTCGAAGTCAGCTTTCTGCGTGAAGGGGCTTTCGCTCTGGAACCACAAAGTCTGCCATGCCCTGCGGCCACCGCCCTCTGTAGTTGGAGGATGGAGAGAGAGAAGGCTGGGAGCCCCACCCAGGTGACAGTCCCCACTCGAACCTGTCTCCCGGTTCCCACCCTCGGCCCCTGAACCCTTGTCTTCACAATGTCCACCCATGCCCCAGCCCTAGCCCTCCTCTCTCCAGGCCTCCTTACAGGTGCTGAGCCTAGAGGTGAACGCAGGGAAGGGTGGAGGGGCCCTCAGGCCGTGGGGGTTTCAGCACAGAGGCAAAGGCCCCCATTCCCAGGGTGAGGGACAGGCCCGGTGGTTGGGCCTCAGGGAGGGGACACACACCTCGGCCCTGGTGCTTGCAGCCGATGCTGTAGTGGGGGTGTGGGGAGGACTCTCGTACGGACGGGCTCGGCACCTGGTACCTGGTGGGGCTGGGGACTTCCAGGTCAGCTGTGATCAGGGGGCGTTGCTCCAGCACTGGCCACAGGAAGCAAGCTCTGGGCCTGGGCTCCTTTCAGCGGGCCCCTCCCACAGCCCCCCAAAGACCAGCTTGGGGGTGGGGTGGCCAGGACCCTCACTCACATAGTTCCCTCAGGGTCTGGGTGTAGGTGGGCAGGGACTCCTGGGGGGTGCCCGTCTGTAACCTGAGGCCAACTGGGATCTCCTTCATCTTTGGGGGCTGTGTCTCATCCCAGGCCATCCCCGGCTCCGGGCCCAACAACAGCACAGATGCCTTGGGCCTGCAAGGGAGACCAGCAGCCACTGTCTCAGCCCCCGGCCGCTCCCAGCCACATGCCCCACAGCCTGTCCCCTCTATTGTCCCTCAGCCCCCGGCTGCTCCCAGCCACGTGCCCCACAGCCTGTCCCCACACTGTCCCTCAGCCCCTGGCCGCTCCCAGCCGCCTGTCCCCTCTACTGTCCCTCAGCCCCTGGCCGCTCCCAGCCGCCTGCCCCACAGCCTGTCCCCACACTGTCCCTCAGTCCCCCAGCCGCCTGCCCAGCAACCTGCCCCCCACACTGTCCCTCAGCCCCCTGGCCACTCCCAGCTGGCCCGCCCCTTCTCCCCCTCTCCGCCAGTTACTGGGTGGGCTCTGGTTGTGTCTGCCTCAGGTGACCATGGGTCCAGTGTTTGCCTCCATTGATGTAAAAATTTGCCAGGAATTTCACTGCCTTCTGGTCAGAATTCATCATCAGAGTCTCCTGGCTCTCTTCCCCAACGGCACCACGGAGCTCTGTGACCTCACTGGTAGGCCCCTCTGTTGCTGGGACTCCTGAGGAAGACACATTGTCTGGCCCTGGAGGGGCTGCCCCGGGCCCCGACCCCTGGTGGGCCCCTCCCCCACTAACTAGATGATCAGCGGGTCCGCCTGGGCCAGGACCCCCAGCCTGCCCCGGTGACTCCTGGCCCAGCCCTCTCCCTCCCCGCAACCTTTCCAGCCTTCTCCCCTCTCCTGCACCCTGGGGTCTCCTGGGAGTCTGGGGTCCACTCTAGCAGGTCTGGGAGGACTGAGGCCTCAGCAGAGGGGGTGGAGGGAACAGGACCCACCGGCATCCACCAAGCCCTAGGAGATGCCCAGCTGTGTCTGGCCAGCCAGGACCCCCTGGGGGTAGGAGGGAGGGGCCCAGGAAGGCTCCCTGGAGGAAGAGGAGGAGCCGCCACCCCATCTGGATTTCCACTTAAGGGAAAAGCAAATCCACATCAGATGGGTCTGACACCAGAGGCAGGCCGGGCCTTGGAGCCCAGCCAGGGCTGGGGTGTGAGGGCCTACCTCTCACCTGGGGGCACAGAGGCTAGAGGGTGTCACAGATGGCCGGGCTGCCAGAGCTGCAAAGGAACAGCCAGCCTGTGTGAGCAAGAGCCCGTGTGGGCACCAGGGCCCTCACTGTGTGGTCTCTGGAGCTGACCACCAGTTGGTCCCAGCCCTGACCTTGGCCCAGAATCCACCAGGGCAGGGCCTGTGAACAGGGCCAACTTGGGGCCCTCCTCCGCCCTCTCTGGATGCCTCCCCTTCAGCACTGGGCCTGCCAGGCAGACAGATGGACACGTGCTTGAGGAAACACGGGTTTTATCTGGGCGAGGGGTTCACGCCTGTGCTCCGGGGCCCCTGCCCAGGTTGTGCCGGGTTCAGAGTTGACTGGCTGCCAGTGGAACAGAGTGTACTTTGCTAATGAAGCCCTTGTCATTGGACAGATAGGCTCCTCCAGGTCCTCCCTGCCCTGTAATAAACGTTGCCACCGTGAATGGTGCTGCTGGACATCCATCCTCTCCTTGAGAAGGTGCGTGGGGGAAATGCTCTCTCAGTGTCCGGCTCTGCGCCCACACCACCACAGCCGTCACAGAAGGAGGCCTCTGCCCAAATGTTGAGGGAGGGGGGTTGTTCCCCACACACCAAGCTGGGTGTCCTCTAATTCATTTCCTTCACCATTTACCTGGAGATGGTGTCAGATCCCACAGGGTGAGAGCTCCATCCCAAGAAGGCCTCCAGACACAGATAGGGGCAGGGCCTCCAGACACACACCAGTCGCAAGCCTGGGCCCCTGGAACTTCTGACCAACTAGCTTCAATTTGGGGTTCCTGTGACACCGTCTTTGGGTTAATTTGCTGGAGCCACTCATAGAACTAGGGAAGTTATGACGTTTACTGGTTTATTGTAAAGGGTATTGATTGCAAAGGATACCAATGAAGAAGCGTAGAGAGAGGCACGGGGAGGGGCTGGCGCTTCCATGTCCTCGCTAGTTGCCGCCCTCTGGGAACCTCCAGGTGTTCCCCTGTCCAGAAGTTCCCTGAGCCTCAGTCCTCTTGGGATTTTACGGAAGCTTCCTGATGTCAGCATTCCTGCCCCCAGGGCTTAGGTGGGACCTCTCCTGGAAGGGTCTTAAGACCCACAGTCAGAAAGGTGAGAATGTTAGCGTCCTGCCTTGGGGCAGGTGAAAGGAGGGCAGGAGGTAAAAGTCCCCCGCCCGCACCCCCCAAGCATCACCCACCCAACATTCTAACAAAAGGCCCTACCAAGGGCTATGGGAATATGGGAATTACCAGCCAGGAACGGTGGAGGAAAACCAGCGTCTACCAGAATGCCAGACAGCTTCTTAGGAGTGGAAGCAATGGTCCCAGTTTGCAGTGTCTTGTATGGACGTGATCCATACCAACTTGGTTTCCAGAAGGCACCACCCAAATTAGAGGCCCTTCTCACTGTGACCCTGCCGGCAGTAAGCCTCAGAAACTGCTCTCAACACACAGTCAGCATGTATGTGATTATGGTCCTGCTTTATGCCCTTATATTTACGGACTGCGGTCTTTTTTTCTTAAAAAGGTCATATTGGCCGGGCACAGTGGCTCACGCCTGTAATCCCAGCACTTTGGGAGGCCGAGGTGGGCGGATCACGAGGTCAGGAGTTCGAGACCATCCTGGCTAACATGGTGAAACCCTGTCTCTACTAAAAATACAAAAAAAAAAACCATATTAGTCTGCATTTTCCATGGAGGTGTTGTTTATATCTTTGTTTTGTGAGAGCTTTTTATGCTGATACCAGATTTGTTCATAGCACTTACTGCAAACTTTTTTCCAGTTTTTTAGTTTGCCTTTTAGTTGTTTTTTTGTTTGTTTGTGAGAAATGGTCTGGTTCTGTTGCCCAGGCTGAAGTGCAGCGGTGCGATCTCAGCTCACTACAGCCTCAACCTCCTAGGCTCTGGCCATCCTCCCACCTCAGCCTCCCAAGTAACTGGGATCACAGGCACATTCACCATGCCTGGCTAATTTTTCTTTCTTTTTTGTAGAGGTGGGGTTTCCCCATGTTGCCCAGCTGGCCTGAACTCCTAGGCTCAAGCAATCTGCACACCTCATCCTGCCTCGGCCTCCGAAAGCACCGCAATTATAGGCATGAGCCACAGTGCCCAGCCTTTCTTCTTTCTTTCTTTTTTTTTTTTTTTTTTTGAGACAGAGTCTCACTCTGTGGCCCAGGCTGGAGTGCAGTGGCACGATCTCAGCTCATTGCAATCTCCACCTCCTGGGTTCACGCCATTCTCCTGCCTCAGCCTCCCGAGTAGCTGGGACTACAGGCGCACGCCACCGCACCTGGCTAATTTTTGTATTTTTAGTAGAGACGGGATTTGACTATGTCAGTCAGGCTGGTCTCGAACTCCTGACATGATCTGCCTGCCTCGGCCTCCCAAAGTGCTGGGATTACAGGTGTGAGCCACCGTGCCTGGCCGCCTTCCTTCATTTTTATGGTTAGGAAGTCCTTCCTGTACAAAAAAAGAACAAAATTCAGGATTTGCTTAAAATGTAAACATAACACCCTGCGCCACATGAAGGGCTGGAGGGAGAGTTCGCACAGCCCTGCAGGCCGGGAAGCCCCTGACTCGAGCCAAGGCTCTGCAGCTGCAAGGCCTCCTGTCAGAGGAGGGGGCCTGGGGACTCCCTTAGCCTCACCCTGAGACTGGGGCTGGTGGCCTCCTGGGGGCAGCAAGAGCCCAGGCCCTTTCTGGAGGGACAGTCCTGTTTTCTGAGCTCTGAAGTTAATGGGACTTCCTCCCGGACCACCTGCCTCACCGCAACTCCTCCCCTGCCTGGCACCTGTCTGGGCCTCAGTGTCTCACCTGTGCAATGTGGGCCCTCACAGGGTTAGCGAGGTGGCCTGGCCCAGGAGGTGCCCACAATGCTGGCCCCTCACAATGGTTGCCCGGTGACAGGACTCCCCTCAGGGAAGGGAGCTGGATGCCGGGAGGGACTGGAGCCAGCAAGGCCAGAGTGAAAGCAAAATGACAACTACTCAGAAACACGATCTCTTCACGCCGGAGCCTCACTATGTCCCTGGGTGAGAGCCGGGAGCTCTGGAGGTGGCTGGGGCCAGGGCTGCAGGAGGGGGAGAATGGCTGGGGCCTGAGGCATGGAGGCCAGCTGTGAGGGGCCCAGAGCTGGACCCCAGGAAACTGAAGGCCACACCACGGGGCACTGCAGTCTGTGGGCTGGGGAGCCCTGGGACAGGGGAAGCTCAGGGATGGGGTTGCCAGGGGCCCAGGCCTCACCCTCCCTGCTGGTGTGCAGCTGCGAACTCGATACCTGGTGGCCAGCACGTCTGTCGAGCAGAAACTGGGTCAGCCAGCAGCCGGCAGAGGCCGGCTAGTAAGTGCCCGACGCCCACTCCAGAGAGGACTCCACACTTCATTTCATTTTATTTATTTATTTTTTGAGACAGAGTTTCGCTCTTATTACCCAGGCTGGAATGCAATGGTGCAATCTTGGCTTACCGCAACCTCTGCCTCCCAGGTTCAAGCGATTCTCCTGTCTCAGCTTCCGGAGTAGCTGGGATTACAGGCATCTGCCACCACACCTGGCTAATTTTGTATTTTTAGTAGGGACGAGGTTTCTTTATGTTGGTCAGGCTGGTCTCGAACTCCTGACCTCAAGTGATCTGCCCACCTCGGCCTCCCAAAGTGCTGGGATGACAGGCTTAAGCCACCACGCCCGGCCAGGACTCCACACTTTAAAGACAAGGCAAGCAAACGCCAGGCTGCCTCACTAGATATCCCCCCAAACAAAAAATAAAAGTAACCCCTCTACGGAACGTGTGTGTGTGTGCACCTACATACACACACGCTACATGCAAAGGGGAAAGGCTGGGAAGAAACCACACCTGCCTCTGAACAGCTACGTCTGGGGAAGGGGCAGGTGAAGCTGAGGCTGGAAGTTGCTCGGCTTTTTTTTTTCTTTTGAGACGGAGTCTCGCTCTGTTGCCCAGGCTGGAGTGCAGTGGGGCGATCTTGGCTCACTGCAAGCTCCGCCTCCTGGGTTCACGCCATTCTCCTGCCTCAGCCTCCCGAGCAGCTGGGACTACAGGGCCCGCCACCAATGCCTGGATAACTTTTTGCATTTTTAATAGAGACAGGGTTTCACCATGTTGGCCAGGATGGTCTTGATCTCCTGACCTCGTGATCCGCCCGCCTCAGCCTCCCAAAGTGCTGGGATGACAGGCGTGAGCCACCGCGCCCGGCCCTTTGGCAGTTTTTAAGACGAAGGTAGTTCTCACTCCTTGAAAGATCACATAGACCCTGAGGCGCTGAACCGCCTGTGACCACCTGCACCATGCCCCTCGAGGTTGAATGAGGGCCCGGAAAAGCCCAGCCCTCCACCTGCCTCCCAGTTCTCTTCCCGTGCAGGAGGCTACTGGCCTCCTGGGGTGGCACAGGTGCAGGCCAAGCCCACGCAACACCCTCCTGGTGGGCCCTGCGTGTGTCCAAGGGTCCGTCCCTCGCCTATGTCCTGGCCCACACGTCTTGTGCCTGTACTTGCTTTGCCAGGGCAGAGCACCCCTGATTTGCTGGCAGTTGGAATGAGGGGTGGGAGAGGGTTGGAGGGGCTGGTACAAGGCAGGCGGCCATCTGCTGTGGTGCTGACGTGTTCCCAGCATGTGGTGTGTGCCGCCTGTTCAGGCTGAGAGAGCTCTAGAAGGCAAGTGCCACTGCAGCCCCATTTACAGGTGAGCAGAGGGCAGGCGAGCTGCCACAGGCCAACCTGCTGCTAAGTGGCCAGCAGGCTGAATCCACATCTGGCTTGAAGGGGCCCTGCCCAGTGCTGGGGCTGCCCTTGAGACCTGCCCTGCCTTCTTCTCTTCCCTCCACAGCTATGCCGGCTTCTTTCCGCAGCTGCGCTACCAGGTGGGGAACACCTATGGGCGTACCACGGGGCAGCTGCTCACAGACCCCAGTGTGCAGAAGAGCCCCTGCTCTGTGCTGTCCCCCATGTCCAAACCCAAGTTCATTGAGGACTTCAGCCAGTCCAAGCCCCCGAGGGTTCCCTGCCAAGACCTGACGGAGCCCTACATCCCCCACTACACCAGTGAGCTGCCAGTCCCCAGCCCTGCACCCTCCTGTGCCCGCCTGCCTGTCCCGGCACTCACAGGCTGCCCTGTTGGTACAGGTCTGAAGCCCTCTAAGAACTTTGAGATTCTGGGCCAGCTCCCACCCTTGGAGGTGGACGCCCAGGAGCCGCCAGGGGTAGAGAACATACCCAGACAGATTCTGCTGCCTGCAGGCTTCACGCCCGACACCCCGCACCCTCCGTGCCCACCAGGCAGGAAGGGAGACTCCAGAGACTTGGGACACCCAGTATACGGGGAAGAGGCCTGGAAGAGCGCCACTCCTGTTTGCGAGGCCCCCAGGCAGCACCAGGCAGCCAGGGGATGCACCAGTGCCAAGCCCATTCCGCTCAGCCCCAGGTGGGAGCTGCACCGTGACCTCCGCTTCCTCCCCGCTCCAGCTGTACCACTGCCAGAGGGATGAGTACCCACCCCCCGCCCGCCGCCAGCAGGAGACGCTAGATGTGGGCAGCTTCCAGCGGCTGCCGCAGCTGGACCACCCTAACCTAATCCAACGCAAGGCCATCTCAGGTGGGTGTGGGCCTGGGCTGGGCTGGAGAAGGCCGCCCCTCCCCACAAGGTTCTTGCAGTGTGAGAGCCCCTGAGGAGGCTGCCACAGGGGCCCACTTTTCCTGCTCCAGAACAGGCTAGCGGCCTGGGGGGACCTCCTCTGCCTCCCAGCTGCTTCCAGGAGCCCAGCTTTTCCCAAGACGAGGCGGTGCCTTGCCTGCCTGTTCCCATTTGGCCACATCAGACAGTCGCCAACGTTCAGGGAACGAAAGGGAGCCTTGCCTGGCTTCCCTGACACGTCTGAGGGCAGGTGGGTGTGCCCAGGGGAAGGCTAAGGGGGCTTGGGGTAGCCCGTACATCTGCCTACCCCCAGGCTATGCTGGCTTCATTCCCCGTTTCACCTGGGTAATGGGGTTGAATTACCGAGACGGCGTCATGCAAGCCATGGACGAATTCGACAAGAGCCAGGTAGGAAAGCGCCATCCAGGGCCTGCTCCCAGCTCACACACACACTTCCTCTCCTGCCTGGCAGCTTCCCTGGAGGGTGCCTTGAAGGCCAGGTTCCCTGAGAAGCCTGAGGAGGGGGCTCTGCCTGGCTCTCTCCTGTCCCCGGAGGTGCCGCCCCAACCCCTCTCTCCTGAGTCTTGCTTGGATCCCTGCACTCAAGTTTTGGAGTCGGGGGTAGGGGGATGCAGAAGGCTGGGAGCATTAGCAGCTTTCCCACGGAGTGCCGGCCCTCCGGCCAGGCCCCCACTGGGACAACTTGACTATCTGTTTGCCTGCCGGGGAGGGAGCTTGTTAGCACCTTCCTGTCTCCCCAGTTCCTGTTTAGAAACCCCCACTGTGACCTGGGCGAGAAGCTGCCTGGAACACACTGGCCCAGCAACCACATCTACAGCAGCCAAGGCCTGATCCCCTTCTACATGGGGTTCATCCCCGGTGAGTAGAGTGGGCAGGGTCACATGGACACACCCCGGCCAATGTGGGGAGGGACGGCTCTACCTGCTCACCCTTCATTGCTGGTTCAGGACCACCTGTCTGACCATTACCAGGGTCCCACCTTGGTTGGGGTAGGATTGTCTGCCATCCTCCCTACCCCTTTTGGAAGGGGGGTCACTGGACCCACCTAAGTCCCAGACACAGGCCGAGCCCCAAGGTTGGGTACCTGGAACAGGACAGGCCTGCCTTCAACAAGCAAGTTCCCCACCAAGCAGATACCCAGGGCCCAGGGCAGCCCCACACTTCTCTGAAGCCTGGGTGTCCAGCCCATGCTGGTCCTGGGCACATAAGCCCAGCTCAGCTGCAGCCTGGCTCCCCGCAGCCATGCAGGACAACTACGCCCTGACATTCGGCAACAGCACCCGGAGGGCCTACTGGAAGGAATGGGCAAAGCGAAACCACACACTATGAAAATGCTTTAATGGTGGTGTCTGTACAGCATGGATGTGGACAGGGAAAACAGCAAGTGCACACAGTGGGACAGGCCACAGGACAGGCTGGGAGTGAATAAAGAGTTCACACTGCTTCCCTGCTTTCCCCAGTGACTGAAGGCTCTAGGCCACCTCCTCCTCAGCCTCCTCCTCGAACTCGCCCTCCTCCTCGGCTGTGGCATCCTGGTACTGCTGGTACTCGGACACCAGGTCATTCATGTTGCTCTCGGCCTCGGTGAACTCCATCTCGTCCATGCCCTCGCCCGTGTACCAGTGCAGGAAGGCCTTGCGCCGGAACATGGCCGTGAACTGCTCGGAGATGCGCTTGAACAGCTCCTGGATGGCCGTGCTGTTGCCAATGAAGGTGGCGGACATTTTTAGCCCCCGAGGTGGGATGTCACAGACAGCCGTTTTCACATTGTTGGGGATCCACTCAACAAAATAGCTGCTGTTTTTGTTTTGGACATTAAGCATTTGCTCATCCACCTCCTTCATGGACATGCGGCCCCTGAACACGGCGGCAACCGTCAGGTAGCGGCCATGGCGGGGGTCGCAGGCAGCCATCATGTTCTTGGCATCAAACATCTGCTGGGTGAGCTCGGGCACGGTCAGCGCCCGGTACTGCTGGCTGCCCCGGCTGGTCAGTGGGGCAAAGCCGGGCATGAAGAAGTGCAGCCGGGGAAACGGGACCATGTTCACAGCCAGCTTCCGCAGGTCAGCATTGAGCTGGCCTGGGAAGCGCAGGCAGGTGGTGACCCCACTCATGGTAGCAGACACCAGGTGGTTCAGGTCACCATAGGTGGGCGTGGTCAGCTTTAGGGTTCTGAAGCAAATGTCGTAGAGAGCTTCGTTATCAATGCAGTAGGTCTCGTCTGTGTTTTCTACGAGCTGGTGGACTGAGAGGGTGGCGTTGTAGGGCTCCACCACTGTGTCTGACACTTTGGGCGAAGGCACCACACTAAACGTGTTCATGATCCTGTCTGGGTACTCCTCCCGGATCTTGCTGATGAGGAGGGTACCCATCCCAGACCCAGTCCCCCCACCCAGGGAGTGGGTCAGCTGGAAACCCTGCAGGCAGTCACAGCTCTCAGCCTCCTTTCTCACAACATCCAGCACCGAGTCCACCAGCTCCGCGCCTTCTGTGTAGTGCCCCTTGGCCCAGTTGTTCCCAGCACCACTCTGACCTGTGAGAGAACACAGCTAATCATTTGTCAGCCAGGTAGACAGCACTACTGGTCACCGCCATGCGAAAAAAGCCGAGTGACATGGTGTGAGCTGACCACAGAATTCACCCTGGAGGTAGAGCAAACGGACCCTTCAAAGCCAAAAGACGGCAGCCTGCCCTGCTACGAATTAAGTCAGGGGCCAAACCTGACAGCTTAACAAACCCCTCCCCGGGGGGGCCACTGCCAATTCCCAAGGACAGAGGAACAGCCACTGCCCCAGCTCAGCTCCCTGCAGGGAGATTACGTGTGTGGCGGCTCCTCGCCTCGGCAGACAGCTGGACCTTGCTCCCAAAGCCGATTTAGTAGAGGGGATTGAGTGGCTCAGAGAAGAGGAGGGCGTCCAGGGGCCCCGGCTGCGCAGTTCCCACGGCGGTGCCCTTGGAGCAGCCCCTTGACCTTTGAGCCGCCGCCCAGTCCCCAGCCACGGCTCACCGAAAACGAAGTTGTCCGGCCGGAAGATCTGCCCGAAGGGCCCCGAGCGCACGGAGTCCATGGTGCCGGGCTCCAGATCCACGAGCACGGCGCGGGGCACGTACTTGCCGCCTGCGGGGACGGGAGGGCGTCAGCCAAGGCAGGGGCCGCGGGGTCCCCGGAGGGCGGTCGGGGAAGGGGCCGGGGCCTCACCGGTGGCCTCATTGTAGTACACGTTGATGCGTTCCAGCTGCAGGTCGCTGTCCCCGTGGTAGGTGCCCGTGGGGTCGATGCCGTGCTCATCGCTGATCACCTCCCAAAACTACAAGGGACGCGGGCGGGCCCGGGCGGGCCGGGGCTGAGTCACCGCGGCCGGTGCGCAGGGAGGCAGCCCCGCCCCGGACGGGCGCGGCAGCCCGGCCCTCCCCGCCCCTCCCCCGCCCCGCGCGCCCTGGCCGCCGGGTTCCTGGGGGCTTCGGTCGCCCGGCTCGGCCAATTCCCCGCGGAGGGGGCCCGGCGGCCGCAATGCGGGGGCGCCGCCCGGCCGCTGCTGCCGCCATCTTCCCCGGCCGCCCGCCCACACCGCCCGGCAGGCCCGCCTGGCCCCAGCGCCCCGGCAACTTACCTTGGCGCCGATTTGGTTGCCGCACTGCCCGGCCTGCAAGTGCACGATTTCCCTCATGATGGCGGCGGCGGCGGCGGGGAAGCAGGAGGAAGTAGACAAACAGCAGCAGAAGAGCGGGCGCGCAGAGTGCTACAACCGACGCTCCGCCAACGCTTATATACCCTCCCTGCCCGCCTCCGCTAGTCTCGGAATGGGCTGCCAGAACGAGGCTGGCAAGCTCCCTCGTTTGATTGGCCTTGCCCCCGTCAATCAAGCTGCCTAAGGTCCGCCTTTTTAAGCCAGTTTGGTCTTTATTGGTCAGCCGCAGCCTCCTATCTCCCTATCACAATCCCCCTCCTGGCGCCGCAGTGCTCCGTCCATTGGGTGTTTCAAATGATTGATTTGCCGTCTCATTGGCTGGCTGCCGGGAGCACGCCGCCAGGCTGGCGCTATTGGCTGCGCTGCTTCAGCGTCCTGGTAACCGCCGCAGTGCCGCGGCCGGCGCGCGGACGGGGTGGGGCGCAGGCGCGAGTGCGGGCTTCCGGTCGGGCGGCGGGCAGCTGCGCTGGGGGCGCCGAGGGAGGGCGGGCCCGACGGGCCTCGGGCAAGCGCAGTCTTGGCTCTGAGCCCGGGGCCTTTCGGGAGCCGGGAAGGGCAGGCTCGGTGGCGGCCCCACGTCCAGAGTTGCGCCCTCTCTGGCCTTGCGCCGGGACACGGCATCTGCGCGCTGGGCGGGTTCTGGAGCGGGGTCCGCACGGAGCGAGCCCGGGGCCTCCAGGCCGAGGAGGCTGCGATGCCTTAAAGGCAGGAAGATACACGGGCTCGGGGGCTGCGGCGGTGGAGGGGAGCTCTCCACAGAGCCGCAGAGGCCACGGAGTTTCCTGCTCCCGGGTGCCGCACGCCCACTGCCCTCGCGGTCGCGTGAGGGGAGCACGTGGGGGACGCCGCGCCCCGAGGGCCGGGGCGGAGGGCAGGGGAGGGGAGCGGAGGGGCGAGGCCTCCCCCGCAGCTGCGCGCCCTGCCCTGTTGTGGAGACGGCGCTGGCTCTGCGCCGGTCGCCTTGGTGCCTCGGCCCCGTGAGTGCGCGAGCTCCGTGGAGACCAGGACAGCGCCCAGACCTCCCTCGGCGGGTGGGCCCCGACCTCCGGGCTCCAGGGCCGGTATTCCAACCACAGGTCAGCGCGCTGGGGCTGAAACATACTTCTGTTAATGCTTTTCCTAATTTATGACTTGATTTTTACTTGGGTGGGAAAAGAAACTTAAAATGAATTACATGTGGTTGCGCCTGTTTAAAAACAAACGGGCTGTATTTTTGCAGCATTTTTATTTTACTTAATTTATTATTCTGAGACAGAGTCTCGCTCTGTCTCCCGGGCTGGAGTGCAGTGGCGCGATCTTGGCTCCCCGCCCCCCCCCAGGTTCAAGCGATTCTTCTGCCTCAGCCTCCCCAGTAGGTGGGACTGCAGGCACCCACCACCACGCCGCTAATTTTTGTATTTTTGGTAGAAATGGGATTTCACCATGTTGGCCAAGCTGGTCTGAAACTCCTGACCTCAAGTGATCCGCCCGCCTCGGCCTCCCCAAGTGCTCGGATTTACGGGAATGAGCCGCCGTGCCTTCTACATTTTTGTAGCTTTTTTCTTTTTTTTTTGAGATGGAGTTTTGCTCTTGTCGCCTAGGCTGGAGTGCAGTGGCGCAATCTCAGCTCGCTGCAACCTCTGCCTCCCCGGTTCAAGCAATTCGCCTGCCTCACCTTCCCAAGTAGCTGGAACTACAGGTGTGCACCACCACGCCTGGCTATTTTTTTTTTTTTTTTTTTTTGAGACAGAGTCTGGCTCCGTCGCTCAGGCTGGAGTGCAGTGGCATGATCTCGGCTCACTGCAACCTCCATCTCCCGGGTTCAAGCGATTCTCCTGCCTCAGCCTCCCGAGTAGCTGGGATTACAGGCGCCCGCCACCACGCCCGGCTAATTTCTGTATTTTTAATAGAGATGGGGTTTCACCATCTTGGCCAGGCTGGTCTGGAACTGACCTTGTGATTCATTCGCCTCGGCCTCCCAAAGTGCTGGGATTACAGGCATGAGCCACTGCACCTGGCTGTATTTTTGTAGCATTTTAAATAAATTACACCATCAGGTCGGCCCTGACAGTCTCCTGTGCTCTGGCCACTGGGCATCTGTCTCCCAATTGGAGGCTGTTGGAAACAACATCTGCTTATTTATTTCTCTCTTCCTGGAGGGACTGCACCTCTGTCTTCACCACATAATGCGCGATACCAGAACTCGGGACACGCAGCACCGGAGCATGCGCGGGGATCAGCATTGTCCTTCTGGGGCGAGGGCCTGCAGCTGTGCTCACTCCTCGGGGGTCTGTTGCCAGTTTGCCATCCTGTCCAGGAGGGTGGCCTCCCCCACAGATCAGCCCAGGAAGGCGGGCCTGGCTTCCAGTGACCACTGTGACACAGGCCTTGACCCTCAGAGGGACTGGGGTCCTGCAGCGGCCTGAGGGGTGCACAGGTTGCTGCCAGCCATCCCAGGTTTCTCCTAGTGCCCAGGGCATCCTGGGGTCCTGCAGAGTAGCTCAGCTGTCCAGGCAGTAGTCAGGGACATGTTGGAGTCTCATAACATTGAGTTGTCACAAAGGGGAGAAGGAGAAGCTCTGTTTTTTTCCTCAGTGAACTGTGCAGAGCCCAACTGAGGCTGCTCTTTGAGGTGTGTGGCATTCCTGCACCTTGTCAGAGTCTCCCAACCCCTCTCCAGTAAAGGCCCCTGCTTCCTGTGACCAGTGCCCACAGGGCTGGGAGGTCAGTGTGCCACCCGTTTCACAGGTGTCACCTGCCCAGGTGAGAGCCCCAGAGCTCGCCATGGCACCAGCTTGCCTACTTTGCCCTTGCATTGCCCTGGTGAGGTGGACACTGGCTGGGGACAAGACAGCAGTAGACACCCTGAAGCCTGGGCCTGAGCCCAACAAGGACAGCAGCCACCCCTGTTGCACAAAACTGGTTGGGGAAGGCTCTGTAGGTCCCACCCTGAGCCAAGGTGCCCTGCTGCAGGATGGAGAGGCGGGATAGTGTGGGGCAGGAGGACCAACTCCTGGGCCTGGGGTCTGTGGCCAGGCAGGATGTGGTCCAAGGAGGGCCAGAAGGGCAGGGAAGCGGGGCAGGCGTGGCTGTGGGAGTGCTGGGCACCTGCCCTCCTCCTCCTGCAGCTGTCGGAGGATCCACAACGAAGGCTCTGTTTACTGGTGGCCATGGTCCCAGTGGGAGGGTGTGTTACCGCCAGGCAGGGACAGCAGGCAGACAGTATTGGCTGCCTTAAAGGACCAGACGCCCAGCCTTTGTGGGAGGCCTCACCTGCCCTGGAAGGACAGGTGCATGGGGTGCTTCCTCCCTCTCTCCACAAGGGCCTCACTGATCCCCCCCCAAAGGACAGGGGAGCTCCCCGGCCCCTCAGGCTCCCCAGGGAGCTAGCCAGGCTTGTCCCCTACAGGGGTGCCAGACGGTTCTATGAGGCTGATGTCAGGTCCACAGGGGCGTCCTAGAATCACAGGGCTGTGAGAACCAAAGCTCTAGCTGCTGGGGGTCCCATTCTCACTGGAGCCCACCCCTGAGGCACCCCTGGCTCCCAGAGCAGGTGGTCACCTCCCTCGGTAGGTGAAACCAAGGCCCAGGAGGCCTAAGAGTTTGAGGGGTGGCTGGGGCAGAGGACCCAGGGAAGACTGGGGGCCAAGGGCACAGAGGGTCTGGGGGTCATGAGCAGGGGCAAAGGGAAACTGAGGGCAGAAAAGAACAGAGCCACAGAGGAGAAGTGGCCGTGGGGCCCCCTCAGGCCTCATCTTCCTGAGTGGCTGCACCTCTATCCCCTAGTGGGGTCTGACCAGGCAATCCTGGGAGGCTCTGGGAAGAGAGCTGCCCCCCAACAGGGCTGCAGTTCTGGAAGGGAGAACGTGACTGGCCACAGCAGCAGACTCAAATGAGCAAACTAGACCTGTCCCTGATGGGACCGTCCCCTCACCCACCCGTCTCTGTGTGCCTGAATGAATGCTCCAGTTCTGGGGTAACCCAAGGCTTTCTTCCCTTGGCGGGAGTGGGGGTTGGGTTAGGGCTGTGGGCAGCTCTGGGCTAGAGGTGGCAGGAGCCCCCCCTCAACTTCCTAGGTGTCCAGTTACCCATTGGCTGGCAGACAAGCCTTCCTGTGTGGAAACCCGACCACACAGCAGAGGGAGGGCCCCCTGGCCCCCAAGTCCTCCCCATGGGTGCTGTCCGCCCTCCTGGGCCCACCCCACGGACAGGCCTTCCCGGGACAGGGTCTCATTCTCCGTGGCAGTGGGAGGCCTCAGTGTGCCCCAGCCTGGCGGGTGAGACTGGCTTCCTGGTGGGTTCTGGGAGCTGAGCACCTGCCGTGGCCCAGCCCTGCAGAGAAGTGTCCCCGAGGGGCCCAGCCCAGGACCGGCTGAGAGACACAGAGGGCAGACAGACAGGTGGTGCCTCTGGGACCACCTGGCCCTCCAAGCCGTCAGGGTCCCTTCTCACACCCCACGCACCTGATGGGACTCCAGTCCCCACCCCAACCATGACATCCGCCGGGGCAGAGGAGCTCCGGGATCCCCCACACCCTGCACCACCGGCCCTGCTCCCTGCTGGCTGGGCTCTCCCCTGCGCCCCCAGGAGGGGCCCCAGCTCCCACTGTGGGAAGTCCCCGCCCCCCCAGGCCCGCCATTCCTTGGGAGCTTCTGTCCCCAGCGGCTGCCGTGAGAAACACACCTTGGGGTGGGCGGGCTCCTGTGCCTGAGCCCCAGGCCCCGGAGTGTCCACCAGGAGGCAGCATCGGGCTGCTTCCCCCACCTGCGCAGGCGGCCCCTGTCTAGGGGAGTGAGGACCGCCACCCCAGATAACAGCCTGGTTTATTTGCACAGAAGGGGAAGCAGGTGACCGGAGGTCAGCTGCCGCGGGGACCCCCCCTCCAGGGCCCTCCAGAGCCCTCCCAGCCGGGGAGGGTGGGGCGGTCTGCTCAGCAACTGCCCGTCACAACTGCTGGGAGGCCAAGATCTCAGGGTTCTCGT
The DNA here is from genome assembly GCF_000001405.40 of Homo sapiens. Taxonomy (NCBI): domain Eukaryota; kingdom Metazoa; phylum Chordata; class Mammalia; order Primates; family Hominidae; genus Homo; species Homo sapiens. The sequence goes on along the minus strand of NC_000009.12, from coordinate 137,236,378 downwards.
AGCAGTAGGCCTCTTTGGTGGTGGCCTTCGGGGGGCTGCAGACGTTGCAGGGGCAGCAGCGGGTCACCAGGCGGTCCCAGGGCTCCAGAGAATGGAGCCAGACGGGGAGCCAGGCCCAGGAGCGCAGGCGGACAGGCAGCCAGGCCGGCCGGCGCCGCTGCAGGACAGTAACCAGGATGACGAGGAGCACCAGCCCCACCAGGGGACCCCCGACAGCGGCCAGCTCCATGCCCCCTGCCAGGGAGAGCCCGAAGGCCGCCAGGGGCAGCAGCAGGAATCCGAGCAGCAGGTAGACCCCAGCCACCCAGCGGTAACGGGCGGTCACCACCCCGAAGTGCCTGGCCAGCGGGATGGGCAGCCGCAGTGCAGGCACCAGGTACCACAGCAGGATGCCGGCCAGGTTGAAGAAGAAGTGGATGAGGGCGACCTGGGGGCGAGGGGGCTGTCAGGGGCCTGGGCCCAACGAGGTGGGGTCACCAGGGGCCCCGGACCCCTGCCCTCCTCCACCCTACAGAAGGAGCGCCAAGTCTGAAGTTCATCCTGCTTCACGGATGAGATGGCCGTCTGGGAGGCGGGCTGTGGCCAGATGTGGACATGTTCCCCAGCACGCCTCCCGCACGCTCCTGGGAGCTGCAGTCCAGCCCAGCACCCCCGAGCACTGACTGCATCACTGCTGCCCTCAAGGGGGACCTGCGGGGGAAGCACCTTCCGACCTGGCTCTGCCTGTGCCTCCTGCCAAGAGACCCCGTCTCCTCAGTCCCCAGTGTGCTGAGCCTGCACAGTCCAGGCCCTGCGGGGAGGAGGCACAGGGCCACAGGAGGGGAGAACAGTGTCACGGGCCCCTCCAGGGGCTGCCGGACTTGGAGGAGTCCACACACAGGTGCAGTCTGGAGGGCTTCCTGCAGGGGGTGGAGCAGGACCCTGCACTGGGAGGGTCTAAGTGGATAGAGACAGGGCAGAGGCAAGAAGAACGAGCGTGGGTTCCAGGGGGTGCCGCACTTGTCTCTTCCTGTCAGCGGCGGTGCAGCATGACCCGGAGTTTCGGGAGCTGAACCTGTTGGGCCTCCGGGCAGCAGGCCGCAGACGGGCTGTTTTAGAGGGAGAACCAGCTGGACTAAATGAGACTGGGGTTGGGGCACAGAGCTGGGGGCTCAGACTGGGGGAAGTGTCCTGGAGGCAGAATCACAGCCCTGGCAGCGGCAGGGCAGGGCCCAGCATCGGTGGGACTCGGCCTTTGCAGATGTGGAATGGGGGCTGGGAGGGTCGTCCAGATGGGGACCTGCTGGAGGTGAGTGGCTGCTCCTTGAGGGAGCAGGGGTTGGGGGAAAGCATCTGAGGGTGCTGGAATAGAGGGGCTTAGAGCCCCCTGAGATGCTGGGGGCAGGCCCCCAGGGACACAGCAAAGAGCTGAGAAAATGTGGAAGTGAGGAGGTCTCAAGGGAGGAGACGCAGGGAGGGTGTGAAATGTGTGCAGGACCTGTGGGGTCCAAGGAGGCAGAGCAGCAGGGCTGAGGCTGGCGGCCAGGGAAGGGGTCCAGGAAGGCGGGGGCACAGCCAGCCTAGGGCCCCGGGGCTGGTGACACACTCCTGTCTGTGGGGCTGAGAGGAAGCTGGCCAGTTCTGGCAGCGGGGCAGGGTGGACAGTACCTGCAGGGCGCTGAGCATCCTGTCTGCGGGGCTGGCCAGGGCAGCCAGCAGGGCTGTGGTAGTGGTGCCGATGTTGGAGCCCAGTAAGAGGGGGTACGCCCGGTCCAGACTGATCACCCCGACCCCTGGGGGAACTGGGAGTCACCACAGGACCCCAGCCCGAGCCCCCGTTCCCGAGGCCTCTGTCCTGCCTGCTCACCCATGAGGGGCACGACGGCCGCCGTGAAGACGCTGCTGCTCTGCAGTGCGAAGGTCAGGCCGGCGCCCGCGAGGACGGCCAGGTAGCCGCCGAGCCAGCCCAGCGGGAAGGGGAAGTCTGTGGGGGATGCCGGGTCAGCCCTGGCCAGCGCCCACAAGGAGGGCCAGGTAGCCCCCGAGTCAGCCTGGTGGGAAGGGGAAGTCTATGGGGGATGCTGGGTCAGCCCTGGCCACCGCACCTCCTCCCACGCCCTCACCCGCATTGATGACTGTCCTCACGACCTGGGCCACGCGGCCGCGCAGCACAGAGTTGAGCAGCTTGACTATGAGGACCAGGCAGCCGCAGAGCACCAGCAGGGAGCCGGCCAGCAGGATGCAGCCCACGGCCAGGTCCGTGAGCTCCGTGCCCGCAAACAGGTGGCGGCCTGGGGGCAGGGCAGGGGCAGGTGAGGGGGAGCCTGGGGGGTGGGCCGGGGTGGGCCGGGCCTCACAGGGCAGCCTGTCCGCCGGGGCTGTGCTGTTCCTCTCCATGTAGGGGCCGGTGAGGGGGAGTGTGGGGGGTGTAGGGGGCTTGGGGTGGGCCGGGCCTCACAGGGCAGCCTGTCCGCCGGGGCTGTGCTGTTCTTCTCTGTGCACGGGCCGAAGGCGCCACAGCTGCTGTTCTCCTGGGTCTGGGGAGGGCAGGGAGGACTCAGGACAGGCTCAGTGGGCAGACAGAGGTCAGAGGGCTCGAGGTGAGGGTGGGTGGGGCGGGATGACTCAGCAGGTGGGAGGTTGGGGGTCAGTGAGGGCCTAGGGTTGGGTGCCTCACCGGCTGCCCCGTGGTGCCGCACCAGTGCTTAATGAGACTGCTGTTAGTGGCGTTGCCTGTGGCACTGCTCATGATCATGTCGGAGTCCAACTGGGGGCCAGAGGGGTCGTGACGGTGTGCTGCACCCTCTCTCAGGACTCACCCGGGGCTCTGGCGCCCGCGGGGTCCAGCCCAGCCCTGCCCACTGCTGCCCTCTCCTCCCCTGTCCCAGGACAGGGCCCAGACCCTCCGCTGACCCTCCATCAGGGCAGGGCGGGCCTCCCCTCCTCCCATCCGGCCTGCTCAGGCTCTCTGGGCGGGGGCGGTGGCCGTCCTCACCTGCACGATGAGGTGTGTGAGCGGCTTCGTCAGCACCTTGAGGATGTCGGGCGCCTGCGCCCTGGGTGTCAGGCTGGCGGCACCCAGGGCTAGCTCACTTAGCCTCTCCAGCAGGGCCGTGGCGCTCTCCAGTGGCAGCAGGACCAGCACTGTGAGCCAGTTGAAGATCCCGTGCACCGCCGAGCCGCTGAAAGCCCTGTGGCCGCAGAGAGTGGGCAGGGTCAGGTGGGGGGGCCCGGGCTGGGGCTGCCACTGCAGCCCCAGCCCAGCCCTTCCACCCACAACTCACCTCTGAAATTCATCCCGGTCCCCTGACTGCGCCATTGAGACCAGGGTGCTGGTGATGGATGTGCCTACGTTGACACCCATGATGATGGGCACAGACACCCGGACAGTCAGCACTGCTGGTGGGGGGGCTGAGTCAGCCTGCGGCCCACCCTGCCCCCCCCACCACCCGGGGAGGGAGTGTGCACCCACGCTTAGCAGCCACCATGCTGACCACGATGGAGGAGGACGTGCTGGAACTCTGCACCAGGGCTGTGACCAGCACGCCAATGACCAGTCCAGCCACAGGGTTGGACAGCACCACGTTGTCCTTGAAGATGTCTCCGGCCACTTTGCCTACACCGGCAAGAGAGGTGCGCTGAAGCTGCGGAGGGCTGGTTGCCCGCCCCGCCCTGGGCACCCGTCCCGTCACTCACTGCCCAGCAGCTGGAAGGCGGAGCTGAGGACGTCCAGAGAGCAGATGAAGAAGTACAGGCTGCCGAGGAGCCCGCAGGCCTTGAGGACGCTGCCGGCCACGCGGCGCAGCCTGCCGGCCACGCGGAGCTCTGAGGACACAGGGCAGGCTGTCCCTGGCTGGCCCTCCACCCTGACAGGTCTCCCTCCCAGGCCCCTCATTCTCTGCCCCCTCTCTCCTCTGTCTCCAACAGGGCTGGGTCCCATTTCCTCCTCTTCCGTAACCCCCAGGGCAGGGCCCGGGTTCCTGCCTTTCCAAGCCAGAAGCCCTTGGGACCCTCCCTCGCAGGAGCAGGAGGGGAGGGACGGATGGGCAGAGGTGGCCGGTCTGCCCCAGGACAGCACAGACACCCGGTTGAGGGACACGTGTCTCCCCAGAGGGGGCCTGCATGGCGGAGTTCCCCACACACAGCCTGTTTGGGCAGGCCCCACCCTGCTCTGTCTCCCCAGTCCCGTTGGGGACAGAGGCCTGCCAGCCTGCCACCCCCGGAACCTCCAGACCCACCTTTCCAGGGCTGGCTTGTGTCCTTCAGCTGAGGGAGGGTCCAGGGGTCTGTGTCCCCTTCCTCCAAGACTGGAGCAGAACTGGAGGTCCCTGTGGAGGTAGAATTGAGTACGGCTGTTTCCAGGACCACCTCCCTCCAACTGGGGGCACAAGGGCACAGGCCGGAGGACGGGCTGAGGCGTAAGAGGCCTGGAGTGAGGGACAGAAACGGAACGGGGAAGATGGGGCTCCAGCTGGGCTGGACCTGAGTGGAGGCGTCATGAGCCCTGTGGGTTCCCCGGGAGGCCCGCAGGAAACCTGGCCTGTCTCTGCCCAGTGCCTGGGGGGTGGGTGGTCAGACTGGTGAAGGCCTGGGGCACAGGGGCCACTGGTACCTTCATTCCTCAGAGTCTTTTCCACTAGGTCAACCGCGTCCAGAGTGGGGTGGGGGACCTGGCTGCCGGGAAGGGAACTCGGCATGGATTTCGGGCAGGGACAGACCCAGGCCCAGGTCTAGATCTGCTGGGGGGGACGCGCGTGTCAGAGACATTTCCTCCTGCCCCGGCCCTGTCCTCACAAGCTGGATTCACACCCCTGGGTCCCCTGAATTGAGCCCTTGGCCGCCACCCTCCCTCTCTACGCCCTGCAGGCCTCAGTGACCATCCCCCTTTCTCCATCCACAGGGGGATGGCTACAATGACCTCAGGCAGTTGTCAGGCGAGCCCAGTCCAGTTTCAGGGGTAGACTCGAAGGGGCTCCAGCTCCCCGGCTCCCTTGCTGGTCCTGACTGGAAGGCTAGTGCCGAGGGTGCAGGCCATGAGCTGGGGAACCTGGGGACCTCCCCTATCTGGTGTCATCGGGGACACTGTGGATGGTCCCGACTTAGACTTTGGCATTTGATACTAAACAGTGACGTCTCGGCTTGATAAGGGCCCCACGCCCTGGTGATGGGGAGCAGGTGGGGTCCTCACACCACTTCAAGGCTCCTGGCCCCGAAGCTGCTGCCTTAGCCTCCTGGGCCTGGTCACCCCACCCCTGGGGCCCCCCACCTGGACCCCTCCACCTAGTGCCCTGGGCTCAGGTCCAGGCGTCCTGTGCCTCACCCTCCCTCCTGCTGCCCAAGCCTGGCGTCTCTTGCCCTTGGGTCCTGGAGACTCAGGATGGGGCCCAAGCCCTTGGCCTGGAGGCCACCCAGCCTCGGCCTCACTGTCCCTGGGCCTCAGCCTGGTCCTAGGAGCTCCTACCTGTGTGGGTGGTGAGGGGGCACCTGCAGGGAGGAGACACGGGGCGGGAGCAGTTGCAGGTCAAAGATCCCCTGATCGCGCACATGACCTGCTGGGTACTGAGCCCATTAATGTTTACCCAGGAGCCCAGGCCCTCACGGGGGTACCCTCCTGGCCCCAAGGCCCCTAGGCCTTGTCTCCATCCTGTCACTCTGTGGCTAGGACCTCCAAGCCCCAGCCCAACCCTCCTGGAGTGGGGCTCCTCCCAGGGGTGGGCTCTGAATCAGGCCGAGGGCACTGCGGGGCGGGGCACCGGCCCTCGGTACTGGGCATCCTCAGCAGGCATCCGTGTGACCCAAGAGACACACTCCACCCAGCCAGGCAGGATGCTAGAGTATGGCTGGGGCTGCCCGGGAGTCGAGAGACGCCAGTCCCCCACTTCCATGCACCTCAGGGCTCCCCAGACCTTCTCAGGGTCATCCCTGCCCTCGGCAGAGCAGGGGAGGGAAGCCCTTTGCACCAGGTGGTGGGGGAGGACGGGCTTTTTCACGTAGCCGGGGAGGGCACCCAGCCCGAGGTCAGAGGGTTCAGATCCGGGTTCAGGGCAGGGTTGGGCCCAGCAGGCTGCTAGCGGGCTCGGCCCTGGTATAGCCAGCGACGGCGGCCGGCAGCCTCCATCTGCAGAGGGGAGGACAGAGCTCCCCAGGCCACCTTCCCCACCCGCTGCCTGGCCCAGCGCACAGTTCTCCCCAGCGGAGTCCCAGCTGGCCCCACCGCCTGTGGGGTGTCCCCTAGGAGGACTGGGCCTCTTCCTGCCCTGGGGTGCGGGGCAGCTCCCCCAGAGGCTCACCCTGCCCAGGGGCTGCTGGTGCCCTGCTTTGCTTGCTGCCCAGCCCCCGCTGTGTGCATGGGGACTTTGCCCTGGAGAAGGTAGAAGCTTCTGAGTGTCCGCTCAGCAAATTCTCTTCCGTCTCCCTCCTGCGCCCTTGCTCTGGGGGTGGGGGGCAGCAGTCCTTCCCTGGGGCTCCTGAGTGACAGCTCGTTCCAGTGGGGGTGGGGGTGTTGCAGCACTGACTTGGTGGTAACTGCTGTCCACAGTCTGGCCCCAGCCCCAGCCCCGGCCCCTCAAAAGGGTCTGTGTGGTGGCTGCTCGGAGCCAGGAAAGGTTCAGCGAAGGATGAGACCAACTGGGCTGTGAGACCTCAAGCAGGCCCCAGCCCTCTGTTGGCCTCAGGCAGGCCCCGCCGAGGCATCCCCTTCAATGCCTGTATGGCTTCGTGCCTACACGAGACCCTCCCAGAACCGCACCCGACACACAGTGGGAACTCCATGAGCTTTGTTGAGTGGGTGAATTCACAGGGCTGCCATGCAGGGCAGGGAGGAAGGAGGTAGTCTTGCCACCCTCCCGGTACACCCCGGGGACGTCTGTGGGAGAGGGGAGACCTGCTCTGGGCAGCCCGCCAGGCATAGCCAGACCGGCCCTGCCCCTCCAGCCTGCAGCCCAGGCCCCCGGGACGCCTTCGCATCCTCTTGGGAGCCATCCTTTGCGCTGCGTCTAGGCCCAAGCCAGGCTTGCCGCCCACTCAGACAGCAGTGTCCTCACCAGGCACATCCGGTCGGGCTAGTCTGGGGTCTGGTAATTGTGGCCAGGACAGGTGGGAGGTCACCAGCCTCCTGCGGAGCCTCCCAGCCCCCAACCTTAGGCTGTGGCCTGGGATGTTCACGGCTGGGATGACACCACCCTGCTGGGCCACACGAAGCTGCGTATAGGATGCTACTGCCAGGTTGTTCTGAGTGGGCTGAACCCATGATGGTGTGTGGTCAGGGGTTCCAAGGCAGGCATTTCCCCTGCAGGGGTGGGAATGGCCAGAGTTCAGACCTCGGGGCTGCCTAGGGGTGGGCAGCAGAGGCTGCCACAGCCCCAGCAGCAGTATCTGGGCTGGGGGAAGTGGGGCTGGGGTCCCAGGGCAGGGCACAGCCCAGCTGGCTGCCGAGTGATGGCGCTGCCTTTGAGGGAGGTGAGGGGCAGGGGTTCTAGTCTTGCCGGCTCCCGCTCAGCCTTGACCGCCAGGAAAGCAGCCAGGTCCAGGTCTAGCATGGCCACCCCTCCGCGAGGCGTGGGCGTGCTCTGACGGCACTGCGGACAGGGGATCCAGCGCTGCTCGGGCGCCGGTGTGTCCAGCCGCCGCACACACGCCTGGCAGAAGGTGTGTCCACAGTAGAGGCGGCGGGGCAGGTGCCCGGAGAGGTCATAGGCCGAGCAGCAGATGATGCAGTCTGTCCTCTCCTCCGGGGGCCCCCCTCCTCCGAGGCCTGGGGGCCCTCCGGCTGCAGCATCCTGCCAGAGGGAAGCCAGCGGTGGACAGCCTGCCTCGAGGACCTTCCGCCTGGATGGGGTGCTGGCCCCAGGAGCCCACCCCAGAGGTCAGGCGCTGGGTCTGTGGGGGTGGTGCGTGCAGACCTGGGAGGGAGCGTGGCACCGGGCACAGGCAGAACCAGGGTCTGCACACTTCTGGTTCATGTGGGCACCAGCCGGGCAGCCTCCTGTTCCCGCAGCACCACCCTGGCCCAGCTCCAGGCCCCCACCCTCCTGGCCGACCTGAGCCCAGGCCTCTTACCTGCATGGGCTCTGCTGGGCAGCTATGCACAGCCACGGGGTGGCCGGAGAAGGGAGTGGGGGACCCAGGGCGCCCTGCGGCTCCCTCCTGGGTTGCATTACTGGCCTTGCACGGGAGTCAGGAGAGAGGCAGGTGGCCAGCTGTGGCGGGCGTGGGCTCCCGTTTCAGCCACAAAGCCTTGAAACTAGATCTAACGGCACCACCCACTTGCAAGAGATAAGGTGCCCCCCGCCCCCTGCCCACCCCCTCCTGTCCAGACCCAGCCAGCTTCTGCTAACACCTTATCCAGGCTGGCCTTGGGGTCCATTTCCCCACTCTTAGGGCTTCTCAGCACGCTCACACCCTTCGCCACACTCAAAACCTCCCTCACCTCTCCCCTCCCCCACCCTCCCCCTCCCCCTCCCCTCCCCTTCCCTCCGCTCCCTCACTCTTACCCTCTCCTTCCCTTAACCTCCCCTCCATACTGGAATGTTTTCCTGCCTTGGCCTCTGCTCACATCTCCTCCTCTAGGAAGCCTGCCAGGGTTCCCTCCTGGCTCAGAGCCTTCTGCAGACTTTGCCACTGTGCTTGTCTGTGGATCTGTGTGGCTTCTCAGCCTCACCTTGATGCCGGCTGGACGGCAGAGGGCTGCACCAGTCCACATGGACTCCAGGTGGCGCACCAGCTCCGTGTCTGGGGATCCCCGCTCCCAGCTCGGGACCCCAGACAGTGCCAGACGCCTCCTTGGTGGGCAGCTCCTGGCTGCTCTGCCCGTCTGCAGCCTCCAGGCCACCCTGGGAGGCCCAGGTTCCGGGAGGTATGATCAGTGTGTCCACACCAGACTGCAGGCAGAGCAGAGTTGAGGGACCAAGAAGGGTTGGGACAGGTGGGCAGGACCCCAGAACCACTCACAGCCCCGCTGGGTGGAAGCAAATGGCCCCTCCTCACCCCTGCCCACCTTCTTGGCAGTCTGCCCCCAGGACTGGTCAGACAAGTTCTCGTGGCTGGCCTGGGTGTGGTCACCCTCTGGTGGGGGCCAGCAACGGGGCAAGGCGGGGAGCCTGGCACGCTAAGTCCTGGCACAGGGTCAGGGCAGTGACCCATCTGTCCCACGCCTGGAGACCTCTGCATGCCACGCGCCTGCCCTGCCCTGCTGTGGAGCTGGTCACCATGCGTCAGGGAAGGGCTGGCATGGCGTGAGGACCCGTCTGTCCTGCGTGGCCAGCTCGGCTGCCACCTCCTCGCCTTGTCTCTGCCCTGCCCGGAACACCAGGGCGCCCCAAGCTGGCCTCAATGCTCACTCCCTGCCTGGCATCCTGGCTTACAGTGGTGAGGCAGTACCTGCGCAGAGCAGCCTAGCGCCTGGTGCTCAGCCCCAGAGAGGCCCCCACCCTGCTCAGCAGACCAGGAGACGGCCCAGCACCCACGGCCCCAGCCTCCTCCTGCCTCATCCTCAAGGCCTGGTCCAGGCCACCTCCTCCCGGAAGCCCAGGCCCCGAGGCAGGACAGGAGGTGTGCAGGAATTAGATATTTCCTGGGAAACTAGAAAAACATCCCAGCTGAGGTTGGGAGGTGAATCACCAGTGGGCAGGGCGTGGTCCTGGCTGTCTGGGCTCTCCTGTCCCAACCTTCCACTCCCTGAAACCTGCAGCACCTGCTGCACCCACCACCCTCTTGTCGACACGCTCCTTCTCTTGGAGGCCTTTCCTGGGGTCCCCCCAGTTCCATGCGCTGTATCCTCCTGCTGTCCGACCCATGGACTGACCCCAGCTCACAGTCTCAGTCTCGGCCCCAGGGAGCGCAGGTCAGCTCAAATCCAGACCTGGCTCAGCTAGGGCTGTGGACACGCTGCAAGCCCTCGTGCAGTCTCTGGGCAGACCCGGGACTTGCAGGCCAGGGGAAAGTGTGGACGTCATGAGGCAGTGGCATCCCTGTCCTTGCAGTGTCCACAGTGACTGTGTGTGTGTGTTCTCGGGTCCACATAAAGGGGCAGATGCCCTGTGTCCAGCTACAACCCCCTCCCAAAGGAGCCTGCAGCAAAGAAGAATTGCTGGGAGGAAGATCACCCTGCTTTATTGCCTGGGCCTTAAGGTAATCAGGGGTGTCCCTCTCCAGCCAGGACCTGGGATTCCGTTTCAGGAGCTCGGGCTGAACGGCCACCTTCCTGGTGGGTCTGAGCCCCAGTGCCTGGTGTGAAGGGGCAGACGCCCATGACAACAGCCACCCCGCATGTCCCGGCATGTCCCGGCACTGTGTGAGCCACATTTGCTGAAGTCTGGGTCCTGGCCCTGGCAGGGTGGGCTGGGCTAGGAGATGACACAGCAGCAGCAGCTGTGGCAGCGGCAGAAGGGGGGGCAGTGGCAGCAGTGGCAGCAGGGGCAGCAGCAGCAGTGGTGGGCGATGTCATCCCCGCGCCCCGCGGGCGGAGGGCCAGCGTAGGTCAGTCCGGCCTGGCGCTGACTGCTGCTGTAGGGGTTGCCAGGCTGCTGCCAGGCCTGCTGGTTCTGGATGGGGGCAGCCCCCTGGTTACCCTTGGCGCCCTTGGGCCCTGGGACCTCGGTCGGCTGCAAGAGGTGGGTTGGCTCTGGGGCACAGGGCCCCACTGGCAGGGGCTGCATCTCCGAGGATGAGGAACAGGTGGAAGCCACCTCTAACTGCTGCCCCAGGTCAGGCCGCAGGTGAGCCCGGGGGATGCTGATGTGGGCATATGGGTTCTTGACGACCATCTCTTGGGGGTCCATGGTCCAGCCTGCAGGGGTGGGCAGAGAAGACAGACATGAACTCAGTGGAGTGGGATGGCTGCCCACGAGCCTGCGGCCCAGGAAAGCCCCCACCAGGAGCAGCGTGCCTCGTCCAAGCTCAGCATCCCCAAGGCATCAGTGCCGGGGTGCCATCACCTCCAAATGTGTGTGCAAGGCTAGTGTCATGGGTGTGAGCCAAGTGTGAGCAAGCAGCAAGGGCCGGTGTCTCCCAGCTGCCACCCCTGCCAGGGATCCTCCCCCTCCCCTGGTGGCATTGGTCCTGGGATGGAGCTGGGAATGGGGTCGGGGAGGCTGAGAGATGGGAGAGAAGGGGGCTGACCCTGCAGTGCCCCTGAGTTCAGGGCAGTCCCGGCGGCCAAGGGCTTACCTGTGGTGGCAACACGGCAGTCTGTCCTCTCGGTCTTCTGAGCTCTAGGTCCCAGTGCCTGAGTTGAGCGACTGGCAGCCGCCTTTTCCCTCCTTGGGAGGGGCGGGGCCATGGGGCGGGGCTCAGAGATGGGGTTCCCAAGATCCCAAGAGGCCCCAGCAACTGGAGCACGACAGCTGGCCCAGCCCTCGTCCTCAGGTGGGTGGCAGCCCAGGCCTGGGCTCTGAGGGGCACTGCCAAACCAGTGACTCAGCCCCTCACATCCGGGGCATGGCCTGGGCCCTAAAGGGCATCTGCAGCTTGCCTGAGAGGAGGGCAGGAGGTGAGCCTGAGGTCACGGCTCTGGAAAGGAAGTGGGGTGAGGCCCTCAGATTCCCGGGCCTGCAGTCCCCAGCCATTGCTCACACACCTCAAAGCCCCGGCGAGGCAGGGCTTCTAAGCCTCTGAGCCTCTTCTTAGCAGAGACCAAGATGCTTGAGAGCCATTGGCTCTTGGAGGCTTTCTGCTTCTTTTCTGAGATGGAGTCTTGCTCTGTTGCCCAGGCTGGAGTGCAGCTGCGCGATCTCGGCTCACTGCAACCTCTGCCTCCCGGGTTCAAGCGATTCTCCTGCTTCAGCCTCCCGAGTAGCTGGGATTACAGGCAACCACCACCACGCCTGGCTAATTTTTTGTATTTTTAGTAGAAACAGGGTTTCACCATGTTGGCCAGACTGGTCTCCAACTCCTGACCTCAGGTGATCCGCCTGCCTTGGCCTCCCAAAATGCTGGGATTACAGGCGTGAGCCACCGCGCCCGGCCGATTTTTGAGACAGGGTCTCACTCTGCCATCCAGGCTGGGGTGCAGTGGCATGATCTGGCTCACTGCGGCCTCAACCTCCTGGGCTCTAGTGATCCTCCCACCTCAGCCTCTTGAGTAGCTGGAAGGACTACAGGTGCACCACCACGCCGGCTAATTCTTTATAGAGATGTAGGTCTCACTATGTTGCCTAGGCTCATCTCAAACTCCTGGACTGAAGTGATCCGCCTGCCTCCACCTCCCAAAGTGCTGGATTCCAGGCGTGAGCCAGCGTGCCCAGTGGCTTTTCTGCTTTTTTCACTGATAAAAAATGTTTGATTTGCACGTTTTGTCACAGGTCTTATCTTACAATCAGTGACACGGGCTTTAGACACTACTGACATTTTTAGCTCATTTCTCAAACTGCAGTTACCCTCTGGCTGGCGGGCGTGGGGGCCACACGCGCCCCCCCAGCGTCCCCACCTTGGGCCCCCCGCCTCCAGCCGAACCCAGGCTCCATCTGCACCGGCGCAGGCAGGGGTGCAGCGGGCACTGGCGAGTGCCGCGGGGACGACCCACGGCAGTGGGGCCCTTGGGGCCCAGGGGAGCACCAGGAAGGGCGGGTTCCAGTCAGACGTGGCCTGTGTAGGGCCAGTCAGACCGGTCGGGACATGAGTTCAGGCAACCCGGCCCCGATTTGGGGAGAACTGGGTGCTCCTGGGGACCCAAAACTTGAGAGGCCGGCGACGGAAGTCCACTGCGCAGGCGCCGGAAGTCCCGCCCACCTCCCTGCCTGCCACTTGAGTGGCGCCTATGGCGCATGCGCAAACAAGGCAGGAACCGGCCGTGGAAATATTATTGCCCAGAAGCCCACGCGCTCCGGGGTTTCCCGAAAGACCCGGTTCGGATGTGACCAATACTCGGCTTGGGGTTCTCCAGCTCTGAATGGCGGGTCTGAAAAGGCCTGGCCTGGGGGGCGGGGCCTCGTGGCGGGGGCGGGATCTCATCCCCTACGGGGTGGGGTCTCGCTGAGGGGGCGGGGCCTGCGGCCTGGTGCTTCCTCGGGCGCACGCCGGGTCGGTGAGCAGAGTCTGCGGCGGAGCTGGGCTCCCGGCCCTCCCCAGGCCCAGGCTGCCTCAGTTGCCCCACCATCTTGCCAGGGCCCCGTAAGGACCCCTCCAGCAGCGCCCCTGTCACCCGCACACCTCTCCCTATTGCTCTTCTGAGTGACACTCGCCCGAGGCCCCACAGAGGGGCCAAGCCAGACCCTATGCGCAGGGCTGCTCCTCCAGCCTGTTTTGCCCACGCGAGCTCCCGCACCAGCGGCACCGTCCCCTCTGGGCTCAGCACTCTGCAGGCCCTGGGGCTCTGCCTAGAGCAGGTGCGGTCTGGCCAGTCCAGCGGAGAGAGGAGCTGAAGGAGGCCAGGATGTCCAGGGCCAGGTGCGGGGCCAGAGCTGGTCACAGCGTGGCAGCGGAGGCCCTCGAAGCCCTGGTCCCCTGCCTCACGGTGACCAGCAAGCCCGAGGGCTCCACAGGCAGAAGGCGGACCCAGGAGGGCAGGGAAGCCCCGGGTGAGGAAGCGGAGAGGCCCGGGCCTGCGCGCTGGAGTGCCAGGGGCCACCCTGTCCGGGCAGGTGCGGTCCTCAGGGCCGCCTCCACCCCGCACTGGGCTGCCAGCCTGTCCTTCGCGCACTCCCACCGGACCCGTCCGTCCACCGGCCTCGGCCTTCTGATCCGCTCCGCCCGCCCCGCTCTTGCCCCTTAGAGTCACAGCGATCTATCTGAGCTACGGCACCGGGCACAGGCGGAGCTGGAGGACTCGGGGCCTTCCCATGGGGCGGGGGGCCGGGGACGGGGGAAGGCACCGGTGGGCCCTGGAACCAGCTCCCCTGGGATCCTCCGCGCAGGTCCCCTCCCTCTCACTCCAGAGTCCTGAGGCCTCCTACTGTGAGGGAGGAGAACAGCCGGATTCTCCTCCTGAATCTGGGGGGGCGGGGGCTTGACCAGGACCCAGGATCAGCCTGGAGAGAACTGGGGGCGACGCGGGGGTCCTGCCCCCCACGCAGTCCGCGGGCGAGAGCGACGCCGGGAGCGGACCGAGGGGCGGCCGGGAGGCTGGCCCCGCCCCGCGGACCCCGCGCGGGTCCCCAGACGGGGGGTGGCGCTGCGGGCGCGGGCGGGCGCCGCGCGCACTGCGGTCCCCGCGCCTCCGCCGCAGAGCGCGCCACGCTCCGCACGCACCTGCCGCCGTCGCCGCCGTGCCGAAACCCGCGCCCCGCGCCCCACGCCCGCGCCCGCGCCCCTCGGTGCCGCCCGGGCCCCGCCATCGCCTGAGGTCGCTGCGGCCGCCGCCGGAGCCGCCGGAGCCCCCCGAGCTGCCGGGCCGAGGCGCGGGCGCCGCGTCCGGGCCTGCCTTTGAGACAACCTCTGCGGCGGCGGCGCGCGGCCGGGACGCCAGGCTGGGGCAGGTGAGCGCAGGGGGCGGGGGCCGGGGGCGGACTCAGCGCCCCTCCCCACGCGACGGGGGTCGGCCCTCGGGAAGGTGCGTCTGGCCTTGGAGGCGGGGACCGGGGAGGGGGTTGGGTTCTGAGGCCCGCGGAGGTCGGGATCCCACGGCTGAGGTCAGGGTCAGAGGTCGGGCGCCCGGTCCTTTGTGCAGGGCGAGGGCTAGGGTGGGGGTGGCCGGGGCACTGCCCTCATGCCGTCTCTCACCTGCAGCTCAGGCCTGGCCCAGGCCTCGCCTCTGCTCCTGCCGCGGAGCCTGCCGCCCCGGTCCTCCTGCAGCCAGCGCTTCGGCTAGCTGCCTTCCCTGGGCGCCCTGTCCTGGAGCCATGGGGCCCACCCAGCCCCTGCCTGCCCCGATGTCCCGGCCCGCGGCCTGCTGACCTCGGCTGCAGGGGGAGCCCCCCCCGCGCCCCCTCGCCAGCCTCAGCAGCCAGAGACCCTGGGTGAGACCCTGGGCCAGACCCCCAGCCCAGGGCAGCCTCCCACCCCTCCCTGCCCCCGCCTGCCTCCCCCTCCCCCACCCCTTCCTCCTCCTCCCAGGACTGGACCAGAGAAGCCACTGTGGCCACTGGGGGGGGCCCTGCACCCCCAACTCTCGCCGGCTGTCCCTAGGAGTCCACGGGCCGTCCGGGGCCCCCCCCAGGCCTGGCGGGACCAGGATGCTGCCCTGTCACCTGCCCCCCAGCCCCACACAACGCCCCCACCCACCCGAACATCCAGTCTGACTGGAGACAGCCGGATGCCCTCTGACCCCGGGCCCGAGGCGGGCAGTGGCTGGCCGGGCCTCCTCATGTCCTGCCTGAAGGGTCCCCATGTCATCCTCAAGATGGAGGCCATGAAGATTGTCCACCCTGAAAAGTTCCCTGAGCTACCGGCTGCCCCCTGCTTCCCGCCTGCTCCCCGGCCCACCCCAACTCTGGCACCCAAGCGTGCCTGGCCCTCAGACACAGAGATCATTGTCAACCAGGCCTGTGGGGGGGACATGCCTGCCTTGGAAGGGGCACCCCATACCCCGCCACTGCCACGGCGGCCCCGTAAGGGAAGCTCGGAGCTGGGCTTTCCCCGCGTGGCCCCAGAGGATGAGGTCATTGTGAATCAGTACGTGATTCGGCCTGGCCCCTCGGCCTCGGCGGCTTCTTCGGCGGCGGCAGGCGAGCCCCTGGAGTGCCCCACCTGTGGGCACTCCTACAATGTCACCCAGCGGAGGCCCCGCGTGCTGTCCTGCCTGCACTCTGTGTGTGAGCAGTGCCTGCAGATTCTCTACGAGTCCTGCCCCAAGTACAAGTTCATCTCCTGCCCCACCTGCCGCCGTGAGACTGTGCTCTTCACCGACTACGGCCTGGCCGCGCTGGCTGTCAACACGTCCATCCTGAGCCGCCTGCCGCCTGAGGCGCTGACGGCCCCATCCGGGGGTCAGTGGGGGGCTGAGCCCGAGGGCAGCTGCTACCAGACCTTCCGGCAGTACTGTGGGGCCGCGTGCACCTGCCACGTGCGGAACCCACTGTCCGCCTGCTCCATCATGTAGTAGCGCCTGCCTGCCCGCCACTGCCCGCTGAGCCTCGCTCGCTGCTTCTTCAGGGACCCGGCCCTGCCCTGCCGCCCGCTGACCCTTCCTTCCCCACCATGGCTTCCGGCCCCACCCCGAGTGGCATTGTCGCTGCAGCCAACTTTGCCATTAAAACTCTTTGCCAAAGTTTGCACCTGTTCCTGGACTGAAGCTTGCTCCTGTGGGCTGTGCTCAGGCCTGGGCCTAGGGTGGGCACCCAGGGCTGCAACCCAGAGAGGGCCCAGCTTGGAGCTGCCAGAGAGAGGCCCAGCGCTGCTCGGGTTGGGCCTGCCCTGCGCACTGGGGGCCAGGCTGGGCTGTGCATGCAGCTCAGGAGGGCCGGGTGGGCTGTGTCGGTGCAAACCCCCACACGTACAGAGTGGGCTGCTTGTGTGCGCCTGGCAGGACTACCTGGTGGGTGTGCAGAGACACCCCAGCTGGGCAGAGAGGACATTTTCAATGGTGTGGGGGTGCCTGTGTGGGGGACAACTCAGTTGATTTCCCTCCTGGTGCCCATCTGGACCTGAGCACCCACCTGGGTCTTCCAGGGTTGTGTGGGAGTAGCCTTTGGGCATGTGCAGGAGTTAGGGACAAAGACTGGCTGAAATGGTGGTAGGGGAATAAGGACCCAGCGCCTCCTGTCTGGCACCTGGACCACTTGGGTGGGAGGAAGAGCCCGCCCCAGGCTGGGTGCGGTGTCTCACGCCTGTAATCCCAGCACTTTGGGAGGCCAAGGCGGATGGATCACCTGAGGTCAGGAGTTCAAAACCAGGCTGGCCAACGTGGTGAAACCTCTTCTCTACTAAAAATACAAAAAAAATTATCCAGGTGTGGTGGTGCATGTCTGTAATCCCAGCTATTCAGGAGGGTGAGGCAAAAGAATTGCTTGAACTCGGGAGGTGGAGGTTGCAGTGAGCAGAGATCGTGCCACTGCACTCTAGCCTGAGTGACTAAGTGACGCTCTGTCTCAAAAAAAAAAAAAAAAAAAAAAAGCCCGCCCAGATGGTGAAGATGGGGTAACAAAGACAAGTAGTAACAATGGCATCCCCAGGAGCTGGTTTATTGAAAGCTGCTTCACGTTCCAGGATCAGTCCTCCATCTCTCGCTGGGCCACCTGATGTCTCCATCCCAGGTGTGGTGACATGAGGGTGTGCAGGGGCAGAGCTTATGTTCCAAGGCCTGGGTGGGCCCTTGTCCCCTGCAACACAGGCCAGCGCCAACCCCCACCTGGTCTGGGCCTGATCAAGTGGGGAGAGGAGCCTTTGCAGGCTGAATTTTCGCAGCATGGACCCCTCCCCCGGCTGGCCTGACCTTCAGGGACACACACTGGCCCTTATCTGAACACAGGGTGGGCGGAGTCCCTGCCCTCTCCAAGGAACTGACTCACTGCTGTATCTCTGTTTGCTTTCATGCCTGCTGTGCTCAGCTGGCCCTCGGAGGGGAAGTGTGGCCGGCGTCAGCCCGTGGCCAGTACGGTGCCCGTCTGCCGCAGGGTGAATGGGGTCCTGCTCACAGACTTTCCTGCTGGGCTGGCCTCCTCCAGGAGCTGTCCTTGGGCGCTGGTGTCCTTGGGTTCAGCTAGTGTCTGGGCAGCAGTGCAGCCATGGACTCTGGCAGGGTCAGGCCTCTGGGTAGCCCTGGTTGTGGGTTCAGCAATGGGAGGTCTTGATTGAAGGCCACTGCCCTGGACCCAACCTTGGGTTTTTCCAGCCTGGTCATCAGGCCTCACAGCACCCAGGCATGGGGACGTGGGCCAGTCTGGGCCCCCTGGCCTGTTGGCGGCGGGGCTGTCCTGGGCTCTGCTCAGCGGCCAGAGCGGTCCAGGAGCACGAAGAGCAGTCCCAGCAGCAGGAGCGGCGTGAAGACCAGCAGCAGCCCCAGAAGCTCAAGGGCCAGCAGGCTCAGCAGCGCCAGGCGGCGGGCACAGGGTCCCCGCTCCCGCAGGGTCCAGAGCCGGGCACCCAGGCAGGGTGGACAGGGCAGGAAGGGCAGGCAGCCCCGGCCGCCCACGGGCCCTGCCAGGAAGCGCAGCTGGTAGCGGTGCTCCAGGGAGCCCCAGGGCCCAGGGTTGCGGTGATAGGATGCAGGGGCCTCTCGGCGGGGCTGGCGTGAGGGCCCGTCGGCCTGTAGCAGCTCCTCCTGTAGCCGGCAGATCTCCCATTCCAGCACGGGCGTCTTCTGGCGGCACAGCGGGCAGCGCACCCGGCCCAGGTCGGCACTGGAGGCCGAGCCCAGCAGCCTGTGCAGGCAGCCCACACACAGGCCGTGGCTACAGTTCAGCAGGGCCAGGCGGCGCTCTCTGGGCCCGTAGGGCTCTGTGCAGATCGGGCACTCCTCCTCTTCCCCCTGCCCTGCTGCCTGCTCTCTCCCCTCCTCCTTCCAGGTTGGAAGGGCCCAGGCACCCTCCATGGCTTTGGCCCCCAGCAGGGGCTCACTGGCTGTAGTCTCAGCACCTTGGGGGTGCCCAAGGTCATCCCCTTTGCTTGCTGGTGCTTGGCACAGAGGGTCCAGGCACTCAGGGCCCAGAGAGGACCCAGGTGGACTGACAGGCCCAGAGCTGGAGTCGGCCAGGTGGAGGGTGGGGGCCCCAGGGCACAGTTCAGGGGTGGTGGCCCTGGGGCAGGAGTCAGGATAGGAGGACAGGGACCCCAGGGCGGCGACAGGGGCGGCCCTCAGGGAAGGCAGGGTCTGGGCTCCACCAGAGCTCTGGCACTGACCTCCCGGCTGGCTCTCCTCACTGGAAGTGGACTTGACTGGGGCCCCAGCAAGGCCTGCCTGCTCTGGGTGGATCCTGGGCCCACGCGGTGCTGTCCCCAGCCAGATCTGGCTGGAGCCCAGCCTCAGCCATGTTTAGTCCTGTGCCAGCGACCCGCCGACGACAGATCAAGACTCCAAGACAGCGAGGCGGGTGTGAACAGCCACCGAACTCCTCCAACAGGACTTTCCTTCCCAGTGCCTAAAGCCCCTCCCGGGGGTGGGGCTGCACAACCACGCCCCCTCCTGCCGCTCCTCTTTCCGGCAGTCTCGGCTCCCTAGCGGCACGGACGGCTTGGTTCCGCCTTCCCAGCACCTGCCCAGAACGCAGTCCTGGCGATCAGATCTTAGCCGACCCACTATGCCCTTAAGAACGAGGCAGTCAGGGCGCACATCCCATTAGAGGCAGACATAAGAGCTGCAGAGGCCACTCGGGCACAGGCAGCCCAACAAGGGTGCACCGTGGCGCCCACCCATCCAGCACCCAGCACCCAGGGCACCGGGAGGAGCTAGAGGACGCCCACCCATCCAGCACCCAGCACCCAGGGCACCGGGAGGAGCTAGAGGACGCCCATCCATCCAGCACCCAGCACCCAGGGCACCGGGAGGAGCTAGAGGAAGGAAGGAAGCCTGCGCTAGAAGTAACCACCCAGAGGCCACCATTTACTGCAAGGGTTTTTCTGGGACCAGGAGAGGAAGAGGCTGCTCTGGCCTGGGACACCCCCACTGCTCTCAAGGAGCTGGCATCTCAGTGGCCTCTGAGCCCAGCCTGAGCCCTGTGGGAGTGCGGGGGCAGTGACTGGAATGTGCTGCTGGGCAGGCTGCAGCAGCCGAGGTGGCCCCAGGGCAGAGGAGTGCAGCGCAGCCTCATGGGTGCCCTATGCCACCCCTGGTGCTCACTGGGCTGCTGATGCCGTCCTGGGTCACTGCACCGGTGAGGTGGAGCGGCCCAGGCCACCACCTTGACTGGGAAGGGGGTGGGGGGACGAGGACACAGCTCACTGTCAGGGTGGGGGAGCGCAGGGCTGGCTGGGCAGAGGCTGCAGTGGGGTCAGGCTCAAAGGGTGGGATCCAGGGTCAACAGGAGTGCGGCTGTGCTCGGGAGCTGGCTGTTCCCAGAGGACCAGCTGGCTGGTCCGAGAGGATGACGGCTGCTGGCCAGGAGCTCCCTCGTGGATGCCTTCCTGGGCTCCCAGGAGGATGGCTGTCAGAGGGGGCACGGGCAGCCGCGGGCCTCAGGCCCACGTCTCTGTCTGGAAGCGCCGTGTCTGCTGGAGCCTGGCTAGATACGCGGCTGCGTCCGGGCTGCAGAGTCCACCCTCCTCCTGGAAGATGGACATCAGGGCTTCCGAGACGTCCGCTGGCATGGACTTGGCGTTGCTAGAGGGGCAGGTCGCAGAAGGCGCAATGAGGCCTGGCACTCAGGGGCTGGGCCCACTCCTGCTGCACGCAGGCCAGCTCACCCTGCCAGGTAGAAGTATGCACCCTGGCGGTCCAGCAGTTCCCACACAAGCGACCCCAGCTCCCGGAGCCGGTGCTGCACATATACTTTCTGCTCCTGTAGGGCAGAGAACAGGGCTGGGGGCTGAGCCGGAGCTCCCTCCCCTCCTTTCCCAGCCCCTGAGCATACACACCTGTTCCCGGGAGAAGGCAGGGATGAGGGTCAGACAGTCCCGCTTCTCCAGCTCCTGCCACTCAGCCTCCCAGTAGAAGTCTTGGTCCCGCCAGCGGCAGCCAAAAAACAAGAAGTTTCCTAGGGAAATACAGGGTGCTCTTGGCCACAGGTCCTTGAGGTTCAGCTGGGGAGCCCTGGCAACAACCCTGCCCGGAGACCCTGGGTGCTCACCAGTCTGGCCCTGGGCCACACGCTCCTGGATGGCTGCTCGGAAGGGGGCTACCCCAGTGCCAGGCCCCACCATGATCACAGGTGTGTCTGGTGTCTCTGGGAAGGCCAGACTCCCAGGCCGCACCCAGAGGGGCACCCGGACAGGTCCTATTGCAGGAAGGAGGTGGCATGAAGAGGATCAAAGACCTGTGCTGAGTCTGCTGGGGCCCTAGCCCAGCATTTGCATGAGCATGGGAGAGAAGGGGATATGGGCCCACGGCCCCCACCCTGGGAGCAGGGGTCACCTTGCCCAGGGTCCAGGGATGCCAGCCAGGAGGAGCAGAGGCCCCGGCGGGGCTCCTTGAGGCGAGTCTGGAACTGCACTACAGCCACGAGGATCTGCAGCCGTGAGGGGTGAGTCTGGGGAGGACGGCGGGGTGGGGGTGGTGGAACAAGGCTGCCCTCACCTGTGCCTGGGCCGTGGGCCCCACCTACCTCCCGCAGAGGCAGTCCGACTGGGGGAACGTCACCTGGTCAGAGGGCAGCCCCTGCTTACAAAACCCCACAGCCCCGGTCCCAGCTTTCCCAGGGCCGGTCCTGGGCTCCAACCACCAGGCCCCTCACCAGCAGCGAGGAGGCGATGGAGAAGGCCCTCGGCCGGATAACGGGGATGAGGTCCAACAGGTAGTCGGGAGGGATGGCGGCAGCTGTGTGCGGGAAGTCACAGAGCACCTAGGCAAAGAGAGTCTCAGGGTGGCTGCAGCGTGGCTGTAGCTCAGGGGCTGGGCCTGCCGCCCTCCCATCTCACCTCCAGGATGGTCCTGCGGGGCCGGTTGCAGTATTCAAAGAGCTCCTCCTGGCCTTGGGCAGAACTGAACTCCAGCAGCTTCTCCCGCTCCAGCTCATGGAGGGATAGACAGGCCAGGAGTTCGAAGAAGGAGCGGCGAGGCACGCTGGCGATGTCCAGGTAGTGGGACACGAGGTGCCGCATGGAGCAGGGCTGGGGCAGCCTCGTGGGGGAGGAGACATCTGCAGGGTGAGTGGGAGGCCTCCGTGGGCTGCGGCGGAGCCCTTGGGGTGGGGGCCCAGGGCACGGGAGAGGGCAGAGAGTCAGGGTGGCCGAGGCTGGGCTCACCTGGCTCCCGCGGCTGCAGCATGAAGAGCTGGTCAGGGTCCAGGCCCAGCACCTGGCAGAACCGCTGGACATGGGCAGCCGAGTTGGAGGGCTGAATCAGCACCACATCACCAGCAGCAAAGCTGTGTGGAAGAAGCCACCAGGGCTGTGGGGACGCCGCAGGGAGGATGTCGGGGCCCCGGATAGAAGTCATCCCCTGCAGCCCGGCCCAGCCTCCTCCGAACCCCAGACCCACGGCCCACCTCACCTTGCCCTCCTCGGTCCCCAGCAGTCCCCACCTGATGCCAGAGCCCAAGATGTCAAACTCAATCAGCCGAACGTCCTGGAAGTGGGAGGGGCCGGTGACTCTCTGGTTGGAGATCATGGGTGCTAGGAAGGGCTTCGACTCTGACGGGGGCTCCTGAGAGCCGGGGTGAGCTACCCGCTGCCCCTCAGAGCCCGTGCTGGGTGCCTCTTGGAGGAACAGCAGGGTGAACTTGGAGGGCAGGCTGTGGGAGGGCACGCTGGTCAGACCAGGACCCACTCCCCAGGGGCCGCCCACCCACACGGGAGGGACCCAGGGCGAGGTCCCCAGGCCAGGTTGGGTCTGCTGCGCCTGTGGGTGACCCGGGGCCCACACTCACGGGACTCCGGGAGGGATCTCAGTGAGGCCCGGAGGCGGCGGGTACAGCCCCAGAACCCTGTCCCACAAGTCTCGCAGCCAGGGGTCCACAGCAGCGTCGGGCCTGGGAGGGAGCACGTGCGCTGGCCTGAGCGGACCCTGCGTGTGGCCAGACCAGACTGTGGAGGCGGGTACCACGCCCGCAGACTCACCCCAGCTCATGCTGGTCATCGCCCAGGCACACGGGCAGGAGGGCGCTGCCCCCAAGCTGCAGTAGCCGTCGGTGCAGCTTCTTGGCCACGAAGTTGAACCTGTGGAGACAGTGAGGCTGGTCCTGGGCTGGAGCCCGGGCGGAGAGTGGTGCCCAGGCAGAGTGGAACCCGGGAGAGTGGAGCCCGGGCGAAGAGTGGAGCCTGGGGAGGGCCTCCCTCGGGTGGAAAACACACTCCACGCTGGCCGCACCCTAGGAGGGGGCAGGGCCTCCACACGCCAGGGGCTGCCGAGACCAGGGCAGCTGCCAGGGTGCCAAGCAGCAGGTCCTCTGCTCGCAGAGAATGAGCCTGTGTGGGTGGGAGCAGGCGGCCTCGTCCCACTGATGGGCCCTCATCCCTGGGCAGGGACTTGAGGCAGCTGAGGCCTCCAGGCCCCCAGCCAAGATGTGGGTCACTCCTCAGCTGAGAAACTCTGTGCTGGGGAGAGAGCCAGGCATCTTCCCGGGGGTCAGTTTCTCTTCTCACTCTGGTTCCGAGGCATGACTGGCTCTGGGTCACGCTCCTCCCTGGGAACGCTGTCGGCAGCGGCCTCCCTCCCTCTCTTGAACGAACACTGTGTCCCACACAGAACAACGTCACGCAGGAAACAACGTCATGCACGGACCTACGTCACGCACGGAACAAAACCTCCCGGCAGAACCGGGGGGAGCTGTCTCCGATCTTCCCGTTCTTTTTCATCTGAAATGACTGACACCTGGCTATGCAAACGGCTTTTGATGCTCGGTGCTCAGCGGACCTGGGCCCTACGTGGACAGTCGGGGTTTTCACCGTTGTGGGGTCTAAAGATGCCATTTGCACACTGAACATGCCACTCCTTGCTTAGGGTGCAGAGGAGCACTGTGAAAATGCCCAGGAGAAAAGGCAGAGGTGGCCTCTGGGGTGGCAGGAGCATACGGGGTCCTCCTCCAGGCTCAAAGTCGTCAACACTTCACAGCACGCCTTTTTGTAAAAGTGGGGACCGGCGCCAGGTAGGCCTGTGTGACGTCAGCGTGGCTGGAGCCCAGCCCTTTGCCACCCTGCCTGCTCCCCTCTGTGCCCTCCCCGCAGCGTGAAGCCTGGGGTGCCCACCAGGGAGCGTTGTGGAGAAGCCAGTACCACTGCGAGGGCCCTGAGGCGCGCAGGGGCCGACCCTGGAAGCTGGTCTCGGTCCTCTGCCAGCACACCTGTTGCTCGACCCCCAGAACTGTTCCGTCCGCCCACTGTCCCATCCCCTACTCACTTGGCGTATGAGGAGTCCCCGAGGCCCAGGACGGCAAAGTCCATCTGACAGAGGGCAGTGGAGGGCAGGTTCTTCCGGAATATAAACCTCCAGAAGTTCTACAGCCGGAGGAAACTCTGAGTCAGAGTCCTCGACCTCTAGGCTAGCCCCACAGCAGGGGGTGAGGGGAGGGTCTCAGGGGAACAGGCAGGTGGGTAGGATGGGGGCAGAATACAACTGGACCTATCTGACCAAAAGGCAGGGCCCAGGTCCAGCCTGCAGGATGATGGGCACCGGGAGGAGGCAGGGCTGGTCCAGCGTCTAGGGAGACCAGGTCCCACCCTGCCCACAGGAGCCAGACCCTGCTGTGCTCTACAGGCCTGCGTGGAGCTTCCTTCCTGGGACATCACCCTCCTCTGCCCCAGGCTCTGAGCTGCCAGGAGCAGCTCTGCACTTGGTCTCCAAACTGTCCACCGCCCCAGGGGTCCCTCACCTCCACCTGTCATTTCCCAGCCAGAGCGTGGGCCTCCACTCCCTGAGTTGGTCTGTCCCAGAGGCTCCTATACTCAGACCTCTGAGGTCCATCCCAAGGGCTCTCACACTCGGCCCTCTGAGGTTCCAGTGTCGCTGAGACACATCCCCCTCCTTCCGTGGCTGCAGGACCTCGAGCCAACAGGGTCCAGATCCTCTGGTTCCACACCGTGCCTTCCACGGTGTCCTCCCAGCTTGATCAGAGGCCCCCCCAAGGAACCTACTGCCCCCTCCCTACCTGGATCCCAGGTGGCCTGTGTGCGTGGTCTTCGCCGCCCACCCACCTCCCCTTCCCGTGGCCAAGCATGGAGGCTAGCAGACAGGGAGGCCCTGGCCTTGTCAGCCCACAGCTCTGACCCTGGCCCTGGACCACCCCTGGCCTCCCGGGACCTCACTGCCTCATCAGCTGCCTCTCTGGGCCACGCTATGCGAGCAAATGTACCCAGCCTCTTGCCCCCGAGACCCTCCCTAGCGCCCTGCTGTTGAGACACCCTTGCTTCCTGAATCCCAAAAGACTCTCTTCCCTGCTCCGTTTGGTGAACTTCCTCCTTCCCGAGAAAAGGGTTCTGGAGAGAACATTCTTGTGACTTTTCCCTCACTCGACTGGCATGCGGCTGGGTCTGTCCTGGGCTTGGCACCACCACTGAAAAGCCAGGGCCCCACTTGCTGCCCTTGGGGTGTGTAGGGCACTCTGTCCCCAGAGGCTAAACCCACAGTGACATGCCCCGGGGGTAGCCCTTTCATTCTCAGCAGGGCCCTTC
The DNA here is from genome assembly GCF_000001405.40 of Homo sapiens. Lineage (NCBI taxonomy): Eukaryota > Metazoa > Chordata > Mammalia > Primates > Hominidae > Homo > Homo sapiens. Next base: position 137,211,328 of record NC_000009.12, on the reverse strand, counting down.
CTGGGCATGGGGCTCTCTGGCCGCAGACCCCGCTCTAGACATCATTACTTTCCTGGATAACTTCCTCTCCACCATTGTCTTCTCATTCTGAGGCCACTGGAATTATCTTCGAATTTTGGTATCTGCTTCCTTCCATTTTCTATCTTGCTTTTTGTCATACTTTCTAGAAGGATTTCTCATCTTTTTTTGAGATGGAGTCTCACTCTGTAGCCCAGGCTGGAGTGCAATGGTGCGACCTCAGCTCACCGCAACCTCCGCCTCCCAGGTTCAAGTGATTCTCCTGCCTCAGCCTCCCAAGTAGCTGGGATTACAGGTGCGTGCCACCATGCCCGGCTAATTTTTGTATTTTTAGTAGAGACAGGGTTTCACCATGTTGGCCAAGCTGGTCTCGAACTCCTAACCTCAAGTGACCCACCCACCTCGGCCTCCCAAAGTGTTGGTATTACAGGCGTGAGCCGTCGTGCCCGGCCTTTTTTGTTGTTGAGACAGGGTCTCATTCTGTCATCCAAGCTGGAATGCAGTCTTGAAATCACAGCTCACTGCAGCCTTGACCTTCTGGGCTCAAGCGATCCTCCAACCTCAGCCTCCCAAGTAGTGGGGATTACAGGTGTGTGTCACCACGCCCAGCTAATTTATTATTATTTTGTTTGTAGAGACTGGGTTTCGTCATGTTGCCCAGGCTGGTCTCAAACTCCTGGGCTCAAGCGATCCTCCCACACCTTGGCTTCTCAAAGCGCTGGGATTCCAGGCTTGAGCCACTGTGCCCAGCGTCTTCTAATCTTTTAAAGTTTTTTCATGTCCATTTAAAGAACTATTTCTGGCCAGGTGTGGTGGCTCACACCTGCAAACCTAGCACTTTGGGAGGATGAGGCAGGCAGACTGCTTGAGCCCAGAAGCTTGAGACCCCATCTCTACAAAAAATACAAAAAAAAAAAAAAATTAGTTGCATGTGGTGGTGCGCACCTGCAGTCCCTGCTACCCAGGAGGCTGAGGTGGGAGGATCACCTGAGTCTGGAAGGTCAGGGGGCAGTGAGCCGTTGATGGCTGCCACTGCACTCCAGCCTGGGCAACAGAGCAAGAGCTCTGTCTCCAGAAAGAAAAAGAAAAAGAGAAAGAGAAAAAACTGTTTCCTGTTCCTGAGTCTCCAGCTTTGCCCCGTGGGGGTAACATCCTTGGCTGCTTCAGCCTGTGCCCGTCTCTGCCTGTTATGCGGGTCTTTCCTCGGGTGGGGTGTGGTTCTTTCTGGTGCATGTTTTCACCCAGGCTGGAGTGCAGTGGTGTGATCTCGGCTCACTGCAACCTCCACTTCCTGGGTTCAAGTGATTCTCCTGCCTCAGCCTCCTGAGTAGCTGAGATTACAGGCATGCACCAATACACCCAGCTAATTTTTTGTATTTTTAGTAGAGATGGGGTTTCGTCATGTTGGCCAGGCTGGTCTCAAACTCCTGACCTCAGGTGATCCACCCGCCTCGGCCTCCCAAAGTGTTGGGATTACAGGCTTGGGCCAGCGCGCCCAGCGCCCCATGGGTTTCTTCACCAGACAGGCAGGGACCTGGTCACTTGGCCTTTCACTGTGGTTCCTCTGTTTTCTCCTGTCTGCTGCTGGGGGCACCTGCCTCACCTACAGCATCCTCAGCAAGGAGCCAGGGTCTTCCTGTTTCGCTGTGGATGGAGAGCCAGGGTCCTCTGGTTTAGCTATGGATAGCCACTAAGACTCGCCCCTGCCTCTGAGGCCATGGGCCCTGGGTCCACAGCCTCTTCAAGGAGCTCCCAGTTCCCGCTGTGGGCATTAGCTGCCCCCTCCAACTCCTGGTCTTCTCTGTGGGTGCCCACACTTGGGACTCTTCGTTTCCTCGTTGACCTGAATCCCGGCATTAGCACCAGCTTCCTGCCACTGGCTGACTGAATGCCCAGCCCAGCCTCAGTCCCTCTCCTCTCCCATGCTCTGGGGCTTCCCTATCCCACCATTCCCCTCCCGTGCCTGTGCTCCACTCTGAAACCCCTTCTCTTCCATCCCACTCTATCTGAGACCCCTCGACCTATGTTCAGCTCTCCCCCAAGCCGCTGCACATCCCCTGCCATACCTACTCAGTCTTCAGCCTCTTTCTCCTGTCTCTCCCCTGCCAGCAATTAAACATGCCAAGTTTTGGCCGGGTGTGGTGGCTCACGCCTGTAATCCCACCACTTTGGGAGGCTGAGGCAGGTGGATCACGAGGTCAGGAGATTGAGATCATCCTGGCTAACACGGTGAAACCCGATCTCTACTAAAAAAATACAAAAAATTAGCTGGGCGTGGTGGCGGCGCCTGTAGTCCCATCTACTTGGGAGGCTGAGGCGGGAGAATGGCGCGAACCCGGGAGGCAGTGCTTGCAGTGAGCTGGGATCAACGCCACTGTACTCCAGCCTGGGCGACAGAGCGAGACTCCGTCTCAAAACAAACCAACAACAACAACAACAAACAACAACAAAAAAAACATGTCAAGTTTCTCCCGTCTTTTTTTTTTTGAGACAGGGTCTTGCTCTGTCGCCCAGGCTGGAGTGTAGTGGTGTGATCACAGCTCACTGCAGCTTTAACCTCCCAAGTTCAAGAGCTCCTCCCGCCTCAGCCTCTGGAGTAACTGTGATCACAGGCATGAGCCACTGCACCAGTTCACTTTGAATTTTCTGTCTCATGATGCTGCCCAGTCTGGTCTTGAACTCCTGGGCTCAAGCGATCCTCCCACCTCGGCCTCCCAAATTGCTGGGATTACAGGCATGAGCCACTGTGCCCGGCAAACGTCTCTCATAAAAAACTCCTTCTTTTTAACTCTTTAGCCTTTTCACAGCCAGATGTGGTTTTTTGTTTGTTTGTTTTGTTTTTTGTCTTTTTTTTGTTTTTGAGACGGAGTCTCGCTCTGTCGCCCAGGCTGGAGTGCAGTGGCGCGATCTCGGCTCACTGCAAGTTCCGCCTCCCGGGTTCACGCCATTCTCCTGCCTCAGCCTCCCGAGTAGCTGGGACTACAGGTGCCCGCCACCACATCCGGCTAGTTTTTTGTATTTTTAGTAGAGACGAGGTTTCACACCGTGTTAGCCAGGATGGTCTCGATCTCCTGACCTCGTGATCTGCCTGCCTCGGCCTCCCAAAGTGCTAGGATTACAGGTGTGAGCCACAGTGCCCGGCTCTTTTTCTTTTTTTTTTTTTTTTTGACAGAGTCTAGCTCTGTCACCAGTCTGGAGTGCAGTGGCGCAATCTCAGCTCACTGCAACTTCCGACTCCCTGGTCTAAGTGATTCTCCTGCCTCAGCCTCCCGAGTAGCTGGGATTACAGGCACGCACCACTGCGCCGTGCCCAGCTAATTGTTGTAATTTTAGTAGAGACGGGTTTCACCATGTTGGCCAGGCTGGTCTCGAACTCCTGACCTCGTGATTCGCCCGCCTCGGCCTCCCAAAGTGCTGAGATTACAGGCGTGAGCCACCGCAGCCGGCCCGCACTCAAGACATTCTTAAAAGATGCTCTCCACTCACTCTCTCAGTTGCTGATCTCCTGTAATCTGGCTTCTCTCCCCATGAGCCACTGAAGCTGCTCTTCCTGGTATCACCAACAATCCCTTTGCCAAGAAATCCCATGGATCCCTCTCAGGCTTTATCTGATTTGACTTCTGTGCAGCTTTACATGCCAGAGCCCTTCCTGGAACACTCACTCCCCCAGTCCTCTCCTTGGGGTGCTGCACCCTCTCTTCTAGCTGCTTGGTCACTCTCCTGCCCTCCTGGGCTCTAACGTTCTGGGCAGCCTGTCCTGTGGGGAGAGAGGAGCTTCCTCTTCTCACACTTCTGTATTGTGGCTACCTCAACACCTATCTCCGCCCCAGGATCTTCCTTGGAGCGCTAGTCCTACTGCACTTCTCCACTTCAATGTCTCCAGGTTCCCTTCCTGCACAGCCCCCTACTCCCACCGTGTTCTCTGATTTCTGTGGATGGAACCACCATCCATCTTGGTTCCAGAGCCCACATCCCTGTCTCGATTCTGCTTGACCTATTGGGTCCGTTCCATGTCCCGGGGACTCTCTCTTCCTGACACCACTGCAATGTGTCCACTTCTATCTTCTGCCACCACTTCAGCTCAGATCGGTAGCATCTGCTGCCTGTCCTGTGCATCTCATGGCATTATTCCTGCTGTCCTGCAGACCAGTGCGGTTTTGCTAGCTTAGGAACATGACTGTGTCACCCCTACAGTTCCGACAACCCTTCATTTCAAGCCCATCTGCCTTGCTGTGGTTACTCAGGCTCTTTGGACTGGGCCTGGCTTCCTGCCTCTCTTCTCCTCCCCTCTTGCCCCAGTGTACTCCTCAGCTTGGCCACCCTGAGCTGCTTTCCACTTTTCACACAAACCAAATCATCTTTTTCCTCTGCGCTGACTGCTCCTTCTTCCTCGGTGCCTGACTAGCCCTCACGCATCCTTCCGTGACTCAGCTTACACTCTTTTCTTCCAGAAACCTCTGCCTGGGCCCCAAGGTTGGGTGAGATAAGGCTCGATGCCCCTTATCAGTGCTCCTGTGACATATGCTACTTTCCCCAGCAGCAGGTGTTTGCTGGCACTGTCATTGCCCGTTAGCTGCTTCTGCTACAGTGTGAACTCTGCCAGGATGGAAATATGGCTGCTGGGTTCACAGCTGGATCCCCAGCACCAGACTGTGCCAAGAATAGAATATGTGCTTAAAAGATGGTCAGAGAATTCAGCAACGTTCCCTGAGGGTCATACAGTCTAGAAATACACACAAGACCCAGACTAGATGCACATATAGATAGCCCTGGAAAAATAAGAAAGGTTAAAACGGATAATAAGGCTATTTGGTGGCTACGACGAGTTTATTAGAGAGGGCAACCGGAGCCCCCAGCCCCACTCACGGACGTTCTCTCAAATCCACCTCTGAAGGTGCATGAGATAAAGGAGAGCTATTTACTGCACCTAGACGCCAGGCAATGAAAACGGGGTGAGGGTCGAGGGCAGGGATCTGAGGAGCCACATCAGGCCAGCCTTACCTTCATGTTGTCAGGGGGGTCTCCTTGGCCTGTAGTTGCACAAACAAATATCACCAGGGGCTCGTTAATCAGATTCACCTCAACAAAAAGACACACACACGTAAGACCTCCGGCTGTAAGGACCGGGCGTCCTTCCCAAAACTTGACCCCCTTCTCCTTTACTCAGGCTGACAGGGCAGAGGGATTTATGTGAGCAGCCAGACCGTCTTCTCTTTCAGGTTCCAACCTCCTCCAGGTGCTAAACTGAACTCCCCTTCCCAAACCTCCTTCCCTAAATCCGCCATAAGGGAAAGACCCGCTCTCAGAGAAAATGCGACGCCTTTTGGGTCGATGACCCCGCGAGGCGGGCACGCCAGGCCTGCTCGTCCCCCACGCCGAGGCCCTAGCGAGCCCTCACCACCGGGTAGGAGTCCAGGGCCTGCACCCGGCAGCCAAGCCGCCGGCGCCGGGCCTCGCGACCCAGTCTCTCCGACACATCCTGAGCCGTGCCTGTCTGGCTGCCGAAGAGCACCAGAAGCTGCGGGCTCGGCATCGGGGTGCGCCCGGTGGTCTGGTCTGAGACTAAAAACTAGAAGGCAGTTCCCGCCGGCCGGGTTGCAGGGACCGCTCCGCCTTCCGCCTTCCGCCGTCGACCGGAAGTGACGCACTAGGGACGCGCCCTGTGGGGGCATGGCGTCCGATCGAGGCGGGCGTTCACGGGCGGCCAGGGTTGAGTCCCGGGTCGGGGCCGGGGGATTGCCGGCGCATCAGGGCCGAGGGCTGGGGCTGGCGGGGCCGCTCGCTGCCTCTCGCTCGCAGCAGCGGCGGCAGGCGCGGGCGAGGGCCACGGGGAGAGGAGACGCAGCCCCGCGGGTGGCACGCTCGGCCGGGCCCCGGCCCGCGCTCAACGGGCGCGATGCTCTTCTCGCTCCGGGAGCTGGTGCAGTGGCTAGGCTTCGCCACCTTCGAGATCTTCGTGCACCTGCTGGCCCTGTTGGTGTTCTCTGTGCTGCTGGCACTGCGTGTGGATGGCCTGGTCCCGGGCCTCTCCTGGTGGAACGTGTTCGTGCCTTTCTTCGCCGCTGACGGGCTCAGCACCTACTTCACCACCATCGTGTCCGTGCGCCTCTTCCAGGATGGAGAGAAGCGGCTGGCGGTGCTCCGCCTTTTCTGGGTACTTACGGTCCTGAGTCTCAAGTTCGTCTTCGAGATGCTGTTGTGCCAGAAGCTGGCGGAGCAGACTCGGGAGCTCTGGTTCGGCCTCATTACGTCCCCGCTCTTCATTCTCCTGCAGCTGCTCATGATCCGCGCCTGTCGGGTCAACTAGCCTCACCGAGGTGCCGGAGAGGGAGCGCTGGACAACTAGAATGTTGACCTCGAGCCGAGGCCCTACTTGCAGCGCACCGGAGGAGAGGCTCTCTAGTCTGAAGGCACCGCCGGCTTGCGCCGAGCTGAGTGCCGGGTTTCCCTATTCCAATCCTGTTTGAAATGGTTTCTTCAGCAGGGCTTAAAAGAGCAGCCTTCATCCTGAAAATGTATTTCCTTTTGTTTAATGCTTTGAGTAGATAATCCTGAATTGAGGTCATGAGGAGGCCCCCCAGGCCAGACAGTCCTGAACCCCTCTGACACTTGGAAACTGAATATAAGTAAAATGTCCAGGTGGACTCTGAGTATTTCCTGTGGATCCTGGGAAAGTACTGTTGCACAAAGGCTGCAAAGCTGGACTCAGGAATGTCCTCCAACCAGCAGCGCTGACCTAAGAGCTCCCTGTGCCGTCTATCCAGACCAGACTTCGGTAGATGCCTTTGTTAGATCTATCACATGTAAACGAGCTTGTATCTCCTTCCCTGTGCCACGAGAGAGATTGGCTTTTTATTCCAGTCTAGGCAGAGACAGAAGAATGTTGAATAAGAGCACGATTAGAGTCCTGTCTGGTTATCTGTTGCCCAAGAAAAGAACTCTGCTGTCCAGGCACTGCTTGGCTTACTATCCCAGCAAAGACTGCAGTTTTGTGGACTTTTGACCACCTTGGGCTGGCACTCTTAGCACACCTGAGACAGATTTAAGCCTCCCTAAGAGACTGAAGAGAGGAACAGGTGTCAGATACTCATAGGCACTGAGATCTACAAATGGGAAGCTTGTGAGTGGCCCATCTTTGTTGGCCTACGAACTTTGGTTTGATGCCAGTCAGGTGCCACATGAGAACCTTTGCTGAGATGCAAATAAAGTAAGAGAATGTTTTCCTGAAATGAATAGTGGTTGCCTGTAACCCTCAAGGGTTAAATAGGATGAATATTGAGATACTCTCTGCTACGTGGTGTAGCTGGTTACAGAGCTGCGGTTTTAAATGGATTGAAACCTGTGGCTAGAGCTTAGTGGATGGTGGTGGTGGGAATCACTTGTTCTGGAGAATCCCTCCTTCCTGCTCTAGGAGGTGGGTAACTCAGGCACCCCCCCCCCCACCCTGTATGAAGACAACAATCTGGGCTCATGTTAAAGACCCATTGAATAGTTTGTGACCCCAGAGCCCATGACTTCTTGCCAGAGTGTGGTCTTTGTGGGCCTTGTTGGCACTCTGTAGAGCAGGGATCAGCAAACAATGTCCTAAGGCCTGTTTTTGTATGACCCTTGAGCTGAGGATGGTTTTTACACCCCTAAATGATTAAAAGCAAAAGCAGGCCAGGCGTGGTGGCTCACGCCTGTAATCCCAGCACTTTGGGAGGCCGAGGTGGGTGGATCACAAGATCAGGAGATCGAAACTATCCTGGCTAACACGGTGAAACCCTGTCTCTACTAAAAATACAAAAATTAGCCGGGCGTGGTGGCGGGTGCCTATAGTCCCAGCTACTTGGGAGGCTGAGGCAGGAGAATGGCGTGAACCCGGGAGGCGGAGCTTGCAGTGAGCCGAGACAACGCCACTGCACTCCAGCCTGGCCAACAGAGCGAGACTCTGTCTCAGAAAAAAACAAACAAACAAAAAAAAAAACAAAAGCAGAACTTGTGACAGAGAGTGGATATGACCCTCAGAGTCCAAGGTCTCTTAATTGGCACTCTTGGCCTTTGGGGCCAGAAGATTCTCTAGTGAGGATGCAGTCTGTTTCGCAGTGCTCCTGCCTCTCCTGGGTAGATGCCAGTAGCAGCCTTCACTTGTGACAAGCAGATGTTTATCCAGACATTGCTAAGGGCCCTGGGGAACAAAATTGTCCCTGGCAAAAACCAGTGGGCTAAAATATTTCCTGTCTGGGGCCAGATGCGGTGGCTCACGCTTGTAATCCCAGCACTTTGGGAGGCGGAGGCGGGCAGATCACGAGGTCAGGAGTTTGAGACCAGCCTGACCAACGTGGTGAAACCCCGTCTCTACTAAAAATACTAAAATTAGCTGGGCATGGTGGCGCATGCCTGTAATCCCAGCTACTCAGGAGGCTGAGGCAGGAGAATTGCTTGAACCTGGGAGGCAGAGATTGCAGTCAGCCGAGATAGCACCACTGCACTCCAGCGTGGGCGACAGAGCGAGACTCTGTCTCAAAAAAAAAAAAAAAAAAAAATTTCCTATCTGGCTCGTTACAGAACAGGTGTGCTGACCTCTGCTCTCATGCATCAGCCTGGCCAGCGGAGTGCGGTGTCAGCCTCTGCCTGGCGTGTATGCTTAGTTGTGTAAACCATGGAGGGGCTTGCGTTGGAGGCAGCTTATCTGGTTTGTTGCTACGACACTGTGTCCAGCCTGGGATTGGCATAACTTTTGTCAAAGCCAGATTCAAGCTGAACAGTGGGAGTGAGTTTCCTCGTAATGTTATTTATTTCTAGATTTTGTGTTTTGTGTGTTCCCCTGTTTTATTTTGGTAGTTCAGAATTGGGCAACCCTACTAGGGTAGAAGTGATGAACATCAGATGCTTCCTTTAGAAAGGTGATTTGAGGAGGGCCCTAAGGGAGGAGACACTTGGCTTCTGGAAAGCTGAAATGAAAGTTTATTCTGGCCAGGCCCAGTGGCTCACGCCTGTAATCCCAGCAGTTTGGGAGGCCAAGGCAGGCAGATCATGAGGCCAGGAGTTCGAGACCAGCCTGGCCAACATGGCGAAATCCCGTCTCTACTAAAAATACAAAAATTAGCCGGGCGTTGTGGTGGGCACCTGTAACCCCAGCTACTTGGGAGGCGAAGGCAGGAGAATCGCTTGAATCCTGGAGGCGGAGGTTGTAGTGAGCCGAGATCGTGCCACTGCACTCCAGCCTGGGTGACAAGAGCAAGACTCTATCTCAAAAAAAAAAGAAAAAGAAAAAGTTTATTTTCTCCAGCTTAATGGAGTGGCAGGAGAATAAGGCAAGCATTAAGCTAGCGGCTGCTGCAGACTGTCATGGGGCACAGAAGCTGAGAAGGGCATCCCCAAGTTAAAAAAAAAAAATCTGTTCTGCATCATTGCAGAGACCCAGGCGACCTTGGTGTGGGAAACAGCAGTGTCTACTGAGCAGGCTGCTGACTGCAGGGCAGGTGATGGAAAGAAGGTGATGTCCGTGCACTCCAATTCCCCTTCTCCCCGTGACTCCAAGCGATCTCCCTATTGTCTGCAGGCTTGAAAGGCTGTGGAAGCACTCTGAAGCCCTCCCTGGGGCAGAAGGGACTTGTCAGCCGGGAGGCTGTGCCCTCAGGGTCATGGTATCCGGAGCCTTGATGAGGGGACGTTCAACCGATGGGAGAGGAGTAACCTTAACGTGGCAGCAGGGTGGAATAATCAGACACAGGGGTCGGCCCTATGGGGCCCACCGTTACCCTGGCTTTTTTTTTTTTTTTTTGGCTCTGAATGCATTGGAGAGCTCTCCAAGCATGCAGGGCCCTGCCCTGGTGAACCTGCTTGCGTGTGGCGGGAGAGGCTGCTTCCTTTGTGCCTGCTCCTGCAGATGCTTTTTGGGGACCACGGATGGCAAGGTTGGGTTAAGAGGCTCCCACCTGGGCAGCCTATAAAAACTAGGGATTTCTGAGAAACTGGTTCGTTGGGGCTGCTCGGGGCTCCAGAATTGGCATTTCCAAGCCCCGCAGGCACCTGCCGGAGGTCGGAGGACCCCTGGTGAAAGCAGGGTCCGGGCCAGAGTGTGGCCTGTGCACCGTCCACGGACACGGGTGCCTTCGGTCCTGGAGCAGCGCCCTTCCTGCACCGCGCTCTCAGCGGACGGAACAGGCGGCCTCGGTGCTGGCAGCATGAGGAAGTCCCAAGCTCAGCCAAGGTCACTCGGGGCGCAGGGTCCAGGGGCCGCGCACCCGGCTACCCCCAGGGACGCCGGGAGCTGAGAGCGCAGAGGCGGAAGTGGGGTCTGCCAGTGAGCGGCGCGAGGCACCGGGGTGTGTCCGGGGGGCCGTCCCCAATGGAGGCCAGCTCCGGTGATAGGCGTTGTCCAATGAAGTCCCTTGGGAGGCGGGGTTGAGGCGAGTGTTGTCCAATCGGTAGGGTCACTTGAGGGGCCCGCCCTCCTCCCCTGCCATAGGTGGGCCTCCCGCACGGGGCGGGGAGAGCGGGCTTTCCCCAATGGTCGGTGGCCCGGGAGGGGGCGTGGCCGCGGCGCCCAGGCTGGCCGCGGCGGCGGCTGCCACTCCGGCCCTCAGTCCAGCCGTCCGCTGCCGCGTTCGCAGCATGGCCGCCCTGGGGCGGCCGGGCTCGGGGCCGCGCGCTGCGGTGCCCGCTTGGAAGCGTGAGATCCTGGAGCGGAAGCGGGCCAAGCTAGCCGCGCTGGGCGGGGGCGCGGGGCCCGGGGCGGCGGAGCCCGAGCAGCGGGTGCTGGCCGAGAGCCTGGGCCCGCTGCGCGAGAACCCGTTCATGCTGCTGGAGGCCGAGCGGCGGCGCGGCGGGGGCGCGGCGGGGGCGCGGCTGCTGGAGCGGTACCGCCGCGTGCCTGGCGTGCGCGCCCTCCGCGCCGACAGCGTCCTCATCATCGAGACGGTGCCCGGCTTCCCGCCCGCGCCGCCCGCCCCGGGGGCCGCGCAGATCCGCGCCGCCGAGGTGCTGGTGTACGGGGCGCCGCCCGGCCGCGTCAGCCGCCTACTGGAGAGGTTCGACCCGCCCGCCGCGCCGCGCCGCCGCGGGAGCCCCGAGCGCGCCCGCCCCCCGCCGCCGCCGCCGCCGCCCGCGCCGCCCCGGCCCCCGCCCGCGGCCCCCAGCCCGCCCGCCGCGCCCGGGCCCCGCGGTGGCGGGGCGAGCCCCGGGGCCCGGCGCAGCGACTTCCTCCAGAAGACCGGCAGCAACTCCTTCACCGTCCACCCCCGGGGTCTGCACCGCGGCGCGGGCGCCCGCCTGCTCTCCAACGGGCACTCGGCCCCTGAGCCCCGGGCCGGCCCTGCCAACCGCCTCGCGGGCTCCCCGCCTGGGTCGGGACAGTGGAAGCCAAAGGTGGAGTCGGGGGATCCCTCCCTCCACCCGCCCCCCAGCCCCGGGACCCCGAGTGCCACTCCAGCCTCACCCCCTGCCAGTGCCACTCCTAGCCAGCGCCAGTGCGTCTCCGCAGCCACCAGCACCAACGACTCCTTCGAGATACGGCCGGCCCCCAAGCCAGTTATGGAGACCATCCCCTTGGGGGACCTCCAGGCCCGGGCGCTGGCCAGCCTCCGCGCAAACTCTCGAAATTCTTTCATGGTCATCCCCAAGAGCAAGGCCTCCGGGGCTCCTCCTCCTGAGGGGAGGCAGTCCGTGGAGCTGCCAAAGGGAGACCTGGGCCCGGCCTCCCCGAGCCAGGAGCTCGGATCCCAGCCGGTGCCTGGAGGGGATGGTGCGCCTGCCCTCGGGAAGAGCCCCCTGGAGGTCGAGGCACAGTGGGCAGTCGAGGAGGGGGCCTGTCCCAGGACAGCCACCGCCCTCGCTGACCGGGCTATTAGGTGGCAGAGGCCGTCCTCACCGCCCCCCTTCCTGCCGGCTGCTTCGGAAGAAGCTGAGCCTGCTGAGGGCCTCAGGGTTCCTGGCTTGGCCAAGAATAGCCGGGAATATGTGAGGCCGGGGCTGCCTGTCACCTTCATCGATGAGGTAGACTCGGAGGAGGCCCCCCAAGCAGCCAAACTACCCTACCTCCCGCACCCTGCCAGGCCTCTGCACCCTGCCAGGCCCGGGTGCGTGGCAGAGCTTCAGCCCCGGGGCAGCAACACCTTCACAGTGGTGCCCAAGAGGAAGCCAGGGACTCTGCAGGACCAGCACTTCAGTCAGGCCAACAGGGAGCCTCGGCCACGGGAGGCCGAGGAGGAGGAGGCTAGTTGCCTCCTGGGGCCCACGTTGAAGAAGCGCTACCCCACCGTGCATGAGATCGAGGTGATTGGCGGCTACCTGGCCCTGCAGAAGTCCTGCCTCACCAAGGCTGGCTCCTCAAGAAAGAAGGTCAGTGGTGGGGGCAGGGCCACTGGCTGGCAGGGAGAGAGTGACAGCTCACAGAACTGTGGGGGCAGCACCTGCCCTGATCCCAGGACGCTTGGCCTGGGCAAAGGATGGTTTCTACATGGACTTGAGGCGAGCTGGGGCTGGGTGGGCCGTGCTGGGTCCAGGGCCCCAGTGGAGCCCCCTGACTTGGGCCGTGGGGACAGCTGGCCTGCTGTGTGCCTTGCCAGGCTGCTGGAGAGCGACAGGGCAGACAGTGCTATGTCCCTTGCCAGTTGTTGTGGCTCATCTGGAATTAGCTGGGCGGGTCTGTCCCTTTGTGAGTCCAGCTGAAAGAAGCAGACCTGGGCTTGTGGGTTCCTCCCTGGGCTTGGCTTTGAGGGGTGGCCTCACATGGTCTCCTGGAGGCCCGCTGCATGGGCGCCAGGCGCCACGCTATGAATGGGAAGGGCCAGATGATCGGGGTTGGCTGGATCCTCGCATCACAGTCAGCCTTGGGGTGCAGCCCACCAGCCAGTTGGGAGAGGGCCATCAGCTCCCCAGAAGGCACACTGGTTGGGAGCTGGGCAGGAGTGCCGTGTATGCCTGTTCTGGGCCTGGGAAGCTTGCTGGGGAGAAGGGGCCTTCGGAGGCTCTGAGCCAGCCAGGCAGGGGAGTCTCCCTCTTGGCCAGTGGCCTGGAATCCTCTGGGCACAGGAAAAAAAATCTTCAGATTCTTTCTGGTAATTCCTGCACCTGTATTTGTTCCCTGGGGCAAATTCCAAGGGCAGCTCCATGTGACTTCCCGGTCTGCGGTGACCTGTCAGGAAGCAGGTGTACCTTTCCTGGGGACTGAGGGGGGGCGCCTGGGGCGCCTCCCTTGGGTCTTCCTATCCAGGCACTGCCCCAGAGCCATTGCTGGCTAGGCTCACCCCTGAGGCGGGCTGTCCTCCAGCCTCAGTTTCCCCAGGCTGGGGATGGGACCTTGCAGGCTCCCTCAGCAGATAGGCTGCTGCCTCCCTCTGTTTGCTTCCTGCCCGGGATTGGCCTTGGCATTGCGCCTCTCCCTGTGCCATACTCCCCTCCTGGAACCAGGGCGTTGGTGCCCCTGCCGGCTCTATCTGCCGGCCCAGGCATCCGTGCTAACCCTCCTGAGGTGCTTCCAGTGGGGGCTTGGGGCTGGGTCCAGGGCCCCTCCCACTCCTGGAGCCACGTGGGTCTATCTCCCCGACCCTCGCCCGAGCATCACCCCAGCCCATCAAGGTGGGGTCAGTCTGATAGCCACAGCCTCTCTCCTCCAGCTCCTGTCTGCCTCTCCCTCCCCTGCGTCTGTACCTTTGGCCCTGGCTGCTGTGTGAGGTGGGCACCTCCTGGGCTTGCCCCAGAGGTGGCAGTGGGGACAGCTCCCCCTTTGTAGAGAGAAACTGCGCCTCAGCTTGGGAGTCAGACGGGGTCATGGGGCTTGTGGGGCGAGTACGGAGTTCAGGTTTCTGTTTCTAGAACCCCTCCCCTTAACCTGTGTGGCCATCCCTGGGAGCCTGGCTTCTTCCTGGGACTTGAGGCCACTGCCTAGAGTCTGGCCATCTTGCCCTCAGAAGGGACAGAACTGGGCTGGGCGCGGTGGCTCACACCTTGTAATCCCAGCACTTTGGGAGGCCGAGGCGGGTGGATCACGAGGTCAGGAGTTCAAGACAAGCCTTGCCAAGGTGGTGAAACCCCGTCTCTACTAAGAAGATATAAAAAAATTAGCTGGGCGTGGTGGCGGGCGCCTATAATCCCAGCTATTCAGGAGACTGAGGCAGGAGAATTGCTTGAACCCGGGAGGCGGAGCTTGCAGTGAGCCGAGATCGCGCCATTGCACTCCAGCCTGGGCGACAGAGTGAGACTCTGTCTCAAAAAGAAAAAAGCAAAGAAGGGACAGAACTGTGGGGGTCATTTGCGGCTGGGTTAGGGTCAGAAGGGCAGGGTGGGGGCCGGAGGGCCAACAGGAGCAGGAAGATGCAGTGGGGGAGAGGCTGAGCCTGGGAAACAGGCCCTGGACCAGCAGGAGGGAGGAGCTCGGGCCAGCCTGAAGGGGTGGGGGTCCAGATGGACGATACCTGGCATGGCCAGGTGGCCCGGGCAGGGCCCTGCCAGAGCAGCATGACCTGCTGGCTGTGACTTCCCGCCTGGGTACAGGCCAGCTGCCCTGCCTGGGAAGAGCCAGAATGTCCATCAGGAGGGGACAGAGGCGTGGGGCTGCCCTGCCTTTCAGAATGGCTTGCTGGCCTCGGCACGGTGGGCTGTGGGGCAGGGCTGTCCCATGTACTCTGTGGCCCCTGGGCCAGGAGCACTCACTGGTGGGGGTGCGAGGTGCCCCTGCGGGTCCTGTGCCTGGCCTTGTCTGACCACCCTGGCCAGCCTTTTTTTATTTTTTGTTTTTTGAGACAGAGTCTTGCTCTGTCGCCCAGGCTGGAGGGTAGTGGCAGGATCCCGGCTCAGGGCAAACTTCATCTCCCAGGGTTCAAGCGATTCTCCTGCCTCAGCCTCTCAAGTAGCTGGGATTACAGGCGCCTGCCACCATGCCCAGCTAATTATCGTATTTTTAGTAGAGACGAGGTTTTACCATATTGGCCAGGTTGGTCTCGAACTCCTGACCTCAGATGATCCGCCTGCCTTAGCCTCCCAAAGTGCTGGGATTACAGGCGTGAGCCACCGTGCTGACCCCAGCCTTTGGTTGGGACCACTGGCTGTGACCCCCGGGCGTGGGGGTGGAGTGCAGGGATTGCAGGGCCCGGAGTCTAGCAGGACCTGACTGTGGGCCAACGGCTCACTGTGCACCTCAGCGGCTGGCGGTGCTGCTGCTTTTCCTGGGGTACAGGTGAAGGGCAGCTCTTCAGTGGAGTTGTCTGGGTGGTGGGAGTCGGTGAGGGGCCTGCCCCAGGGCTGGCTGTGCCTGCACAGGGTATGATACCCTTGCCCGCCTCCGAGGGGTGCAGCCCTGCTCTGGGCAGTGGGGAGCTGCTGGCCTGTGTGCCGGGGTGGGGGCCTGCCTGGCAGGCACAGGCCCACTTAAGTTATCCATTGGCAGAAGCGGCAGGTGCCCCGTCTTGCAGGGCTGAGCTTGGAGCAGACTGCTGTGTGCTGCAGCCACGCCCGGGCTGCTTTCCTGGAGGGTGGGACACCCATTCTCATCCTCACACCTGCCTCCCTTGAGACTCGGCGCTGTAGCTTTTCCTCTTCGTGGAGCACCACCTGGCCTGGCTCCTACCTGTCTGGCGGCCCCTTCCCGTCCCCTCTGCCCTACTCCCCTCCTCCCCTCTTGGCTCTCTGCCCAGCTGGAGCGTGTCAGTGTCCCCAGGGCTCAGTCCTGGACACCCAGGGCCGTCCGCCCTCACCTGCTGTGCAACTTCCGCCTCCACTCCCAAGGCCTCGCTCTCTGATCCTTAGACCCAAGAGCCACCCTGACATCTGCCCTTCCTACTGACACCACCTCCTGGCCAGCACCAAGCCCCAGGCTGGGCTCCTCCCTGCCTCTACCCCTGTGCAGGCAGATCCTGGGTGGCCAGAGGCTCTCACTGTTGTTGGCTGAGTCCCTTCTTGTCAGTTTTCCTTTCCTTCTCGTCTCTCCGCCAGCTCTTCCCATAGGTGCCGCCTAGGTGGTCCTTCTGAAGCCGGGAACCCCAGGAGCGGCCTGGACGCTCCTCCCTCAGCTTTCTCATGGGTGGAGGCCGTGCCTGGCGCTGGGGCCACACTTGACTCAGGGAGCACCCAGCTTCCCGGGAGCCTGCTCTGGGCATTGCACTCGTGCAGCCTGGTCTAGGGTCCGGCCACCCGTGGGAGCCTTGGCTGGGGCTGCGTGGGGGATGGGAGGCAGGTAGCTGTGTGCAGGGAGGAGGGAGAGGCGGGGCTGGGCTCAGCTCACACCTCCATCTGGGCAGGTTGGGGCTGGCTGCTTGGCCCTTTGTCCCAGGTGGAGGCCAGGCCCTTTGGTAACCAAAGCTAGGTGTGCACAGGCAGGGTGGGTGGAGCGAGAACAGAAGGGTCCTGAGAAGCCGGGAGGCTCTGCTGGGAGGCTGGGCTGAGCTGGGACCCACCTGCCTGCTCTGTTGGCTGTGCCAGGCAAAGTCCCTGATAGGCTGCGGCCAGGTGCGTGCGGTCCCAGACCCTGGCCACACCCTCTGCCCATCCTGCGTCTCGGGGTCTTCAGGCTGCCCACCGTATGAGTCACGGGGTGTCCTGTCCCCACAGTGGGAGGGGAGGGCTGTGCGAGTCAGCAGGCACCAGCCCAGCTGAGGAGACCTGGGGAGGCAGGACGTGACCAGAGCCCCGGGCCCCAGCTGAGGGCAGACAGGGGCTGCCTGTCCACCCCCCGCCCCGCACCGCCTGGCCAGGCTGTACCAGGCTCAGGGCCCATGTGCACCCAGCCCCCGCGGCCCCCCTGCTGGGACCGGTCATGTGCACGAGTGAGGGCACTAATCCCGCGGCCCTGGCAGCCAGCCCTTCTGTGTTCTCAGCCGTGGGGGCTGGGCCTGGAGGGCTTCGGGGTCATCTGGGTTAGCTCCACATATCCAGGGCGACTGGAAACCCCATTTGCTGCTGGACTTCGGGGCTGTGGGAGAGCTCTAGCCACCAGCCCTGTCCTGCCTTGAGCACCTCCACCTGGGGTATCTGTCCCAAAGCATGAGTCTGGGAGGGCCGGGTGACCCCCTCCCCAAGTGGGCTGGCAGTGGGTGGGTGCCTGTGAGGTCTGTCCCAGCCTCTCCCTGCCTGGCCTCCTGTGGGATGAGCGTTGGAGGGCCAGGTGGGCCTAGCCACAGGCAGGGCAGTTAAGGGACAGGAGCGGGTGCTTTCCTCCTTGTTTTGTCTGGCCCAGGTGGCCTCCCCCTCCCCCGCTCATCCATGCAGACGGCTGGGGTGCCGGGGCCTGGGGTAGGGGTGCAAGCAGGCAGCTGAGTTGCCCAGCAGGGCTCTGTGTGAGCTGTGCTGAGAGGGGAAGCTGGGGGTTTGGGCACAAAGCGTGGCCCCCCAGCTGTGGGAGGCGGGGGTATTCGTGGTGAGAAGGGACCTGAGGGTACACCTGGCTGTGTGGGCCGTGTGGCCGCTGTGGGAGAGAGCATGATGGCAAGAGTGTGTGCCCTTGGCCCTGTCCTGGCAGCCCTGTGTGGCCTCCTCGGCTGCCTCCTGAGAGGCCGTCTCGTCCTGTGCCTGGCTGCGGTGGTTCTCTGCCTGGGGCCCGGCTCCTGCCTCCGGGTCCTTCTAGGGGAGGAGGAGGAACTTGAGCTGCTGGTGTCCTGTGCCCAGGAAGAGTTTAATATTTCGAGCTCCCTCAGGGCTGCTTCCATCTGCTGCAAGCGGGGGCCGCTCATATTCATTAGGGACCACTGGGGCCGGGCTGAGTGCAGCTGAGCAGTGGGAGCTCGGCTGTTGTGGGGAGCTTAGCCCCATGCAAGCCCCGTTCAGGGGAGGTGGAGAGTCCTGACCATTGGTCCCCACTGCCCCCATTA
Organism: Homo sapiens; assembly: GCF_000001405.40. Taxonomy (NCBI): domain Eukaryota; kingdom Metazoa; phylum Chordata; class Mammalia; order Primates; family Hominidae; genus Homo; species Homo sapiens. The sequence goes on along the minus strand of NC_000009.12, from coordinate 137,193,524 downwards.
CCCCTGGGAACCAGCAGCCCTGCCTGGGCTTCAAGGCCACTGGGAGAAGGAAAGAATTTGCTCAGATGTGAAATCTTGCAGCCTACGAAGTGGGGATGGAGGACGAGGGCCAGAGGGGCAGCAGGGTGAGGAAGGGGTCACTGCTGGGGTTGCTGGCACCCAGGCTCAGTGGAGGCAGCCCCCTACTCTGCACAGCCGCAGGCCAACTCTCAACTATGTTAGGTGGGTGATGGTGCCTGAGGCTACTGCCTGGCCTTGACGGCTCACAGAGGCCCCTGTTCACAGTGGGGGGTCCATGCTCTGCTGGATTGTCCAGGCATCCAGTAAGCCAGGACATGAACTTGGCTTTAGAGAGAGGCCCCAGACACCAGCAGGAGCTGCCTGGAGCCTAGAGTGCAAGGCCCCTGAGGGGACAGCCTCTTTTCCACCCTGTTCCTGCTCTAGAGCTGCTTGGTGGGAGGGGATGTGTCCACCCCAGTTTCCCCCCAGCTGGCACTCTGCCCAGACAGCAGAGCAGGAGGGGCCTGAGATGGTAGCTCCAGGAGCTGGTCTAGAGGCTTCTGGGGACCCAGAGGCTTTGGGCTCCTGGTCCTGGTCAGCGTTTGGTCCCTGGCTGGAATGGGGAGGGGAGGTTGACCCCCAGGGTGGAGGGATGGACGCCTGCAGGGTCCAGCTGGAGAGCTCTGTGCCCCCTCCTGGAGCCCCCGGAACGGTTGATGGTGTGTCTGGCGCCCCACTTGGGTCAGCCTCATCCTGAGGGCTGAACCTGAGCCCCTGGCATCACTGTGCCCATGTGGGCCCTCAGCCCTCGTTCACGTGACTCTCACTCCCAGATGAAGATCTCCTTCAACGACAAAAGCCTGCAGACCACATTTGAGTACCCTTCCGAGAGCTCCCTAGAGCAGGAGGAAGAGGTGGACCAGCAGGAGGAGGAGGAGGAGGAGGAGGAGGAAGAGGAAGAGGAGGAAGAGGGATCCGGCTCAGAGGAGAAGCCCTTTGCACTCTTCCTGCCCCGGGCCACGTTTGTGAGCAGCGTGAGACCCGAGAGCTCTCGGCTGCCAGAGGGTAGCTCAGGTGAGTGCCCACCTGGGGGACAGGCAGCCTGGGAGGGGTGGAGCCTGGTCTGTGTCCACGTCTGCATGTGCACCTCCATTCACAGGCCTGTCCAGCTACACCCCGAAGCACTCTGTGGCCTTCAGCAAGTGGCAGGAGCAGGCGCTGGAGCAGGCCCCGAGGGAGGCAGAGCCCCCGCCCGTGGAGGCCATGGTGAGATGCGGGGGAGTGGAGCGCTGGGGGGAGTCTGACACCCGGGCGAGCCCATGTGTCCACATTCTGTCCTCTCACTTTCAGCTCACACCCGCCAGTCAGAATGACCTCTCGGACTTCCGCAGCGAGCCAGCCCTGTATTTCTGAGCCCAGCACTGCCAGGACCAAGGCTGAGCCCAGCTGTGGGAGTCCCGGAAGCTGGGCAGTAGCCAGGGACTACTGCACCCGCTTCTGCCTTGTTTGGCCTCACTGTATCCCACCCACCCCTCCTGGCCCTGGAAGCAGCTAGGGTGCCTCCTGCCATCGGGGCCAGGTCTGGGTCTCACTCCCCGGCCCTGATTTGGGAGGGTCCAAGGGGGAAGTGGGGTGGGGAACTGCCTGTGGGTGAGTGCCAGGGGCCTGCTGGGTGGTGGCCATCTGCGACCCGGCAGGGGGCTGTGCAGATTCTGCACCTGGCCATTCCCTGTCCTGTCTCCTCAGCCTGCCTCACAGTGGCCATGGGGTGTCGGGGTGAAGGGCTGTCCCAGCTACTTGTCCTCTGCAGGACCCTAAGCCCCTGCCCGCAGCCCACATGCCCTCTGTGATGAGTGGCGTCTTTCCTGCCTCTGATGATGGACTCAATAAACAGCACTGGACAAGGCTGCTGGTGTCCCCACTGCGTGGTCCTTGGCTGAGAAGGGAGCAGGGGGAGGTCTCTGCAGGAAGAGGCCACATGGGGTCCAGTGGGCCCCAGTTTGCACGTCTATGCCAGGGTGTGTGGGAGGTGACCCCGATCTGGTACCCCCACTCCTTGATGTCCCAGTGGCCAAGGCTCTGACCTCCCAACTTCCATGGCCTGTTAACCTGTTGCCCCTCCACCCCAGCCTCCCAGAGCTGGCACTGTGGGAGGTAGGATGACAGGCCTGCTGTCAGGGGCCTAGACTTCAGGTGGGAGGGTGAGAGTGTTGCAGCTGTTGGGCCTGAAGTGGCTTCTCTGAGGGGCCCAGAGCCTGGGGAGGGACCAAGGGAAGGGCAGCATGAGGGCAGCACAGGGGACGGTGTCTTCTGCTGGGCTTGGCGTGCCCCCCGACCCACAGGATGAGGCAGGCCGGGAGCAGCGCCTGCCTCAGACGGCCAGAGCTGGGGCTGTTTACAGCCCATGGAACCCAAGCACCATTTCCTCCCTGGAGGATCAAACCTAAGAGCAAAGAGATAAAGAGATGCTGTCTGGCCAAACTCCGGCGGAAGGAGAGTTTGGTGTATTTCCCTGGTCGGGTTAGGCCCAGCTCTTTTCTGGACCCTCTGGATCAACACATGCCTCCCAAATCGGCCCAGTCCTCGGGCCATGCTTGGTTGCTGCAGGGACAAAACAGAGGCCCCAGGGCACATGGAAGGATGGAAGTGGCCAGTGCTTGGTGTGCGGCCAGGGAAAGGTGGGCAGCAGGGCCTGGTGGCAGCAGTGGTGTCATCAGGCCAAGCAAAACTTGCAACTGAGGAACCGACGGGGGTGGGGGGTGTGAACTCCCCCCAGTCCTTGCTGAGAGGGACCTGAATCTGAGGCAGCTGCTGGATATGCTTGGCATCCCCAGCTGTCTCTCTGGGCTGGGTCCTATGCTGGCCACCAGGGTGTGGCAGAGAACAGGACGAGCAAGCAGAGCTCCTGAGAGGAGGGTGAGCCGTGGGCCAGTCAGGGGAAGAGGACCGGCGGCCCTGCTGGGGAGGGCTCAGGGTGGGGCTGGCCTGGGGAGGGTGGGCACCCTCAGCGGTGTCCCTGAGGCTAGTGGGGCAGTCACAGGGAGGCCACTCCAGACCCTCCTCCCTCCTCTCCCAAGGGGGAGCCTCAGGCTCTGGCTCTGCAGGTGTCTGGCAGCCCCATGCTGTTGATACGGGCAAGCAGCAGGCTGGCACGGATCTTTACAAAGATAATCTTTATTCATAATCACAGGCCACAGGGGTGAGACCTGAGGTTTGGGTTCTGTGGTGAAGGAGAACCCCTGTCCTCCTGTCCCTTGCCCTGGGCCTCTGCTGGCTGAGGAGGGACAAGGTGAGGGGGCCCCCATGGTGCTCAGACAACCAGAGCCTCCCTGGCAGGGCAGGAGTGTGGGTGCCACAGAGACAAGCCCCTTGCAGAGCTGACCTGGAGCCCACCATCCCCATAGCCTGTGTGAGCATGAAGCGAGGACCCCCGGGTGGGCTGTGCCCTGGGCTTGTCACTGATGCCAGTGGAGGCTGGCACCTGCCCCTCTCGGCACCTGAGACAGTGAGGGAAGGTAGCTGCTGCCGTGAAGAACAAAGATGCTCTGAGCACACACTTGCTGGGGCTGAGCTGAGGGGCACACGGAGGCAGGCCCTGCCCGTGGTCTGGTCAGCTGTCCCTGCCGCCGCTACTTTTCTGGTCTGGGGCTGTAGCCTTGGTCAGGTTCCCAGCTTCCCTCTTGAGAACGCTGAGCAAAGTCTGGGAGCTCTCCAGGATCTGGGGCCAGAGAAGTGAGAAGGTTGTTAATGTTCACCTGTTGGTAAGGTCCTAAGCCCCAGCTGTCCTCACACTCAGGTGCTGGGACCTGGCTGGGGGTGCTGTAGCCAAGGGATCCTGTGTGGGGGAAGGCGGAAGCCCAAGGGGACTGGCAGACGGGGTGGCAGGGCCCTCTTCCCTCCGGAATCTGACCCAAAACACTTCCTCTCCACCCTCAAAGCCAGGCTGGGTTAGCACTGGCCCGTGCTGGGTGCTCTGCCCAAGACCTGGCTCTTCACACTGAGCAGAAATAACCACATGGCTAGCGAGAACCGGATAAAGACCAGGACCCAGGATGCCCCAGGCCCCACAGACAGCCCCACAGTCACTCCCACAGCAGCCTGGGTTCCTCAATGGGCCTGGCCACGCTGCCCCTGCCCGAAATGCCAGCGAGGCACAGACTGCCCACAGCCGGGAGCCCCAGCCGGTCCTGACGCCTTGCCGTGGCAACACCCCTGCCGTGCCTATCCCCTGATGCTCGGCCTGGCCTCCCGAGCTCCACCTTGAGGTAGGCGGCCTCCGTCTCCGCGATGGTCCGGTCGAACTCGTTGCGAGAGGCAATCTTGCGTGCCAGGTTCTCGTTGACGCGGGCCAGCTTCTCTGTCAGCTGCCTCACCTCATTCTGCAGCCGCTGCTTCTCGTCCTCCTCCTCCTGGATCTGCCGGCACAGCTCCTCCCGCTTCTGGCACAGCTCCTCTATGCCTGGGGGCCGGGAGGGGCGGCGCTGTGGGCCCAGGGCAGGAGCGCGGCGGCGGAGGGCGGGCCTCCTTCCACCCGAGGAAGCCAGAGTCAGGCACCACCCCCGAGCGCCCGGCGCGGGGCCTGCGAGCCAGCGAGGGCTCGGGCCACGGACACCCGGCCTCCGGCACGGAGGGCTCTGCTCAGCCGCGCGATGCCCGCAGCGAGGCGGGTCCAGGGGCACCCCGCTGCGAGCCGGGAACCCGGCCCTGCGGCCCTCCCGACCTCCCCGTCCCGGCTGCGCCGCTCACACTTGACCAGCTCGTTGTTGTAGTTCTGCAGCGCCGCGCCCTGCTGGGTCATGGTCAACGCCGCCCGGGGCCCCACCACCCCAACCGCCGCGGAAGCAGCGCTGTCCGCGCCTGCGCACGACTCCCCCACGGCGCGCCGAACTAGCGCGTCATCGCTGAGCGCCTTGTGCGCGTCATGGCTGCGCGTGCAGACGTGCGTCATCGCCGCGCGCCGCGCCGAGCGAATCTCGGAGTCGGTGGGTGCAGATGGCGGCGGCAGTTGTGGTGGCGGAGGGGGACAGCGACTCCCGGCCCGGACAGGAGTTGTTAGTGGCCTGGAACACCGTGAGCACCGGCCTGGTGCCGCCGGCTGCGCTGGGGCTGGTGAGGCCTGGGAAGAGAGGGGCGGCCCCGCGCGGAGTTTCCGGGACCGTACGCGCTTTGGGGCCGCTACCCTCGGGTTCATACGGCTCTGTCCATCATCCGCCTCTGTCCTGTCCTGCCATTTTCCACCACCTTTCCGTTTCGTTTCGTTCAGCTCCGCTGACAGCCCTTCCATAGCTTCGGCCCAACGTCCGGGCAGCACGGACAGGGGGCAGCGGAGTTTTTGCAGCCTCCCCCTCAGCTTCTTCCCTTCCCCGCCTCTCCCCACCTCTATGTTGTGTTCCCCTCGCCTCACGGTTTTCTGCACCCCAGGTGTCTTCCCGGACCAGCGGTGCAGTCCCGCCAAAGGAAGAGGAGCTCCGGGCGGCGGTGGAGGTTCTGAGGGGCCACGGGCTACACTCGGTCCTGGAGGAGTGGTTCGTGGAGGTGCTGCAGAACGATCTGCAGGCCAACATCTCCCCTGAGTTCTGGAATGCCATCTCCCAATGCGAGAACTCTGCGGATGAGCCCCAGTGCCTTTTGCTACTCCTTGACGCTTTTGGCCTGCTGGAGAGCCGCCTGGATCCCTACCTGCGTAGCCTAGAGCTGCTGGAGAAATGGACTCGCCTGGGCTTGCTGATGGGCACTGGTGCTCAGGGGCTGCGAGAAGAAGTCCACACTATGTTGCGCGGAGTCTTGTTCTTTAGCACCCCCAGAACCTTCCAAGAGATGATCCAGCGTCTGTATGGGTGCTTCTTGAGAGTCTATATGCAGAGTAAGAGGAAGGGGGAAGGGGGCACAGACCCGGAACTGGAAGGGGAGCTGGACAGCCGGTATGCCCGTCGCCGGTACTACCGGCTCCTGCAGAGCCCGCTGTGTGCAGGGTGCAGCAGTGACAAGCAACAGTGCTGGTGTCGCCAGGCTCTGGAGCAGTTCCATCAGCTCAGCCAGGTCTTGTGAGTAGTCTGTCCCGATGGCCATGCCCTTGCTCCTTCTGGTTCCCCGCTGCTCCCCTGGGTCCAGCTGGCCTCAGCAGAAAGCTGGTGAGCCGTCCTGATAACCAGGAACATGACAGAGAGAGAGTCCCAGGGATTCCTGTGCAGCGTGTCCTGGACACAGGTGTCTCTCTTCTGTCACTCACCTTCAGTCCCACAGATTCATGCCTTGACCCTGGTAAGGCCCTATGTGGCTTGTGTCTGCAGCAGCAAATTTCTTAGCAACTCCAAACTTCCTGGACTCTGCAGAATTCCACTGTGCCTTTTGTCGATCCTGGGGAGGAATGATTCTCACCCTCGTCGACATTCCTTGCCCTGTAATTGTGAACAGAAGCTTGCTGCTGCTTCTCTCCAGGAAGATCAGGTCACTGTGAGGGCAAGCAGTCTCTTGTTAGTTTGGAGAGGAGAGGGGTTTGTTGTGAGAGACAGGTCCTGTTGTAGTTCTCTAGCAATTGTCATACCCTTGGCCATTTGTGGTGGTTTTGTCACATTGAACGGGGGTGTAGCCATGCAGCTACTTGAGAGGTCTTAGGTGGACTAAAGGTGGACTAAAGGAGTGCTCCTTTTGCTGGCAGGGGTCAGGGAGACCGTGAAGGGCTTCTGTTGGGCTCATCCCTGCAAAAGTTACACGGCAACTTTTCTCATCCTCCTCTTGAGTCCTTTTGTCACTGTAGACCAGAGACTGCACTGAAAGGCACAAACAGTGGCATCTGTACCTCTGCGGCCAGGGTAGCAGTGCAGTTGGTTGTCGTTTCAGAGTTGATCCTAGGAGATAAGGCTAGGGCCCCCGACAGCCACACCTGCTGCCACTGATCACATGGGGAAGGCCAGTGTCCCTACCTGGATAGAGGCCAGCTGGGCGGGGACAGCAGAGCCTGGGAGTGCTCTGTGCTCCCAGTGGCTTCTTGAAGCCTTTGGTACAACCGCCCCCCACAGCTGAGGATTGTGGGGAGGTGTGTGCTGGGTGTGTGTGTGTGTGTGTGCTGCATGCACTCTACAGGCAGGGCAGTCCTGGCATGGGGCTGTTCTGGGCTAGAGGGGCCGGTGTGTGCTCTGGGTGCCCCATGGCCAGGGCTCTCCTCTAGACACAGGCTCAGTCTGCTGGAGCGGGTCAGTGCCGAGGCTGTGACCACCACCCTGCACCAGGTGACCCGGGAGAGGATGGAGGACCGTTGCCGGGGCGAGTACGAGCGCTCCTTCCTGCGTGAGTTCCACAAGGTGAGGACCCCTCCCTTGGGCTGTGCCCCGCTGGAGACAGGGGAGTAGGTTTCTGGCAAACCTGACACCTGGCTTCAGAAGCATCCAGAGCACGGAGGCCTGGGTGGGCCCAGACCGGGTGGTGGCTGGAGCTGTCTTGATGTGGGGTAGAGACCAGTACTTCTGGGCCCTGGTGATAGCGAGGACGCATCTGAGGTGCGCTCTTCGGATCTGCGCAGAATCCCATGGCTGCAGGCGGTATCGGGCCAGGATCCCGAGGGGGCTACCTCAGGCAGGTGTGGCGAAGCTGGGCCCACCAGAGGAGCCACTGAATGGATCCCCTTCTCCTGTTTGCTGCCCTACTTGAGTGTGGACTCGCTTGGCCGGTCCCTAATGGACTGACCTACAGCCAGCCTGCACCACAGCGGGGAGCGAGACACCCTCACATGGGGCCTCCAGGCACCTGTGCTGTTGGGGTGTGGTCTGGGGCTCTGCTCTGGGCTCCCGGAGCCATAGGGGAGCTGGGCCCAGCCATGTGGGTCCCCCCATCCTGTTCCCATGTGTCACCTGTCCTTTCCTCAGTGTTTCAGAGTCCCCCTACTGAGGTGCAGATTGGCTGTGATGTTGGGTTTTCAAAGAGGGAGGGTGTCCCCAAAGCGGTGGGCAAGAGTGGGTAGTAGGGTGGAGAGGGTGAACATCCGTGCGGTCTTGCCACTGGGTAGCAGGTCTGTGGGGCATGAGCACGCCTGGGCCCCGCGGCGGAATTGCCACCTAGAGGTTTGTGCTCGCCTGGGCCCCCCGGCTGGTCTCAAGGGCGTGTTTATCCATTTAAGTGGGGGCAAGTGTGCCCACCAGGCACAGCGCACAGGTCGTGTGTGTCTGTCATGTCTCACGCTAGGGTTGCTGCTGCCAGTGATAAGTGTGGGCACTGGCGCGTGTGAGAGGCACGAAGACTGCAGGGGGGCCGGGACGTCGCCTTTTGGGCCATCACCCACCCTGCAGGTTTTGATGTGCTCCAGCCTCCAGACGCAGGTGGCCTTCGGGCTCCCCTCGGTCCCGGCCGACAGGGTGGGTGGCCGTGAGGCTCCTCCCAGCCTCTGAGTCAGCCCGGGGCTCACCATGCCTCCCTGCAGCTCACACTAGCGTTCTCCTGACAGTGGATCGAGCGGGTGGTCGGCTGGCTCGGCAAGGTGTTCCTGCAGGACGGCCCCGCCAGGCCCGCATCTCCCGAGGCCGGCAACACCCTGCGCCGCTGGCGCTGCCACGTGCAAAGGTTCTTCTACCGCATCTACGCCAGCCTGCGCATCGAGGAGCTCTTCAGCATCGTCCGAGGTGGTCCTGCCCCGGCCCTGGGGTCCGCTCTCCCGTCTGGGGAGTCTTCCCAGGGCCTTCCCCGTGTCTCCTCTGTGTCTGCATCTGGGCTCCCTGTGCCTTCACCGTGTCTGCTCTGTGTCTGCGTCTGGGGCTCCCAGGGCCTTTGCCGTGTCTGCTCTGTGTCTGCGTCTGGGCTCCCTGTGTCTGCGTCTTGGGCTCCCTGTGCCTTCGCCGTGTCTGCTCTGTGTCTGCGTCTGGGCTCCCTGTGTCTGCGTCTGGGCTCCCTGTGCCTTCACCGTGTCTGCTCTGTCTGCGTCTGGGGCTCCCAGGGCCTTCGCCGTGTCTGCTCTGTCTGCGTCTGGGCTCCCTGTGTCTGCGTCTGGGGCTCCCAGGGCCTTCGCTGTGTCTGCTCTGTGTCTGCATCTGGGCTCCCTGTGCCTTCGCCGTGTCTGCTCTGTGTCTGCGTCTTGGGCTCCCTGTGCCTTCACCGTGTCTGCTCTGTGTCTGCGTCTGGGCTCCCTGTGTCTGCGTCTGGGCTCCCCGTGCCTTCACCGTGTCTGCTCTTTGTCTGCATCTGGGGCTCCCAGGGCCTTCGTCGTGTCTGCTCTGTGTCTGTGTCTGGGCTCCTTGTGTCTGCGTCTGGGCTCCCTGTGCCTTCGCCGTGTCTGCTCTGTGTCTGCATCTGGGGCTCCCAGGGCCTTCGCCATGTCGGCTCTGTGTCTGCATCTGGGCTCCCTGTGTCCACGTCTGGGGCTCCCTGTGCCTTCGCTGTCGCTCTTGCAGGGGGGTGCACCGGGCAGTGCTGGGACTGTCCCCACTGCGGCGTCCCCCGTGCCTGGATCAGGGCAGGTGTGGCAGATGCTGGACAGTGCTTCTGGGTGTCCACTGCTGTGCTGCCTTGGCCTTGGCTCCTGCTGGGGACTGGCCCCTGGGTGTTGCTCTGTCCACCCTGTGGCATTGTGGTCAAATGCATCAGCACGCCAGAGTGTCGGGGGGATGTCTGGTGCCTAGCAGGTGGTCTCATCATCGTCCTGGGGCTGGCAAGCACGTGTCCTTTCCCACACCGCACACACTCTGCACCAGCCTGCACGTGCGCACGCATCCATGTCTGTCCCTGAGGGATGTTCTTCTTCTTGTAGACTTCCCAGACTCCCGGCCAGCCATCGAGGACCTCAAGTACTGCCTGGAGAGGACGGACCAGAGGCAGCAGCTGCTCGTGTCCCTCAAGGCTGCCCTGGAGACTCGGCTCCTGCATCCAGGTGCTGTGTGCTGCCCGGCCACCCAGCACTCTGGGCTTAGACACTCACCAGGGGACCCATGTCCAGGGAGCCTGGGGCCTAGTCTGCCAGCCCTGGACTTGTAGGTCTAAGGAAGAAATGGGTTGAGAAGCAATTGGTGAGGTCCTTAGGGGATCTGAGGTGCCCGTCAGCTTGCTTGTTTCTTCTTTGGAGGGAGTCAGGACTGACCGGTAGGTCTGAGGTGATGAGACTTAGTTCTCTCAGAACAGACCTCCCTGCAGGGCGGGACCTGTGAACAGGTAGAGGTGGGGATGGGGGGACAAGGGAACGAGGCTGCAGTGGGGACCTGTAGACCACCTACCGGCATGGCCAGCTGTCTACTCGGGTGTTGCCCCTGGGAGGCTGTGGTCCCGGGCACTGCATGACTGCTGGCTTCTGCCCTGGCTGTAGGCGTCAACACGTGTGACATCATCACCCTCTATATCTCTGCCATCAAGGCGCTGCGCGTGCTGGACCCTTCCATGGTCATCCTGGAGGTGGCCTGTGAGCCTATCCGCCGCTACCTGAGGTGAGGGCTGCAGCTGGCCCAGGAGCCACTGGGACCCTGGGCATCCTGCTGAGCTCCTCGTGGTCCTGGGGGGCAGCCGGAGGGTGTGTTCGGCCGTCAGGACACAAGGTCTCCCCCGGCTGGGCTGAGTGCACGGGATCAGGCCCGAGGCTCTTTCCTTTCCTCTTGCCCGTGCCGGGCACCTGTCCTTGTCACACGGTGTCACCGTGCCCTCTGTGTGCAGCTGCCAGAGGCCCACCACAGCCCTTCCTCAGCCTCCCCATCTCCAGCACAGAGAGAAGCTCTTCCACTTGGCCTCGCCTTGGTGCTGACCAGTCCCCAAGGCCGACCAGGCAAGGGGAGTGGGCTCTGCTGTCCTGGCCTTTCCCACGGCAAGGAACAGACACTCCTGGGGCTGTTCGGTGGAGAATGTGTTGGGATGAGGACCTTGACATGGCTGCCTGGGAATTCCTCAGGGGTCGCAGAGGCCCTGGCCCGGGGCTGGCAGGCACAGTGGCCCCCAGGAGCCGAGCAGCAGGAGCCGGTGGAGTCTGGCCCCTACCTGGACTCCTTTGGTGCTTTGTGGCTGTAACTGGCCTGGCTTCTGAGCCAGTTCTTTGTTTTTTCTTTTTTTTTTGAGATGGAGTCTCACTCTTTCGCCCAGGCTGGAGTGCAGTGGCACGATCTCTGCTCACTGCAAGCTCCGCCTCCCGGGTTCACGCCATTCTCCTGCCTCAGCCTCCCGAGTAACTGAGACTACAGGCCGCCACCAAGCCTGGCTAACTTTTTGTATTTTTAATAGAGATGGGGTTTCACCATGTTAGCCAGGATAGTCTTGATCTCCTGACCTCGTGATCCGCCTGCCTCGGCCTCCTGAAGTGCTGGGATTACAGGCGTGAGCCACCGTGCCCGGCCCTTTTTTCTTTTTCTTTTTCTTTTTTTTGAGGCAGGCTCTCGCTCTGTTGGAGTGCAGTGGCAGAATCCTGTCTCCCTGCAGCCTCGGACACCTGGGCTTAGGTCTTCTGGCTTAGTGTCCCTATGTGCTGGGATTGCAGGTGCGCAGGCCGGCCTTGCGCTCGCAGCTCCTGCTGCTCCCAAGTAACGTTGGGTTTATTTGTTTTTAAGGAGTCTGACGGGCCTGTGTTTAGTACATAGCCCATCACCACTGAGTGTAGAGGCAGGGTCGGTGGTGCTGGCCTAGATGGGGCCGGGACTGGAATGAGTGGTGGGAGGTGCGCGCGGGGTGTCCACACTGTGGGCCACAGCAGCACTCACATCGGCAGGACGCGGGAGGACACAGTGCGGCAGATTGTGGCTGGGCTGACGGGGGACTCGGACGGGACAGGGGACCTGGCTGTTGAGCTGTCCAAGACCGACCCGGCGAGCCTGGAGACAGGCCAGGACAGTGAGGATGACTCAGGCGAGCCAGAGGACTGGGTCCCGGACCCTGTGGATGCCGATCCAGGTTAGCTTGCCCCACATGGTCCCTTTCACCAGTGTGGGGGGCGCTTCAGCCAGGCCGTCCGCTCTGGACTCATCCCTTGTCACAGAGCTTGGCTGTGTCAGGTGTCGCTAGTGTCTCAGAGGCTTGAGGGTGTCAAAGGTCAGGGCAGTGCTCCGCCACCTGCCAGCCTGGGCAGGCCGGTGATGGGCTGTTTTCCTCTGTGGCTGGTCACTCTGGCCGTGGGGGATGCCCTGCCTCCCACCGCTTGTGAGCTGTGGGGTGTCCCTGCCCCGCCACTGCACCTGGCAGAGGAGTGAAGATGTGGGTGACCCCTGAGCTCTGTACTGATTTGGGCCTCAAAGTCCCGTTAGGGTGCCAGCTCCTGCTCAGAGCCCATCTGTGCCTGGCCCTCGTCTGCGAGGGCTCTGAGGGCTATGGGGCCCAGGCCTGGCCCCTGCCCTGGCACAGATGGTAAGTCTTCAACACATCTTTAGTCTCTCTCAGAGGAAAACCCCAGGACCTTTGGCTTGTCCCCTAAGCCTGCATGGGAGTCCCGGAAGGTCCCTGTGGGGTGAGAGGGGCTGGGGATTGAAGCTGTTGCTCCAGGACCTGACTCCAGGTCTCCCGGGAGGCTCAGGGCTGCTCCCAGCCTCGAGGGCCTTCAGGAAGAGCCATGCTGGGCTGTGCCGTCTGGCTGGGCGGGATGGGAGGAGGGCGGCCCTGTCCTTGCCCAGGTGCCTGTCAGGTGACACCCCTGCCCCCACCATGCCAGGGAAGTCGAGCTCCAAGCGGCGTTCATCGGACATCATCAGCCTGCTGGTCAGCATCTACGGCAGCAAGGACCTCTTCATCAATGAGTACCGCTCGCTGCTGGCCGACCGCCTGCTGCACCAGTTCAGCTTCAGCCCCGAGCGGTGAGGCCTGTGACGCGCTGGCCATCTCCAGGGGTGCCGGGGCCTTTGCCCAGCCTCTCTCGGGACAGGGCCCTGACGCCGTGCCTGGGGCCTGGTTGGAGCTGTGCTTCCGCCCCCACTCCTGGCTGGGGGTGTGCTAGCCATTGGGGTGCCCACACAGGCTCCCTGCTCTGCCTGGGGGGCACCCCCGTGCCCTGCCACAGGTGCTCCTTGGGGCTGGGGCTCATCACGACCCCCTGCCCAGACACTCGTCTTTCCAGGGAGATCCGCAACGTGGAGCTGCTGAAGCTGCGCTTTGGCGAGGCCCCAATGCACTTCTGTGAAGTCATGCTGAAGGTGGGTCCCAGCCCCGCCCGCTGCCCGGCCGCCCCGCAGGTCCCCCGTGACACCGGCTCCTCCTCAGGACATGGCGGACTCCCGCCGCATCAATGCCAACATCCGGGAGGAGGATGAGAAGCGGCCAGCAGAGGAGCAGCCACCGTTCGGGGTCTACGCTGTCATCCTGTCCAGTGAGTTCTGGCCGCCCTTCAAGGACGAGAAGCTGGAGGTCCCCGAGGATATCAGGGCAGCCCTGGAGGCTTACTGCAAGAAGTATGAGCAGCTCAAGGTACCTCCATGCCAGGCCACCCCATGGGCTCTTGGCACCCCTACCCTGCACTGCGGGGCTCCCAGCAGCCTGGTGCCTGTGGCTGCCCCGTTGTCACCCGAGTGTCTCTGGGTTGGTCCTGTCTCGCAGCCGCCTCTGCAGGAGAGGGAGTGGGCCTGGCCCACGCTCTCTCCGCCTTCCTCCCAGCAACCCCGTGTCCCCTGTGAGCGAGCGTCCGCGCGGCCCACAGGCGCTTGGGTGGGCTGTGCTGGGCCCAGGTCTCCTGAACTGCTTCAGGGGGACCCCTGTGGCCACAGCAGGCCCTGCCCTCTGAGCGTTTCCTCCTCTTTTGCTATCCACCCTCTGCCTCTCAGAACCGGGGCTTGGGGTGCCTTGCGTCACTGCAGGGAGGCAGCTAGGGAGCCAGGGCTGCCCTCTGCCCAGGGCAGCACTCCCAGGCGCACCTGACCCCCAGGACCCCAGCCCTGCCCCCTTCTCCAGGTCTGTTTCCTCGAGAACTGCCTTTGCAGGCTCCAGTGGTACTTGAGGACCGGGGCTATGGGTCTGTGGTGGGAGTAGGAGGGGAGCAGATGTGGGGAGTGGAGGAGTGAGCCCTGGCCTGGAGGTCACTGGCAGATGGGGACAGTGTGCCCAGAGGATGGTATTGGCCACGTTTGGCTCACTTCCCCTGGCAGCACTGCTGAGATCCCAGCAGTCCCAGTACAGGCGTCCAGAGCCTGAGGGATGGAACTAGGCTTGGCGGTTCTTTCCCTGAGCTCATAGTCAGGTGGGAGGTGTCAGCTCGGGGAGGAAGGGTTAGGATGGTCGTCACAGGTGGGAGGTGTCGGCTCGGGGAGGAAGGGGTCGGGATGGTCGTCACAGGCGGGTTCCAGGGCTTTCTGTCTGATGTGTGGGGCCTGTGAGGCCTCCAGTGTGCCCAGCGAGTGCTCAGGACTGGGGGGAGGCGGGCACCCCAGCGGGGGACATGTGAGGAGAGGGTTCTGGGGCACAGCCAGCATCCAGTCTGCAGACCCCAACCCCAGGTACCCCAGGAAGGGGATGGTCCAGCCTCGGCCCAGGCAGGAGGAGCAGCCTCAGGACAGAGCCGCCAGGAGGCCGGCGGGCGGGCGGGGCTGAGTTCAAGGGAGGGTCCACAGCTTCTCCAGGTCTGCTGTGAAGGAGGCTGGACCTAGATGTGTTTTCCTTTTTCTTTTGCAAGTAAGAGGGCCTTGCTGTGTTGACAAACCAAGGGAACTTACTCCTAGGGGAGGGCAGGGCGATGTGTCCACTTTAGAAACCAAGGGGGAAGCTTCCTTCCGGAGACAGACAAGGGGAGGGCCAGGCGGAGGCCCCCAGGGCAGGAGGCCAAGGGGCTGTGGTAGGGCCGGGCTGCTGACCATGGTGGCGAATGCCTGCTGCCTCCCTCCAGGCCTCAGCTTGGCTCTGGAAGAGTCCAGGTGTCCCTTGCAGCTTGTGGAGGGTCTGTGTGGCTTGCACCTGCTCTCGGTGGAAAGGAGCACCCTGGCCATCCCCACACCTCGAGCTCTGGCCTGTGATACAGCCTGGTGTCTCTGGAGCCTGCGGGCACCGTGCCCCGCTGTGTTCTGGTACAAATCATCCGTGTGGCCCGGCTCCGTGCTCGGTCCCTTTCCCCCTGCCCCTCTGGCTGCCTCAGGCTCTCCAGCGTTGCTTCCAGGCAAGGCCCCAATGGCCTCCCTCCAGGGTCCTGCCTTGGGTCCCAGGCATGACTCAGCCACTTCCTGTTGCTCAGGCCTGATGTGCTGGGACAGCCACACTCTAGTGCCCTTTGTCTTAACTTCAGTGGGACACAGGAGTGGCTCAGGGAGGCCCCGGGGCTGTGCTGAGAGGTCCCACCAGCAGAGCTCCTGGCCGAGCGACCTTGTTGGACACGTGGCTGGCCATGCAGCCCACAGCGTCACCCCTGAGCCCTTGCATGTGTCCTGCGGCAGGCTGACCAGTGGCGGCGTTTGTGGAGGTCATGGCCTTGGAGCCAGAACTAGGACCTAGCAAGCCACTGACTCCACTTCCATTTTCTGTCCATAAAGAGGGGTTTGTTTCCATTAGAAGCTGCCGGATCCTGGAAGGACTCAGGAGCCCTTGGCCCACAGAGCAGGTGTGTCAGTGCCCCAGTGCTACCAGAACAAAGTACCACAAACCAGCGGGCTTAAAAGAAACATATCATTTTACAGAAGTCAGAAGTCTAAAGTCAGGGTCAGCAGGGCCCTCCGAAGGCTCTAGGGGAGGCTGCTTCCTCCCCTCTTCCAGCTTCTGGGGGCTCCAGGAGCTCCGGGGCCTGTGGGTGCCTCGCTCTGGTCTCTGCCGCGTCGCCCGTGATGTTCCCCCGTGTCTCTGTTCCTATCTCCCTCTTAGAAGAACACTCTCTCTATTCCAGGGTGACGTCATCTTAATTATATCTTTAATGACCGTATTTCCAAATAAGATCTCATCAGAGGCACCGGGAGTTAGGGGTTCATGTGTCATTTTTCGAGGGGCACAATTCAGTGCATGACAATTTGCCCCATGGTGGGCCCCTCCCACGTGCAAGTGACAGCCCCAGTGTCCCCAAAAGTCTTCACCATTTCAGCATCAACTCCAAGTCCAAAATCTCATCTAACTACCATCCACACAAAGTTCCACACACATCTCAGCCTGTAAATGCATCTTAACGAGGTCCAGGTGAGGCTGGAGTGTGCGCCATTCCTCTACGTAAATAGATCTAAACAAGGTACAGGTGAGGCTGGAGTGCGCGCCATTCCTCCAGCTGGGACGCCGTGAAATCAGCCAACAGATGATCTGTTTCAAAAGTTCAGCCGTAAGACAAGCATACACATTCCCACCCCAAAAGGGAAAACTGGGAGGAAAAAGGACAGCGAGTCCAAACCCAGCAGCCGAAATTCCACTTGACTTCCAGGCCTGCGAATCCTCTTTGGCCCCCTGCTCCGTCAGCCTTGGCCTCGGCGGCTCTGCTCTTGGAGCCTGCCTTCCTTTCACTCCAGCCTGGCAGCACTTCTGCGGGTGTAAAATTCTCACACCTTGTTGGCTTATGCAGCTCACCAGTGCCGAAGCCTTCAGACAGGCGGGTCCGCAGCCCTTTCCCGGAGGCCCCACCTGTCCCTGTCTGCTGCTGAGATGGTTAGTTGGATACACAGGTCACACCTCATGTCTAGCAAACCCTGGTCCAGCCACACCCTTGGCCACGTCTCAGAGCTGCCTGGATAGAGTATTTTTCAGATCCCCAAGGGCTGGTGCCTTTTTGCTTAATGGTCCCTGCCTCACTGATTGTTTCCCTCTTGCATTCTGCTATAAGTAGCAAGGAGAAGCCAGGTGGCACCTTCCACACTGCTTGGAAATCTCAGCTTGATGTCCAGGCTCATCAGCTGCAGGTCCCACTTCGCACCCAACAGCAGAGCAGCAGCCAGCCAAGCTCTCTGCTGCCTCCTCCGGTTCCCAGTAGCACGGTCATTTCCATCTGAGACCTCACTGGAAGCACCTGTTGGGTCGGCATTGCTGCCGACATCCAGTCTGTGATGCTGTGTGCATTCTCCAAGACGGCGGCAGCTCTCCTCTTCCAGCCATTTCCAGGCTTGTCTTCATGCCTTTCTACCAGCAGTCGTGCAGGCCTCACCAGTTCTTCCAGCCTCTCCCCATCACCCACTTCCAAAGCTGCTGCCACAGTTCTTGGTGTTAGGTTTTGGCAGCACCCCTCCTGGCCCTTCCTGGTACCAAAATCTGTTCGTTTACTGTGGCTGCTGTAACAAAGTGTCACAAACTGGGTGGCTTAAAAAACAGAAATAGATTGTCTTAGTTTTGGAGGCTGGAAGTCCAAGATGAAAGTACTGGCAGCCCCGTTCCCTCTGAACCCTCTTAGAGACCTCCGTTGCCCCCCAGCTTCTGGTGTTTGCCACAGCCCTTGGTGTTTCTTGGCTTGTGGCCGCGTTGCTCCAGGTGGTCTCTGTCTTCGTGTGGCCCCCTCCCCGCCTGCCTGTGTCTTCCTATCTTTCCTTTTCTTAGAAGGACCCCAGTCAGTTGGGTTAGGATGCACCTCAGTTACATCTGCATCAACCCTGTTTGCAAATATGGCCACATTTCCAAGCACTGGGGGTCAGGAGGCCCCTGTAGCCTTTTCGGGACACACCTTATGATGCTGGCCCCATTGCCCTTCCATGGTGGCTGAGCAGGTGGGGACCCCACCCAGTCCTGTGCTCTCGCTGCTCACCTGCCTGCCAGGGTGGGGTGGGGCAGGTGGCTCTGGGAGCCCCTTTCTCACTGGTACCAGGTGGCAGAGCCCACGGGCCTGAGCGCCCTGCAGCCGAGCTGCCCGTGCTGACCCTGGCCCTCCTTAGGCCATGCGGACCCTCAGTTGGAAGCACACCCTGGGCCTGGTGACCATGGACGTGGAGCTGGCCGACCGCACGCTGTCTGTGGCGGTCACCCCAGTACAGGCGGTGATCTTGCTGTATTTTCAGGACCAAGGTGAGCCCACCAGCCCCTAGCTGGCCTGCCCCGGCCACACGGCCCAGCTGTGGGTGAGGGGCTGTTCCCCAGTGAGGGTGTGGTTTGGGGCAGCTGCGCCAGCAGGCGGCACCCTTCCCTTTCCCACGGGCAAGGCAGGGTGGCCCGGGAGCCCCCCGACCTCTCGGCTGACGGGAGGCAGGGGAGGTGCAGCCCGTGCCCAGGCTGCCCAGCGTCCCGGTGACTCTGCACGCAGCCAGCTGGACCCTGGAGGAACTGAGCAAGGCGGTGAAGATGCCCGTGGCGCTGCTGCGGCGGCGGATGTCCGTGTGGCTGCAGCAGGGTGTGCTGCGTGAGGAGCCCCCCGGCACCTTCTCTGTCATTGAGGAGGAGCGGCCTCAGGACCGGGACAACATGGTGCTCATTGACAGTGACGACGAGAGCGACTCCGGCATGGCCTCCCAGGCCGACCAGAAGGAGGAGGAGCTGCTGGTGCGCGTGCAGGCCCCACGGGGGGCCAGGGGGCGGGGGCGAGGCCTGCAGGTGCCTGACGGGGGCTGGCCTGTGTCCGCAGCTCTTCTGGACGTACATCCAGGCCATGCTGACCAACCTGGAGAGCCTCTCACTGGATCGTATCTACAACATGCTCCGCATGTTTGTGGTGACTGGGCCTGCACTGGCCGAGATTGACCTGCAGGAGCTGCAGGGCTACCTGCAGAAGAAGGTGCGGGACCAGCAGCTCGTCTACTCGGCCGGCGTCTACCGCCTGCCCAAGAACTGCAGCTGACACATCGCCCGCCCGCCCGCCCGCCCGCCAGGCGCTGCCCTGCAGGTGCTCTCGTCCTCCCGTGCCAGCCCCCGCCCGCCCGTGTCCCAGAATGCACTGCTGAGGAGCATGCCCACCCCCACCCCCGCAGTGTGCAGATTAAAGCAAGTCAGATCATCCTTTTCTGTCCTGGTGGCTTTGTGGGGCCCCCCAGGATCCTCCTCTAGCCTGGGCCTCTCTCTCAGCCTGGCAGGGCCTGCTCCTCAGCAGCAGGTGAGGGGCCACCTAGGCCTACACATCTGCACTGGGAATGTAGCCTCCTGAGAGAATCCCGGGCCGCCCCCGACCCAGGGTGCTCAGGGAGCGGCACGTGAAGGTCCACGTCACGCCCGGGCCACGGCTCAGGCAGCCACGTCCTAGGGCTTAGTGCTTGCTACCCGCCAGACCTCCAGCTCCATTCCTGCGCCTCTGGCCTTTAGAAGGAGCCCTGGGGTCACCCTCTGCTCAGCCTGTGCCCACCTCCACACGCTCGGCCAGGAGGTCTCGGGCGAGGTTGGGACGTTGTGCGGGTTCGGTTGGAATTGCTGAGGCTGGCGAATGACCTCTAGGCCAACACGCCTCGTCTCTGGCAGTGAGGCTCTGCCGAAGGCTGTGCCCTGGTGGCCAGAGGGACTGGGCACTTGTCCCCTGCTCCACACTCAGGCAGGGTGGCCGGAGGGCTCAGCTTCACAGGTGTGCCTCAGAAAGGCAGGTCGCCCCTACGTCCTTCACACGTGTGGTCACGCGTGTGCAGGCTGCCCAGGTCCTGTCCTAGAGGCTGGCACTAGGAGAGGGAGACGCCACAAAACTGAGCAAGGGCCCTAGGGTCCAGTTCTGGGCTCTTCTGCTGCTCAAACCTGGGCCTCTGTCCCAGAGGTGCCGTTTCCAGGCCAGACACGTTCCACCCCGATGGCGCCGTCCTCGCGGGGGACAAAGGCCCTTTGAACTGGTGCCTCGAGTCCCGCTCCTGCTGCAGCGCCTTCCCAGGCTGTGAGCTGCGCCTGGTTTCAGTGCTCCCACCGCTGTCCCCAGATGCCCTTGCTGGTTCCCACATGTCCACGGTCCTGGGCTCCTGCAGCCGCCGCCCAGCACCCTCCCACCTCTCCAGCTCTGGCCTGATGCCCTTGCTGGTCCCATGTCCATTGTCGTGGGTTCCTGCAGCTGCCGCCCAGCACCCTCCCACCTCTCCAGCTCTGGCCTGTTTGAGCCGTCCCGTTCAGTGGACATTCCTGCACCCTCCTTGCTCTGGAGAACTCTTGTTTGCCTCAGGGCTTGAAGGAGGAAGTGGCCGGGATTAGGCAGGCGCCAGATGCACAGCCTGTGCCCATCAGGCCTCTGCCCCGCCAAGGAGGGCTGCTTCCGCCTGTGCGGTATCTCCCCTCTAGCCCTGGGCCCTGCCACCTGCTCCACTTCACTCCAAGGCTGTCTGTGCTGCTGTCACAAAAAGAGGGACCCCTCTCCTGAATTCTGGTGGGATGGTCCCGATTGCTCTGATGCCCCCTCAGAGCAAGGTGGCCTTGCCTGGATCCCGCTGTCTGTGGCCACCACCTGGCCCCAGGCTGGGTGTGCCATTGTCCTAACCAGGATACAAACCTGCTGGGCTGGCCTGTCGAGTGTCACTGCCAGCCTGGCTCTGGTACACCTTTTGTTCTGTGTCCTGTGGATTCCATCTCTGGTTGTGTCCTGAAGACAAGGGCGAAGGGTGCATCTCGGGTCACGGTGTCACTCGGCAAGTCAGAGGTCGGAGGACCCCAGCAGGAGGGTGCCTGTCAACAGGCGAGGGGGTCCCTGGTGCCCAGGGCCACTGGGGCCAGACTGTGCCCACCCCCCCCACCCCCCGTGTCCCATGTGTCCTGAGCTGGCAGAAGGCCTGGCCTCCGTTGGCTGTGGGGCAGGTGTTTCCTTTTGCTGCCTGGCGGTTTGCTTGGCAGGTCCAGAGGAGGGGAGGCTGGGAGGGCAGGGGCCTCTCTCCCAGCCTGGAATAGCAGGTGCAGGGAGGAGGCTGAAAGCAACCCTGGCCATGCCGGCCTGCGGTCGACTTCCTTGGGCAACGCTTGTCTTTTCTGCAGAGGGGAAAGCTCCTGGGGGCTCCAACTTCAGTGACACCTTTAGTCTGGAGCCTTGGGGGATGTCTGGGAGGCAGGGCTTGGGGTCCTGCTCAGACAGGGGTGGCCAGTGTCCCCCAGACCTTTCCAAGTTGATGGGGGATTCCCTTGGGTGCCGGCAGCCCTTCTGACCTGAGCTTTGCCAGGGCGTGAGCCAGACCCTCCCAGAAGCAGTGGGGAGGGAGGATGGGTGCAAGCCCACCCCCTTAGCCCTCCTTGGCCCCTTCCTGCCCCAGCCCTGGAGGAAGGTGACCTACAGCCAGCTGGAGCCCAGCCCACATGCTGAGCTGCCGCAGCCCTTATGCTGGGAGGGAGCTGAGGCCGAGGCTGCCTGCCGCCCACCCTGCAAGGTTGCCAGGCCACCGCACCCACATCGGGGCCTGGAGTGCTGCCCACCCCCTTTCACTGTGAAGGATTTGGCTGGGCGCAGTGGCTCACACCTGTAATCCCAGCACTTTGAGAGGCCGAGGCGAGCGGATCACAAGGTCAGGAGATCGAGACCATCCTGGCTAACACGGTGAAACCACTGAAGGACTGCCCGTAAGACCAGGCCAGCCCCACTGCTGCCTCTGCCTCAGAGCTGGCCTGAGCTGGCTGGGCTCTCAGGCCTCTGCCCACCCTACCTGTCCCATTCCCAGAGCTGCTTGGCCATGGCTCCTTGAATTGCGGTGCCCAAGGGCAAATGACACACTGGCATTGTGAGCCCCCCCACCCCCACCTCACAGTCCTACTGTGAAGTCAGCACCTTCCAACAGTTCCGTCAGAGGTGTGCAGTGGGGCCAGGGCTGGACATGGCCCCCGGTCCCTGGCCTGTGTCCTGCCTGCGTGGTGGCCCCTTGGGCCTCACATATTTGTCCCTTCTGCTCATCCCTGCTGCAGGTGCCTCCTCCTGCCCCCGCACTCCACTCCCAGCCATGGCTCCCCTTCCCCAGGCAAGGTGGGAGCTCTGGTGTCCTTCTGGTGGCTACCAGGGCAGGGGCAGACTTGGGGGCCCTCTGCAGGCAGGTGACCGGCCCATGGCCATGTGGCCCTGTCTCTGCAGCTGGAACCTACTGTGAATGCAGCCTTGGCCTCAGCCGCGAGGCCCTCATCGCCCTCCTTGTGGTGCTGGCGGGCATCAGTGCCAGCTGCTTCTGTGCCCTCGTCATCGTGGCAATTGGTGTCTTGCGGGCCAAGGGGTGCGTGAACCCTGGGGCCGGGAGAGGATGGGAGTGAGGCCAGGCTGGCTGCCCTGGGCCCTTGGTCTTGCAAGAAGGGCTTTACCCCCTGGGTGGGCTGTCACCTGGGGTAGGAATGGCGTTTCCTAGGCGTGTGCTGGGGGAGCTCCGGGGGCCCAGCACTGTTCCAGGACTCATGTTGGCCTTCGTCCCCTCAGTGAAACATGCCCGAGACAAGTGGACAACAGGTGAGCACCAGGGAGGCCCTCGAGGGAGGCACGCTGTCTCAGGGGAGGCCCTTGGCGGGGGGAGCTATCCCAGGGGAGTCCCTGGAGGAGGAGGGGTGCTGTCCCTGGAGGAGGAGGGGTGCTGTCCCTGGAAGAGGAGGTGTGCTGTCCCAAGGGAGGCCCTTTGTGGGGGTGCACTGTCCCAGACGCCAGCCTGTCCTGGGGGAACAAGGACTCTACCAGCTCGTGATGACCCGGCCCGTCATGCAGGTTGGTGGAGAATTTTGGGGTCCAGGAAGATCTCATGGACCTGCACCCGGTTTACGTGGAGTCCCAGCTAATGGACGCTGACCTGGAGGTCTCCCTGGTGCCACCACTAGAGGATCAGAGCCTTGTGGCCATCCCCATGGAGGCTTCTTCAGAGGAGCCGCCACCACCCCCGCCCCTACCACCTGAGTAGAGGGCTGAGGGCAGCTGGGGGAGGGGAATTAAAGCGTATTTAGTGGCTGTGCACTGTCCTCCCTGCAGGCCCTCCTGAGGGCAGCTGGGGGAGGGGAATTAAAGCTTGTTTAGTGGTTGTGCACCGTCCTCCCTGCAGGCCCTCACACCCCTCACGGCTGCATCATGGGGGGTGCACGCGCATATGGGTCTCATCAAAGCAGAGTGCCCAGGCCCCACAGCAAGTTCCCCTGTTCCTCTGCCCCCTGGCAGTAAGCCATACCCCTAATGTTTCCACCTTCTCTGCCACAGCTGGTCAGCCCGGCTCCTTCCTGCACCCAGCTTTGGAAAGCCCCTAGAACAGGACCTGCAACTGGCAACTGTGAAGGGCGCTGGGTTTAACAGCAGGACTTGGGCTGATACCCCTGCCCCACTGCACTGGTCTGTACCTCTATCCCAGGAGAGTCCTGGGGGGGAGGGGTGGGGCAGGCACGCCTCTCCTGCCTCGGGTGTGCTGTCTCCCTCCACCCCAAGGCCTGTCTCCAACCCAGGCCCTATCCAGCATGGGAATGGGACCATCCCTGCGTGGGGGCCACTCCGCATGTGCACGTTGGGATCACTTTGCGGAGCCTGGGTGGGGTCGAGACGGGTGAGGAGCAGGACCTCTGGGTTGCATTGCGTGTGGGCGCCTGTTGCAGCCGTGAGCTGGGCGGGTGCAGGTGGGCGGTGTCCTGCTGCTCAGGTCAGGGCTCGGCGGGCGCCCGGTGGTGGACAAGGCGGGGTGAGGTGGTCTTGATAGCGCTGTGGCCGGCGCTGAGCCAAGAGTAGTTTGGAGCTCCCGGACAGGTGGCTGGCGGTGCCGGGCGTTGGCTGTTTGCCCTGCCCCCGCCCCAAGCGTGGATCCAGCCGTGGGACAGGAACTGCCTGAGCTCGGGCCAGAGAGTTAATATTTGTGCAGGCGCCGCAGGAACGGGCTCCGCGGACGACGGGCTCCAGGGACGCACAGGCAGCGGGCCTCCCACCGCGGGTGCCGGGGGCGGGGGGGCTGCCCCCATGCGGGGCCCTTCCTGGTCGCGGCCTCGGCCGCTGCTGCTGCTGTTGCTGCTGCTGTCGCCTTGGCCTGTCTGGGCCCAGGTGTCGGCCACGGCCTCGCCCTCGGGGTCCCTGGGCGCCCCGGACTGCCCCGAGGTGTGCACGTGCGTGCCGGGAGGCCTGGCCAGCTGCTCGGCACTCTCGCTGCCCGCCGTGCCCCCGGGCCTGAGCCTGCGCCTGCGCGCGCTGCTGCTGGACCACAACCGCGTCCGTGCGCTGCCGCCAGGTGCCTTCGCGGGAGCGGGCGCGCTACAGCGCCTGGACCTGCGCGAGAACGGGCTGCACTCGGTGCATGTGCGAGCCTTCTGGGGCCTGGGCGCGCTGCAGCTGCTGGACCTGAGCGCCAACCAGCTGGAAGCACTGGCACCAGGGACTTTCGCGCCGCTGCGCGCGCTGCGCAACCTCTCATTGGCCGGCAACCGGCTGGCGCGCCTGGAGCCCGCGGCGCTAGGCGCGCTCCCGCTGCTGCGCTCACTCAGCCTGCAGGACAACGAGCTGGCGGCACTCGCGCCGGGGCTGCTGGGCCGCCTGCCCGCTCTAGACGCGCTGCACCTGCGCGGCAACCCTTGGGGCTGCGGGTGCGCGCTGCGCCCGCTCTGCGCCTGGCTGCGCCGGCACCCGCTGCCCGCGTCAGGTGAGCTGCTGGGGACGCGGGTCGGGGTCTGCAGGGCGGTGCGGCAGCCGCCACCTGACGCCGCGCCTTTGTCTGTGTCCCACAGAGGCCGAGACGGTGCTCTGCGTGTGGCCGGGACGCCTGACGCTCAGCCCCCTGACTGCCTTTTCCGACGCCGCCTTTAGCCATTGCGCGCAGCCGCTCGCCCTGCGGGACCTGGCCGTGGTTTACACGCTCGGGCCGGCCTCCTTCCTCGTCAGCCTGGCTTCCTGCCTGGCGCTGGGCTCTGGGCTCACCGCCTGCCGTGCGCGCCGCCGCCGCCTCCGCACCGCCGCCCTCCGCCCGCCGAGACCGCCAGACCCGAACCCCGATCCCGACCCCCACGGCTGTGCCTCGCCCGCGGACCCGGGGAGCCCCGCCGCTGCCGCCCAAGCCTGAGCGGCCGCGGCCGCCTGGAGCGCTCGAAGCTTCCCCCATGCCTTTGCCCTCCCTTTACACTGTCTGCCGGCGTCAACAAGCGACACAGACCGAAAACTGCGTGACATTCCTTTAGGCATCACCACTGCATACACCGGGAGGTGGGGGTTGGGCGGTGCGCGCCTGCACCCTGGGGACGGAGGGGCAGAGCGCGGCTGCGCACGGGCCGCACGGGGAAGGCACGCGCTCGGGCCCTGGGAGTGCTGGTTCTGTACAAGGTGGCGGGCCGGTCACGCACCCGGAGCGAGGGCGGGGGCGGGCGGGTGGCGCTCTCCCGTGCCCAAGGTGCAGGGCAGGGTTGAAGACAGTCCCGAGCCAGCGTCCGGGGACCCCCGGGGAGGCCCGTTCTGGGCTGCAGGCCGGACGAGGAGAGGAGGGGCTCAGCCCTCTCGAGTCTGGAGGAGGCGGCCCGAGGCGGCGGGAGGCGCTGCCAGCTGGGAAGTCAGGGACGGCCGTGGGGGAGGGCAGGGCCAGCCCCGGCGTGTGGGGTCAAGGGGCAGACGGGGTGTGGGTGGGCGGTGCCGCAAGAAGAGGGGAGGGTGGAGCTCAGGCTGCAGAGGAGCGCAGGCGCCCGAGGAGGGGCGACCCAGCCAGCTGGGGCCATGGGCCCCACTGTGGCTCAGGCTGGTGCTGCGGGAAGGATGGGGCTGCCGTCTCTGCTCCAAGCCCCTCCGCCTGGGGCCAGTTAGCCCCCGCTCCCCACTGCTCAGAGACCCCAGGGCCCTGCCTCTGCCGGAGCGCCCTGCGGCCCTGCCCAGCCGACTCAGCTCTGCCCCGTCCTCAGCCGCTCCGGTCCGCACCTTGGTCCAGCAGGGGCTGCCCGCCAGGCAGCGGGGTGGGCGGGCGGACGGACGGGAGGCCCAGGGTGGGCAGTCTCTGGGGCGGGTGGGCTTCCCTCAGGCCTTCCCGAGCAGCAGGACCCATCAGTGTCCTTGGCCGGGCTAACTGGGCAGGTGGGCGCCTCCGGGGGCCTCACACCACGGTGCTGACCGAGGGATCTGAGAGGTTGAGCGGGCCCGTGATATCAGTGGGATGGTACTGCTGCAAAATAGAAATACACAGACAAGGCGCCCGTTAGCCCCACGCTGGGGGCACGCGCGGGGCCGGGACGGGGTGGACCGGCCAGCCGGCCAACCGGCGGGCGGGCAGGCGCAGCCTGGGGGAGGCTGGGGGTGCTCCTCCCCCGACCCCGTGGTGCTCCGGGGCTCTGCGTGGGCCGGGCCGCTGTCCCGTCCGTCTGTCTGTCTGTCTGCGGGGGAGGGGGCAGAGGAGGGCGGGCGGGGAGTCTCAGCTCTCCCTATGACGGGAACACAGCTGCAGCTGGCCCTCCTCCCTCTCAATAGCGCGTCGCGGCAGCACTGTGTCTTTTTGGTTTTGCAAAGCGCCGCGTCCACCCCCGGTGCTCTATAAATAAGAACCAACAATCAATACCCGCTGGCCCCGCCGGCCGCCAGGGACCCCAGCCCTCAGCGCCCAGTGCCGCCCTGGCCCGGACCGGCCACAGGACAGGGGCAGGGGATCTCCGCAGCCGGACTGACCCCACCCTACCCAAAGGAGCCCCCCACCCACGCCTCCCTCTGAATAAGCTCGCAGCCCCAGAGACCAGGTGGGAGCTGGGCTGCCCTCCCCTGCCCAGACCCCCAGCTGGCAGTGCCCCCCACAGTTCAGCCTTGCAGGGCGGGGCCAGCCCCAGATGCCACGTGATGCCAGAACTGGCCCCAGAGGACGGTCCCTGGTGCCCAGAGAGGCTCGGGTGAGGGTTCCGCTGGGAACATGTCCCTGGGAGGGCACCATGAGGGTCTCTGAGCTGCACCTGGCCTCGCTCCAGGCAGGGCCCTGGGACCCAGTGTCACCCTCTGAAAGTGGCCCATCACCTGCACGACATTTGTGCTTGCCCCCCGTGGCTGCCTGCCCCAAATCGCTGTTTCTCCTGTCTGCCTGGACACCCCCTCTTCCCCAGCCTGCCCAGCCCACGATCCCTGCGCTATTCCCCCTCCCTGTTCCCTGCGGGACTCCTGGCTCAGACTTTGCAGCATCAGCTCTGCCCGCTTTCCGCAGCAGAGGTGGCTCCAGGAATGGTGCTTCCACCTGCTCCTTGAGCCTCCAGTGGCCCCCAGGCCTACAGGCTCTCACTGTCCACCCATCCTGCATGCCAAGTCCCTTCCCCAGGAAGCTGAGCAGCCAGGCCTCATGGGTCCCTCTTGGGGCACCCTGGTGGCTTCATCTCGGGATTTGGCTTGCTTGATGCCAAGTCCTGTCTGTGCCCTGGAGGTCTGCCCCGCTTCCAGTGCACTGAGGGGCAGGTGGCTGCAAATCGCACTTCCTCCCCCGGGCGTAAGCTTCTCTCTGGTGATGCTGCTTATGGGCTGGGGGCTTCCTGTGGGCCAGACTGGTCCCTGGACTGCAGGGTGGCCACGGGGCTGAGGTCTCCGCTGCCTCTCTGGGCAGCCCCTCCCCACCATGGTGCCTGGGCCTGGGGTGCCTCTAGCAAGGCTGGGTTCGCTCTGGGGGCCTCTGGTCCGAGTGTGCATATCCGCTACAGGGACAAGCTGCCCCGAGCAGGAGGTGGGGGATTCTGGGCTCCAAAGGGCAGAAGGCCTGGCTCTTTGGGGTGGGCCTTGTGGGGTTGCTGGGGTCAGGAGCTGAGGTGGTCGTTTCCCTTCCAGAGGCCTCCCTGTCTGGGAACCTCAGTGTCGTCCTGGGCTCTGCAGGCCAGGGCTTGTGGGGCCGCCCCTACCCATTCTCAGACCCTCTGGGAGCTGCCGCCACACCTCCTGCAGGGCCCCCGCTCAGCCTGGGGTGGGAGCCACCCCTTTTGGTCCCACCCCACTCCCTGCCTGACAGTCCCCTGTGGCCGGGGCCAGTTCCAACTCCAGGCCCCAGCCGTCCACCCAGACGGACCCAGGCCCGGCCCCCAGCCCCCGGCCCACACAGAGACCACATGAAGATGCAACACGCATGGCTCTGGTGAGACAGGTGAGACAGGTGTCTGGGGGGCGGGGCCAGTGGCCAGACAGACGGACGGGATGGGACATCACAGCCACCCCCTCCAGGGCCGTCGCAGGGGCGAAGTGAGGGCGGCGGGCCCCTCTGGGAGAGGCGAGAGAAACGGGGACATAACAGAGAAGTGGTGTGGCCTCCCGGCAGCTGAGGAGTCCAGGATGGGGCCACGCTGGGCTCCCAGGGCCCCAGACCTGGCCCCGAGAGGTGGTGTGGCTGACTGACTGACCAACGAGATGACAGGCTTCAAGATGGCGTGTGGGTCATGGCAGGGGAGGTGGGCGGGCAGACTAACGGAGACACACGGGGAAAGCCGAGGACCCAGGAGGGCCGGGGAGAAAGGTCCAGAGAGTGAGAGAGAGCAGCATGGGCGGGCTGGGCAGAGCGGCCGCCACAGGGAGACAGGGGCAGAGTGGGCCACAGGAGCCCAGGGTCCGGGGCGGGGTGATGGGGCGGGAGACACACGCAGGGCAGGGCAGGTGGAGTCGGACGCGGGACTGGGGTGCTCTCCCCCTTACCGTGTCTTTGGAGGACCTACGCCTCTTGAAGCTGGAAGCCAGGGTGGAGGTGATAGCCCTAAATGTGGCTTTCTTTTTAGGGTCAGGCTCTGCTCTACCACTCTTTCTATCCTAAAATGAATATGTATAAGTGATTAGATGGCTAGGGTGGTGGCCACACCTGCCCTCGCCTGCTCCTGCATGGGCCGCTGCCCAGCCTGGCCGGCCACTTGGGCCCTCGCTCCTGCCTGCCTCCCTGTGCTGGACAGACGGGCCGACAGCGGACGTTCGAGGGTGGCCTCTTCTCCTGCCCGGGGTCTCGGGCCTGACCTTGCTCGTGCTGGGGCTGGGCTTGGGGGCTCTCGGCTGGCTCTTCCTGGGAGGTCCGCCTGGCTCCCTGGCTCCTGGGTGGCCCTGGCTTACAGGCGTCCCGAGGAGGAGGAGTCCTCTGAGGACTGGAGGAGTTGCCCCTCAGGCCACACCAGCTGTCTGCGTGGAGGCCACTGACCCCCAAGGGGCACACACCAAGATTCAGGAAGGGGCCGAGGGCTGGAGGCAGGTGTCGAGGTGGAATTGGAGTGACAGAGGCAGCTCCCGGGACTCTGGCCTCAGGTCTGATGGCCAGGTGGCCTGTGCCCGCCAGTGCTGGCAGCGGCCAGGTCCCCAGGGGACCTGTGGGGGCCAAGAGCAAGAGCGGGCGGATGAGAGGTGTGGAGCCTCCAGCAACCCCCATCCCCCAGCAGCCCTGGCCGCACTGTCGGCTTCATCTCAGGACACAGGCTCCAGGACGGCACCCAGAGAAAGAGAAGAGACGGAGTGAACCGGAACTCGACCGCGGGCCACGAGCCCTTAGGCCTGTACAGGCCCACTGCCCACCCTGTCCCAGGTGGGCCGTGGCTGCCCTTGCTGGTGGCAAATTCTCATGGATACAACCTGGGCACCAGGCAGGACCGGACCTGGCCCAATTCGGATTAGAGTCACGGAGCACAAGGACATAGCAGGAAAGGGGGGGGTCTCCGAAGGGTGTCAAGGGGCTTGGGTCGGCGGAGGGCAAAATGCATCTTGGACTCACGTGCCATACACAGGCGGGCCCCTGTCTTACCCTGCCTGATTGCCTTCCTATGGAATGGGTACCGGCGGGCGACTCTGGAGACAGAGGGGCCAGGCGGAGGCTTGGAGCAGGGTGCGTGGCCTCCCTCGGCCCCGGCTTTGCAGTGGGCAGCCACCTGCAGGCAGCCCCCCACCGGTGCTGCCCCCGTGCCCTGGGAGCACTCACCACTGCCCCTGGCCATGGCTCCTAGCTCCAGTCCTGCCCACCAGAGCCAGAGCCAGTGCCACGGCCTTCGGGGATGGAGGAGGGCCGTGGCCAGGCCGGGCCCTGGGCACCAGGCCTCGGAGGGTGGCCTGCCCTACCTGCAGGTTCTTCCGCCACACGTTAACGGCGGCAAAGGCCAGCTGCATCTGCTTCCGGCGAGCATCCTTGTGCCGCTTGTAGGCAATCTCGATGAAAATCAGGAAGATCCCGGCCACGATGCCCCCAGCTACCAGCATGAAGACCCCTGTGTGCCGGGACCCAGAGCCTCAGTTGCTGGCCAGGGAGGCCGCAGCCCACGGAGAACCCACCCGAGAATGGATGAAGGAGAACGCACCGGCCATGTTCTCAAAAGTAAGGGTCGCAGGGGCGTTGCTGCGCGAGTCACATTCCTGATACCGAACCCACGTCTTGTCCAGGTCTTCCATGAAGCCATTCTCGTGGGACCTGGCGGTGGGAACAAGTGAGCCTGCAGTGAGGCGGGGCCCAGGACGGGAAGGAGCAAGCTGGGGGCGGGGCCGGGGCGGGGCCTGCGGGGTAGGGTGCGGCGTGGAGTGGGCAGCGCCCGGCCTGGGTGGGAAATCAGTGGTGGCCTCGGAGTGGTCTGGCACTGGGGAGGGCGTCCACCTCTGGCGGAGAGGGGCGGAGGAGGGACGCGGGCGCACGGACACTCACTTGAGGATGGACAGGGAGACGTTCTGCTTCCAGGGGCTGTCTTTGCGCATGCCTATGCCGAAGCCCGAGCGGAAAAACAGCTCTCCAGTCGTCACCAGGTCGCACTTCTGCGAGGCCTCGAACTCCAGCACCGCCGAGTCCCAGATGAAGGCATGCAGCTTGCTGCCGGCAGAGGCGGAGTCACGGGGGCCTTGGTCCTGCCAGCCTGGAAGCCCCACGCCCGCGCCCTCCGGGGTGCCCGGCCCGGACGCTCTCCTGCCCGGTGGAGGCCACCCTCCCCCTCCCCGCACCTGTCCCGCCCCGCCAGGGTGGCCGCCCGCGCCTCACTTGTCTCTCACGGCCTGGATGGCCTCCGCCGCACTCTCGTAGTTGTGCTTCTCCATATGCCGGTACATGGTGCTCAGCTCCACCTGGCGCCGGAAGTAGATATCCACGGAGCTCTGCTTCACCGTGGCGTAGATAAACTTGTCCGAGGGGTTCCTCAGCTGCAGGGTCGGAGGGCAGGGATCGCGGCGGCGGCTCCCCAGGCCCCTAACCGAGGCCGACCCCAGCTCACCTCGCATTCCCTCCCCCAGCCCGGCCAGGCCTCACCCGAGGGTCGTTGATGCCCGTGATGCGCTCCTCCGGCCGGTCCAGCACCAGGAAGGCCGCCAGGTTGGCGGTGTAGGAGGCCACGATGATCATGGCAAAGCCGGCCCACACCATGCCCAGGATGCGCGCTGAGAAGCTTCTGGGGGCGCCTGTGGGCGGGCGGGGGGCTCTGTCAGACCCTAGAGGGCCGAGGCGGGACCAGGCGGGCCGGGCGGGGCCTTACCTTCCCCGATGCCGGAGTTGAGCAGGACGCCCCAGGAGAACCACATGGCCGAGGACAGGGTCAGTGCGTCCTCCTCCTCCTCCTCGCTGTTCACCTTGAACCGGCCGAAGGGGCTGCGGGGCGCAGAGGGCGGGCGGGAGAGAGGGCGGGAGAGGCGGCCCTGCCCCGCCCCTGGCCGGCTCCGCGCCCCGCAGATGGAGGTGTCTGAGCCCCGGGTCGCGCTCACCTGAAGCGGTCCAGCAGGTACAGCATCACGGCCACCACGTGCACCGACAGCCCCACCAGCAGCCACAGTGTGCTCTGGAACGGCTGCATGAACGAGTCCAGCGTGCTCCGGGGAATCTCCTGCGGAGGGACGCGAGGTCAGCGCGGCCCGGGCCCTCCAGGGACTCCCCCCGCCGCCACCCCGCCACCCGGCCCCTGCCCACCTTCTTGACCAGAATAGTCAGGCCCTGGTACTTGAAGGGCTTGGAAAACTCGATGTACTGCGCGCGCTCGTTGTTTATGGTTAGCGGCGCCACGATCATGTCTGCCTGCCCGCTGAGCAGCTCGCCCATCATCCCATTCCACTCCTTCTTGTTGCTGTTGTTCACCTGCGAGGCGACAGAGCCGGCGGGCATGCAGGCAGCGTCCTCCCAGCTCCCGCCACAGGTACCCCCGACTGAAGCCGCCCTAGAGCACTCCGGGGGTCTTCTCCCCAAGACCCTACCCAGCTCGCAGGCCCCACCCCACTCCAGCCCCGCCCTGGCTCGCAGACCCCTCCCACGCCGGGCGGGCCCCACCACAGCCAGCAGGCCCCGCCCACTCCACGTCCCGCCCACTCCAGACCCCCGCCTGCAGGCCCTGCCCACTCCGTGCCCCACCCACTCCGACCCCCACGTCAGGCCCCTCCCATGTCAGGCCCCACCCAGCCCTCAGGCCCCGCCCACCCCATGCTTTACCCACGCCAGGACCCAGCCCGCAGGCTCCGCTCACTCCATGCCCCACTCACCCCAGGACCCCCCACCATCTGCAAGCCCCGCCTACTCCATGCCCCACCCACTCCGACCGCGCCTGCAGGCCCCTCTCACGCTGGTCCCCACCCCCGCCGTCCAGCCTACCCGCTCCTGTGTGCCGAACTTGCCATCTGCCACCAGGTGCACCTCGTAGGTGAAGTTCATGGTCCGTGCCAGCTTGATGAGCAGGTCGATGCAAAAGCCGTAGCAACACTGAGGCACCGTGTGGCGGGCTGGGTAGGTGCGGGCGGTAACTGCTGGGCTCCAGACCGCCCCACGCCCCGCGCCCTGCCCCGCGCCCCGCGCCCTGCCCCGCGCACTCACGGCTGCCCGGCGACGTGTCGTTGGGCCCGGTGCAGATCACCTTCTTGACTGGGTCGCCGTTGACTGTGAACTCCTCCTTGCATGTCCCATCACTCAGCGTGGGCTTGACGTACACGAAGGGCTCCTGGTGGATCGTCACAATCTGGGGGGGAAGGGGAGACCCAGCCTGGACCACCGACCTAAGGCTGCCCAGGGCGGCAGTCTCTTCTCAGCTCCCAGCCTCCCCTGGCGCCCCTCTTAATCCCCGACGCACCCCTCACACCCCCCGCCCTGCGCCGCCGGCCACTGCCCCTCTCTGGAGCTTCTTCACGAGCCCAAGTGTTCAGGACACGTCCTCCCCAGCCACCGTCAGCATCGTCTGCCTGCAGCCCCGGGGGGGTGGGGGCTGGGGGCTCAGAAAAGACTCCTGGAGAGCTGGACCCTTCTCTTGGCCACTTTTTCTCCAGTCTTGGCTTAGACATGATTCCCCGCCAGGTGCTGTGGCTCACGCCTGTAATCCCAGCACTTTGGGAGGCCGAGGCGGCCGGATCACGAGGTCAGGAGATCGAGACCATCCTGGCTAACACGGTGAAACCCCGTCTCTACTGAAAATACAAAAAAATTAGCCGGGCGTGGTGGTGGGCACCTGTAGTCCCAGCTACTCAGGAGGCTGAGGCAGGAGAATGGCGTGAACCCGGGAGGCGGAGCTTGCAGTGAGCGGAGACCGCGCCACTGCACTCCAGCCTGGGCGACAGAGCGAGACTCTGTCTCAAAAAAAAAAAGACATGATTCCCTCCAGCAGAGGAGCCGCTGATGTCCCGTGTATGCCAGGCATCTTCCTGGGGTGAGAAACAGCCCAGCCTGCAGGCTGACCCCCACCCTGCTGTGCCACGAGGACAGGGGCATGTCCACAAAGCCGACCCTGCACCTGCACAGGACCTGGGACCCGTGGGGCCACCCACCCGTGCCTCCCTTCATCCCGGCGCACTGCCTGTCCCGGCCCCCAGTCCCGAAGCCCTCAGGCTTTGAATGTAGGTCTCTGGCTCCTTTCTCTTGCCCGTGTGTACGTGCTCCACCGCGCCGTGGCCTCTTCGACCCACACTCCTGCTTGGGCTCGCCCTCCTGTCTGTCCTTCAAGGGACCATGGCATGGGGGTGGGGAAGGGATCTGGGGCACAGGGGGCTGGAATAGAGCATAGCACACTGCCAGAACTGTGAGGGGAGATGGTGTCAGAGCTGAGCCCTCAAGGTGGGCAGGGATCAAGCAGGTGCCTGAGGGCAGGTGGAGCAGAGGAGTCTGCAGTCCAGAACTGCAAAGGCAGGGAGGCGTGGGGGTGGTGGGAGAGGCACCCTCCCGGCATGTCCTAGGCAGGGTGAGCCTGAGAGGGGGGCAGGCCCGCCCACCCTCAGCCTCCAGGCAGCATTTTGTCTTTTATCCCCAGGGGAATCAGGAGCCATTGAAGAAGTTGATTTGCTTTATAAAACTTTCATTACATTTTCCTGTTATACAGGTAATATATATGCTAGTATTTTTAAAAAATTAGTGAGGCCAGAAACAAATTTGTAAAAAGCCATCTCCATCTCACAGCCTAGATGGGGCCTTTTGGCCATTAGCGTTTGACCGCTGCTTTCAGACTTTTCAGTGTGAGGTGTCTGGGCTGCAATGAAACCCACACTGGCACTGGAAAACCCCACCCTGTCTGCAGAGCAGGGAAGGGAGCTTGGGTGAGAGGCCACAGGGGCCGGTGCAGAGCAGGGGAGGGAGCCTGGGTGAGAGGTCACAGGGGCTGACACCAAGCTTCAGGGGTGGGCTCAGAAAACAGACAGGGTCAAGAGACATTTGAGGGCTTGGAATGACCGAGAGAAGGTTGGTGGGCGTGTCGCCTGTGAGGTCCTTGCCTTTGGTGGTCTGTGATGCTACCAGGACTGGAGTGTGTGTGGAGTGGGGGTAGTGTGGCTCTGCCCGGGGAGGAATGGCCAGGAGAGCACCCTGGAGTAGGGAGCCAAGGGAAAGATGTTCTGGAGGAGGAAGCCGGCGAGGGCAGAGGCTCTCAGAGGCCCAGGGGAGTCAGGAAGGGCTGTCCCACACGGTGGAAGAGGACAGTTTGACCCGGTCCCATCAAGAGCAATGCAGGCTGGAGGAGGGATGAGGGGTGTGGAGGACCAGGACTGGGGACAGCGAGTGCTGAAGCTGAGGTCTGCCTGCTGTCCCCCATCTGCTCTTCCCCAGCAGGGTCCTGTCAGACAACTAACTGCCCCAGACTTAAGTAGGGCTGGGTCAAGAGGGGCACTGGAGACCCCCTGTGGGATGGGGGCAGCTTCCTCTCCTCCCTCCTGTTCTCTCTGCTTCCTGTGCTGTGCCAGGTGTGCTGGACGGTGTCCAGGGGAAGCAGGCCCCACCCCCACTTCCTTTAGTGGCTTTCATTGACCTCACCGCACCCTCCTCCTTCAGGCCAGAGGGGGTGGATGGGCTGTCTGGGGTGGGGACACTGAGGGAGGTCTGTGGGGCCCCCACCTTCAGTCTGGTGGACATCTGGTACCCTCGAGGCTTCTCTGTCTCTCCGCCTGGCCAGATGATCTTCCTGTCATTAGGGATGACCTGGGGGTGGGAGTATGAGATGGAGGGTGGCCACGCAGGGGTCTTGGCCCCAGGACCCTAAGGCCCCAGCCCCCACCCCCTCATGACCCCCACCTACGTGGGTGCCATTGTAGATGCCCACTTGCACCAGCTTGCGGTTCTGCAGGTTCATGATGCTGTAGTTGGCGAACTTCCGGTCCCCATCCTCATTGAACTCCACGCGACCAGTCACCCCATCCGCATACTTGGAAGACATCAGCACTCTAGGGAAGGAAGCATAGCTGAGGCTTCTCAGAGATGCTCCTTCTCCTGCTCCTCCCTGCTCCTTCCCCCTGCTGCTTCTCCCTGCTCCTTCCCCCTGCTCCTTCTCCCTGCTCCTTCTCCTGCCGGCTGAGCAGCTTGGGCTTTTCCCTTGTCCCAGTCCCAAGAACGGAAAGATCAGCAGACGCCAGACCCTGGACACCGTGGTATCTGCCTGCACCAGATGGACGGTGTGGTTCATGACAGCTGAGTGGTTTATGGGTGCCAGACCCGGCTTTCTGTGGGTTAGGACGTTGTCCTCAGAACCATCCTGCCTTACAGAGACGGAGGCAGAAGCTCAGAAGGATGCCTGCCCTCTTGCCAGCAAGTGAAGGCGAGGTTGAGCCAGCTCTAACCACCAGGCTGTCCTGTCCGGCTGTGTGTGCACGTGTGCATTGTACCCATCGGGCCACATCAGTGAACCTGTGTGCACACGTGATCCCTATGTGGGGTGCACCCCATGCATGTGCTTGTGTCACATGTGTGTCATGTGCCTGAGTCTGTGTGCACACATGGTTCTGTGTATGTGTGTCGTGTGTGTGCACACGTGCTGCCTACATCTGCACTTATGTGGGCGTTGTGGATGGTGGCTCTGCACGTGCTACTCAGTGGTTGGGGATCTGGGGGTGAGCTGGCATGGCATGGTGTCCAGGCGTGCTGTGAGCTAACTCCTGCCACACTGCAGATGTTCACTTGGGTCTCTGGGCCTTGGCCAACCCTGGCTGTCTAAGGCTCGTGTGCTGTTCTTGGGCTGCTTGTCTGGCCTCCTGGGTCCCTGGAAGCTTTCAGTCCCCATCTGCATCAAGAGCCTCCTCCCAAAGGCTGCCAGCCACACAGGGAGAGGGGTGCTGTTTCAGGGTGGGCTGCAGTGTGGAAAGTAGGGGCGGAGGCAGTGGAGCCAGTCCCCACTCCAGTGACGGCCCAGGTACTGGTGTCAGTGTTGAGAAGAGGGCAGATGATTGTGCCATTAGATGTGGTGGTGCTGGGGGTGTGGGGGGAGAGGAGAGAAGTAACAGTGTCCAGAGGATGTTGGCAGCAGGCTCCACTGCAGTACCCCTGAGAGCGACGCCGCCCACCTCCTGGAAGCGACCCCGCCCACCTCCCCGAGAGTGCCCCCACCCATCTCTTGAGGAGCGCTCCCCCAGCTCCCTAAGAGCGGCCCCGCCTAGTCCTGAGAGCTGCTCCGCCCAGCTCTGGAGAGTGGCCCCGCCCACCTCCCCAAGAGCGGCCCCGCCCATCTCTGGAGTGACCCCGCCCACCTCCCCAAGAGCAGCCCCGCCCAGCTCCGGGGAGGCCCCGCCCACCTCTTGAAGAGCGGCCCGGTCTTCCAGATGTTGGTGTTGCCCACGCAGCCCCGCGGCGGGTCGGTGATGTTCTCCTTCTCGAGGAGCTCGTGCACGGCCTGGGCCACCACGCCCACGGCGTCGCTGATGTGGGCCGACTCGTTCTTGCCGTTGATGAGCTGCAGCCCGAGGATGCCTAGGCGAGCATGCGACTCAGAGCCCGTGGGGTCCTCCCCGTTCGGGGACCCCGCCAAGGCCCAGCACTCACCGTCTGGGGCGTAGCGCAGGGCGTTCCCCGAGATCTCGCGCTCGCCGACCAGCCACACGTACCCGGAGCCCGTCATGTTCAGCATCGCGGCTGCGCGGTATACAGTGGCAGCATCGTCCTCGCTGTGGGGCAGACGGGGATGACGGGCCAGGACTCCAGCACTCCCACCGCGGCGCTCCGCAGGCCCAGGTCCTCCTCCTCTGGAGCAGGGACCTGCCCAGCCCCCATCCCCTCCTAGAGCGAAGCCTGCAGACCTCGCAGAGGCGCTGCGGCCCAGAACCCAGGAGCCTCCCAGGCCTCCGTTGCTGGCTCTTACCTTGGGGGAGCAGGGATGGGGTTAGATGCTGGCCCCCTTACCTTGGGGGAGCAGGGATGGGGTTAGATGCTGGCCCTTACCTTGGGGGAGCAGGGGTGGGGTTAGATGCTGGCCCTTACCTTGGGGGAGCAGGGATGGGGTTAGATACCTGGCTTATGGGACTGACTTCCTTCTTGTGACCTGCACCTGTGCTCCCCAGCACGCCCTTCCCTCCACCTCAGAAGGCTCTGATGGGGTCCCAGGATGGTAATGGATCACCATTGATCACTTGCTGGCCAGATACCAGGCACTGCTCGAAGTGTTTTACGGGGATTATGTTGTTTAACTTTCACAATATCTCTGTGTCCCGAGGGGAAGCGGAGGCACATGGGACACACAAGAGTTGGTAAGTGGCAGAGTCAGGACCCGAGCTCCTAAGACCTCCTAGACAGGCCACACCCCTCTGGTCCTCTATGTTCAAACATGTGAAATGAGGGGTTGAGTGGCTCTCCAGGTTGGTGAGATATTGGTGGATCCAGCGTCCTGGGGACGGCCAGAGATGAGAGGCGGCTTTCCCCCTGGAGTCTGCATAAGCAGCTGCCTTCGCCCAGCCACCCAGGCCTGGGGCCTGCAGGAGGACAGAGCCCAGACAGGCCTCACCTTGCAGGCATGTGTGGTCTTGAGCTCTGCCAGTGTGCTTGCAGGTGGGCCCCTGTGGACAGTGGAGCAGGGGACCTGGTCCTCTGGGGCTGGGGCCTCTCTGGTTATGACAAGGACCTGGAGACCTGGTGGGACTCTGGAGGCCTTTGGGGGGTCTTCCCTCACCCCCGTCTGTCAGACCTTTCTCTGCAGGGCCTGACCTGTCTCCAGGTGGGCCTGGACTACCCCTGACACTTTGCTTCTCCAGACATGGGCAGCAGGGTTGGGTGGATTGCCTGAGTGTTGGATAATTTTCACAATACTTGACTGGAAACCAAGGTGGCCCTCCCCTCCTTGAGGAGGGATCTGCCCCCAGTTTTCTCGAGAATAAGCCCACAAAGAAATGCAGCCCTTCGGTGTTTGCTCTACATAACGATGCTATTGGATGTCAGTGACACAAAACAGAAGTGCTCCCAGTAGCACTGGCCCAGTGCCCCAAATGAGAGCATCTAGCAGAGGCTCCGCACACTGAACACAGCACAGCTTGTCCAGCAAGACCCAACACCACACGTGTCATGGCACAGCATGCCCGCTATCAAAGTGCCCACCAGGGCCTGACAGACAAGCCCGTCTTCTTGACGCAATTCAGGTCCATGACATGTGATGTGGTGGAATGATTAGGAGCAAAACAGTTGTAAACAAAAGCCTGATCTGTCCATCAAAACTCATCCGATCGTTTTATGGAAATAGCTGATACCAATCAAGATGACTTCAGGAAAATGAAAAGTTTTGGAAACAAATTATCTGCATGCTATGGAAAATTGTCAAAAATTAAGATTGGCGTCATGTCTCTCTGCAAAACACCCTCAACAACCTTCACTAAGGAGGAGCCAAAATATGACAGGCTGAAGGTCTGGGGTCAAGAAGGCCTGTGCCTGCCACTGCCCAGGGCTTGCCTCTCTGCACTCCTGGGAGATGGGCATGCTGGGTGGGCCAGTCGGCCTCTGCTGTGGGACTTTGGCCTCCACTCCAAGGAGCTCAGCATGTGAGAGGAGGGTCCTTTCCAGCCCTGACAGTCCAGAGCCATTGCTCTGAAGTATTTTGAGGCCAGGCGCAGTAACTGATGCCTGTAATCCCAGCACTTTGGGAGGCCGAGGCGGGCAGGTCTCCTGAGGTCAGGAATTTGAGACCAGCCTGACCAACATGGAGAAACCCCGTCTCTACAAAAACAAAAAAATTAGCCGGGGTGGTGGCGCATGCCTGTAATCCCAGCTACTCGGGAGGCCGTGGCAGGAGAATCGGTTGAATCTGGGAGGCGGAGGTTGCAGTGAGCCAAGATCGCGCCACTGCACTCCAGCCTGGGTGACAGAGTGAGACTCCATCTTAAAAAAAAAAAAAAAAAAAAAAAAAAAAAAAAAAAAAAAGTTGTTGGAGCTGGGGGTGGTGGCTGATGCCTGTCATCCCAGCCCTTTGGGAGGCCGAGGTGGGTGGATCACTTGAGGCCAGGAGTTCGAGACCAGCCTGGCCAACATGGCGAAACCCAGTCTCTACTAAAAATACAAAACTTAGCCAGGCATGGTGGCCTGCACCTGTAATTCCAGCTACTCGGGAGGCTGAGGCACGAGAATCACTTGAACCTGGGAGGCCGAGGTTGCAGTGAGCGAAGATTGTGCCACTGTACTCCAGCCTGGGTGACAGAGCAAGACTGTCTCACACACACACACAAAAAAAAAAGAAAAAAAAAAAGGCAGGCACGGTGGCTCATGCCTGTAATGCCAGCACTTTGGAAGGCTGAGGCAGGCGGATCACCTGAGGTCAGGAGTTCAAGACCAGCCTGGCCAACATGGTGAAACCTCATCTCTACTAAAAATACAAAAATTAGCCGGGCATGGTGGCACACACCTGTAATTCCTGCTACTCAGGAGGCTGAGGCAGGAGAATCGCTTGAATCCCAGGGGGCAGAGGTTGCAGTAAGCTGAGATCACGCCACTGCACTCCAGCCTGGGCAACAGAGCAAGACTCTATCTCCCCAAAAAAGAGAAAGAGTTATGTTGGCGGGTGTGTGGTTGATGTGTGCTGTGGTCAGTGTATGCATATGTGTGGGGTATGGTGTGCATGTAGCATGGGTGTATGGGTGTGCACATGGTGTGTGGTGCGCATGTGTGTTGTGATGTATGTGCATGTGTGCTGTGTGTACATGTATGTAGGTGTGCGTATATCAGTGGATGTCTTTGTATGTGATGTATATGGTGGTGTGTGTGCCTGTATCTGTATGTGTAGATGCACGTGTGTATGGTGTATGCATGGTGCATGTGTGTACACATGTGGT
Organism: Homo sapiens; assembly: GCF_000001405.40. Taxonomy (NCBI): domain Eukaryota; kingdom Metazoa; phylum Chordata; class Mammalia; order Primates; family Hominidae; genus Homo; species Homo sapiens. The sequence goes on along the minus strand of NC_000009.12, from coordinate 137,153,527 downwards.
ATATGGCATGTGTGCACATGTGTATGTGTTGTGTATGACCTGTACATGATGGTGCATGTGTGGGTAGAGATGTATGTGTAGTGTGACTATGGTGCGTACATACATTTGTGTGTGTATGCATGGAGCATGTGGTGTGTATGTGGCATGTGCATACATGCGTATGTGTTGTGTATGACCTATACACAATTCTGCATGTGTGGGTAGAGATGATGCATGGTGTGACTATGGTGTGTGTACATACATTTGTGCACATGTGTATGGTGTATGCATGGTGCATGTGTGTACACGTGGTATGTGGCATGTGTGCACATGTGTATGTGTTGTGTGTGACCTGTACATGATGGTGCATGTGTGGGTAGAGATCTATGAGTGGTGTGACTATGGTGTGTGTACATACATTTGTGCACGTGTGTGTGTGGTGTATGCATGGTGCATGTGTGTACACGTGGTGTGTATATGGCATGTGTGCACGTGTATGTGTTGTGTATGACCTGTACATGATTCTGCATGTGTGAGTAGAGATGTATGAGTGGTGTGATGGTGTGTGTACATGCATTTGCGCACATGTGTGTATGGTGTATGCATGGTACATGTGGTGTGTATATGGCATGTGCATACATGCGTGTGTGTTGTGTATGACCTGTACATGATTCTGCATGTGTGGGTAGAGATGTATGCATGGTGTGACTATAGTGTGTATACATGCATTTGTGCACGTGTGTATGGTATGTGCATACACATGTGGTGTGTGGTGTGTGCTCATGGGCATGGATGTGTGGTATGCACGTGGTTCCTGTGTGCCCTGACCATGTCCCTTCCCCTGGGCTGGCCTTTTTCTTAGGGCCATGTCTGGAAACGTGACCTTGGCCCTGAGGCTGGCAACGCGGGGTCAACCTGTGGGACCGCAGTGCACGGCTCAGGGGCTCACAGGCCGAGAAAAAAAAGTGGAGAAAACGCCCCCTCCCCTCTCTGTGGGGACCTGGGCATGGCGGGGTTCTGTGGATTGGTTTTGTATGTGGTTTTCTCTCCCGTGTCCTGTTGGTCACTCCAGTTAGAATGTAGGGATCAGGCAGGTCTAGCTTGATGTGAACTTGTCTATTGCAAAAGTGGCCAACAGTGGAACAGGTATGTTTTAGGGCAATCGATTCCTTGAGTTGACCCATCTTGGATGAAGAAATTCCACTTCCCAGCCAGCTGTCTGTCCATTTGTTCACCTGCCCATCCATCCTTTTATCCCATCACAGCTACAGAATTTCTCTCAAGCTCTGTGATGAGTAAGGGAAGTGTAAACAATTCAGAAAATAACAGAAGAGGCCACAAGTGGCTGGGCACGGTGGCTCACTCCTGTAATCCCAGCACTTTGGGAGGCCGAGGCGGGCAGATCATGAGGCCAGAAGATTGAGGCCATCCTGGCTGACATGGTGAAACCCCGTCTCTACTAAAAATACAAAAAAGTAGCAGGGCGTGGTGGCAGGGGCCTGTAGTCCCAGCTACTTGGGAGGCTGAGGCAGGAGAATGGCGTGAGCCCGGGAGGTGGAGCTTGCAATGAGCCGAGATCGAGCCACTGCACTCCAGCCTGGGTGACAGAGTGAGACTCCATCTCAAAGAAAAAAAAAAAAAAAAAAAAAGAGGCCACAAGTTCGAGACCAGTCTGGCCAACATGGTGAAACCCCGTCTCTACTAAAAATACAAAAATTAGCCGGGTGTGGTGGCTTGTGCCTGTAGTCCCAGCTACTCGGGAGGCTGAGGCAGGAGAATCGCTTGAACCCAGGAGGCAGAGGTTGCAGTGAGCTGAGATTGTACTACTGCACTCCAGCCTGGGTGACAAAGCAAGACTCCCTCTCAAAACAACGAAAAAGGAAATTAACTTCTGAGAGTCTGGCGGGGCTTTCTCTAAGAGGGGCTTTTTCTGGGCGGGGCTTTTTCTGGTAGGGGCTTTCACTGGGTGGGGCTTTCCCTGGGTGGCACGTTTCTGGGTGGGGCTTTCTCTGAGTGGGAATTTCTCTAAGTGGGAATTTCTCTGGGTGAAGCTTTCCCTGGGCGGGGCTTTCCCTGGGTGGGGCTTTCTTCTGGGTTGGGCTTTCTCTGGGCTGGTCTTTTTTCTGGGTGGAGTTTTCCCTGGGCGGGTCTTTTTCTGGGCTGGGCTTTCCCTGGGTGGGGCTTTTTTTCTGGGCGGGGCTTTCCCTGGGCGGAGCTTTCCCTGGGCGGAGCTTTTATCTGGCCAGAGCTTTTTCCTGGGCGGGTCTTTTTTTCTGGGAGGGGCTTTCCCTGGGCTGGTCTTTTTTCTGGGCAGGGCTTTCACCAGGCGCGACTTTTTTCTGGGCGGGACTTTTTTCTGGGCGGGTCTTTCCCTGGGCGGGGCTTTCCCTGGGCGGGACTTTTTCTGGGCAGGGCTTTCCCCGGGCGCGACTTTTTTCTGGGCGGGGCTTTCCCTGGGCGGGTTTTTTTTCTGGGCGGGGCTTTCCCTGGGCGGGACTTTTTCTGGGCGGGGCTTTCCCTGGGCGGGTCTTTTATCTGGGCAGAGTTTTCCCTGGGCGGGTCTTTTCTCTGGGCTGGGCTTTCCCTGGGCGGGTCTTTTTCTGGGTGGGGCTTTCCCTGGGCGAGGCTTTCGCTGGGCAGGGCTTTTATCTGGGCGGGGCTTTTTTATGGGCGGGGCTTTCCCTGGGCTGAGCTTTTATCTGGCCAGAGCTTTTCCTGGGCGGGTCTTTTCTGGGCGGGGCTTTCCCTGGGCGGTCTTTTTTCTGGGCAGGGCTTTCCTTGGGCTGGTCTTTTTTCTGGGCGGGGCTTTCCCTGGGCGGGCTTTTATCTGGGCAGAGCTTTCCCTGGGCAGGTCTTTTTTTCTGGGCGGGGCTTTCCCTGGGCGGAGCTTTCCTTGGGCTGGTCTTTTTTCTGGGCGGGGCTTTCCCTGGGCGGGCTTTTATCTGGGCGGAGCTTTCCCTGGGTGGGGCTTTCCCTGGGCAGGTCTTTTTTCTGGGCTGGGCTTTCCTTTGGCGGGTCTTTTTCTGGGCGGGGCTTTTATCTGGGCGGAGACTTCTCTTGGCGGATCTTTTTTTCTGGGCGGGGCTTTCCCTGGGCGGGCTTTTATCTGGGTGGAGCTTTCCCTGGGTGGGGCTTTCCCTGGGAGGACCTTTTTTCTGGGCGGGGCTTTCCCTGGGCAGGTCTTTTTCTGGGCGGAGCTTTCCCTTGGCGGGTCTTTTTTTCTGGGCGGGTCTTTCCCTGGGCGGGGCATTCCTTCTTTGGGACCTGTGCATACCCTTGGGACTTTGCCTGGTCACGTCTTTAAAAATCTTTTTTCCTGGAGCCCAGGCCAACCCTCCCTGGGGCTTGCAGTTGGATGAGTGGAGTGGACAAGTGACCTGTGAGCTTAAAGCCGAGTGCAGGGGGCGTAATGGGGGACGATTAGTGCCTTTTTATAGCAGCTGCAGGAGGAGCATGTAAGGCCCCGTGGGCAGCTCTAAGCAACAACCCTACCTTGGGCTGGGGAGATTCCTGCCTTCTAGTCCGAGGAGCCCTGGCTGGCCCCACCCTGCGTTCTGCCCTGGTGAGGGGGCTGCATCTGTCTCCGTGCTAGAGGGTCATTTGATGGACCGTGGAAATGGTGGTCTGCCCTGGGACTGAGAGTGTCGCCGGCTCTTTCCCATATGCAGGGCTGGAGGGCTGGGCTGTGTTCCTCCGGGTGTTTCACTGCTGTTTTGCTCCGCTCTGTTGGAGCCTAGCAGAGCTTTTAGGTCAGGGACAGTGGGGTTTTGGCTGTCCCATGGGGCAAGGCTCCTCACCCTGCCCTTCCCCACTCTTGCTTTTCCTATTCCCAGTCACCCAGGCTTTTCCTTCCCGGGAGAACCTAGCCATTTGCAAATAGGGAGCTTTTTACAGTGGGCTCCACCCCAAGGTTGCTCTGTGGCACCGGACCTGTCCAGAGCAGCTTGATTTCCCGGGTACCTAACTGATTTCCCCCTAAGCTACTGCTGCAGCTGTTGCAATCCTTCAGTTGGGAAATCTGGCCCTCTCCCTGCTGTGGGCCTTTTCGCCTGGCACACCTGCACATCACTTCCCTGGGCCTAGTCCCTGGCCCCAGGCCTGGGCCTTGTTTGCACAGGTTTGCCCCCTTGAGTTGCGGGGCTTCCCAAGGGCAGGGTCTCTTCCATATCCCTCTCCCACAGCCCAGCTCAGGGCAGCAGCAGCATGTGACTGTGGAATGGGGAAGGGCCCAGGAAGGGAGGGACAGATGGAGGGTGTCACATCAGCCATGCCGATAGGAGTGTGGGTGCGGGTGGGGGTGGGGGTGGCTGTCCTTGGTGAAGGTGCTTTGGAAGCTGAAGGTCACTGTGCCCAACAATGTCCCAGCTCTGGCTCAGATGGCGGGTACTTGGCTCAGGTACCATCCTGTGTGGAGTGTGTAGGGCCCTGCCCAGCCTCACCTGGCAGAAAGGATGATGACCCGGGCCTCCAGCTCTTTCGCCTCCATCAGCAGGGCCGTCACGTTCTTGGTCCCTGGGTCAAACTGCAGCACCTTCTCTGCCTGCGGTGTGAGCAAGAGTGTTAGCAGGCGGCTGGGGCAGGGGACATAGCGCCTCAGGGGTGAGAGTTGGGCCGGAGCCGCTGGGAACCCCGAGGCAGCTTAGCTAGGGCTGCCATGGTCTGCGCCTGCCACCTGCGCCTCCGCCTGCCTTCCTCAGTCCTTGCCTGGCCTGGCCTCGCCTCTCCGGTCCTGTCCTGTCTTCAGCCTGCGCGCTCACCTGTGCTCGTTCTGTGCTCTCTCTGCTCTCTCTGGATCTCTCTCTCCACCTCACTCCTGTCCTCATCTTTGCACTGAGCATGCAAGCTGAAGTGGACCCAGACTCAGGAGGCGTGCAGCGGACGGGAAACAGAAAAGAGTTTTGGAATGCAACCAGGAAAAGAGATGGGGCTGACTTTTCCAAAACCATGGGAGGTCCTCTGAGGTTTGATTCCGCAGGCCCCTGAGGAGCAGCCCGGCCCCGGCGAGTGGGTGGCCAGGCGGGCGGGCTCCCTCCCGGGTTCCACGAGGAAACCCTTGGGGTCTCGGAGATTCGCATGCACTTCCCGGAGAGCAGCTCCTCCTGCAGCCGCGCCTGCCTCGAGGGTGCAGGCTAGGGTCACGGCGGGTGGGCCTCAGGCACCCACGCCGCCACGCCTGCCCTCTCCTGCCTGCCCTCTCCTGCCTGCTGCCGGCTGCCTCTCCTCATTGCTTGGGCCTGCGGCTCGGCGGCTGGGCCAGACAGTGGCCCTAGTGGCCGAGGCGCCGAGGCCAGGGCTCCCTAGCCGTGGGTGGCGTGCACGTCCATGCATATATACCTTGGGTCCGCGCTTGTTGTCATAGGACAGTTGGTCGAGGTTTTCATAGTTCCTTTTTTTACTCTGATGAATAATGTGCACAGAGAAAATATGCAGACACAGAAGAAGATTATAAACGGTTGAAAATGACGGCGCTAAAGCAATCACACCACCTCCTCGGCACGTCTGCAGACGGGCTCCTACCTGGAGCTCGCAAACACCGAGGCCCGGGGCGGGGCTGGGGGCCGGGGTGGAGCTGGGGGTGAGGGTCGTAGGGGCGGGGCCGTGGAGGCTCCCTGCCACGAAGCTGTGCTCTTGGAAACGGTCGCTCTCGGGAGAAAAGGAGGCCCTGTCCGCGTCCACCGTTCGGAGGGAGCCCCACCTGCCGCCCCCACCCTGCCGTGCACCTGCTGTGTGGCCCCAGCAGTGCCCACTCCAACCTGTGTCAGTCCTGAGTGGGAGGTGAGCAGCCCCCCCGGGGCCTGTCCCCATGTCCCTCCCCCTCCCTCTCCTTGGTCTCCCTCTGCCTCTCAAGAGACCGAGGTATCCTCACTAACTGGGGTGCCCACGCCCTTCGGCTCGCATATGCGCCCAAGAGGGTGTGTGTGCGTTATGTGCGCCTGCAGGGGTGGCATGCGCCTGTGGGTGTCAGCATGGGAGGGTTAGTCCACAAAGGCCTGTGAAGGTTGGGGAAGGGCCAGATGGTCTGAGCATGCTTGTGTGTGTGCATGTGTGCATGTGCGTGTGTGCGTGCTTGTGTGTGCGTGTGTGCATGTGTGTGCGTGTGCATGTGTGCATGTGTGTGCCTGTGCACGTGTGTGCGTGTGTGCATGTGTGTCTGTGCTGGCTGGCGCAAGTAAGGGTGAGCATGCACATGAGGAGCGCACCTGAGCGTGTGTCCAGGTGTGTGTGTGAGGAGCGCACCTGTGCGTGTCCAGGTGTGTGTGTGAGGAGCGCACCTGAGTACGTGTCCAGGTGTGTGTGTGGCGCTGGAGCTGCATGGAGGCAAGCCTGAGCCTGTGGCCAGAGGTGTGGAGTGTGATGGGAATGTGTGCATGCACCTGTGAGTGAAAGCAGGCAGTTGGGTGCGCAGGGGTGAGTGTGTGATGGGAGTCCGTGGCCGTGGGTGGACATGCCAGAAGGTGAGGGGCCTGTCGAGCGCTGGGGTGAGGGGCCTGTCGGGTGCTGGGGGGGAGGGGCCTGTCGGGCGCTGGGGGGAGGGGCCTGTCGGGCACTGGGGTGAGGGGCACTGTCTTGGGTGGGGCCCTTGGTGCCCATGCCCCTCCCCCCCAAGACTCAGCAGACCCCCCACGACAGTACTCCCAGGACCCTCTGGTCTGCCCCTGGCTTTACCCCCGACCCATGCCCTCTGGTCCCTCCCGGGGCCTGGGGTGCCTTGGGGGGTGCTAGGTTGGCCCTAAGTCCGATGAAGCCAGCTCTGACACGAAACATGCTCCCAGCCACCCATAGGTCTGGCCCTCCTCAGCCTGGGCCTCCTCCCACTGCTTGATCAGGAGCTGGCCCAGGTGCTGAGCACCCAGGGCTCCGGGGGTCTGTAGCCGAGAACCAGCTCTGCCCCAGACTGCAAATGGGAGTGGTAAGGAAGGGGAAAGGGGTCGCTCGGACCCCCCCAAATCCCAGCTCTGATCTCTCTGCAGCCCCACAGAGTGGACGCCTGGCTGTGTTGGGGGTCAGTGTGTCCTAGAACCAGGTGGCTAATGGGTCTTGGTGAGGAGTGCAGAGGGAGCCCTGTGGTGGGGGCAAGGAGGGGAGTGGAGCCCACAGGGGCGGTCCAGGCTGGGGGGCAGGTGTCTGTGGACAGGGCTTTGCTGAGCCATGAGGTGCAGAGCTTCAGGGGAGGCCACGCGGGGGAGGACAGGGAATGGGCCCAGCCAGGAGGGGACAGGCCTGCAGGGGCGGTATGTGGGGGTCGTGTACAGGGGAGACCTTGCCCAGAGGGAGGCTGCTGGGGACTCAGGACAGGGTGGGCGGGAAGGGTGACGAGTCCCAAGCCCGGCTGGGGCCTCCAGGGAGCGAGGGGCATGGGCAGGAGGAGGGGACGAGGGCGCTCGGCAGCGCGGGGCAGGGGTGTTTGCGGAGCTCCAGGTGGTCTGGCCCTCGCCCCGCAGGGACTGACACGAAGGAGATTTCGACTAATGGCAAAAGCGAGTGAAATGAGCCGAGGACAGGCTGGGGCGGGCGCTCGCCAGACGTGGTGGTGCTGACCATGCACGATGGAAAGAAGAGGGTGTCACACACGGAGCCACAGACACAAGGCGGCCCGTCCTGCACCTCGGCTCCGCCAGGCGCCCACCCGCGGCGCCGACCCTCACCTTGGACTCACGCTCCTCCAGCAGCGTCTCCAGGCGTTTCTGAGCCGCCCGGCCCTCGTGGTCGTCGCTGACCAGCAGGATGATGTGGTTCCAGCTGTAGACACGCATCATCTCAAACCACACGCTGGACTGGTGGGAGTAGGGCGGCACGGTGCGCAGGAAGCTCAGGTGGATGCTCTGCGGGAGGCGGGGGCACGGCGGGCTGAGGTGGACCCGCGGGGACCCGCCCTCCCACCCGCCTCCCACTGCCGGAACACCCGCCGGAGGCTGGGAACCCCCCTCCTCCCACCCCTGTCCCCACCCCCATGGGGACACGTTCTAGACCCTGGGACCCCCTCGTGTCTCCCACCCCGTCCCTACCACCCTGGGGACACTTTCTAGACCCTGGGACCCCCTCGTGTCTCCCACCCCTGTCCCCACCCCGCTGGGGACACTTTCTAGACTCTGGGACCCCCTCGTGTCTCCCATCCCATCCCTGCCACCCTGGGGACACTTTCTAGACCCTGGGACCCCCTCGTGTCTCCCACCCCTGTCCCTACCACCCTGGGGACACTTTCTGGACCCTGGGACCCCCTTCCTCTCACTCCTGTCCCCACCCCTCTGGGGACACTTTCTGGACCCTGGGACCCCCTTCCTCTCACTCCTGTCCCCACCCCTCTGGGGACACTTTCTGGACCCTGGGACCCCCTTCCTCTCACCCCGGTCCCCACACCCCTGGGGACACTTTCTAGACCCTGGGACCCCCTTCCTCTCACCCCGGTCCCCACCCCTCTGGGGACACTTTCTAGACCCTGGGACCCCCTTCCTCTCACCCCGGTCCCCACCCCTCTGGGGACACTTTCTGGACCCTGGGACCCCCTTCCTCTCACTCCTGTCCCCACCCCTCTGGGGACACTTTCTGGACCCTGGGACCCCCTTCCTCTCACTCCTGTCCCCACCCCTCTGGGGACACTTTCTGGACCCTGGGACCCCCTTCCTCTCACCCCGGTCCCCACACCCCTGGGGACACTTTCTAGACTCTGGGACCCCCTCGTGTCTCCCATCCCATCCCTGCCACCCTGGGGACACTTTCTAGACCCTGGGACCCCCTCGTGTCTCCCACCCCTGTCCCTACCACCCTGGGGACACTTTCTGGACCCTGGGACCCCCTTCCTCTCACTCCTGTCCCCACACCCCTGGGGACACTTTCTAGACCCTGGGACCCCCTCCTGTCTCCCACCCCTGTCCCCACCACCCTGGGGACACTTTTTTTTTTTTTTAAACAGTCTCGCACTGTTACCCAGGCTGGAGTGCAATCTCGGCTCACTGCAGGCTCCGCCTCCTGGGTTCACACCATTCTCCTGCCTCAGCCTCCCAAGTAGCTGAGACTACAGGCGCCCGCCACCACGCCCGGCTAATTTTTTTGTATTTTTAGTGGAGATGGGGTTTCACCGTATTAGCCAGGATGGTCTCGATCTCCTGACCTCGTGATCCGCCCGCCTCGGCCTCCCAAAGTGCTGGGATTACAGGCGTGAGCCACCGCGCCCGGCCAACCTGGGGACACTTTCTAGACACTGGGACCCCTCCTTTTTCCCACCCCTGTCCCCACCATCCTGGGGACACTTTTTAGACCCTGGGAACCTCTCTCCCACCCCGGCCTCTCCTCCCACATATAATCTCGGAAATGGAGGAGGTTTAGTGTTGGCCCCATAGCACCCTAAGGGACGTGGGTTTCTGTGGAATTGTGCCTGGGGTGAGCTCACCTCTTCCCCTGCAGCCCACCACCTTTGGACAAGCTGAGCTCAGGAAATTCTTGATGACACATAGCGCCTCGAAGATCCCCCTGGGGCTGCCCATAGAGTCCTCCCAAATTTAAACAACTCTATGTATGAAGAAGAATTCACTCTTGGGGCTAAAGGCCTCATCTCCCCAGGCGAGAGCGTGGTGCTTGCTTGCCCTGGCTTGCTTTTCCTGGCTTCAAGCTGCCACGGAGTGCCGTGGCATGGCCGGGAGTGGAGCAGGCTCTGCCCCCCTCTGCCTCAGTTCTCTGTGTCTGTCCAGGTAAGCCCTGGTTCCTTCAGTGTCCCTGTGGACTCTTGCTGATCTTGTGGTCCTCTGAGGCTTCCAGGTTATTTTTCACCTGCTCCCTCTTTGTGGCCTGGGGCAGTGCCTTGGGGTGCAAAAATGTCCCCTGCTTCTGTCTATCCACCTGGTGACGTGGTGGCAAGGCAGGCTGTGCTTGAGGTCTTGGACTAGCTCTGACCTGGCCTTGCCGGTTCATGTTTTGGGCACAGGTTGGTTGTAGTGTAGAGACTGTGGTAAGGCCAGGGTGCAGCTGTGAGCTGTGCCCCCTCCCTTTGGCCTGCTCTGGGCCAGGGGCATCCGTTTCCCCCGCCTTTCATTTGACCACTGGCTGCTTTCCTGGGTAAGGCCATCTTCTCTCCTTCACATGTGAGGAAACTGGTGCCCAGAGAGGCGAAGGAGGTCGTGCCTGAGGGCACAGGAATGAGACCCCCACCTTCCCATGGCCAGAGGTGAAGTCACCTGGGAGGAGCAGTTTGGGTGCCGAGGGGGCACGCCAGGGCTTTCAGAGCCTCAGGAAGGTGGCTGTTCCAGCCTCTGTCTCAGTTCCTGCCTCTGGGGCCTTCCATCCTCCCAGAAGAGCCTGGGCCTGGCTGGGGCGACCCCTGTGCTTTAAGGCAGTGTTACCAAGGACTGTGGACTCTGGGCAGGAGGAATTTGGAGAAGGTGGGGGACCCAGAAGCCTGGCTGCACAGCCCAGCCCTCTGGCTCCTCAGCGCTGGCACCAAACTGGATGTCCCCTGCCAAGTGGCCCTGCAGGTCTGTCTGCCAGTGGCCCCAGGTTGGTCAGCCTCTCAGTGCCCAGTTTGCATCCTGGGTAGACGGAGGGCTGTGTGACCTAGAGCAAGCCCCCATGGCTCTCTGGCTTGGAGATTCCTGCAAAACTGACTGGATGACCCTCCTCTCTTCCAGCTGATGTTCCAGGATTGGACAGAAGCCCTCCTCATAGCCTGTGGGCCAGGAGGGTCTGCAGGAGGCTAAGCCAAGGTGCCCTCAGCCCTAGAGGCTGGAAGCCCCCAGGCCAGCGCCCCCGACCCTGAGCTGCAACCACAGACATTGCTCTCCACCCATGCCTGCAGTGGGAAAGGCTGGCCCCACCACCCTGGCTGCGTGCACACCCCTTTCCTCCTGGAGCAACCCCCAGCTCTCCAAACTCCCCTTCAAAGTCCACCTGTCTAGAAAGCCTCCCAGCCATCCCTTCTCCTAGCCCACGGGCCCTCTCGTCCTGAGGGGGTGTCACTGGTGCCTGTGCCAGTGAGTGTGTGTGACTTTGTGCGAATCCATGGGTGTGTCAGTGTTCATGTGTGGGGAGGGTGAGCATAGCAGTGTAGCGTGTGGGTGCTGTATGAATGTGTGAGTGTGTGATGTGTGTGTGATGTGTGAGTGTGTGATGTGTGCCCCCTCCCTTTGGCCTGCTCTGGGCTGGGGGCACGTGCTGGGCTCCACGTGAGCCCTCTATGTGCAAGAGAGTGTGTATTGTGTGTGTAAGAGCACATGAGTGTGCATGTGAGCATGTTTGCAGATGTGTGAGTTGGACACGTGAGAGCGTGTGGACGTGCATGAATGTGGGGGAGCTGTGTGGCTGTTTGTGGTGTGTGAGTTCCATGTGAGCGGGTCGGCCCGCTGCTCCTGGAGTGGCCAGGCTGTGCCCTGGGGCCGAGGGCCGGAAGGCCTGGTCTGGCAGTCAGGCTTACCTTGTCCGAGTAGATGGACATGCGGGTGGTCAGCCCCAGCACGGGTATGCGGTAGAAGCCGGCTGTGTAGGAGACAGGGGTGGGAGTGAAGTGGTCGTTGGGGGTAGGTGGATGGCTAACTAGGATGGCGTAGACCTGTGGACACAGGAGACATGATCAGCTTGAGTCAGGGGTGAGCCAGGCACTGGGTTAGAGGCTGAGATCTGGAAGCAGCAGGGGCTGAACCCAGCAGGCTAAGGGGGGCTGGGGGCATGATTCGGGTACATGCTACATGCCCAGGCCCAGATGCACACATGCCCACAGGGCAGGGGAGGGAGACCCCACCCGGACCTCCCCTCACTCCTCTCACACTGCTGACTAGGGCCCTGCAGGTGTTGTGCTCAAGGGCCAGGTGAAGGACTGCCCTTGGGATGTCCTGGGGGCCTGGAGCACGGGACGCACCCAAGGTGGACCGGGGAGGATGGCTGGTCCTGCATCATGATGGCCTTGATTCTCAGAACCCACCCGTCCTTCCTGATGGGCCAGGGGTGGGGCCAGCCCACATCCCGAGACAGGGCGGGCAGCTCTGAAGGGTGGTACCGGACTTCAGGGGGAAGCAGCTAGGAGCTGCCAAAGAGGCCGAGATCCCTTTTGCTGGTGTCTCCAGGGGCAGGGCCTGTGACGGGCTCTGTCTGAACAACACCAAGCCCTTACTTTGAGTGCTGGCCTCATCCTCAAGGAAGGGAAGGGAGGCATTGGGGGTGCAGCCCAGCCTTCCTGCCCATGACCAAGGCCCCATGGGGCAGATCTAAAGCCAGCGGCTCAGCCCCCTGGAGCTGATGCCTCCCTCTCTCCCCAGCCTCCCAAGGCAGGGAGGCAGGCAGCTGGTGGTCCACACCACCTTCACACAGCAAGGACCTGCGTCTGTCCCCAAGTCTGCCTGTGCCTCTTAGAGCTTTGGCGAATGGGGGCGTGCACTGCATGGCCCCACGTGGCAGGACAGTACCTGGCCGGGGGTGTGTTCCGTGAGTGGTAGCTGCAGGCATTGCCTTTGCTGCAGAGGCCATGCCCACAGACAGACAGCAACATGGGCGTGAGTTGAAGCAATTCCCCAGGAATGGCCCCTCCTGGATTTCCTGAGTCCACCTTCCGTGTCCCTCCCCAGTCCCAGATGGAATATGTGACTGCAGCCACTGGCTACAGATGCATCCCCCCAGTCCCATCCCATGGTGTCCTGGGCTGGGGCACGGGGGTGGCTTGTGAAGTGGGGAGGGAGGATTTCTGAGAAAACTCTGGTGTGGGCCCTGCAGCTGCAGCTGTTTGAAGTGGTTCTCCCTCCCCCAGCTCTTGCTTCCAGCCTGCACCCAGAGGTGCTTGGCAAAGACCCGTAGGTCCGTGTGTGACCATGCAGGTGTTCACGCGTGTGCTAGGGTATGGTTATGTGCATCACATGCCCTGGCATGTCTGTTCGTGTACATGCGTGTGAATGACTGGAACCATGTGTGTAAATGTGCATGTTTGCACGTGCCTCTGGGAATGCATGCCAAGCCGTGTGTGGCACATGAGCAGGTGTCAATGGATCTGCATGTGTGCAGATGAGCATATGAAATTGATTGTGTGATGCTGAGGTGCATGAGTGTGTGCTAATGTAACATTTGGTGTGAGTGTGAGCATGTGTGTCCACAGATGTGGTGTGTCCATCAGGTAGGCACGTGTGAGCGGTGCTAGGCTGGATGTCTGTCTTGCCTCTTACATAAAGGGCTGCATTGCAGATCCTTGCAGCCTCATTGGAATTCAGCAGGCGCTCGGCCCAGGGGCGGACAGCTCCGACAGGCAAAATCCCAGGAGCCACGTCCTCCCCCGCAGCGCTGGCTGCCGACAGCTCCCATGCCCTGATGCCTCTCGCGTGTGCACCCCCACTCCCACCCCCACAAAGCGTCCTGCCGTGGCACCTGAGCCATTTCTCTTCCCAGGCGGACCCATCGGTAGGGGGAAGGGACGAAAGAAAGGGCAGGAGAACCTGGAAGCAGAAACAAAGATGGCCCCAGGCCCCGTCCTGTTTAAAGCTCTGCAGGGCGGGCATGTAGCTGGACAGGCGCTTCTACTCTCTTACCCGGAATGCCCACCCCCACACTGACACACTCCAGCCCCACGTCTACACACACCAGTCAGGGCCTGGAGCCCCAGGGGCCCTCTGAGGACCAGCCAAGGTGGCAGGTGACTGGTCTCAGGCCAAGATAGGGGAGCCAGCAGACCCTGGTGTTTGGTTCCTAGTGAGACGAGGCCTCCCGGAAGCAGCCAGCTGACTCTGGGGTGGTGTCTTACAGGGAGGAAGGGGGCACGGAAAGGATGGAATGAAACTGGGGGTGTGGGGTTGCAGGATGGAGGAGAGGGGAGGTGGGTGGCGGAGGTGGGGGAGGGCACCTGGCTGGAGATGAGGTCCTCGCACACCGACAGAGCCATCTGGATGGCGTTGGGCTTGTGCGTGACGGAGGTGGCATTGAGCTGAATCTTCCAGGAGCCGTGCCGCTTGTTGGCCTGGTTCACGGCCTCGCGGAACATCTGCTCGTGCTTCCGCGTGCTCAGCACCGCGCCAATGTTGACGATCTTGGGGTCGCACGCGGCACGGGCGACGGAGCAGGAGAACAGCAGGGCGAGCGTCAGCAGGCGCATGGTGCTCATGGGCTCGGGCCGCGGGCCTGGCTCTGCGCGGCGCGAACGCGGGGCCCTCGGCGCATCCCCCGCGGGGCTTCCGGGCCGTCCTGCGCTCGCCCGGCCCCGCGGGCTGCGGACGCCACGTCTCCCCCGGAGCGGCGGTCCCGGGACGTCGGCCGAGGGAAGGGGCGCTGAAGCGTGCGCGGGGGCTCGGGGCTCAGCCCCACGCGGCCGGCGCTGTCCGCGGTGCTGAAGCGGGGCCGGGCACAGCTCCGAGCGCCCGGCTTGGAAAGGGCCCGGCGGCGGCGGCGGCGGCTCCGCGGACGGCGCTGGTTCCGGTCCGGACGCTGCGGCGACTGCAGCAGCTGCAGAAACGCGAGCGGGGCCAACGTCTCCTGCCCCTCCCGCCGCCCCCGCTTCCCAACACGGAGGCGAAGGGGGCGCCTCCCGCGCCAGAGCGTGCGCCTGCGTTCGCGTGAGCGTGTGTGTCGGAGCGCGCGTGAGCCGGGGAGCGCGCGTGTGCGTGTGAGCGCGTGCCTGGAGGGGTCCTGGGACAGGGGCCTGTGCTGTCGGGGACCTGCAGGGAGCTCAGTTTGGAAACGTTAGAGGGGTCCGTGTCACCGCGTGCAGCCCGCACCCTTGCGTGCCTTTTAATAGGACCGAACGCGTCGTGCCCGCTTGTATGTGTGTGTGCGCGCAAGAGTCGTCACCCACAGTCAGCGATATTTCGGCTCCTGACTCTTGCAGACTGGAGCTCCAGAGGGGTGGGGGAGGCCCTAAGCCATGGCTCTGGGGGGCGCTCCCTTCAAGGTTCCCCTCCCCACAAGGTTCAGAAATGAGGGAGAGGCCCCATCTGCGTGGCCATGTAACTTGGGACCCCCCTCCTCGGGCTAAGAGGAATAGGGAGGGTGACCGTGGCTGCCGCATGTGCTCAGCCAGGCCTTCCGCGAGAGCCTGGAAACTGGACCCGCACTGACTGGGGCTGAGGTCGGACACCAGGAATCACTGGAGCGCCGCGAGGTGTGTTCGGGGCCAGCCGTTTCACACCCTCAGCTTCCGCTCCTCTCTCCCTCTCCAGCCCCCTCGCAATGCGCTCCCAGCGCCCCCTTTTCCAGAGCCTTACCCATCCCTCTGGTCCACACCACCCTGTCTTTGTCCCCCTCCACCCCTGGAGTGTGCGTGCCCCTCCCTAACTTGAAGGATGGCTGAAGCTCCGCCCCTGCCAGTGATGTCACCATTTCCAATAGCAACTGAGGATTCTGCAGACCTAACAGCAAACGCCCCCAATGGGACAAAACAGGGTCGTCACCACACCTCTGCTATGTGCAGCAGTGCAGCAAGGGAAGTCATGTGCCCACAGGGGTCACACTCTCTCTCCCGCTTGCCGTTCTCTCCATCAGCCGAACACTGGCACCAGGGACCCCCTGGAGCTGAGAGGAGGGGGAGGGGCTGTGGTGTTTGACAAGCTCCTCCTCTTGGCCCCTTCTCTCTCAATACAGGAAAATCTTTCCTTGGGGGATCACCTGCCCGTACCCTGCTGCAGACCCCGCCTCTCCCCGTTCGGGTTGAGGCACACGGGTCATCCGCCTCGGGGCCCTCACTCCTTCTGTTGGCTCTCAGGAGGGTGTGTGTGGGTGCTCAGGGGGACTGAGCTGGCCCTATCTCCAGGAGTTTGTGGCCCATCTCCAAACTTCCACCTCGGCAGGGCACAGTGGCTCATGCCTGTAATCTCAATACTTTGGGAGGCAAGGGCAGGTGGATCACCTAAGGTCAGGAGTTCGAGACCAGCCTGGCCAACATGGTGAAACCCTGTCTCTACTAAAAATACAAAAATTAGCCGGGCGTGGCGGCAGGCATTTGTAATCCCAGCTACTTGGGAGACTGAGGCAGGAGAATCGCTTGAATCTGGGAGGCGGATGTTGCAGTGAGCCAAGATCGCACCATTGCACTCCAGCCCGGGCGACAGAGCAACACTCCATCAAAAAAAAGAAAAAAAAAAGTATCCGCCTCAGGCAGGCCAGAGCCTGGCAGCTGCGTGGGGGTAGACCTGAGCCCAGACAGCGCCTCATCAGCGTGGAAGAAAGGGGTTGGAGGCTGCAGCAGAGGCCCTGGCTCCACCCACCCACCCCCACCCCGTGGGGTGCTGGAGCGACTCCCGCTGACCCTGGAGAGCTGATCGCTAAATGTTCAGACACCTGCCAGCAGCTGTTACAGTCAGGCTTCGAAATTGGCCACAGTGGGATTATCTCTGCTGCCACGGAATCATCAAACCCCACAAACCAGGGCTTTTTCTTTTCTACTCAGGGAGCTGGTCTGCCAGTGGGTCACTGCCCCACCGGACCGTATGTGCGTCCCCAAGCTTCTGTTCAAGACCCCTTGGCAGGTTGTCCATGATGGAGATGGGGTGGAGGCCGCGTCTCCAGGCCACAGCTCCTCCTGTGAGCGAGTCTTTCCTGGATTCTGCTCTGCATTTTCCCCCCGTGGGCTTCTTCCACAACCATGAGGGAGGGGGCAGTGGTACCACAACAGATGAGCCTGGACTCGGACCCCTCTGAGACCTGGTGAGACAAAGGCTGTGGGGAGGACCAGAGACCTGGGGCACTGCCCTGGGATGGGCCCGGGGCCAGCAGTCAGGCGCTGGGTGGGGAGGGAAGCGCTGTTCTACCCCGGGCCACTGTGGGACAGTCTCCCTCTGTGGAGATCCCCTTGCCCACTCTGACAGCTGCGGCCCCGGCGGGAGGCGGCTGCTCCTCCCTGACCCCAGCCTCGCGGTTCTAGTCAGGGCTGTCAACCCGGGTGCAGACGCGCCCTGGCCTCAGTCCATTGGCCGAGGGGTTGCCAATCAGGGCTCTCCCTAGGATTTTGGGCAGATCAGAAGCAGGGAAGGGACCCCGGCTCTACATCCTCTGCAGGTGAATCCCTGAGAACTGGGGCTCAAGAGCCACCTGCAGACACATTTCTGTCGAGAGGAAGCCTGCTTGAGAGGAGGAGGCAGACAGACAGGGGTGGGGCGGGCAGAAGCGTCTCCACCCATCGCAGCCAAGGCCGGCCAAGGGCGTGGAGGACAGGCCTGCTTCCCGTGCCAGCTCCTGGAGGGGCTGCCAGGCCACGCAGGGGAAACGGAGCTGGCCATCTCGGGCCTGGCCCCCGCTAAAGAGCTAGACTGGGGTCAGGACCTCTGCCCTGACCTGGGGGAGCCCAGGGACCCTCACAGAGGTATAGTCTCTGACACCCACGAGGCTTTCCCGCCAGCCCTTGTGCTGGACTGGCTCCCATACCTTCCTGCCTCCACAAAGTCCCTCCTCTCTCCCTGTCCTGACTTTCCAAATTCCACCTTTCCTGGTAGCCGTCTTCCCCATCACAGGATCCCCACAGATCCGACCGCAGGCAGCACCGCACCGCACGTTTACTCCACTAGGCACATTCACTGAGCACCTACCGTGTACCAGACGCTGTTCTAAGGGTGGGTATGTGGCAGTGCAAAGGCTGGACTTTCTGACTTCATGGAGCACAAACACATGAGCTCCTGAGACCATTCCACGTAGCGGCGCGTGGTCTCAAGAAACAGAATGCAGAATAAAAGGCAGAGTGTGGTGGAGCCGGTGGTGCTTTGAACACCACCCTGTTCGGCAGAAGATTGATTTCCCTCCAGGCATACATGGCCTGCACTTACAAATGGAACGTGGTAGAGGTAATGGTGCGTGACTCCCAGGTGAGGTCTAGAAAGAACACCTCCCAGCCGGGCGCGGCGGCTCCCACCTGTCATCCCAGCACTTTGGGAGGCCGAGATGGGAGGATCACCTGAGGTCAGGAGTTCGAGACCAGCCTGACCAACATGGTAAGACCCTGTCTCTACTAAAAATAAAAATAATATATATATATATATATTTTTTTTTGAGACAGAGTCTCACTCTGTTGCCCAGGCTGGAGTGCAGTGCTGCAATCTCGGCTCACTGCAAGCTCTGCTTCCTGGGTTCACGCCATTCTCCTTCCTCAGCCTCCCGAGTAGCTGGGACTATAGGCGCCCACCATCATGCCCGGCTAATTTTTGTATTTTTAGTGGAGACAGGGTTTCACCATATTGGCCAGGCTGGTCTCTTGGCCAGGCTGGTCTCGAACTCCTGACCTCATAATCCACCCCCCCCCCCGCCCCCGGCCTCCCAAAGTGCTGGGATTTCAGGCATGAGTCACCACACGCGGCCACAATATTGAATCTTCTAATCTGTGAACATAGGATCACTCCCCATTTTTTTAGGCTGTCTTTGCTTTCTCTCAGCAATGTTTTGTAGATTTTAATGTACAAGGTTTGCATTTATTTTCTTAATTTTAATCTAAAGTATTTTATTTTTCTATGCAATTGTGAATGAAGCTGTCTTCTTAATTTTATTTTCAGACCATTTATTGTTAATAAGTATAAATAAAATTGACAGTGAATGCAGGTCTTCTGGTCCTCCCTGTGATCTTTATGAACTTGTTCGTTAGTTGTTACTTCTGCTAGCTTGTTGTTGCTGCTCTTGATTCCTTAGCATTCCTGTTCCTGACTGGATTTTTTTTTTTTTTTTTAGACAGGATCTCACCCTGTCACCCAAGCTGGAGTGCAGTGGTGCAATCTTGGCTCACTGCAACCTCCACCTCCCGGGTTCGAGTGATTCTCCTGCCTTAGCCTCCTGAGTAGCTGGAATTACAGGTGCCCGCCATCACGCCCGGCTAATTTTTGTATTTTTAGTAAAGACAGGGTTTCACCATTTTGGCCAGGTTGGTCTTGAACTCCTGACCTCAGTTGATCTGCCCGCCTTGGCCTCCCAAAGTGCAGGGATTACAGGTGTGAGTCATTGTGCCCAGCCTTTTTTTTTTTTTTTTTTTTTTTGAGACAGCGTCTTGCTCTATCACCCAGGCTGGAGTGCAGTGGCATGATCTCAGCTAACTGCAGTTCCAACCCCCCAGGCTCAGGTGAGCCTCCCACATCAGCCTCCTAAGTATCTGGGACTACAGGTGCAAGCCACCATACCCGGCTAATTTTTGTATTTTTTTTTTTTTTAGAGATGGGATCTCACTGTGTTGTCCAGGCTGGTCTTGAAGGTCTCAAACTCCTGAGCTGAAGGGATCCTCCCACCTCGGCCTCCCAAAGTGCTGGGATTACAGGGTGAGTCACCACGCCCAGCCACCTTTTATTTCTCTTCTTGCCTGAGAGGACTGTATAGAAACCCAGCACCGTGACAATATAAATGATGAGAGCAGACATCTCACCCTGTCTCCAGTGCTACTGGAAAAGCATTTAAAACTTCCCATTTTTCCTGGCCAGACATGGTGGCTCATGCCTGTAATCCTAGCACTTTGGGAGGCAGAGGCGGGTGGATCACCTGAGGTCAGGACCAGCCTGGCCAACATGGTGAAACCCTGTCTCTACTAAAAATACAAAAAAAAAAAAAAAATTAGCCAGGTGTGGTGGCGGGCACCTGTAATCCCAGCTACTTGGGAGGCTGAGGCAGGAGAATCGCTTGAACCCTGGAGGTGGAGGTTGCAGTGAGCTGAGATTGCACCATTGCACTCCATCCTGGGCAACAAGAATGAAACTCTATCTCAAAAAAAAAAAAAGTTACCATTTTCCTAGTTTGTTAAAAATATTTATTGTAAACAGGTATTGGATTTTGTCAAATGCTTTTTCTGTATCTCTTGAGATGATAATGTAATTTTTGTGCTTCAGTCTAGTAACTTAGTACATAACATCAATTCATTTTTGAATATTAAAACCTTACATTCCTGGCCAGGTGCAGTGGCTCACGCCTGTAATCCCAACACGTGGGAGGCCGAGGCAGGCGGATCACCTGAGGTCAGGAGTTCGAGACCAGCCTGGCCAACATGGCAAAATCCCATCTCTACTAAAAATACAAAAATTAGACAGGTGTGGTAGCTACTCAGGAGGCTGAGGCTCAAGAATCACTTGAATCCAGGGTGGGGCAGAGGTTTCAGTGAGCCGAGATCGCGCCACTGCACTCCAGCCTGGGCGACAGAGCGAGACTCCGTCTCAAAAACAAAACAAAGCAAAACAAAAAACCCAACAACAAAAATCCTCAAAATGTTCCTGAAATAAATCCCACTTGGTTACGATGTATAATCCTTTTTATCTTTCCGGATTCTGTTTGCTAATAATTTGTAGTGAATTTTTACATTGATATTAAAGGAGGATATTGGTGTGTAGTATTTTTGTGATATCTTTCTCTGGCTTTGGTATTAGGTGAATATGGACCTTATAGAATGGGTCGGAATTGGAATTAATTCTATCCGAAATTTTTGGTAGAATTTACTAGTGAAATTGATTAGGCCTGAGCATTTTTCTTTTTCTTGTAGAAAGATTTAAAATTACTAACTCAATTTCTTTATAGCTATATTCAGATTTTTTATTCTTTGGGAGTTGGTTTTGGCTATTTATTTATTTATTTATTTATTTATTTATTTATTTTGAGACAGAGTTTTGCTCTTATCTCCCAGGGCTGGAGTGCAGTGGCCCGATCTCAGCTCACTGCAACCTCCACCGTTCATGCAATTCTCCTGCCTCAGCCTCCCGAGTAGCTGGGATTACAGGTGCCCGCCGCCACGCCCGGCTAATTTTTTTGTATTTTTTTGTAGAGATGGGATTTCGTCATATTGGCCAGGCTGGTGTCGAACTCCTGACCTCAGGTAATCCTGAGGCCCATCTCGGACTCCCAAAGTGCTGGGATTATAGACGTGAGCCACCGTGCCCGGCCAGCAATTTATATGCTTTAAGAAATTTGTCCATTTCATCTAAGCTGCTTGATTTATTGACATAAAGTTGTTCGTAGTATTCTCTAACAATCGTTTTGTATCTGGAAGGGCAGTAGTGATAGCCCCTCTTTTATTCCTAATTTTAGTTTTTTCTTGGCCAGTTTAGCTAAACATTTATCAAATTTGTTGATCTTTTCTAAGAAACAACTTTTTAAGAACTTTCTTTCTTTTTTTTTTTTTTTTTTTTTGAGACGGAGTCTCGCTGTGTCCCCCAGGCTGGAGTGCAGTGGCCGCGATCTCAGCTCACTGCAAGCTCCGCCTCCTGGGTTCACGCCATTCTCCTGCCTCAGCCTCCCGAGTAGCTGGGACTACAGGCGCCCGCCAACACGCCCGGCTAATTTTTTGTATTTTTAGTAGAAACGGGGTTTCACCGTGTTAGCCAAGATGGTCTCGATCTCCTGACCTCGTGATCCGCCCGTCTTGGCCTCCCAAAGTGCTGGGATTACAGGCGTGAGCCACAGCGCCCGGCCAGAACTTTCTATTTCAGGCCGGGTGCGGTGGCTCACGCCTGAAATTCCAGCACTTTGGGAGGCCGAGGCAGGTGGGTCATGAGGTCAGGAGTTAGAGACCAGCCTGGCTAACATTGGTGAAACCCTGTCTCTACAAAAATTAGCTGGGTGTGGTGGCAGGCGCCTGTAATCCCAGCTACTCCGGAGGCTGAGGCAGGAGAATCGCTGAATCCAGGAGGCAGAGGTTGCAGTGAGCCAAGATAGCACCACTGCACCTACAGCCTGAGCGACAGAGAAGACTCTGTCTCGAAAAAAAATAAGTGAATAAATAAAAACTTTCTATTTCATAGATGTTCTGTTGTTTTTCCGCGTTCTAGTTCACTGACTTCCTTTTTTCTTTCTTTTTTTTTTTTTTGAGACAGTCTCACTCTGTCGCCCAGGCTGGAGTGCAATGGTGTATTCTCGGCTCACGGTAACCTCTGCCTCCCAGGCTCAAGCAATTCTCGCGCCTTAGTCTTCCGAATAGCTTGGATTTTGTGTGTGTGTGTGGGGGGGGGGGGCGGGGGGGACACGGTCTCACTCTGTTGCCAAGATTGGAGTGTAGTGGTGCAATCCTAGCTCACTGCAGTCTCCACCTCCCATGCTCAAGGGATCCACTTTCTAAGCCTGTCAAGTACCTGGGACTAGAGGTGTGCATCAACACACCTATTTTTTTTTTTTTTTTTGAGATGGAGTCTCGCTCTATCACCCAGGCTGGAGTGCAGTGGCACGATCTTGGCTCACTGGAACCTCTGCCCTCCAGGTTCAAGCAATTCTCCTGCCTCAGCCTCCCAAGTAGCTGGGGTGCCCGCCACCACACCCAGCTAGATTTTTTTTTTTTTTTTTTGTATTTTTAGTAGAGACGGGGTTTCACTGTATTGGCCAGGCTGGTCTCAAACTCTTGACCTCGTGATCTGCCCGCCTTGGCCTCCCAAAGTGCTGAGATTACTGGCATGAGCCACCGCGCCCGGCCTTTTAATTCATATTTTTTTGTAGCGATGGAGCTTCACCGTGTTGCTCAGGCTAATTTCAAACTCTTGGGCTCATGCAATCCTCCGGGGTCGGCCTCAGTCTCCTCCCAAAGCATTGGGATCGCAGGGGTGAGCCACTGTTCTCGGCCTCACCTCTTCTAACGTTAAGAGTTTGCAGTTATAACTTTCTCTAAGCACTGTATTAGCTGCATCCTATACATTTTCATGTGCATATTTCCATTTTTATTCAGCTCAAAATACGTACTAATTTTTTGTGATTTCTTATTTATTTTTAATCTTATGAGACGGAGGCTCGCTCTGTTGCCCAGGCTGGAGTGCAACGAGGCGATCTCGGCTCACTGCAACCTCTGCCTCCCGGGTTCAAGCGATTCTCCTGCCTCAGCCTCCCGAGTAGCTGGGACTACAGGCAACCGCCACCACACCCAGCTATTTTTTGTATTTTTAGTAGAGACGGAGTTTCACTATATTGGCCAGGCTGGTCTTGAACCCCTGACCTCAAGTGATCCCCCGCCCCCCCTCGACCTCCCAAAGGGCCGGGATTATAGACATTAGACGTCGTTGCCGGGGGAGCCCTCCAAACACCCAGAAATGCCACAGCCAGGACCGTGGGACGCAGCAGAATCGCCCAAGGGGCAGGGGGCAGCCTGGCCAGAAGAAAATGAGGGAGGGGCCGCGCGTGAGGTTCGGCAGGGGAGAACACAGGCCTCCGGCGGCCACGGACGCCGCTTTGCCATTTTGAGCGTTTCTGGGGAGGACAACGCGCGCAGGAAGCGCAGTCATCTCAAGCTGACCTCCAAGGCTACCAGGTTTGAGGGCTGGAGCCGAGTCTGAAAGCCCCGACCCGCCTATGGCGCGGGGACTGTGGGTCCAGCCGGCCGCTTGGCCCCCTCGCTCGGCGCCGGTCCAGGCGCAGCGCTCGGGCCCCGGCGACGGTGAGATGCGGCGCGGCCAGCTTAGCTCGGGGTAGGGGCCACCCCAGCCTCGCCCCAGCCGGCCGGGTCCGCGACCTCGGGAGGGTCCGGTCCTTCCCTCGGCCCCCGCGACGCCGCGCCCGGGTGAGGCCCTGGGCTTCTTGCCGGTGACCACGCGGCCAGGGTGGCCCCCAGCCCAGGACGGCTACCAAGGGCGGCCCAGCCCCATCCCCGCGCCGCGGGTCCCGGAACCGAAGAGCTGGGAGCGGGCGCTCCCTGACAACATGGCGGCGGCGCCCGGGCGCCTCCCCGGGTCCCGGGTGTCTGCGTCTCCCCGCGAGGCCGTGGGCAAAGCCGGTGCCGTCCGACGACAGGAGGCGAAAGGAACCCAGGACCAGACCCGCGGGGCGAACAGTGCTGGAGGACCATGCACCGACCACGCCCGAAGCAGAACCAAGGCCCGCCCTGTTGCCGTGGCGACTGCGCGCGGGGTAGACGCAGGCGCCGCAAGCCGTGAGCTCTCAGTGCAGGCGCATAGGCTGCGGGGTTGAGGCGCATTGCGTGCGCGTGCGCGCTGCTCACACGCGGACGGTTCTGTGCGCCGCAATGGCTGCCCGCGAGTATCGGAGAGGCGGAGCTCTCAGTCTTTTACAGGACCGGGTCTCCTGATGCCGCCGGTGGTTCCTCGAGGCCCCCTTCCACGCATCCGCCGCCGCTGCTTCATCAGGACTTCATTTCGGTGACGCAGAGCTTTGGCGAGAGCTACGGCAACAGCAAGAACTGCCGGCGGCTCTTGTGCTGCAGGGTGAGGACCGCGCCGGGCGGACCGAGGCCCGGGGTCGCTGCGCCCGCCGCCCTCCCAGCCTGCGGCTCCGAGCGGGGCCTGGGCGGGCAGACTCGACTCCCCCCGACGCCGCCCTCTCCACCCTTACCCCGCAAAAAGGGGCAAATCTGCTTTCCGGGCCGGGGCAGCCGTGGTCGGCACGCCTGCAGCGGTCTCAGCGACCCAAATTCTGCGGGGCGGTGGTGGTGGGAGGAAGGGTTGGAGCCCCAGCAGGTTGTCTGGGCTTCGTTTGCTTTTCGGCAAGGTCCTGGCCCAGGCCCCAGTCCCTCTTGGAGCGGAAGCCTCTGGACCTGTTGCTCCTAAGAAAGCAAGCGGCCCCTGACGCGTTGCTGTGGCCTGGTTTGACCCTCGTAGCCAGCCCATGTTCTGTGAGGCATGAAGCGCCACGCAGACACCACGACAAAGTGAGATGAACTAAGACCTCTTCTTGATTCTAAGCAGGGAACGCACAGCTCACCCTGTCACATGCAGCGATCATAAGCTGAGAATTACCCTCTTCCTTCCCACAGCGTCTAATCTTTTTTTATGTTTTTGTGGCAAGGTCTCGCTTAGTCGCCCAGGCTGGAGCGCAGTGGCGATCATGGCCCACTGCGGCCTCGACCTCCTGGGCTCCAGCGTGCGTCTAATCTAGAACCAAATCCTCCTTCCTTAGATCATCCCCCAAATCACCCAACTACAGGTGAAATCCTGTAATAGTTTCCTCCGAACACCCTGTTGCTGAGACACCTCAACGTCTCAACCTGGTGTGTTTGTACGTAGAGTAAAAGACCCAACTTGTTTAACTACAGGCGTGTTTGCAGTGGTCTTTGGCTTAAGGGCGTTATAGACTCTCAGTCGGAGAGTCACTGAGATTCAGTTGAGACTCTCAACTCAGAGCATGCCTTTCTGAGTCCCTTTTGTGTCTGTCTCTGGGAGCACAACCTATTCTTGGCTGGGAAGAAACAGGCATATTCTTTGTTTCATTCTCCTTGAACGCCTACCGTGGCCAGTTGCCGTTTTAGTTCTGACTGCAGAGATGAATAAAACAGATTTGTAGGAGAGGCTGGTGAGAAGCCAGCCACAGACAGGCAGAGGCAGGTGGCACATGTGTACGTCCTGTGTGGAAAAGAGCAGGGCCCTGGGGAAGAACCGTGGCTGGTTCTGAGGGCTCAGCGGAGGCTGCGGCACTGAAGGCAAGATCTGAGGGCTGAGAAGCTGCTGGCACCGGGCAGGGTGGGGAGGGGGCTGACTTGAGCCTGAGCGAAACTGCCTGAGGCAAGGAGGACCTTGGCATATTTGAGACGGTGAAATTCCCAGGGCTGGGAGACGGAGTGGGGGTTGTCTCAGTCCATCCGTGGTCCTACAGGTCCTGGAGGTAAGGAAGCAGACCACCACTTTTCCTGCTGGCCTCCTCTCCCCACCTTGCCTAGTTTATAAGGCAGGAGGAAAGGGAGAAAGCAAACAGTTGGAAAGAAACAGAAGTAAGATAAATAGCCAGACGACCTTGGCGCCACCACCCAGCCCTGGTGGTTAATAATTATAATAATAATATCAGCTCCTGACCTGAACTACTTGTGTTATCTGTAAATTCCAGACGTTGTATGCAGAAGCATTGTAAAACTTTCTGTTCTGTGAGCTGATGCATAGCCCCTAGTCACATTTCCCGCGCTTACTCAATCTACCAGGACCCTTCCATGTGGACCCCTTAGAGTTGTAAGCCCTTAAAAGGGCCGGGAATTTCTTTTTCAGGGAGCTCGGTACTTAAAGACGCAAGTCTGCCGAAGTTCCCGCGGAATGAAGCCACTTCCTTTTTTTTTTTTTTTTTTGAGACGGAGTCTCGCCACTTCCGTCTTTAACCCGTTGTCAGGGGTTTTGTCTGCGGCTCGTCCTGCTACAGAGGTAGCATGGAGGGTTCAGTTGATGTGCGGGAAGATTTTGGCGTGGACTGGAGGTCTGAGATGTTTACTGTGAAACTGCTCTGGCTGGGTGGAGACACTGGAGGGCAGGAGGCCAGGAGAGCTGCCTGGCTGTGGGAAAAGCTGAGTGGGGGAGGAGGGCTCCGCAGGAGTGGGCCTTGGGAAAAGGAGGGCGGGTCCCTGGGTGGAGGGGCCAGCAAAGGCTGTGCAGGCTCTGGCTTGGGGACACTGAGGAGCTCCGTTTTGGATCTGCCCACTGTGAGATGCCTGGGAGGCGCCATGGAGACCTTGGTGGGCAGGTGGTGCCGGGATCAGAGTCTGCCAGGGGAGACAGGTTTTAGGAGTCCCTAGGTATAGATGGTTTTTGTCGTCCGGAAAGGTTGGAAGAAGGGGCCAGGCCTAGTCCTGAGTGCCACCAGACTGAGAAGATTGGGGTCAGGGAGGAGGGCAAGGGCAGCCAGAGAACCAGGAAAACATCTCATCATTGAAGATACGGTTCAGGAAGGAGAATGGCCAAATTCCAGATGCTGTTGAGAAGTAGATTTAAATAGATTGAAAGTAAAAGGATGGACTGGGCACAGTGGCTCATGCCTGTAATCTCAGAACTTGAGGAAGCTGAGGTGGGAGGATCAAGTGAGACAGGAAGTTCAAAAGCAGCCTGGTCAAAATAGTGACATCCCGTCTCTACAAAAAATAAAATAAATTAGGACCTATAGTCCTAGCTACTCAGGCAGCTGAGGCAGGAGGATTGTGGGAGTCGAGGAGTTTGAGGCAGTCATGAACTATGATTGCACCACTGCACTCCAGGCTGGGCAACAGAAAAAGACCCCGTTTCAAAATAAAAAAAAATTATTACATGATATAAGGACATTATATAGTAATAAAAGGGTCAATTCATGAACACATTATAGCAATTATAAAGATGTATGGCCGGGCGCAGTGGCTCACGCCTGTAATCCCAGCACTTTGGGAGGCCCAGGTGGGTGGATCACAAGGTCAGGAGATCGAGACCATCCTGGCTAACACGGTGAAACCCCGTCTCTACTAAAAAATACAAAAAAATTAGCCGGGCGTCGTGGCAGGCACCTGTAGTCCCAGCTACTCGGGAGGCTGAGGCAGGAGAATGGCATGAGCCCGGGAGGCAGAGCTTGCAGTGAGCCGAGATCGCGTCACTGCCCTCCAGCCTGGGCAACAGAGCGAGACTCCGTCTCAAAAAAAAAAAAATAAATAAAGATGTATGTACCAAGAACAGCTCCCCAAAATATATGAAGCAAACATTGGCAGATTTGAAGACAGAAGTAAGTTCTACAATAATAGTTGTAGATGTCACTCAACCTATTTCAGTAATGGAAAACGTATCTAGGTGGCAGATCAACAAGGAAATAGAGGGTCTGGACAGTGCTAAAATCAACTAGAAAGGACGGACACAGAACACTCACCCAACAACAGCAGAACACACAGTTTTTAAGCACACGGAACATCCTCCAGGACAGACCATGTGTTAGGCCACATATTAAAATATATTAAAAGAAGTTTTAATATATATATATATATATATTTTTTTTTTTTTTTTTTTTTTTTTGCTTTCTTTGTTGCCCTGGCTAGAGTGCAGTGGCACGATCTCGGCTCACCGCAACCTCCACCTCCTGGGTTGAAGTGATTCTCCTGCCTCAGCCTCCTGAGTAGCTGGGATTATAGGCTCCCGCCACCATGCCTGGCTAATTTTTGTATTTTTAGTAGAGACGGGGTTTCACCATCTAGGCCAGGCTGGTCTCAAACTCCTGACCTCAGGTGATCTGCCTGCCTCAGCCTCCCAAAGTCCTGGGATTACAAGCATGAGCCACCGCACCTGGCCTTAAGATATTTTCTTTTTTTTTTTTTCTTTTTGAGACAGAGTCTTACTTTGTCACCCAGGCTGGAGCGCAGTAGTGCTATCTCGGCTCACTGCAACCTCCACCTGCTGGGTTCAAGTGATTCTCATGCCTCAGCCTCCAGAGTAGCTGGGACTATAGGCATGTGCCACCATGCCCAGCTAATGTTTGTAGTTTTAATAGAGATGGCGTTTCACCATGTTGACCAGGCTGGTCTCGAACTCCCAACCTCAGGTGATCTACCTATCTCAAACTCCCAAAGTACTGGGATTACAGGCATGAGCCACTGCGCCTGGCCTATATTTTCATTTTCAAAGTTTTTTTTTTTTTTTTTTTAAGACAGAGTTTCACTCTTATTGTCCAGGCTAGAGTGCAATGGCGTGATCTCGACTCACTGCAACCTCCGCCTCCCAGGTTCAAGCGATTCTCCTGCCTCAGCCTCCCGAGTACCTGGGATTACAGGCATGTTCCACCATGCCTGGCTAATTTTTTTTTTAATTAATTAATTTTTTTTGAGACGGAGTCTCGCTCTGTCACCCAGGCTGGAGTGCAGTGGCGCGATCTCAGCTCACTGCAAGCTCCGCCTCCCGGGTTCACACCATTCTCCTGCCTCAGCCTCTCCGAGTACCTGGGATTACAGGCGCCGGCCACCACGGCTAATTTTTTATATTTTTAGTAGAGATGGGGTTTCACCATGGTCTCGATCTCCTGACCTCGTGATCCACCCGCCTCGGCCTCCCAAAGTGCTGGGATTACAAGTGTGAGCCACCGCGCCCAGCCTAATTTTTTTATTTTTTAATTTTTTTTGAGACAGAATCTAGTTCTGTCATCCAGGCTGGAGTGCAGTGGCGCGATCTCGGCTCACTGCAACCTCCACCTCCTGGGTTCAAGCTATTCTCCTTTCTCAACCTCCCAAGTAGCTAGGATTATAGGCGCCCACCACCACGCCTGGCTAATTTTTGTATTTTTAGTAGAGTCGGGTTTTCACTGTGTTGGCCAGGCTGGTCTCAAACTCCTGACCTCGTGATCCACCCGCTTTGGCCTCCCAAAGTGCTGGGATTACAAGCATGAGCCACAGCACCTGGCCTAATTTTTGTATTTTTAGTAGAGACGGGGTTTCGCCATGTTGGTTAGGCTGGTCCTGACTTCAGGTGATCTGCCCACCTCGGCCTCCCAAAGTGCTGGGATTGCAGGCATGAGCCACCATGCCCAGCCTCAAAGGTTGAAATAATACAGTATGTATATACACACACGTGGGTGCACATGTGTGTGTGTCTGTCTGCCTCCTAGGCCGGAGTGCAGTTACATGATCCATAGCTCACTGTAGCCTTGAACTCCTGGGCTCAAGTGATCCTCCCATCTCAGCCTCCCAAATAGCTAGGACTACAGGTGCACACCACCACACCTGGCTAATTTTAATTTGTAGAGATGGGATCTCACTATGTTGCCCAGGTGGGTCCTGAACTCCTTTCCTCAAATGAGCCTCCCACCTGGGGCTCCCAAAGCACTGGGATTGTAGGTGTGAGTTAGTGTGTCCATCCATCAAAGTATGTTTTTCAGCCACAATGGAATGACATTAGAAATGAGTAACAGGAGGCCAGGTGTGGTGACTCACGCCTGTAAACCCCAGCACTTTGGGAGGCTGAGGCGGGCAGATCACCTGAGGTCATGAGTTCAAGACCAGCCTGGCCAACATAGTGAAACCTCCTTTCTACTAAAAATACAAAAATTAGCCAGGCATGGTGATGCGTGCCTGTAATCCCAGCTACTCGGGAGGCTGAGGCAGGAGAATCGCTTGAATTCAGGAGGCAGAGGTTGCAGTGAGCTGAGATCGCCTCACTGCACTCCAGCCTGGGCAACAAAAGCGAAACGCTGTCTCAAAAAAAAAAAAAAAAAGAAAGAAACGAGTAACAGGAAAAGCTGGAAAATTTGCAAATCTGTGGCAATTAAACAACATACTCTTAACCAATGGGTCAAAGAAGAACTACAAGGGGAGGTAGAAAATACTTAGAGATGAATGAAGACGAGAGCAGAAACTACCAGAATGTATGGGATGGAGCCAGGTTGTGCTCAGGTGGAAATTAACGTCTGTAAACACTGATTTTTTGTAGTTCCTCAGTGTGATGATTTGGTTTCACACTCATGTGAGATGTGCTTTTCTCAAACCTTCTTACAAAGTCAGCGCCTTACCCATCTGACCCCCAAAAACACAGTATGGTCCCCCAGTTCCACTTGCCGTTTCTCTTGTCCTGACAGAAACGTAGGGTTCCTTGACCGCTCTGTGACCTAGCCAGCTGCGTGGTTTTTTTTTTTTTTTTTTTTTTTTGAGACGGTGTCTCGCTCTGTTGCCCAGTCTGGAGTGCAGTGGTGCAATCTCAGCTCACTGCAACCTCTGCCTCCTGGGTTCAAGCAGTTCTCCTGCCTCAGACTCCCAAGTAGCTGGGACTACAGGCGCCCGCCACCATGCTCGGCTAATTTTTGTATTTTTAGTAGAGTCGGGGTTTCACTATGTTGGCCAGGCTGGTTTTGAACTCCTGACTGGGTGATCCACCCGCCTCAGCCTCCCAAAGTGTTGGGATTACAGGCGTGAGCCACCGCGCTGGCCCCAGCTGCGTGTTTTTTCCACATGCTTTTAATCCCAGCTACTCGGGAGGCTGAGGTAGGAGAATCACTTGAATCCAGGAAGCTGAGGTTGCAGTGAGCCGAGACTGAGCCACTGCACTCCAGCCTGGGTGACAGAGGTAGATTCTGTTTCAAAAAAAAAAAAAAAAAAAAAAAAGAACAAGATGCCTGCTTCACCACTGCTATTAAATATTGTACTGAAAGTCCTGCCCAGGGGCAATTACATGAGAAAAAGAAATAAGAGGCATTCAAATGGAAAAGAAGGAAGTAGAACTATCTCTATTCACAGATAACATGATCCTACATATAGAAAATACCAAAGAATACACAAGAAAGCTACTAGAGTTAGTAAACAAATTCAGTAAAGTTGCAGGGCGTAGTATCAACAAGAAAATCAGTTGCATTTCTGTGCACCTGCAACGAACAGTCCAAAAAGGAAATGAAGAAAACGATTCTATTTATAACAACATCTAAAAAGTAAAATGCCAAGAAATAAATTTAACCAAGGAGGTGAAATACTTGCACACTGAAAACTACAACACATTGCTGAAAGAAATTAAAGAAAACCTGAATAAGTGCAAAGGACCCCTCGTTCGCGAGTAGGAAGACAGCATTGTTAAGATGTTAATACTTCCCTAAGCGATCCAAAACAATGTTGAAAAAGAACAAAGTTGGGCCAGACGCGGTGGCTCACCCGTGTAATCCCAGCACTTTGGGAGGCCAACACGGGCGGATTACGAGGTCAGGAGTTCAAGACTATAGGGTCCAGCCCTACTGTGCCTGTGTGTTTTTCTCTTCATGTGCAGAGATGAGAGATCGTAGAAATAAAGACACAAGACAAAGAGATGGAAGAAAAGACAGCTGGGCCCAGGGGACCACTACCACCAAGGCATGGAGACCGGTAGTGGCCCCGAATGCCTGGCTGCACTGTTATTCATTCGATACAAGGCAAGGGGGCAGGTAAGAAGTGTGAGTCGTCTCCAGCGATACGTAAGGTCATGTGAGTCACGTGTCCACCGGACAGGGGGCCCTTCCCTATTTGGTAGCCGAGGCGGAGAGAGAATGGGGACAGCTTATGTCATTATTTCTTCTATGTATTTCTCGGAGAGATCAAAGACTTTAATACTTTCACTAATTCTGCTACTGCTATCTAGAAGGCACAGCCAGGTGTACAGGGCGGAACACGAAAGTGGACCAGGAGCGTGACCGCTGAAGCACAGCATCACAGGGAGACGTTTAGGCCTCCGGATGGCTGCGGGCGGGCTTGACTGATGTCAGGCCTTCCACAAGAGGTGGTGGAGCAGAGTCTTCTCTAACTCCCCTGGGGAAACGAGACTCCCTTTCCTGGTCTGCTAAGCAGTGGGTGTCTTCCCAGGCACTGGCGTTACCGCTAGACCAAGGAGCCCTCTAGTGGCCCTGTCTGGGCATAACAGAAGGCTCACACTTGTCTTTGGTCGCTTCTCACCATGTCCCTTCAGCTCCTATCTCTGTATGGCCTGGTTTTTCCCAGGTTATAATTGTAGAACAGAGATTATTATAATATTGGAACAAAGAGTAATGCTACAAACTAATGATTAATATTCATATATCATCATATCTATATTCTAGTTCCAGTATAACTATTCTTATTCTGTATATTTTCTTTATTATACTGGAACAGCTCGTGCCCTCGGTCTCTTGCCTCGGCACCTGGGTGGCTTGCCGCCCACAGAGACCAGTCCGGCCAACATGATGAAACCCCGACTCTACTAAAAATACAAAAATTAGCCGGATGTGGTGGCGGGCGCCTGTAATCCCAGCTACCTGGGAGGCTGAGGCAGGAGAATCGCTTGAACTTGCGAGGCAGAGGTTGCAGGAGCCGAGATGGCGCTACTGCACTCCAGCCTGGGTGACAGAGCGAGACTCCGTCTCAACAAAAACCCAAAAAACAACAAAAAAAAGTTAAAACTATAAAACTCTTAGGAAAAAAACGGGATAAACCTTCACAACTTTTAATTTGGCAACAGATTCTTAGAAATGACACTAAAAGCACAAGCAACAAGAGACCAACAAAGTGGATGTCATCAAAATAATTTCTGCACATCGGCCGGGCGCGGTGGCTCACGCCTGTAATCCCAGCACTTTGGGAGGCTGAGGCGGGTGGATCGGGAGTTCAACACCAGCCTGGCCAAGATGATGAAACCCCGTCTCTACTAAATATCCAAAAATTAGTCGGGCGTGGTGGCGGGCGCTGTAATCCCAACTAAACTCTGGAGGCTGAGGCAGAGAACTGTTTGAACCCAGGAGGGGGAGGTTGCTGTGAGCCAAGATCGCGCCAGTGCACTCCCGCCTGGGCAACAGAGTGAGACTCTTGTCTCAAAAAATAATAATTTTTGCACTTCAAAGACAGTATCAACTGAATAAAGAAGCAACCCACAGGAAGATTTGAAAATAACATATATGACAAGGGATTGAGATCTAGATTATTTATTATTTAGTTATTTTTTTTTGAGACAGAGTCTCGCTCTGTTGCCCAGGCTGGAGTGCAGTGGCGCGATCTCGGCTCACTGCAAGCTCCGCCTCCTGGGTTCACGCCATTCTCCTGCCTCAGCCTCCCGAGTAGCTGTGACTACAGGTGCCCGCCGCTACGCCTGGCTAATTTTTTTTTTTTTTTGAGATACAGTCTCCATCTTTTGCTTAGGCTGGAGTGCAATGGCACGGTCTCAGGTCACTGCAACCTCTGCCTCTCAGGTTCAAGTAATTCTCCTGCCTCAACCTCCCGAGTAGCTGAGATTACAGGCGCCTGCCACCACGCCCAGCTAATTTGTGTATTTTTAGTAGAGACGAGGTTTTACCATGTTGGCCAGGATGGTCTCGTTCTCTTGACCTTGTGATCTGCCCGCTTTGGCCTCCCAAAGTGCTGGGATTACAGACATGAGCCCCTGTGCCCGGCCGAGATCCAGATGATTTTTTTTTTTTTTTTTTGAGACGGAATCTCACTCTGTCGCCCAGGCTGGAGTGCAGTGGCGTGATCTTGGCTCACTGCAAGCTCCGCCTCCCGGGTTCACGCCATTCTCCTGCTTCAGCCTCCCAAGTAGCTGGGACTATAAGCAGCCACCACCACGCCCGGCTAACATATATATATATATATATATATATTTGTATTTTTAGTAGAGACGGGGTTTCACTGTGTTAGCCAGGATGGTCTTGATCTCCTGACCTCGTGATCCACCCGCATCGGCCTCCCAAAGTGCTGGGATTACAGGCGTGAGCCACCATGCCCGGCCAATCCAGATGATTTTTAAAAATCATAAAACTCAACAAAAAACAACCCAATTCAAAAATGGGCGAAGGATTTGATAGGCATTTTTCCAAAGAAGACATACAAATGGCCAGTCAACACAGGGAAAATGTTCAACATCACTAATCGTTAGGGAGATGCAAATCAAAACCACAGGCTGGACATGGTGGCGCACGCCTGTAATCCCAGCACTTTGGGAGGCCAATGTGGGCGGATCATGAGGTCAGGAGATCAAGACCATCCTGTGTAGGGACCAGCCCTACAGGGTCAGTGGGTCTCGCCCCGTGTGTGGAGATGAGAGAGTGTAGAAATAAAGACAGAACACAAAGAGATAAAAGAAAAGACAGCTGGGCCAGGGGGACCACTACCACCAAGTCGCAGAGACCGGTAGTGGCCCCAAATGGCAGGCTGCACTGATATTTATTGGATACAAGACAAAGGAGCAGGGTAAAGAGTGTGAGCCATCTCCAGTCATAGGTAAGGCCATGTGGGTCATGTGTCCACTGAACGGGGGCCCTTCCCTGCCTGGCAGCCTAGGCAGAGAGAGGGAGAGGAGACAGAGAGAGAGACAGCTTACGCCATTATTTCTGCGTATCAGAGACTTTTAGTACTTTCACTAATTGACTACTGCTATCTAGAAGGCAGAGCCAGGTGTACAGGATGGAACATGAAGGTGGACTAGGAGTGTGACCACTGAAGCACAGCATCACAGGGAGACGGTTAGGCCTCCGGATAACTGCGGGCGGGTCTGACTGATGTCAGGCCCTCCACAAGAGGTGGAGGAGCAGAGTCTTCTCTAAACTCCCCAGGGGAAAGGGAAACTCCCTTTCCCTGTCTGCTAAGTAGCAGGTGTTTTCCCTTGACACTGACGCTACTGCTAGACCATGGTCTGCTTGGCAACAGGTGTCTTCCCAGATGCTGGCATCACCGCTACACCAAGGAGCCCTCTGGTGGCCCTGTCCTGGCATAACAGAAGGCTCGCACTCTTGTCTTCTGGTCACTCCTCACTATGTCCCCTCAGCTCCTATCTCTGTATGGCCTGGTTTTTCCTAGGTTATGATTGTAGAGTGAGGATTATTATAATATTGGAATAAAGAATAAGTACTACTAATGATTAATTATATTCATATATAATCATATCTAAGATCTATATCTGGTATAACTATTCTTGTTTTATATTTTATTATACTGGAACAGCTCATGTCCTCGGTCTCTTGCCTTGGCACCTGAGTGGCTTGCCACCCACAATCCTGACTAACACAGTGAAACCCCGTGTCTACTAAAAATACAAAAATTAGCCAGGCATGTGGATGTGCGCCTGTAATCCCAGCTACTCAGGAGGCTGAGGCAGGAGAATTGCTTGAACCCGGGAGGTGGAGCTTGCAGTGAGCTGAGATTGCGCCATTGCACTCCAGCTTGGGCAACAGAGCGAGACTGTCTCAAAAAAAAAAAAAAAAAAAAAAAAAGCAGGCATTTCACAGCCATGTTCATCGCATCAATATTCACAATGGCTAAAACAGGCCGGGTGTGGTGGCTCACGCCTGTAATCCCAGCGCTTTGGGAGGCTGAGGCTGACAGATCATCTGAGGTCAGGAGTTCAAGACCAGCCTGGCCAACATGCTGAAAACCTGTCTCTACTAAAAATGCAAAATTTAGCCAGGCGTGGTGGTGGGTGCCTGTAATCTCAGCTACTCCGGAGGCTGAGACAGGAGAATGGCCTGGACCCAGGAGGCGGAAGTTGCAGTAAGCCGAGATCGTGTCACTTCACTCCAGCCTGGACAACAGAGTGAGACTCTGTCTCGAAAAAAAAAAAGGACAAAATGCTGTAGGATTCCACTGATATGACGTACCTGGAGTCAGCAGAGCCACAGAGACAGATGGTAGAATGGTGAGTGCCAGGGGCTGGGGTCCATTGTTTAATGGCTACAGTTTCTACTGGGGGTGATGAGATAGTGGAAAATAGTGATGACGGTGCACAGCGTTGTGAAGGCAGGAATGTACCTAATGCCACCAAATTTCACACGCGGAAGTGGTTAAGTGGTCAATTTTATATTATGTATAATTCAGCACACAGACCAGCACGGCCCCAAGTGCGGATGCAGTAGGTCACGGCCAGCCGCCCGCCGATAGCCTTTCAGTCTGAGGGACAGCACAGACGTGATGTGTGGCCGGGCATGGCCCCCAGTCTGTGAGCCATAGAGGGTGGGACTGGGTGTCCCAGCAGGAATCGGGGTGTGGAGGAGCTGCCTAGATGGTCTGGAGAGGGCAGATGGACCTCGAGGGGAGGGTTTGGGCTCAGCAGCCTCTCACCCTTGCTGGCCAGGCTCCCAGGATTCCCTGCCCAGGGACCTCTCACCCCCTCAGCTGGTGGCTCTGCAGCCAACCTGCCCGTCTGTGCTGCTCCGGGGATGGGCAGAGAGAGATCGGGGGTGTCTGCACAGGCATGGGCAGCCTAGGCTCACTTGCCCCTTGGGTGACCTACTGTGCCCTGCACAGGCTGACGAGGGCCCTGGCGATGCAGACCTGGGGTCCTCCTGCAGAAGTTGGGCCCCTTCACATGTCAGGTTGCTGTGCCAGTGAAGGGGTGGCCAGCCCCTCCACACCTGTGGGTGTTTCTCGTCAGGTGGGATGAGAGACTGAGAAAAGAAATAAGACACAGAGACAAAGTATAGAGAAGGCAGTGGGCCCAGGAGACGGCGCTCAGTATACGGAGGACCCGCACCGGCCCCGGTCTCTGAGTTCCCTCAGTATTTATTCATTACCATTTTCACTATCTTTGCATGAGGAATGCGGCAGCAGAGCAGAGGTCAGCAAGAAAATGTGAGCAAAGGCATCTGTGTCACAAATAGCTTGAAGGGAAGGTGCTGTGCCCGGATGTGCACGTAGGCCAGATTCATGCTTCTCTCCACCCAAACATCTCAGTGTAGCAGAGTAACAGAGCAGCATTGCCGCCAGCATATCTCGCCTCCAGCCACAGGGCGGTTTTCTCCTGTCTCAGAATAGAACTAATGTACGATCGGGTTTTACACGGAGACATTCCGTTCCCAGGGGCATGTCGGAGACAGAAGCCTTCCTCTTATCTCAACTGCAAAGAGGCCTCCCTCTTTCACTAATCCTCCTCAGCACAGACCCTTTATGGGTGTCGGGCTGGGGGACGATCAGGTCTTTCCCTTCCCACGAGGCCATATCTCAGGCCGTCTCACTGGGGGGAAACCTGGACAATACCCAGGCTTTCTTGGGCAGAGGTCCCTGCGGCTTTCCGCAGTGCACTGTGTCCCTGGTTAATGGAGAATGGAGGATGGCGATGACTTTTACCAAGCATACTGCCTGCAAACACATTGTTAACAAAGCACATCCTGCACAGCCCTAAATCCCCTAAACCTTGAGTCAATACAGCACATGTTTCTGTGGGCACAGGGATGGGGCTAAGGTTACAGGTTACCAGCACAGGCCTAGATGCCTTAAACCTTGATTCCATACAGCATATGTTTCTGTGGGCACAGGGATGTGGGCAGGGGACTGTGGCCACCCTCACCCCTGGCAGAGCCATGCTGGGTAGCCCCATGCCCACCCTTCCCGGCTTGGGAGGCCCTGGCTGCTGCCCAGAGGGGCATCAATGCCTGGGCCGTGGACAAGAGGGAAAGTGGCTTCCTTGGAAACCCTGCTCCTGGAGCCCTCCCTGAGGCTCTGGCCCCTCTGTGGGCCCAGCCAAGCCTGGAGCGTCTCCAGGCTCTGGTGTGCTTGGGGAGCTGGCCAGCTCTCGGCCTAGCTGGCGTCTCCAGAGCTGCGGTCCTGGGTGAGGGTTGCTGGTGGAGTTCTGGCCACCTAAGGCACCCGAGGGAGCCAAAGGAGCAGAGGTGTGGGGTGGGGGACGCCGTGGGGTACCTCCACATCCAAGGAGGTCTGCTGTTTGTCCTCACCCCCGTCCTGCGGGGGCCCCGGCAGGCAGCCCCAGGAACTGCGTAGGGATGGGACAGGGCCCAGATGTGAGGGCCGTGGTGGGGACGGTGTGTGGCCCTGGATGACCTCGTGTTGCAGTGTGACGTGATGGTCACTGCCACCATGCTGAGGGCCCCAGCCACCAGTCACCCACCATGGGGGGTGCCTCTGTGTGAGGCACGGGAGGGCCATGGCGTGAGGGGCTGTGGAAGTGGCCGGTCTTCTCCGCTCAGCCCCACACAGGATGGGCAGGGCAGGGTCATGCTGGCCGAGGGTAGTCTTGGGAGAAGGACAGGGTAACTCTCTGTAGCTGAGCCCCTGCTGCCCCTGCACCTGTTCTGGGCCTGGCTAGCGGCCCATGTACATCCCCAGCAGGACTCCACGTAGCTAGTCTGGCACCCACCACTACGGCCCCCTCACCCACTCCCTGAACTGGACGCTGGGGAAAGGTGACTTCTTCCATCCTCTGGGTGCTCCCCAGGGAGGAGGCCCCAGCTCCCAGCAGAGGCCTCTGGTCCCCCCTTGTCCCTGCAGGGCTGTGTGGGCACACTGGGTGCCAGTCGGAAGGGCAGGTGGCGATTCCCAGCTCTTGGGAGCTACCCGGCCACATCCCGGCCCTGCCCAGACGCTCCAGGGGCACCCCACACTCCTGCCCGCTGCGAGGCCCCGCCCCGCCAAGCCCAGCCCGTTATCGCTTGGACAAACCCTGGGTTGCTTTC
Organism: Homo sapiens; assembly: GCF_000001405.40. NCBI lineage: Eukaryota > Metazoa > Chordata > Mammalia > Primates > Hominidae > Homo > Homo sapiens. The sequence goes on along the minus strand of NC_000009.12, from coordinate 137,115,148 downwards.
TTCGGGGGGCCAGCACTCTGTTTGGGACCCTCTCCCTCCCGCCCTTAGGGCAGCAGAACGGCCCCCACTCTCCCGGCCCTGCCTTGGAGTGGGGCACCTGCCAGGAGCAAGTGCTGGGGAGGCTTGGCGGGCGCAGCAGGGACTCGCCCTAGCGCAGCTCCGGATGGGGCCGCGGTAGGAGGACGAGCCAGTGGGGCGGGAGGCCGCGGAGATGGCCCGGGGGCCCTCTGCTTCCCCGCGCCGTGCCCGGGAAGGACCCCTGGGCAGCGGCCGCGGGGCGCGGGGTGTTGGGGGGCACAGCCCCGGCGCGGCGCTGAAGCAGCGACGGTCTCCGTGGGGACCGCGGGCGCCCGAAACACGTGGGGCCTGGAGGGAGGAGCGCGCCCTGGCGGCCCCGTGACCCCGCCCACGTGACGGGCGCCCGCGGAAGGCGACATGGGCTCCGCTCCCTGGGCCCCGGTCCTGCTGCTGGCGCTCGGGCTGCGCGGCCTCCAGGCGGGGGGTGAGTGGCGGCGCCCCCCGGCCCATTCCCCGGTCCCGGCCCCGCCTCTGAGGTTCGCGTCCCCCCACAGCCCGCAGGGCCCCGGACCCCGGCTTCCAGGAGCGCTTCTTCCAGCAGCGTCTGGACCACTTCAACTTCGAGCGCTTCGGCAACAAGACCTTCCCTCAGCGCTTCCTGGTGTCGGGTGAGACCCCGGCCCCGGCCCGGCCGCCCCCGCCGTCCCGCCGCCCCCCGGCACCCTCGCCTCATCCGCCCTCCCCACAGACAGGTTCTGGGTCCGGGGCGAGGGGCCCATCTTCTTCTACACTGGGAACGAGGGCGACGTGTGGGCCTTCGCCAACAACTCGGCCTTCGTCGCGGAGCTGGCGGCCGAGCGGGGGGCTCTACTGGTCTTCGCGGAGCACGTGGGTGCCGGGCGGGGTCGCGGGCGGGGTCGCGGGGCACGTGGGTGCCGGGCGGGGTCGCGGGCGGGGGTCGCGGGGCACGCGGGTGCCGGGCGGGGTCGCGGGCGGGGGTCGCGGGGCACGCGGGTGCCGGGCGGGGTCGCGGGCGGGGGTCGCGGGGCACGCGGGTGCCGGGCGGGGTCGCGGGGCCGGGCTCAATGGCACGTTCCCCCAGCGCTACTACGGGAAGTCGCTGCCGTTCGGTGCGCAGTCCACGCAGCGCGGGCACACGGAGCTGCTGACGGTGGAGCAGGCCCTGGCCGACTTCGCAGAGCTGCTCCGCGCGCTACGACGCGACCTCGGGGCCCAGGATGCCCCCGCCATCGCCTTCGGTGGAAGGTGGGCGCCTCCCCCGGCCTCCGCACCCCCTCCCTCCCCTGCCCCGACCCAGCGCCCCCAGCCCTTCTCCCCACTCCCCTCTGACTCCCACCGCTGCCTTTTCGTAAGGCCTCAGGCAGTGGTTCCAGGCTTAGTGTTGCCTCCCCCAGGAAGCCCTCCCACCTGTCCTCCCAGCCACCTGCTCAGCTTGGATGTGCGGCCACACTAGCGGCCTTTCCCAGTGAGAGCTGCACCCGCACCTGGCCCAGGGTTGGAATTTGTGGGTCTCAGAAGTGTCGTCCTCCTTGTGGCACCTGTGGGCCCCTGAGGAGGAAAAGAGGAAATGGGGTGTTGGGGGCAGCAGCCCTAACCCTGTGTCCCTCACCCAGTTATGGGGGGATGCTCAGTGCCTACCTGAGGATGAAGTATCCCCACCTGGTGGCGGGGGCGCTGGCGGCCAGCGCGCCCGTTCTAGCTGTGGCAGGCCTCGGCGACTCCAACCAGTTCTTCCGGGACGTCACGGCGGTGAGTGAGGCTTGGGGTCCTCCAGGCCCCCTAAGGGACAGCAGCTGCAGTCAGCACGGTCTCTTTCCCCCAGGACTTTGAGGGCCAGAGTCCCAAATGCACCCAGGGTGTGCGGGAAGCGTTCCGACAGATCAAGGACTTGTTCCTACAGGGAGGTGAGGTCCTCCCACCGCCTCCCACTGCCTGACCCGCCCCAGCGCCAGCTATGCCCAAACTTCAAGTCTCTGCCCCTTCCACGCAGCCTACGACACGGTCCGCTGGGAGTTCGGCACCTGCCAGCCGCTGTCAGACGAGAAGGACCTGACCCAGCTCTTCATGTTCGCCCGGAATGCCTTCACCGTGCTGGCCATGATGGACTACCCCTACCCCACTGACTTCCTGGGTCCCCTCCCTGCCAACCCCGTCAAGGTGAGGCGCCGCCTCCCAGGGCGCAGGGAGAGGCCGGCTGGAGTGTCCCGAGGCTGGTGGTCAGCGGCCTGACCCTCATCCTGGGAGCCAGGGAGGCGGAGCTGGTGGAGGGGACCCCGCTGAGTCGCCGCTGCCCCTGCACTCCAGGTGGGCTGTGATCGGCTGCTGAGTGAGGCCCAGAGGATCACGGGGCTGCGAGCACTGGCAGGTGCCCTTCCCCCGGCCCCAGATGGGCAAGTGTGGAGACCCCAGGCTTGGCTTGGGTCCTGGGGCCGGGTGGGGCGAGGATCCGCAGCCCGGCCAGGGGCTTTGCCTCCTGCCCCAGGGCTGTGGTGGGGTGGACAGCACGACCTTCCCAGAAACCCTGGGGGAGGCAGGGGCCGTCCCTGGGGACCCTCTCAGCACTGGCTGTAGCCAGGCCCAGCTTGGTGGGTGCTGCCCAAGGGGCCCCTGGGGTCCCCAGCATGGAGGGCAACAGAGGGCAGCAGGCCCCACCCTGCCCCGTGGAGAGCGGGGGGGCCCTCAACAGTCAGGCCCGGGGCTGGCAGCACAGACACCGCCGACCTCCAAGCAGGTAGCCTGGAGGGCCTTCCTCACTGGGACCTACAGATCCCAGAGCCCCAGATCCCCTGCAGGACCATTCCGAGGGGGGACAGGTTGGTGGCCGGAGCCCGCGGTGTGTCTGTGTGTGGCCGCTGGGCCCCAGCGCCTCTCCTCCCCAGGGCTGGTCTACAACGCCTCGGGCTCCGAGCACTGCTACGACATCTACCGGCTCTACCACAGCTGTGCTGACCCCACTGGCTGCGGCACCGGCCCCGACGCCAGGGCCTGGGACTACCAGGTGTGGGGGTGTGGGTGGCCTGGAACCACTCGGGGGCAAGGGTGGGCGTGGGCTGGCCTGACTCAGGCTGGGGCACCTGCAGGCCTGCACCGAGATCAACCTGACCTTCGCCAGCAACAATGTGACCGATATGTTCCCGGACCTGCCCTTCACTGACGAGCTCCGCCAGCGGTACTGCCTGGACACCTGGGGCGTGTGGCCCCGGCCCGACTGGCTGCTGACCAGCTTCTGGGGGGGTGGTAAGGCTGAGGGGGGGTGGGCCAGCGTCCTGCTTTCTGCCCCGAGCTCTGCACCCCCTGCCCATGGCTCACAGCCCCCGTGAGGGGCCCACATCACAACTTTCTCTGCCCCTTGCAGATCTCAGAGCCGCCAGCAACATCATCTTCTCCAACGGGAACCTGGACCCCTGGGCAGGGGGCGGGGTGAGTCCTGGCCTGGGCCCTATGACCCCGTTAGTTTGTTTGTTTTTTTTTTGAGACAGGGTCTTTCTCTGGCGCCCAGGCTGGAATACAGTGGCGAGATCAGGGTTCACTGCAGCCTTGACCTCTGAGGCTCAAGCCTCCCAGTAACTGGGACTACAGGCGCTCACCAACATGCCCAGCTAATTTAAAAAAATATTTTTTTGTAGAGACACAGTCTCACCATATCGCCCAGGCTGGTCTCGAACTCTTGGGCTCAAACGATCTTCCCCGCATGGCCTCCCAGAGTGCTGGGATCACAGGCCCCTCGCCTGCCCCTACCCTGCTCCCGTCTCACCCCCAGAGTGCTGGGATCACAGGCCCCTCGCCTGCCCCTACCCTGCTCCCGTCTCACCCCCAGAGTGCTGGGATCACAGGCCCCTCGCCTGCCCCTACCCTGCTCCCGTCTCACCCTCAGAGTGCTGGGATCACAGGCCCCTCACCTGCCCCTACCCTGCTCCTGTCTTACTCCCAGAGTGCTGGGATCACAGGCCTCACACCTGCCCCTTCCCTGCTCCTGTCTCACCCGGTTTTGCCCCCATCATCTCGTCACTTCCCACCTCCGTCTCTGGCTGGTTCTCTCTGGTTGCTTGATGGGCACTGAGTCTCGGCTCGCCCTCTCACGTCTCCTCTCCAATGGGCCCACGGAGGCTGGGCAGTTGCCTCGTTCCTCACCTGATGGAGTTCTTTCCACTGACCACAGATTCGGAGGAACCTGAGTGCCTCAGTCATCGCCGTCACCATCCAGGGGGGAGCGCACCACCTCGACCTCAGGTGCGGAGGGAGGTGGCCTGGCGGTGGTCGCGGGTCGGGCGGGACAGGCTCACCGAGGGCTGGGGCTGACGGGCCCCCTCTGTGCCCGCTCCCCAGAGCCTCCCACCCAGAAGATCCTGCTTCCGTGGTTGAGGCGCGGAAGCTGGAGGCCACCATCATCGGCGAGTGGGTAAAGGCAGCCAGGCGTGAGCAGCAGCCAGCTCTGCGTGGGGGGCCCAGACTCAGCCTCTGAGCACAGGACTGGAGGGGTCTCAAGGCTCCTCATGGAGTGGGGGCTTCACTCAAGCAGCTGGCGGCAGAGGGAAGGGGCTGAATAAACGCCTGGAGGCCTGGCCATGTATGTCCCGTCCTTCCTGTCTGTGGGGCCCACACGCAGGCTGTGGGAGCGGGACCCTCGGAGACACGGCTGGGGACGCGGCGCACCCCACACAGGCCGGGTATGCCATGTGCTCCACAAGGTAGAGGCTCCACAACGCTCAGGTCTGCTCCTTAGGGCAGCGGGGGGCAGTGCCCCGCAAGGAAGCCCCGCTCTGCTGAGCCGCAGCAGACAGAGGCTGCAGCCACACCTCCAAGGTGACTCCTTCCCTGACATCCTCTGTACACAGCGACCCCTCCAGGGGAGGCCACTGGACAGTGCTTTTGGCCCCCAAGGGGCATGCAGTTGCTGTCCCTCCACCCTCTGGGACCACGCCCCCAGCACGTTAGTCTCGGAGGTCTGGGTGAGATGGAGAAGGTGCACCTTTTCCGGCTGTTGAGGCCCCACCTGCTGCCCTAGTCCTGCCCGTTCAGCCGGCCATGGGGCACCTGGTCCAGGAGGGCAGCACTGGGCCCACCGTGACAAGGGGCGGGCTAGGGTGGTACTGACAAGGGGCAGGCTAGGGCCGTGCTGGGCCCACCGTGACAAGGGGCAGGCGCCAGGGTCACATGACAGCCGATGTTCTCACCTTTCCAGGCACAGAGGGTGGAGTGCAGGATCAGGGCCCAGCATGAAGTGGGAGACGAAGCCCCAGGGTGCCCACTGTCCCCAGAGGGACACAGGTGGCTGCTGTGGGATGTTGGGGGTTGTGGGGACAGGCAGAGCCGAGGCCCACACTCGGGGCCCGGACGTCCCGAGGGGCGGAGCTGGCAATCCTGGGCTGGGTCCGGGTAGCCCTGCCCTGTGCCGCCACCGGCTCTGGCTTCCCAGGGAAGGGGAGTCTTCCGGAAGTGAAGGTGATGGATTTTTCACAGGGGAGAGCGAGGGGGCGTGGTCCTAAGAGGTCACCTGGTTCAGGGTCGGGGGGAACCCAGCCAAGGCCCAGGGTCAGCCCTGGGATAGGGACAGCAGTAGAGTGATGATGAGGACAACTCTGCCACCACAGCCCAGGGCTCGGGGCCATAGCCATGCCAGGCTGCTGGGAGCTGCCTGACCTGAGGGCCCGTGTATCCCTCAGCTGTGCGCCTCAGTGCCAGCCCTGCAGGGAAACAGGCCCTGTGTGAAACGCAGGCGCAAGGATGCCTCCCGCCAAGCATCTGCCCCGTGGGGCCAGGGACACGGAGCTTCCCCGTGGCCTCTCCCTGCCCACCAGCAGGGGACAGCTAGAGTCCAGTCTCAGCAAACCGAATTCTGAGACGTGACTTGAAGAATACCTTCTCCCCAACGTCCGCCCAGACTTTCCAGTCATGGAGATCCCTAAAGACACAGGCGACATCGCGGTTAGAGCAAATCAACTTTTATCTCCACCGAAAAGACCCATTCCACTGGAGGGGCCCGTGAGCTAGACGGACTTGCCGTCCAGCCCTCCAAGCCCCCTGCGGGGCGGCCAGGAGGATCCCTGAGTCCAGCTTGTAAACACCAGAGCCAGCCCTGGAGCCTCAGGCCTCTGGAGTCACGGCAGCCCCTCCAGACCCTTGGATTGGGGACATCTGAGGCTTCACGAGCCCGGGCAGAGCTGCACCCTGGGCTGTCCACTCGGTCACCCCAGTACCAGGGACCACCTCGAAGCCCCCCTCTGGTCGGCCCACAGAGACCTGCTCAGGCTTCAGCAATCGTGAGTCATGATTCGTGTCTTCTGGAGGAAGCAGGCGGAGGCTCCAGCGGCCCAGCCCACCCCGCATCACACCAAGACTGACGGCCTCACTTGTCCTCACGGTGTCCTGATTAAAGCAGAGACGAGGAGGAGCCCAGAGCCAGTTCAGAGCCTGGGCCACTTGGCGGTTGCCGGTGCTACGTGGGCCCTTGGAAAATGCCACAGACCCAGCAAGGTGCCTCTGCCCACCCGAAGTCCCCACACCAGCAGCCATCCACCCTAGGCAGGGGTCCAGATAGGCAGAGGGTGGGCTTCGGTGTTGAACACGTAGGCATCCAGGCTGAGCAGGTTTGGGTCATCGGAGAAGAGCAAGAACAGATACTTGAGCGTCTCCCCCAGGAAGAAGCTCTCCATCTTGTCCCTAGGCTCGGGCTTCTGAGGATCCTGGACATTGTTGATGGAAGAATAGCCACCCGAGGGGACCTGTGCAGCAGCCAGGGCCTCGTCACCACACGGGGGGCACCCTGCACCCCCCTCAGCCTCATCACCGAAGCGCTCTCCACCCCATGGTGAATGTGGCCCCCAGCGCAAGCTCAGGGTGGAGGGCGCCTGGATGATGGCCACCCCCAGGCGAGCCGTGTGGTTCCACCGGAGCCCACCTGGAAATGCCAACAACCCTCAAGTGACCACGACAGAAACCGCCTCCCCCAGAACCTGGGCTCAGGGGGCCTCACAGTTGCCGCACAGGGCACAGGGCACAGGGCAGACGGTGGGAGCGGAGGCAGCGGGGGCCTCAGGCCAAGATCACAGCAGAGCCAGGAAGTGACACTCTGGCGTGGAGGGCGTGACCTAAAACAGGGCCTGGTCCACAGTGGGGATGGTGCCCCAGTCATGGGTGCGTGTGCCTCCTAAACTGGGGGGATGCTGGGCCCACAGCAGAGACCCTCCCTAGACAGGCCCTGAGAAATGAAAATGAGGGGTGCCCAGCCCCTCCAAGTACTCTGGGTCCCACAACCATGAAGCTCAGTGGGGATGGGGATGCCAGGGCCCCCAAGCTGCAGTGTGGCCACCCCGAGGCTGCGGCAAGCCCGCCCCTCCCGGATCCAGGTCACAGCCACCACCAAGAGCGGAGCCAGCCTGAGCCCCACAGCCCAGCCGTGCCTGTGGCCCGGTGGCCGTGACCACGCGGGGCGAGGACAGGTGCTCACCCGTGTGAATCGGCTGAAGCTCTGCAGAATCTCCCAGCCCCAGTCCTGGTATTTGCGGTCCCCTGTGACGCGGTACAGGTAGAACAGGCTCTCCACGGTCTCTGGCCGCAGCAGGTTGTGCCTGTCTGCTGGCTGTGGGCGGAGCAGAGCTCAGGGCAAGGCCAGCCCTGCCAGCACCCTCCTCCTGATGGACCCTGACCCAGGCCCAGGCCCACCTTGACCTCCACGTCCCGACGGCCCGGCTGGGGGTAAAGGTTGAAGTGCACGATCTCGGGACTCAGCCCCGTCTCCATCTGCCGGTTCATCTGGTAACAAGTCTCCATGAGCTCCTGGGCCAGCTCCATGTGGCTGGCGGGCAGGCCGTGGTAGACGCCCAGAGCCAGCGTCCCTGGCAGGAAGCACACCAGGTGGTCCTGGAATCAGAGGGTCTCTTCAGCCCCAGATCCCAGGCCCTGCCCTCAGCCTGCAGCTGCACGGGCAGCCAACGTGGGAGCCCAGCGCTGCCTCGGCCCTGGTACCCTGGGAGGGGAGGCCACGCGAGGGCACTTGGCATGGAACAGCGGAGCTGCCTGGACCAGGCCCTCCAACCCGGCCCCCACACACCGCCCGAGGACCTGCTACACACCGGGCACGGGGAGGGAGCTGCCCTGGGGAAGCCCTGCCCACCCCAGGTGCCACACAAGGCCTTACTGCCCTGTTGCCAAGACAGGCCTGGCCAGGCAGCCACGGTCCACCCAGGGCCTCCACGTGGGCGCCATGGCCAGGATTTCGTTCTTTTTGACATCATGACTCAGGCACCTTGGAAGCCAAGGTAAAAGGGGCGGCGGCCGGAAGGCCCCGCAGACACACTCACCATCTTGGCACTGAAGCGGCCGTGGGCAAGCTCCCCCACAAAGGTGAGCTTACTGGGCTCGGAGTGCCGCAGCAGGTGCGTTCTGACACCCTCGATGGCTTCCACGTAGTCTTCCAGCAGCCTGTGGACACCAGCAGTCATCTCACTCTACCAGGACGGTGCATCGGCTCCCGTGGGGCACCAGGGACAGGCACATCCTGGGCCCACACAAGTACAGCAGGCCTGGCCCTTGCCGGACAGAAGGTGCCACCCTGCACAGCCCATGGCCCTCAGTGAAGATGCCCCCCTCACCCCCCCAGAGGCCACGGTGAGAGGTGAATGAATACGCCCTCCACATAAATGCCTGGGCCAGGCCTGGCACGGCTGCGGTTTCCTGACACACAGTGTGGCGGGGGGCAGCAGGAGCGGGGGCCGTGGGAGCTGGGGGCAGCAGGAGTGGGGGGCTGCGGGAACGGGGGAGCCGCGGGAGCTGGGGGCAGCGGGCCGGGCCTCACTGTGTCTCCTGCTTCCCGCCCTGGATCCACTGCTTCAGCAGGTACTCATAGTAGCTGTCGGCCCTGGCGCCCAGCGTGAATACGCCCAGGTGGGTGAAGAGGCCACTGTGGGTATTGATGAACATGGGCACCAGCCCATCCTTCTTCCCAGACAGGCCGTGGATGTGCTGTGTCACCTTCTCCACTGCCTCCTGCGGCAGAAAGGGGGATGGTGGGTTTACTGGCCAGGGCCGAGCTGCAGGGTGAGCTGTAGAGGGGCTCTGTGAGCTCTGCCTCCCCTCGCCCCAGCACCGACTGACTCCCAGCAGAGAGAGCTCTGTGCCCAGCCCACAGCTGTCCTTGCCCACATGGCTCCTGGTGGCCGTACCACACAGCCACACAGCCACCAGTGCAACGCACCTGAATGTCACTGCTCCCAACGGGTGGTCACCACAGAGCTGACCCATCTTCAGGATGGCTCTCATCCCTTACTCGAAGGGACAGCATCTGACAACCACAGGCACTGTCCTCACGAGAGCCCACCAGGCCTGGCCGTCAGCCATGGCTCTGGAGGGACGGCAAGTGTGCCTGCCTTCTGAGCCCAGTGTTGCTCCTGATGATATTAAACGCCTCGGCTCCACGCCCTCCTGGTGAGCTCCTACTCATCCTCCAAGTCACAGCCACCCTCAGCTCCTCAGGGCTTACGCCCAGCTGGCAGCACCAGGCGTCCTGGCCCACAGAGGGGCACAGGGTACCGGGATGTTAGGGCACGCCCAGCAAGGGCGCTCCGGGTCTCTACCCAACGCAGACACCCAAACCCATGCCCAGCACCTTCGAGGCCTGGCTGCCTATCCCTGTGTACCGGCAGCAACCAGAGGCCCTGGTGACATGGGGGTGCCCATGGGGGCCTGGGGCCATTTTCTGAGCTGCAGTGAAAACGCCTTCTAAATGTCTGCATGGGAGCCTCACGTGGATGGCGTGTGGGAGCCTCACGTGGATGGTGTGGGCTGCACTTCTCACCACAAGTGGTCACAGTTGCTCTAAAGAGGGCTGTGTCCAGCTCATGATTAAAAACAGGGACTCGAACATGAGGCCAAATACATGAGCAACAATAAACTGACCAGCTGTGCTTCATGAAAATGACAATCTGTTATCTATCAAAATACACCATTAACAAAGTAAAAAGAGGCCGGGCACAGTGGCTCACACCTGTAATCCCAGCACTTTGGGAGGCCAGTGGGTGGATCACCTGAGGTCAGTTCCAGACCATCCTGGCCAACATGGCAAAACCCCATCTCTACTAAAAATACAAAAAAATAACGGGGTGTGGTGGTGGGTGTGGTCCCAGCTACTCGGGAGGCTGAGGCAGGAGAATCGCTTGAACCCGGGAGGTGGAGGTTGCAGTGAGCCGAGATCGCGCCACAGCCTCAGGCAGGTGTGTGCACCCACACTCACAACACCCAAAACACAGCCTCAGGCAGGTGTGTGCACCCACACTCACAACACCCAAAACACAGCCTCAGGCAGGTGTGTGCACCCGCACTCACAACAAAGCAGAGCCTCAGGCAGGTGTGTGCACCCACACTCACAACGGCCAAAACACAGCCTCAGGCAGGCGTGTGCACCCGCGCTTACAGCAACCAAAACAGCACAGTCCTGGTGTCCACCAGAGGAGAGAGGATTAAACAAAAAGTGGCCTAGCCACGCAGCAGATATTCAGCCTGAAAAAGGAATCTCTGAAGCATCTTTCGCGTATGAAGCTTAAAGACGCTGAGTGAAAGGAGCCCAAATAAAAGGATAAATCAGCCGGGTGTGGTAGCTCACGCCTGTCATCCCAGCACTGTGGGAGGCCCAGGCGGGTGGATCACGAGGTCAGGAGTTTGAGACCAGTCTGGCCAACTTGGTGAAACCCTGTCTCTAATAAAAACACAAAAATTAGCTGGGCGTGGTGGCAGGCGCCTGTAATCCCAGCTACTTGGGAGGCTGAGGCAGGAGAATCACTTGAACCTGGGAGTGGAGGTTGCAGTGAGCTGAGATCACGCCACTGCACTCCAGCCTGAGTGACAGAATGAGACTCTGTCTCAACAAACGAAAACAAAAAAAGGACAAATCGTGTGTGACTGCACTCACACGAGGAACTCCACACAATGAGGTCCAGGAAGAAAAACCTGAACAGTGTTTTTCAGGGACTGGGGAGGGACATGAAGGGTCACTGTGTGATGGGAGAGCTTCAGTTTTAAGATGAAAAGGGCTCTGGAGATGGAAGTGATAGCTGCACAACAGCATGAATGTGTGTAACACCACTGACCTGTACTCCTGCAACAGCGTGAATGTAACACCACCGACCTGCATGCCTGCAACAGCATGAATGTGCAACACCACCGACCTGCACGCCTGCAACAGCATGAATGTGTAACACTACCGACCTGCATGCCTGCAACAGCATGAATGTGTGTAACACCACTGACCTGCACGCCTGCAAGTGTGAATGTGTGTAACACCACCGACCTGCAAGCCTGCAACAGTGTGAATGTGTGTAACACCAACCTGCACACCTGCAACAGTGTGAATGTAACACCACCGACCTGCACGCCTGCAACAGCATGTGTGTAACACCACGGACCTGCACGCCTGCAACAGTGTGAATGTGTGTAACACCACCGACCTGCACGCCTGCAAGTGTGAATGTGTGTAACACCGACCTGCACGCCTGCAACAGCATGAATGTGTGTAACACCACCGACCCGCACGCCTGCAAGTGTGAATGTGTGTAACACCAACCTGCACGCCTGCAACAGCGTGAATGTAACACCACCGGCCTGCACGCCTGCAATAGCGTGAATGTGTGTACCACTGACCTGCACGCCTGCAACAGCGTTGTGTGTAACACCACCGACCTGCATGCCTGCACCAGCGTGAATGTAACACCACCGACCTGCACGCCTGCAACAGCATGAATGTAACACCACTGACCTGCACGTCTGCAACAGCGTGAAAATGTGTAACACCACCGACCTGCACGCCTGCAACAGCATGAATGTACCACCGACCTGCACGCCTGCAACAGCATGTGTGTAACACCGACCTGCACGCCTGCAACACCATGAATGTGTGTAACACCACCGACCTGCACGCCTGCAACAGTGTGAATGTGTGTACCACCGACCTGCACGCCTGCAACAGTGTGAATGTAACACCACCGACCTGCACGCCTGCAACAGCATGTGTGTAACACCACCGACCTGCACGCCTGCAAGTGTGAATGTGTGTAACACCAACCTGCACGCCTGCAACAGTGTGAATGTAACACCACCGACCTGCACGCCTGCAACAGTATGAATGTAAGACCACCGACCTGCACGCCTGCAAAAGCGTGAATGTGTGTAACACCACCGACCTGCATGCCTGCAACAGCGTGAATGTGTGTAACACCACTGACCTGCACGCCTGCAACAGCATGAATGTAACACCACCGACCTGCACGCCTGCAACAGTGTGAATGTGTGTAACACCACCGACCTGCACGCCTGCAACAGCATGAATGTGTGTAACACCACCGACCTGCACGCCTGCAAGTGTGAATGTAACACCACCGACCTGCACGCCTGCAACAGCATGAATGTGTGTAACAGCACCGACCTGCATGTCTGCAACAGTGTGAATGTGTGTAACACCACCGACCTGCACGCCAGCAACAGCGTGAATGTAACACCACCGACCTGCACGCTTGCAACAGCGTGAATGTAACAGCACCGACCTGCACATCTGCAACAGCGTGAATGTGTGTAACACCACCGACCTGCACGCCTGCAACAGCGTGAATGTGTGTAACACTGACCTGCACGCCTGCAACAGAATGAATGTGTGTAACACCACCGACCTGCACGCCTGCAACAGTGTGAATGTAACACCACCAACCTGCACGCCTGCAACAGCGTGTGTAACAGCACTGACCTGCACGTCTGCAACAGCGTGAATGTAACACCACCGACCTGCACGCCTGCAACAGCGTGAATGTGTAACACCACCGACCTGCACGCCTGCAACAGTGAATGTGTGTAACACCACCGACCTATACTCCTGCAACAGCATGAATGTGTGTACCACCACCGACCTGCACACCTGCAACAGCACGTGTAACACCACCGACCTGTACTCCTGCAACAGCAGGAATGTGTGTAACAGCACCGACCTGCACGCCTGCAACAGCGTGAATGTAACACCACCGACCTGCACGCCTGCAACAGCATGTAACACCACCGACCTGTACTCCTGCAACAGCATGTGTGTAACAGCACCAACCTGCACGCCTGCAACAGCATGAATGTGTGTAACACCACCGACCTGTACTCCTGCAACAGCATGTGTGTAACACCACTGACCTGTACGCCTGCAACAGCCCAAATGTGTGTAACACCACCGACCTGCACGCCTGCAACAGTGTGAATGTGTGTAACACCACCGACCTGCACGCCTGCAACAGCGTGAATGTAACACCACCGACCACGCCTGGAAATGGTTAAGGTGGTGCGTTTTGTGTGTTTTATCACAGTAAAAAACCTGAAAACACACATGCACATACACACACACACACAGTACCTGCTGTGATGAGCAAAAGGTAGCTCCAGGGGAGGCGCATCCAGCCAGAAAGCCTGCCCCCTTACCTGAAACTTCTTATCCCCTGTGAGACGGGAGAGCTCCCGGAACTCCAGCTGAATGCTGGTCACCTCGGCCACAGTGCTGTCGGAGGTCCACCGTGGCGGGTGGGCAACTCCAGTACCGATGTTCACATCCGAGTAAGGAATCTTGGATGGTGTTCTGAAGGCAGGCATTAGCCGATTTCCAAAATCCTCCTGGTATATGAGCAGAGTAGAGAACCAACGTTCAGGTCACCCAGAGGCCTCGTCTACACCCTTTCATGCAGTTCAGTGGAGACACTGAAGGCTCTCTGGGGTCAACACAGCAGCAAGGAAACGGGCATCACTCTGCACTGAGTGAATGTCTCTACAAGGCCAGTGGTGATCAAAGTGGCTTCATCAGCTCACGAATATGAGCTCAGAAACAGACTCCAGTGCATTTGAAGAGGAAACAGGAAGACAGTCACGTCCCCACAAGTCCACTAAAGGGGTAACTGCTTGAATGCGAGTCCACCATCTCCCTGCAGGACACCCCAAGACACTTACAGCTTTCCTCAGGAAGAGGCTGTCCCCAGACAGGTGGTAGGCACTCAGGAGCCCCCCCAGGATGCGGATCGTGCTCTCAAACAGGTTGACGTCCACGTCCTTTTCAAAGTGTAACTTCTTCGACACCCACTTCCTGGCTTCCTCAAATTCTATGACATAAAACAGTAAAGGATGCAGAGACAAATGGATGGCTCCAACGTTTTCCTATTATCTATCCATCTTCAAAATACATTTGGCTGGGCGTGGTGGCTCATGCCTGTAATCCCAGCACTTTGGGAGGCTGAGGCAAGTGGATTGCTTGAGCCCAGGAGTTAGAGACCAGCCTGGACAACATGGGAAAACCCCATCTCTACTAAAAACACAAAAATTAGCTGAGTATGGTGGCGCATGCCTGTGGTCCCAACTACTGGGGAGGGTGAGGCATGAGAATAGCTTGAACCCGGGAGGCGAAGGCTGCAGTGAACTGAGATCGTGCCACTGCACTCCAGCCTGGGCCACACCACTAGACTCTGTCTCCAAAAAACCCACGTTTGAAACCAGGAGGCCAAGGTTGCAATGAGCCGAGATTGCGCCATTGCACTCCAGCCCAGGAGACAGTGAAAGACTCCATCTCAAAAACAAAAAAACAAAAACAAAAAACCAAACCCATGTCTGGGGCGTTATCGTTCCCCTGCAGGGCTTCAATATCACCTCCTATCTCAAGGGGGTAAATCTTGAAGTCGTCAACATTTGTTAATAAAACGGAGTCAGCAGTGCAGTTGCTATGGCCACCAATGGGTCACAACCAAAGGCTACGACCCAAAAAAATTACACACGTCGTTTACTGGTGGTCTTCAACCTATTCAAAAAATTAGGCAAATGTTTAAATTATCGCTTAAATAACCGAAGACACATACTCCCAATTCAAAGTGGATGTGCTGGTCTATGAAGGATGCTGCTGAGATCTGGGACCAGCGGGGCCCCACAGTCACTCATCCCACCACCCCCAGCTGCAAGAGAAGCACAGCCTGGGAATGTCCCTTGGACGTCCCCCAAAGAGTCCACACTCAACTCCTGCAGAGGTCTGGGGACAGCGGCCCTGTGTGTGCCTTGGGTGGCTGGACAAGAACAGGAACTGACCACAGCCAACACGTCCACTCCCGCACCCAGGAGAAGGGAAAACCCATGGTCAGATGCAAACAGCAGCTTTCACCCCGTGTGCAACCCACACTCTGCCTCAGCACACGAGGCCCACACGGAGGGCTCAGCCCCTCCCCAGAAAGCACCAGGTACCTTTCCTCAGACCCAAGATCCACATGGTGTCCAGCGCGTCGATCAGTGTGAGACCGAGGCCAAACCACTCACTGAAGGACCTGGACACAGGCTTCAGCTCGTCATGGCCCCATGCAAACTTGCGGTATCCTTTCCATGCATGCAGGAAGACGTCAATCACGCCCTTCTGGCGATAGTTCAGATGCACTAGTAGGGGGGAGAGAGCACAGGCCATGGCGGACGTGGTCCTGGCGTCGGCACAGATGGACACCCTCAGGCAGAGCACTGCTGTGACCCCCATGGGGCAAAGATGACGGTGGGTTTGGGACGACGGGAAGGGCGGTGGTGGGCACAGCAAAGGCCAGGGCCACAGAGGCTGCAGCAGCCCCCAGGGAGAACACAGCCTGCCAAGGGCCTGAGACCTCTGGAGACTGCACAGGATGGCACCTGTCACCCGACCACCTGACTGGGGCCCATGCACCTCCACCTGGCGCCTGGGCAGGCACACCCTCCTTGGGCCTCGGTGGCCTCTGGCCAAAGGGACAAGGGTGGCTGCCCCAAGGGCGCTGGGACAGCACAGTGAGCACAGCCTGTGGAGACGTGGGTGAGTGTGGTGCCAACTCAGAATGTGAAACACGGACGGGTGCAGACCTCGCGATGAACATCCTCGACTCAAACACGCTCCTTCTGCCACGTGGGCTTCAGGTGCTCCACGGGAATCGCACTGTGCACACGCGCTACAGTCCCTTCGTTCCCTTTTTTTAAATTTTTTTGGCTGGGCACGGTGGCTCCCGCCTGTAATCCCAGTACTCTGGGAGGCCGAGGTGGGCAGATCACCTGAGGTCAGAAGTTTGAGACCAGCCTCGCCAACATCGCGAAACCCCGTCTCTACTAAAAATACAAAAATTAGCCAGGTGTGGTGGCGGGTGCCTATAATCCCAGCTACTAGGGAGGCTGAGGCAGGAGACTTGCTTGAACCCAGAAGGCAGACGTTGCAGTGAAGTGACAAAGCAAGACTCTGTCTCAAATATACACATATATATAAATTTCTTTTTTTTTTGTAGAGATGGGGCCTCACTGTGTTGTCCAGGCTGGTCTTGAACTCCTGGACTCAAGAGATCCTTCTACCTCAGCCTCCCAAAGTGCTGGGATTACAAGTGTGAGCCACCACGCCCGGCCAACATTGACTAATGTGTGGATTGACACGTGTGTAACGGCACCAAACCACACGTCCTCTCAGGAAAGGTTCTGAGGCCTCCTTGTGCTCATGGCATGTCTATGCCTCTGCCTCTGCCTCTGCCCTCATTGATGCCGCAGAGATTGCTACACATCCCTCACAGGCCCGGGGCTGGGAGTCCTGGCTCTGGGCTCCCTCCCCACCTCAGAGACACCTGGGGGGCATGATGAGAGCAGGGCTCCAGACTCAGCGACCTGCCATGAGCCCCCACAGACAAGCAAACGACTCTGGGGGTGGCTGTCCTCAGCCCTGCTTTTCAGTCTGGAGAACGGGAGGGTGAGTGGCTTATCGTGTCAGAGGGTGTCATGAGGTTGAAAGAGGCCTCAGGTCATGCACTGAGCTTGGCCGAAGGCCCGCACCTGGGAGGCCCCCAACAAACGGTGCTGAGAATGAAGTGGCCCCCAGAGCTGCCTGGGACTGGCCAGGCCGAGACAGGGGACACAGCACGGGCAGCAGTCTCCAGGGATCCCGTGGGGCAGCCTGGCCCAGACACAAACCTCTCAGACACACCTTCTTCTGCAGCCATGTGCTCAGGGACAGCAGGCCAAGAGCCACATGGTGTCACCAAGGTTGCAGAGCCTGTGAGGACTCAGACAACAGGGGGATGCTGAAGGGCAAGGTGCACACCAGGGCGGGGGCGCCACCCACCATGGCTGAGACGAAGCCTGCACCCATCAGCCACCAGCCCCTGAGCGCCCGGGGAGGAAGGGGTGCAGGTGTGGCCTCACCTGGTGTGCCCTGTGTCCTGGCCGGTGGCAGGGGAGGCTTGGTGGGCACTTCTGCTCTTCTTGAAGGGAGCTCGGTGCCCTGCTCAGGCTCGATCACCGCTCCCCTCCAGCTTCGGGGGAGAAGGAAGGGTGTCAGCTGCCGTCAAACATTTGTGGCTCCATGTTTCCCACCCCCACGCTCCATACCCACGGCCAAGGCACAGCCCTGCACCCAAAGCGGCCCCATCATCCTGAGGTGCAGGCTGCTGAGTGGCAGGAAACACACAGTTCAGTCCTGAGCTCCCGTGCCTGAGAGCCAAGACCACAGCACTGCTCCAGGGTCAAGGCTGGCCTGAGGTCAGAGACCAGAGCTTGGAGAATCGTGAGAAATCCCTCTGCAGAGGCCGGAGGCGGGGGGCCTCTATGGTGGAGGAGTAGAGAATCTTTCATCCAAACAGGAGCACTAGTGACAGTGAGGTGGCCCCAAGATGCCAGGATGGCCACACAGACGGGGGCTGTCCCTACACACGAGACGCATGGCCACTCAAACTCCCCATCGAGTTCTGTCCAATGGCCATCAGGAACAGCTATGAGGTTGTGTAGAGGGTTTGCCGCGCAACCTCCTAACTGTGGCTGGGCCCGAGCGTTCTCTTGGGGCCCTGTGGTGAATCTGTCCCAGGATCAGCAAAAGGCCTCTTACAACCACAGATGGCTTACATGCTGGGAGTACAAACGTGGCACTTTTGACAAGCTGAGGTCAAATCCTCTTTTGCTCTGGAAGTAAAGCGTCCTTGCATTCATGCCAACGCTAACTAGAGCACAGTGGCCCTCAAATTCTCCTCCTGGCCGTGAGGACCCCTCACATGCACATGTCCACGCCTCTCACCACGCGCTTGAGTTCAGGGCCTCTGGGCCCGTTTCTTCGGAGCCCATCTCTCACGGCGGACAGCGCTTGTCTCAGGCCACTCCTGCACAGCAGCCCTCACTGGCCCTGGCTCTGCCCACACTTTGTAGAAGAGAGAGGACGTCTGCGGGGAACCCTTCCTTCCGCCTCAACCACAATCAACTCCGTTTCTAAGAGCGTAACATGGAGCCGGAAACGAGGCAGAGACGCCTCCAGCACCGAAGCTCCACTGGGATCCACTACCTGGACTTGACGAACCGGGCAGAGGACAGCACTCTGGGAGCCTGGGCACCGGGCAACTCCCTCTCCCTCTGCTCTCTGCTCGACCAGATGGGGCTCGGGAAAGGAGGTGGCCCAGGCAGCCAGCGTCCACCTCTGAGCCTGGCTCCCCATCCCCACGCACCTGTGCACCCTTCACACGCACACAAAACATTCTGAAATGTTACTGCATACCATGAGGACATTATCGGGGACCTAATTTAGCTCTGACCTCCAGTTTTAAAAATTCGATTCTGTAATCTAAGGTTAATGAGGACAGATTACAGAGCATACACTGTCAGTTTCAAAGGAAAATAGATCTCAGACACAATGCGTTTCCGCAATCTTGTTTTTCGGAACATCAAGCCCTGAGCGGCGGCGTGCAGCCTGCCCTGCGCTCTGTACCTGATGACTGTCCTCTGCGGATCTCCTTCCGGGCGGGGATCCACAGGGGCTTCTTGCCTTTTTGTGGCCTCCTCCTGGGTCCCATCCTTCAGGTCTTGGCTTGGGGGTCTAATCTGCAGGTGAGGTGGTCCCCGCTGGATGTGTCTTTGTGTCTTCTGTAGAGAAATTGGTCACACAGGAAATCACGGGGTGTCTGCGAGCTGCCCTTCTTTCCCTCTATGGGACGCCCTCAGGTGCAGCCCACACCTCACAGACTGAGCTTCTGACCTCTGACTAAATTACTTTCGTTTTTCAATACGACAGGCAGCTTCAGAAGACAGCTCCTTAGGAGCCTGGGGACACTGCCGACTGGCTAAACGGCCCCAGACAAAACGCTTAAGCCCCTCCCACGGTGGGAATATTTCCAAACTCTCACAGGTCCTAAAGCGTTAATAACAAAGGGCTGCAGTAAACACCAGCTCCAGCAACACCTCTGGGTCCCCAGGCCTCCCGCACAGTCATCTGCAAAGTGAGGCAGGCACCCACATCCTCACTACAAAGCACAAAGCTTCCGATGACATATGGAGCTGGGTTCCCCTTGCCAGGCGCCCCCTGCTGTGTGATGCGGGCCTTCTAGCCAGCCCCCACCACCCTGTTCCCTGTTTCCACACCTGCAGGCACAGAGCCCCGTCCTCTGCTCCCTTCCCCACGTGAACAGGAGCGTGGGAAAGCTGCAGACCGTGTCACGGACTGAGGCTTAGGTCCTCCTACGTGAGTCTAGAGGCAAATCCATTCTCTCCTATGGCCTCAGTTTTCTGTGGTATTACCAAACCTTAATTTTTATTATTATTATTACTATAGAGACAGGGTCTCCTTATGTTGCCCAGGCTGGTCTTAAACTCCTGGCCTCACGAATTCCTCCTGCCTTGGCTTCCCAAAGTGCTGGGATGACAGGTTGCAGCCAACATGCCCGGCACAAGCCATAATTTTGTACTTCTTTACTGATGGATATTTAGATTGCTCCACTTTTTTTTTTTTTAAAAAAGGAAAGAATGCTTACTTATGGCTGGGCACGGTGGCTCACGTCTGTAATCCCAGCACTTTGGGAGGCAGGTGGATCACCTGAGGTCAGGAGTTCAAGACCAACCTGGGCAACATGGTGAAACACCATCTCTACTAAAATTACGAACAATTAGCCAGGCGTGGTGGCGCACGCCTGTAATCCCAGTCAGAGTCTTGTTTTGTCACCCAGGCCGGAGTGCAATGGTGCAATCTTGGCTCACTGCAACCTCCACCTCCTGGGTTCAAACGATTCTCCTGCCTCAGCCTCCCAAGTAGCTGGGATTACAGGCGCGTGTCACCACACCTGGCTAATTTTTGTATCTTTAGTAGAAATGGGGTTTTACCATGTTTGCCAGGCTGGTCTCGAACTCCTGACCTCAGGTGATCTACCCACCTCAGCCTCCCAAAGTGCTGGGATTACAGGCATGAGCCACCATGCCCAGCCTGTTTTTTTTGTTTGTTTGTTTTTTGAGACAGAGTTTTACTCTTGTTGCCCAGGCAGGAGTGCAGTGGCGTGATCTTGGCTCACTGCAACCTCTGCCTCCTGGGTTCAAGTGATTCTCCTGCCTCAGACTCCTGAGTAGCTGGGATTACAGGCGCCCGCCACCACTCCAGGTTAATTTTTTGTATTGTTAGTAGAGACAGGATTTCACCATGTTGGCCAGGCTGGTTTTGAACTCCTGGTCTCAAGCAATCCACCCGTCTCAGCCTCCCAAAGCGCTGGGATTACAGGCATGAGCCACTATGCCTGGCCCCAGCCTGTTTTTTTTTTTAATAGAGATGGGGTCTCACTATGTTGCTCAGGCTGGTCTCGAACTCCTGCATTCAAGCAATCTGCCTGCCTCGGCCTCTCAAAGTGCTGGGATGACAGATGTGAGCCACTAGTTCCACTGTGTTTCTCTAGTCTCTTCTCCACCAGGTCATGCAATCACTGTCCTCTTCATCTCCCTGCTATTGAGTCCACAGTGGAAGGTCGGAACAAACTATTAGAATTATGTCACTAAGATCACCTAGTCTTAAAAATCACCGTTACGAGGGTCAGGTGCAGTGGCTCACATCTGTAATCCTAGCACTTTGGGAGGCCGAGGCAGGAGGATCACCTGAGCCCAGGAGTTCCAGACCAGCCTGGGTAACAAAGTGAGACCCCACCTCTACAAAAAATCAAAAAGTTAGCCGGGCGTGGTGGCACATCCCTGTAATCCCAGCTACTTGGGAGGCTGAGGCAGGAGAATCACTTGAACCCGAGACGTGGAGGTTGCAGTGAGTGGAGATTGTGCCACTGCACTCCAGCCTGGGCAACAGAGTGAGACTCTGTCTCAAAAAAAAAAAAAATCACCATGGGTTCAATGATCACAGTTTTATGATCTTGTAGGGAAGTTCATCTGAGTTTTACTCCCAAATTTTCTTTCCATATGAATTTTAAAATCATCTTTAAAAACAGAGGTTGGAATTTTGATAGGGAGTCAATGGATTTACAGATGAATTTAGGGAGAACTTAAATCTTTTCTCTTTTTTTTGAGACAGAGTCTTGCTCTGTCGCCCAGGCTGGAGTGCAGTGGCGCGATCTCGGCTCACTGCAACCTCCGCCTCCCAGGTTCACGCCATTCTCCTGCCTCAGCCTCCCGAGTAGCTGGGACTATAGGTGCCTGCCACCACGCCCGGCTAATTTTGTTTTTGTATTTTTAGTAGAGACGGGGTTTCACTGTGTTAGCCAGGATGGTCTCAATCTCCTGACCTTGTGATCCACCCGCTTCAGCCTCCCAAAGTGTTGGGATTACAGGCGTGAGCCACTGCTTAAATCTTCACAGCAGAAGAATAAAATGTCTACTTATTTAGGTCTTTTCAAATACCTTGAGTGTTGTACTTTTATTTATACTGACTTTATATATTTTAGTATCAGGATTACTCCTACGGACTTGGTGGCATTCTTTTCTTGTGATTGTGATGGAGATCACTTTTCTTTTCTTTTTCGAGACTGAGTCTCACTATCACCCAGGCTGGAATGCAGTGGTGCGAACTCCGCTTGCTGCAGCCTCCACCTCCCAGTTCAGGCCTCAGCCTGCTGAGTAGCTGGGATTACAGGTGCGCACCACCACGCCTGGCTAATTTGTGTATTTTTAGTAGAGATGGGGTTTCACCATGTTGGCCAGGCTGGTCTCAAACTCCTGACCTCAAACCTCAAGTGATCCGCCTGCCTCGGCCTCCCAAAGTGCTGGGACTACAGGTGTGAGCCACTGCAACCTCCTGAGATCTCTTTTCAATAACATTTTCTAATTGATTACTGCTACTATATAGCAAAGTTCTCTAAAACTAATTTCTAAGCCGGATGAAGTCATAAGAAGCATACTTGGTAAAGGATGAAATATTCTAACTCACAACAGTCATACTAATAATAAAGGGAATACCAATAATAAAGGAAAATATAAAAGTCCTAAGACTCATCAAAGGACACGGACAGCTTCCGGGATGGGAGCACATAGGGCCGTTCATCACCTCTCCCCTCCTGTAAGTGTCCCTGCTTCTAGGCAAGACACACAAGCATCCACGAAAAGCAGGCGCCAGTTTCTGACTGTTGCATTGGAAACATTGCCGACACGAGAATGCCCAGTGCTGCCATGGCACCACTGACTGCTACTCTCAGCACCGTAGCAGGGGAAGCAAATTCGGGAATAGTTTGTCATGATACACGTCATAGGACATCAAAATCTTCACAACCTTTAACTCTTAATAGTTTACGTACAACGGATGTAATGGGGACATTTACAAATGAAGAAAGAATCAACAGATAAATGATTTAGAAAATGATGGTTTATCCAAGCAATGGAGAAGAGCTATAAAAATCTGTATGAAAGGGAATATTCTCATGTGCATAAAAAAAGAAACAGGGACCAATCCAGCCCCTAACCCTCAATTACGTACACACGTGTGTATCCAAATACCAATCCAGCCCCTAACCCTCAATGATGTATACATGTGTTTATCCAAATAAAATTATTATTATTATTTTTTGAGACAGGGTCTCCCTGTCATCCAGGCTGGATCATAGCTCACTGTAGCCTCAACCTCCCTGGCTTAAGCGATCCTCCCACCTCAGCCTCCCAGGTAGCTGGGACTATAGGCATGTCGTGCCTGGCTAATTTTTTTTTTTTTTGGTAGAGATGGTGGTCTCACCGTGTTACCCAGACTGGGCGTAAGCAATCTGCCTGCCTTGGCCTCTGAAAGTGCTGGGATTACAGGTGTGAGCCACCATACCCAGCCACATAAATTGAAAGACATATACCAAGTGTTTCAAGAGTTGGACTGGGAACAGGGGTAATGTGTGGCTGTGTATTCCCCTTTATACCTTCTCAATGTTCCCATTTTCTCTCCTAAGCCCCTATAACATTTGAAATCAGACAGGTGTGGTGTCTTATGCCTGTGATCCCAGCATTTCAGGAGACTGAGGCAGGAGGATCACTTCAGCTCAGGAGTTGGAGACCAGTCTGGGCAACATAGTGAGACCTCATCTCTATTAAATAATTTTAAGGCCGGGCGTGGTGGCTCACGCCTGTAATCCCAGCACTTTGGGAGGCTGAGGCGGGCAGATCACGAGGTCAGGTGATCAAGACCATCCTGGCTAACACGGTGAAACCCCGTCTCTACTAAAAATACAAAAAATTAGCCGGGCGTGGTGGCGGGCACCTGTAGTCCTAGCTACTCAGGAGGCCAAGGCAGGAGAATGGCATGAACCCGGGAGGTGGAGCTTGCAGTGACCTGAGATTGCGCTACTGCACTGCAGCCTGGGAAACAGAGGAAGACTCTGTCTCAAAAAAAAAAAAAAAAAAAAAAATATAAAACAAAAAAATTTGAACTCAACCAAAGTAAAACGTTAACAGAAAGGGATCTGGCCTAAACACAGCCTCATCCCTAACCAGGTCTAGACAAGTGCCAGGGTCTGAACAGGAGAGGCAGTGCAAGTGATCCCTGGAGGGCAGGATGTCTCCAAGTCAATGCTTGAGAAAGACAGAAATATTCACCATCCACCACCCCAGCTGCTCCTGGACACTAGGTGCTGGCTTATGGGTCACTTGTGAGTGGTGGAAACACATCTTTCAATGGAAAAAATACCACAGTCTGCTCTCAGGCAGTTACGATACTCCATATGCAAAGGAGACGAAGGACCAAAGAAGGAAAGGAAGCACCTGTCGGCTTTCCAGTCAGGAAAATTCAATTTGTAGACAAAGACCTTGGTCAAAGGCAGAAATCCTCACACCGAAGAGTGTGGAGCAGTGGCCCCATGGCCAATCAAGAGCAGGACTCTCCCATCAGGCACGGCACCTTCTAGGGGCCAATTCCCACCCTACACCCTCTGCCCGGCTAGACCACCCTTGGAGAAGCTGCTCAGCGACAGGAATGCTGCCTTTGAAAGGAGAATGTGGGTTTGCTTCCTTCTGCTTTTTGGTACTGTCCATCCCCTCTCTATTGAGCTTATAGAAATTTTAAAAGGACACATTTTCTTGTTAAAGAAATCAAAGGGCCGGGCATGGTGGCTCATGTCTGTAATCCCAGCACTTTGGGGGGCTGAGGTGGGCAGATCAAGAGGTCAGGAGTTCGAGACCAGCCTGACCAACATAGTGAAACACGTCTCTATTAAAAATACAAACGTTAGCTGTGCGTGGTGTCGGGCGCCTGTAATCCCAGCTACTCGGGAAGCTGAGGCAGGAGAATCACTTGAACCCGGGAGGCGGAGGTTGCAGTGAGCTGAGATCACACCACTGCACTCCAGCCTGGGCGACAGAGTGAGATTCCGCCTCGAAAAAAAAAAAAATCAAAACACCCCCACGGCAGTCTGAGGGTGGCCCAAGCTCATGGGGGCCAATGCCCCAATGCCCCTCTTGCTGAGATCCTTAGCCAGTGGGCAGCAGCCTGCCTCCAGCTCCCCAGCCCAGGAGCTGTTCCTCGGCAGGTTACCACTCCCAAGGCCACTGTTAGAAAGCGCTGTCTGTCCCTGTCACAGCCCTGCAGGGAAGTCCACCTGGCGCTGAGGACTCTGGCCACAGGTGAAGCTCCCAAGGCACTCCCACACCTGCTAGACACAATCACAGATGTACCAACAACAGTAACTAACACCCTAAGGGCCTTCTAAGGGTTCCGAGCAGCCACACCAGAGTCAGCACCACCCTGGTGTTCTCAACGGTGTCGGGGATTTGGCTGTTCTTCCTGAACCAAACCTTCACTGACAGGACGTTTTCCTGGTTCTCCAGCTGCCTCCTGACCCATCCCCAGTCTCCACTCCCCCTGCCCTCCTCCCTGACCCCAATCTTCTCAGCCTGGTGGTGCCCAGGACTAGGCCTGGCCCCTTCTTCCAACGTTTCCAGAGGACACAAACCACCTATACCTAGGGACTCCTAAAACCTGTCTCCCCTGGCAGACTCTGATCCTGGCACCACCTGCCCACCAAGGTCTCCATGGCGCCTCCCAGACATCTCACAGTGGGCAGATCCAAAACGGAGCTCCTCAGTGTCCCCAAGCCAGAGCCTGCACAGCCTTTGCTGGCCCCTCCACCCGGGGACTCACCCTCCTTCTCCCAAGGCCCACTCCTGCGGAGCACTCCTCCCCCCACTCAGCTTTTCCCACGGCCAGGCAGCTCTCCTGGCCTCCTGCCCTCCACTGTGTCTCCACCCAGCCAGAGCAGTTTCACAGTAAACATCTCAGACCTCCAGTCCACGCCAAAATCTTCCCGCATACATCAACTGGACCCTCCATGCTGCCTCCAGGACCTGCAGGACCACAGCTGGACTGAGCCAACCCCTGCTCCCTCTCCCAGCCCTGGGAATTTCACCTTCCCGCATATGCCAAGGTCCTCCTTGCCTCAGGCAGTTTCACTCAGGCTCAAGTCTGCCTCTCCCCACCTTGCCCGGTGCCAGCAGCTTCTCAGCCCTCAGATCTTGCCCTCAGTGCCACGGCCTCCCCTGAACCCTCAGGACCAGCCACTGTTCTTCACCAGCGCCCTGCTCTTTTCCACATAGGATGTACACCATGTGCCATCTGCCTCTGCCCATCTGTGCCTGGCTTCTCACCAGCCTCTCCTACCAGCTGTGGCCTCTTGAGAGGAAACAGGTCTGTCTTATTCAACACTGCACAGTCAGAAGTAAAACCGGAACTGGCCATGGCTGGTCTTCAAAAAGAATGAAGCAAAGACTACGCCTCTCTTTCCCCAAGTATTATCCGACCAGTCCAAAACGAGAGAGAGGTAAACACGTGGTAATAAATGGTAAAGGAAAATAATTCTTCTCAATCTTCAGTGGTTTGAAATGCCTCTGGATTGAACCCCAGTTATAACCCCACACCATTTGCTCAAAGTACCTGTGACGAAATCTCAGGTAAGTTCTCAGGGTCGGTGTCCGCCTTCTGAGGAGCTGGTAAGACGGGTGGATTTGCTGGTTTTAACCCAGCAATTTCTGGCCTCATCTTCTGCTCTTCCTCTAGCCTGAAAGCCAGAGCTGAATAACAGAAGCTATTTTATTTCAAATATGCCACAAGGCCTACAAGAGATTTAAACTGCTTTATAAAAACACTTGGCAGGCACTATCCATTACAAATCAACATTATGATACCTGATAGTCACTGAAATGAATTCAACAATGTCCCAAGGGAATGAAATCTTTTTCAAAACACTTGGCAGTTTGTGTCCTTGTCCATAACACAGAACCCCACATCTTTTGCCTTCCTATTTTCCATTCAGGGACGTTCAGCATGTGGCAGGTGGGCAGGAGCCCTTTAGCTTTGCTCCAAAGAGAAGCATCTTAGACCAAGTGAGAAGAGATTCTCCACATCCTCACCAGAACTCTGCCTGGTCTTTTCCAAACACACGCTAATGAGTGCTACGAAATTTGTGTGGTTATTTAGGCTGAGTGTTCAAGCCCACCAGCTGACTTACTCTATAAGGGAGGCTGGACATATCAGTACTTACACCAGAGACCTAGAAAGTAGTCAGACAGCATCAAATTAACATCTGTGTTCTAGCCAGGTGGTTACATACAGCTCTACCTTTCTCTTTATCTTGATTTCTTGCCAATTCGTTGCCATATATGCCTCCTGGAGCTGTTTAAGGTAGAATGCAAGATTGCTTCTGCCCAATCAACCCTCAACACAGATATCGTTTTCAAGTACACGTGTTTCTGATACCTTTCCAATGGTCAGCCAAGTTGATGTAGAAGAGGAGTCCACAGAAAAGCAGAAAGGCAAGGAGGAAGAGAATCATATTCCGCTGCAATCTCGACAGTTGCTTCCATTTCTAAGGGAGGTACAGAGAATGACATTTCTTACTGAATATATCACACGGAACGTCTCAACTGTCACAAACTGTGAGGACAATAAGGAATTCTTCTGGAAGATCCAGTGTTCAGCTCTATTTCTTTTTTTTTTTGGAAACAGGGTCTCATTCTGTTACACCTAGGCTGGAGTGTAGTGGGTGGAACGCGGGATGAGCCACCGTGCCCGGCCAGCTCTATTTATTTTGAATGGGGAGAAGTTCCCTCTCAGCAGGGAGTAGGAACATTGCTGGGACAATACTACAGATGTCGTTAATACAGTGGTGCAGATGAGACGAGGATAAGAAAAAAGCAGAAACATTTCTGTCACATTTCATCAACAGTGGAGAAAGACTCCTGCGACTCCCACAGATGTAGCCCAGGCACCGCCCAGGCGATGCACAGTCCGCATGTGGTTATCAATGCCCTTCGGCCTGAGACCACCACGAACAGACCAGGAGCCAATCAAGAGGGGCTCATTTCTCACTGTACCGAGGGGAGCATACACCACGGGGAACCTCCGGTTTCCGCTCCAAGAGGGGCAGGCGCCTGGGCCAGGACCTTGCAGAAAAGCGAACGAAGCCCAGAAAACCTGCTGGGGCTCTGAGCCCTCTTCCCACCACCGCCCCGCAGAATTTGGGCCGCTGAGACCGCTGCAGGCGAGCCGCCCACGGCTGCCCCAACCAGGAACGCACATTTGCCCCTTTTTGCGGGGAAGGGGTGGAGAGGGCGGCGCCTGGGGAGTCGAGTCCGCCCGCCCAGGTCCCGCTCGGAGCCGCAGTCTGGGAGGGCGGCGGGCACGGCAGCCCCGGGCCCCAGTCAGCCCGGCGCGACCCTCACCCTCCAGCACGAGCGCCGCCGCCAACTCTTGCTGTTGTCATAGTTCTCGCCAAAGCTCAGCGTCACCGAGATGAAGTCCCGATGAGGCGGCGGCGGCGGCGGTGGGTACATGACTACAGTGGTGGCGACGGCCCAAGGGGCCCCGCCCACTGGCGGCGTCAGGAAGTCCGACTGAGAGGAACCGAGAGCTCCGCTTCTCCTGCCCTCGCAGGCAGCCATCGCAGCGCCGTCAACAGCCCGCCCATCACACGGATACGCGACTGCGCGTGCGCTGCGTCTCTATGCGGCCAGTGCGCCCGCGCCTGTCTCCGCTGCGCTCCAGCGTACGGGGCTGCGTCCTACGGCGACTGCGTCAGACAACTGCTGCGACTCCGCCCTGCCCTCAGGTTCATTGCGCATGCGTCCGGCAGCGCCTGCCCAGGTGTGCTACGAGCGTAGCTGTAGCAACGGGGCGGGCCTTGGTTCGCCTGGGGCGTGGTCGCTGTCTGGGGCTCCCACGTGGTTCGCCTCATGGGCCTGGAGCTGGGCTTCTCTCGCCTCCTGTCGTCTGGCTGCACCGACTTTGCCCACGCCCTCACGGGAGACGCAGACACTAGGGACCCGGGGAGGCGCCCGGGCGGGGCCGCCATGTTGGCAGAGAGTCCCAGCGTCCCGCGCCTCGGTTCCGGAACCCGCGGCGCGGGGATGGAGCTGGGCTGCCCTTGGGCGCCGTCCTGGGCTGGTGCCCACCCTGGCCGCGTGGTCACCGGCAAGAAGCCCAGGGCCTCACCCAGGCGTGGGGGCCGGGGGAAGGACCGGACCCTCCCGAAGTCGCGGACCAGGCCGGGCGGCACCCGGGCTGGGGTGGCTGCTACCCCGAGCTAAGCTGGCTGCGCCGCATCTCACGGTCCCCGGGGCCCGAGCGCTGCGCCTGGACCGGCGCCGAGCGAGGCGGCCAATCGGCCGGCTGGACCCACAGTCCCCGCGCCATAGGCGGGTCGGGGCTTTCAGACCCGGCTCCCAGCCCTCGAACTCGGTAACCTTGGAGGTCAGCTTGAGATGACTGCGCTTCCTGCACGCGTTGTCCTCCCCAGAAACGCCCAAAATGGCAAAGCGGCGTCCGTGGCCGCCCGAGGCCCTCCCTGCCTGGGTTCTCCCCAGCCGAACCTCACGCCCGGCCCCTCCTTCATTCTCTCCTGGCCAGGCTGCTCCTGCCCTTGGGCGAATCCGCTGCGTCCCACGGTCCTGACTGTGGCATTTCTGCGTGTCTGGAGAGCTCCCCCGGCAGCGACGTCCTGCTTAGCACGTGGCTCGTCTAACTCTGTTCCCCTGGCCTCCTGCTCTTCTAGGGGTCATCTTTAGGTTTCTGCTGGTCTCTGCCCCCTGTGACACTTGCTGGTACCCAAATGAAGTCGTTTATGTCACACTCTAACAAGAGGCCCTGAAGAAGCCCTCACAAAAACATTAGCAACGGAGCGCCTGCGGCAAACCCTTCTAACCTTTGGTCTTTATGGTTTCAAAGCAGTTTATGGGAACTTCTCTTTTTTAAAAGATTCCCCTTGGGGCCAGGCGCGGTGGCTTCTGTAATCCCAGGACTTTGGGAGGCCGAGGCAGGTGGATCACTTGAGGTCAGGAGTTCAAGACTAGCCTGGCCAACATGGTGAGACACCCGTCTCTACAAAAAACACAAAAAAATTAGCAGGGCATGGTTGGTGGCAGGCACCTGTAGTCCCAGCTACACGGGAGGCTTAGGCAGGAGAATTCCTTGAACCCAGGAGGTGGAGGTTGCAGTGAGCCGAGATGGCACCACTGCACTCCAGCCTGGGCAACAGAGCAAGACTCTGTCTCAAAAAAAAAAAAAAAAAAAAAAAAGAAATTTCCCGTGGGCGGGGCACAGTGACTCATGCCTGTAGTAATCCCAGCACTTTTGGAGGCCAAGGTGGGCAGATCCCCTGAGCTCAGGAGTCCAACCTGGGCAACATGGTGAAACCCCTGTCTCTACAAAAAATAAAAAAATGAGTCCAGTGTGGTGGTGTGCACCTGTGGTCCCAGCTACTCTGGAGGCTGAGGTGGGAAGACCACCTAAGCCCCAGGAGGTCGAGGCTGCAGTGAGCCATGATTGCACCACTGCACTCCAGCCTGGGCAACAGAGTGAGATCCAGTCTCAAAAAAAAAAAATTCCCCCTTTCCTCAATCCCCACCCCACCCCCCCACCACATGCCTGTGACCCACTGAGGCTTGCATACTCTGCATTGCAATTATGTGTTATTCTTGATTAAATTCATTTATTCTGGAGAGCCTGAGTTTCTCTTTAGGTTGACACCACTCACTCTTGTCAGTCCCTGGAGTACCCCAAGCATCCTCACGTGGTTAGCAGGGAAACCTTGGCATCTCAAGGATGCAGGTGCAGGAGAGCGAGTCTCCAGGCTGTCAGAGCTGAGCATGCAGAAGCCTGCCCTGGAGAGCGCCCCGAGGTTCCTGACCGCAGGTTGTCTCAGGCCCTCCTGAGACCCTGGTGAAGAGTGGGATGGGACCGCGGGGGGATTCCTTGGCACCCCAAGTAGTCTTGGCCTTCATGTGTGAACTCCTGTCCCTAAGGGGGCCCCCAGTGAGCTCCAGCCCTGGGACACAGCTGTGAACACCTGATCCTTGTTCCCAACACCCGTGCACTGCCCAAAAACTGCACTTGCCAGAGTAGCAGTCAATTACGGCACCTTGTGTTTATTGGAAATATTCCACCTACAGAACATTAAGATGCCAGCAACCGGCCCGGCGCGGTGGCTCACACCTATAATCCCAGCACTTTGGGAGGCCGAGGTGGGTGGATCACGAGGTCAGGAGATCGAGACCATCCTGGCTAACACGGTCAAACCCCATCTCTACTAAAAATACAAAGAATTAGCCAGGCGTGGTAGTGGGTGCCTGTAGTCCCAGCTACTAGGGAGGCTGAGGCTGGCCTGGAGGTTGCAGTGAGCCAAGGTCACGCCACTTCACTCCAGCCTGGGCAACAAGAGTGAAACTCCGTCTAAAACAAACAAAAAAAAAGACTTCACCCAACTAACTGTGCTTGTGTAGAAAGAGGTTGCATCCCTGTTCCAGTCATGGCCATGAGGAACAGCTATGAGAAGGGCCCTAAGGCACAGCATGGTTTGCAGTAAGAAGGGCAGAGCCAGGGAGAGAGAAGTAAACATCATCTTCTGGGCTTTGGTTTCAAAAATCACAAGGTGTGGGCCTGAGCCTGCTGCCTGCCCAGGTCTGGGCGCCTCCACTCAGCCACTGTCCTCCCAGTGCCTCTAAATCTGGAAGGCTGCATCTGAACCTGCCCTTCCAGACAACACCCCTCCCCTGGGAAACCAATGGGGATGAGTAGTGGCCCTCCACTGGGGACTGTGGGTTTCGAGGTGGGGGCAGAGGATGAGTTGGCAGCAGTGGCATATCATAGCTCTCTTCATGTCAGCAGGGAGAGGGAGGTGCCACTGCCTCCCCTGAGATGAGAAAGCAGGCGAGAATCACCAGGGGAAGAACCCTGGGGCAGCTGGCTTGTCCCAGCCATGCCTGAGTGCACCAAATATGGAGGCTGCGTCCTCACTCGGAGAGCCAGGCAGCCTGAGCACCAAGATCCGTCAGAAGCAGCAGGCAGCTGGGGTGAGGGGTGGTGCCTCTGACTCATGAAATCCCGGATTAGTCAGCAACCATCACAGAGGCCGCCGGCATTGATCCCACTGGTTCTTGGGGAAGCACAGAAAACTCAGCAGCCTAAACCGACCATGGAAGAGGCTGAGAGGCAGAGGCCTTGGGGATAGATGGGGAGAAGGCAGGAGTACCGGCCGCAGGCTCAGGTGTCCAGGCCAAGCTTCTCAGAGCCACCTGGATCATGGACATCAGGCTCTTTCTGTGGCCTTGCTGGGCATCCAGGGTGTGTGGGCTGGGATGCCCCAGCCTTGCCCCCATTACTGGTTCGTCTGCTAAGGAAGAGGGGGCAGCCCTCGAGTGGGTGGAATTGTCCCCCTCATTCTGGTTCTGCATCTGTAGGCTGCAGAAGCACATCCTGTGTAGCTTATGCAGCTTCTAGTGCTCGGTGGGGTGTGGTGGATCCACAAGGCGGGCTCCCAAAGGGACATGCCCTCCTGTTCTCCCCAGATGACACCACACCTCCCTTGGGCCCCAACCCGAAGCCTCCTCTCAGCCCCATTCTCCCAGGTCCCAAGTCCCTCTGCCTCTTGACTAGACCCCACAGCCAGGAATGGAGCCACAGAGCCCCCAGCAGGCTGTCGCCACTTGTGTCCAGAGGCGACAGGAGAGGCCCTGCCCTCGTGGAGTCTACCAGCATGTTTCATTCTGTGTTCTGCAGGCTGGAAGCATGGGGCAGGCTGCTTTCCCACCCAGAGCTCAGGCTGGGCTGTAGCCCCCAGCTCCAGGACGCCGGGGCTGGCAGGTCTGGGGGGAGTCGGGACTTCCAGGATGCCGGGGCTGGCAGGTCTCGGGGGAGTCTGGGGACAGTCTGGGCGGGTCAGGACTCCTGCAGCTGCGGCTCCCTGGCCTGGTCTTCATCCAGGATGAGCGGGGACTGGAACTCCCGGCCTTGCAGGTACACTTCTAAACCCTGGAGACGAGCAGGGGACAATGGCCAAGTACCCACCTTTTGGCGGGTCACAGCCCCTCTGGCCACACCAAGAGCCACAGTCCCCAGGTGCGATCCCAGGTCTGCCTGGAGTCAGGGAGGGGTGGGGACAGAAAGGCTTCCAGGGCCAGGAGCAGACACACACTGCAAGGCCACCCAAGACCACACTCAAGACCCTAGGCCAGCAGGGGACCCTCCTGTCACGCACAGGTCTGACCTGACCAGAGAAAGGGGCAAGGGCAGCCGAGGTCAGGGAGGTAGCAGAGGCCGGTGTCCTCCCTCCGCAAGGCCCCCACCAAGGCCTGACTGGCCCCACACTGGGCTCAGACCTGGGCTGTCTCATCCCCATGCCCTCCCAGGACCTGCAAAGGCCTCTGGATGCCTCACCCCACCCCAACCCATATCTTGGAAAGTCTTCTGCAAATTTAAACCACCGACCCCATTGGTTAACCGAGGTAGAGCTGTGCCGTCTCCACCCGAGCAGCCACCTCTCCCCAGATGGTATTCCAAACCTGACACCAGAAAAGCCCCAGATAGGGATGGGCAGCTCTCACCTCTCCAGAGTAAGACACCAAGGGCGATATCTCACAGATGGCCGGAGGGTCTCCATTTGGGGGCAAGCTAGGGAAAGTCCACTTGTCAATATCTCCTTGCAGCACCTGCCCAGAGCCCTCCCCCAGCACCCCCAGTCCCGATAGGAGACTGAGCTCTACACACCTGGCTCCCCACAGCTCCTGTCTCAGCAAGCTCATCTTCCTCTGGACACCCCAAACCCTGAGCACACATCCCACTGCCAAGTGACAGGACCTGATTTGGGGTAGAAAGCACCCCCACAGGCCTCCCACGCAGAGCCTAGGCAGCTAGATTTAGGGGTGGCCCTAGAAAATCAGGGAGATGGAAGCCAAACGTCCTTTTCTTTCCCAGCCCTGAAATCAAACTGTCCTGCTACTTTCTAAATTCATGCCCGGGGCTCAGTTTCAAAGCCTGTGAATAAATGGGAACAACGTTGGTTGGGTGATGGATCCCCTAAAAGCCCTGACCTGACTGACCAAAGTTGCACACACACCCCACAAATGTATACAAATAAGAAAAATAAAAATAAAAAAATAGCCGGGTGAGGTGGCTCACGCCTGTAATCCCAGCACTTTGCGAGGCCGAGGCGGGCAGATCACAGGTCAGGAGTTTGAGACCATCCTGGCTAACACGGTGAAACCCTGTCTCTACTAAAAAAAAAAAAAAATACAAAAAAATGAGCCGGGCGTGGTGGCGGGCGCCTGTAGTCCCAGCTACTCAGGAGGCTGAGGCAGGAGAATGGCGGAAACCGGGGGAGGGTGGAGCTTGCAGCGAGCCGAGATCCCACCACTGCACTACAGCCTGGGCGACAGAGCGAGACTCCATCTCAAAAAAGTAAATAAAAATAAAAATAAATAAATAAAAGCCAAATCTAAGTATGCCTTTGTAAACAAACCAAAACCTTGTGGATAAGTTGGGGAGGGAGTTGGGGAGCCCCTGCCTCCCTCAGTGCACTGAGCACAACTTGAAGGGTCGGGCCAGGAGGCTGTGCCGACAGTCACCGTGTGACCTGGAGCTGGCTGGGCACAAGGCTACCTGCACCTGCGGTGGTGCCGGGAAGGAAGACCCCTCCCCAGCATGGCTGTCGCAGAGCCAACAGGGCTCTGGAGCTGAAGATTGGGTCCTGACAGCCCTCCCCTTCTGGCTGTAGCTACCCCAGGGCCACACTCACCTGGGCAGCTCTGGGAGCCAGGCCCCATGGGCATCCAGGAAGCGGGCCCCGGCCCGCAGAGCCCACCGGTAGTGCTGGGTGAGCAGGGCCTGGCGAGCGGTGCGGGGACTGTCCCTGTCGGCTGGCTCTGCGTTCTTCAGTGGGGAAAATTCCTCCTCCCGCAGCACTTCCAAGGCAGCAAAGTTCCTGGTGGGGAAAGGGCTAGTCACCCACGTCCCAGCACAGAGGCCCTGATCCGGGCAGGTGAGAGCTGGGCCAGGTTTCCAGTGACAGAGTGAAGGTCTGGTCCCATGGGCAGCAAGTCTAGGGAGGAGCCCCCGCAGGTACTGAGTGTTTTTGCTCCTGAGACGCCAGGGATGGCCCAATCCCAGCAGCCATTTCCAGCAGCCGAAGGCCCAACCCTGGGACCCCTGCAGTGAGGGCCAAAGGCCCTGCGAGCCGCCCTGGCAACCTGGCCAGGAGACCTCTCCTAACCATGGGTGGGGGCAGTGGAAGGTCCGGGAGGTGGCACTACTGTCCTCCCAAGTCCACAGCCCCAAGGACTCCCTATGCCCCCACCTCAGGGGCTGCTTACCCTCAGGGCCAAGAGCACCCTCTGGTCTTCTCCCTGAGACTTGCCCGCGGGGCCCTTGGCTCCCTCAAGCCTCTACTTCCCTACCAGCTGCGCCTCAGTTCCCACCACCAAAACTGAGAGAAGGAAGAAGGGGAAAATAAATGAGTTCTACTACTAACTTAGCAAACCGGAACACATCAAACACAAACTTCTCCATCTTTATCCCGTTCGGTTTTAGCGGCTTTACCAGATTCCCCTCCTCATCCACATACGGGACCTTCTTCACAGCCACGTGTGGCTTCAGCAAAGGCTCAAACTCCCTGGGGCACGGGAGAGCAGAGGGGAGGAAAGAAACAGATCAGATATGGCACCGCTGGGGGCTCTGTCCCCACTTCTGAGCACACCCAGCTGGGTGGGACAGGATGGCAGAAGGACACTACAGGGCACAGAAGCGGCAGAGTAGGGCCAGATCTCCAGGGAGAAGCAGGCACAGGCCTCCTCCCTGCATCCCTGTGCCAAGTGCCAGGCACCATCAGCCACATCCCTGCCCAGGCAAACAAACTGGCAAGCCCCAGAGCAGAGGTAGCACCCTGGGCACCAGGGCAGGTCCCCAGAAGGAGGAGATGGCAGACTTGATCACAGAGCCTTACAGCAGCTGCCTGCTGAGCACGGCTTGTGCCTGATCTCCAGCACCTCTGCCTTTGCAAGCTCAGGATCCATTCTCCACCCCGACCCATCAGCCGTGCCTGACCACAGCCACTCCTGACCACAGCCGCTGTGGCCCAGGGCACTCAGCTCACTGGGACCCCGCGGGTCCCTGGTCAACGCAGGCGGCTCTGGCCGGCAATCCGCAGCCACCTGCTGCCGCACACCTGGTGACCGCCTTAAGGAAGCCTCGGGTGAAGAAGTGGTTGCAGATGTTGCCTGCATTGTACAGCAGGCTCCCGTCGGAGGCACGTAGCTGTGCGGTCTCAGGACTGATCTCGCTGTACTCCACCACCTGGGGGACACCGTCCACCTGGCACACCACGCCCACGGGCTCCTCGGGGTATGCCTTTTCCACCACCTGCAGCCAAGACCAGGGATGGGTTCCGAGGGCTGGGCGGAGGGGCGGGGCTCCGTGAGGGGCGGGGCCAGCCTCGGGTGCGGGGCGCCGCGCAGTCGGGCGCTAACCTTGGCGCCACAGTCTGCGCCCTGCAACACACAGAAGCCGATGAAGACAGGGTCCGCCAGCCGCACCAGGATGTTGTCCACACAGTACACGTGCACAAACTCCACTCCCCGGCGCTCCATGTCCTCCAGGATCTTGTGGTCCTCCAGCGCGCAGTAGAGGCCCCCGTTGCCGTCTGCAGACGGAGAAGGGAATGGGCATCGCGAGGGCTCCCGCCAGGGATCGCTCTGGGAGTCTAGGACGTGCTGGAGGCGGGGGAAGCCCCGGCCTTGTGCCTAAGGCAGCCCTGGTCACTAACCAGACAGCCCAGTTGGTGTACCATGTGACAAATGACGATCAAGGCCCAGAAAAAGAGGCGCCTAACCCAGGACCACACAGCCTCGGGGCAGCCGCGAACCCGGGCGCGTGGACCCCCAACTACGCTCCCAGTTCTAGTCTGGGCGGTCCCTCCCCGTCTCAGGAACGGGCCACACCTGGGGCCATGGCAACTTTGTCTTTCCGCTCCAGGATAACCTTGCCATCAAAGGTCACAGCAGGCAGCAGGCGCTGCTCAAACATGACCACGTTGGCGGGGTCCAGGTGGAAGAAGTTGTGCTCCCTGAAGAACTCGGCCGTGGGCCCCAGAGTGAACTCGCTGGTCATGACGTACCTGCAAGGGAGGCGCGGTGAGCCGGCCGCGAGTACGCCTGGCCCTGCAGGCAGACGGGGCTCGGACCAGAGCCGGCATCGGGGTTCGGGGTCCAGTGTCCAGTTGGGGCTGGGGCCAGGCCCCATTTTGGGCCGGTTCTGGGCAATGTCCCGGTCTGTGCCGGGGTTGGGGCTCGCGTCTGGAGCGGGGATGTGGGGGGGCGTGGGGAAGGGTACCTCCGGGCCGAGGTAGGGCAGGCAGGACACACCAGGGGACGGTGCAGCGGGTCCCGTGGCGCTCACCGGCCAGCTGCTCCACCCGCCGAATCCGCTCCGCCTGCAGCTGGTACAGGGTCTTCCGGCTGGGCAGCCCCACACGGTACATACCCTTGGGGTAGGTCACGCCCAGGCGAGTGCCCTGCCCCCCAGCCAGCAGCAGGACGGCCACCTTGTTCAGAGAAATCTGACGGAAACCTGGGGGTACGGGCGCCGTGAAGGGACGCCCGGGACCCGCCCACCCTTCCGCTTTAGGGGAAACCAACTCTGGGGCTGGGGCGCCAGGACTCGGGGGCCGGAACGCGTGAGGCGAGACACGTCTCAAAGTAGCGAGGAGAACTACAGTTCCCCGAGCGCGGCCTCGGTTCCCACCCGCTCCGTGGGCACGACCCCCTGCCGGCCCCCAGGGCCTCCCACCCCGCTTACCTTCCTCCTCCCAGCGCCGCCGTGTCTCGGGGTCGCTGCGGCTGGCCCTGCCCACGCGCTCTGGGGGCAGGGGCCGCAGGCGCGCGGCCAAGTCGGGCGGCGGGCCGTGGGGGCGCGCGCAGGCCTCCGCCGCCCGCCGGCAGTGCTCGCGCAGCGCCTCGGGCTCCAGCAGCGCCAGCTCCGCCAGCAGCGCGGCTCGTGGCTCCGGCGCCAGCTCGGCCCAGAAGCGCAGGAGGTGCTCCTGGCCAGCGCGCTGCAGCCGGGCGCGCACGTCCTGCTCCGAAGCCATGTCGCCGCTGCCGTCTGTCAAGTCGGCACTCGTGACCCGCGCCACTGACCAGCGTCACGAGACCGGGCGGGCGGTGTAGACCCCCCAGTGGGGCGGGCCCCGGGCGCCCCGCCCCGCCCCGCCCCGCCCCGCCCCATCCCGCCCGGTCCCGCGCCCTGCCCTGGAGCCCGCCCACCCCCGCTGCGCACCCCAGACTCTGTCCGGGTTCTCTCTGACCCCGCCCTGTCTACATCCCCCCAGCCCCCCCGCGTCCGGTCCGAGACTCGAGACAGGGCCCAGCCCCATCTCTCCAGCCTGTCCCCCGTCCCTCTCCGTCCCCTGGACCCGCTCCGGTGTCTGGCCCTGGCCTGCTCCCTCGAGCTCCCGTCCCCGTTCCTGCTCTTCTCCAGGCCCCGGGCCCATGCCCGCCCTGTCCACTCCGCGCCCCGCCCCGAGAGATCCCAGGACCCTCTGGGTCGCGCCAGCTGGCGTGGGCAGAGGAATCGACCATTGAGCTAAGGGAGGAAGAGGCCCCAGGGACGCCCCGCAGGGGAAAGCTAGGTTCTGTCCCAGCACGGGCTTTGAACCTGAGAGTGGCATGGCCACCTTTGCGCTAACCAAGACTTGGACGGAGACCTCCTGGTGCAGAGACAACCGGCCAGAGTGCATTGAAGAGGCCTGGGCTACGGCTGAGCTGTTGGGAGGCTGGAACCAGACCAGGTTCCGGGATGCCATCCCGCGGCTTGGGGCTCCCTCCCGCACACCCTTCCTGCTTCCCATTGCCTGGTGACCAGAGCGCTCTGCAGCCCCTCGCCCACATTGTTATTTTACTATCAGGTTTTAAAATATCTTGCTTGTGGTCGGCGCGGTGGCTCAAGCCTGTAATCCCAGCACTTTGGGAGTCCTAAGTGGGGTCAGGAATTCGAGACCAGCCTGGCCAACATGGTGAAACCCCGTCTCTAATAAAAATAGAAAAATTAGCCGGGTGTGGTGGCAGGCGCCTGTAGTCCCAGCTACTCGGGAGGCTGAGGCAGGAGGCCTTGAACTCAGGAGGCGGAGGTTTCAGTGAGCCGAGATCCTGCTGCTGCACTCCAGCCTGGGAGACAGAGTGAGACTTCTCAATAAAAATAAAAATAAAATAGTTTGCTTGTGAAAAATATGAAAGGGTAGCTTCTGCCAGTTGGGCACAAAACTTTCTCCTAGAAACTATATAGTAAGTCTAAAAGTAATATATGTGACTGCATAAAAGAATTCAAATGGTGGCCAGGTGCAGTGGCTCATGCCTGTAATCCTAACACCTTGGGATACCGAGACAGGATGATCGCTTGAGCCCAGGAGTTCAAGACCAGCTTGGGCAACATGGTGAAACCCCGTCTCCACTAAAAATACAAAAATCAGCCAGGTGTGGTGGCGTGTACCTGTAGTCCCAGCTACTTGGGAGGATGAGGCACGAGAATCACTTGAACCCGGGAGGCGGAGGTTACAGTGAGCCAAGATCGCACCACTGCACTCCAGCCTGGGTGACAGAGCGAAACTCTGTCTCAAAAAAAAAAAAAAAAAAAAAACCGGGCGCAGTGGCTCACTTCTGTAATCCCAGCACTTTGGGAGGCCAAGGCGGGCGGATCACCTGAGGTCTGGGGTTTGAGACCAGCCTGACTAACATGGAGAAACCCTGTCTCTACTAAAAATAGATACAAATATTAAATATAAATATAAATATATAAGCATGGTGTTGCATGCTTATAATCCCAGCTACTCCAGAGGCTGAGGCAGGAGAATCGCTTGAACCTGGGAGGCGGAGGTTGCCATGAGCCAAGATCGCGCCATTGCACTCCAGCCTGGGCAACAAGGGCGAAGCTCTGTCTCAAAAAACAAACAAACAAACCGAAAAAGAAAAACAAATCATGCTGTTACAGGAAAGAGGTTCCAGACCTCAAGAGAGGGTTCTTGGATCTTGCGCAAGAAAGAATTCAGGGCAAGCCCATACAGTAAAGCAAAAGCAAGTTATCAGGAAAGTAAAGGAATAAAGAATGGTTTCTCTACAGACAGAGCAGCCCTGAGGGCTGCTGGTTGCCCATTGTTATGTTTTTTTGGATGACATGCTAAACAAGGAGTGGATAATTCATCCCTCCCCTTTGTAGACCATATAGGGGAACTTCCTGACGTTGCAGTGGCATCTGTAAACCGTCATGGTGCTGGTGGGAGTGTAGCGGCAAGGACAACCAGAGGTCACTGTCGTTGCCATCTTGGTTTTGGTGGGTTTTGGCCGGCTTCTTTATCGGAACCTCTTTTATCAGCAAGGTCTTTGTGACCTGTATCTTGTGCCGACCTCCTGTGTCATCCTGACTTGGAATCCTTTAACCATCCAGAAATGCAGCTCAGTAGGCCCCAGCCTTATTTTACCCAGCTCCCATTCAAGATGGAGTTGCTCTGGTTCACACACCTCTGACAGTGATCTAGGACCCAAAATGAAAACTAACATCTCCCTCATGCTGCCCCGTGGACCCCTCAGGCAGTTGTGTTTCCTTGCAGTTGGGTTCTGCCCCCACCTCCACACACATGCCCTCACTGAGTTTGGGAGGGGGCTTCACCCCTGGGGCAAGGCCCACATGCACTCTTCTGGACCTGCATGGAGTTGCTTTTCGGGCCTGCCTCAGGGTCTCTGCACTTCCTGTTCCTCCCTCCTGGACCGCTTGTCCCCAGAGAAACGTGTGGCTGGGGACGCATTTGGTCAGGCCTCAGCTCCCCAGGCCACGCCCACTCGGTGAGCACCTTCCCATCCTCCGTGCCAGGCTGCCTTTCTGCATTCTTGGCTACCTGACTCCCCTGTGAGAAGCGAACCCCACAAAGGCGGGGAGTTGCTGTTTTTGTTTTGTTTTGTTTTTTGTTTTGAGACCGTGTCTCATTCTGTCGCCCAGGCTGGAGTGCAGTGGTGCAATCTCGGCTCACTGTAACCTCCGCCTCCCGGGTTCAAGTGATTCTCCTGCCTCAGCCTCCTGAGTAGCTGGGATTACAGGCGCCCGCCACCACACACAGCTAATTTTTTGTATTTTTAGTAGCGATGGTTGGCCAGGCTGGTCTTGAACTCCTGACCCCATGATTTGCCCGCCTCGGCCTCCCAAAGTGTTGGGATTACAGGCATGAGCCACCGTGCCCAGCCCAGGCAGGGCATTGTTTAGGCCAGTGGTCTGCCCCCATCACCTCAGGTAAATGCAGCACACAGTAGGCACTCAATCAATGTTTGTTGATTGAACAAACGAGTGTTGAACCCCAGCCCACACCGTGACTGGGCAACAGCAAATGTTCAGGGAGTACCTGCTGCATGAATGAATTAATGAATGGCCTGTTCTGCTCCAGTGGTTTGTGGTGGTTGAACATCGTTTAGGTGAACGTTGGAGTTGGAGGGGAGGCTCGCGGAATCCGGTGAGCAGAGCAGGCTTCCCGCCCCAGGCCAGAGTCCATGGGAACCCTTATCACCCCTGCAGGGCTGGGCAGCAGAGGAGGCACATGTCTCTTGGAGGCAGGTGTCAGGACATGAACTGTTGGCCCTGTAGGTCAGGGTGATTCCAAATCCCACCTCAAGGTGTGGGTTGGGCTGTAATAGAAGATTTGGAAAATCAAGGTTTGTACAGCCAGAGGCACTTGCGGCACCAGAAGGGGAGGAGCGACCCTGCCCAGACCGACAGAGCCTACGGATGGGTGGGAGTGCTGGCAAGGCTGAGGTGGGCAGCAACCTCCTGGACCACCTTGTGGCCAGGCAGTTGTCTTCACAAGAGGCCCAGGGGAGCAAGGCCCTAAGGCTCAGAGGCCAGGAGTGCAGACGGGGAGCCCTGGGAGGCTCAGGGGCTGGGTGGCTGTTGCCAGTTCTTCACTTGGTGCCCACTGCTGGGGATACATCAGGGGACAGAGGGGCCGGTCTTCCTGCCACCTCTGCCCAGAGTGGTCCAGGCTTACACAGTGAGAACACAATTACAGCTAAGATGGGGCCTCCAAAAGTACAGGGACAGCATGGGACCCCCAGGGGTGACACAGCACTAAAACCTGAAGGATTGGGAAACTATCAGGCCAGCCGGAAAGTGGAGTGAAGGAGGAAGTGGTCAGAGCTCAGGACAGGAAGGACACAGGACCACATCTTAGCTCCACGCCCAAAGCCAGGCACAGCCTCCAGTCTTTTTTTTTTTTTTTGAGACGGAGTCTCGCTCTGTCGCCCAGGCTGGAGTGCAGTGGTGCCATCTCGGCTCACTGCAAGCTCCGCCTCCTGGATTCACGCCATTCTCCTGCCTCAGCCTCCCGAATAGATGGGACTACAGACGCCCGCCACCACGCCCGGCTCATTTTTTGTGTGTGTGTGTGTTTTTAGTAGAGACGGGGTTTCACCATGTTAGCCAGGATGGTCTCGATCTCCAGACCTCGTGATCCTCCCGCCTTGGCCTCCCAAAGTGCTGGGATTACAGGCATGAGCCACCGTGCCCAGCCTTTTTTTTTTTTTTTTTTTGAGATGGAGTTTTGCTCTTCTTGACCAGGCTAGAGTGCAATGGCGCGATCTTGGCTCACCGCAACCTCCACCTCCGGGGTTCAAGCTATTCTCCTGCCTCAGCCTCCCGAGTAGCTGGGATTACAGGCATGGGCCACCATGCCCGGCTAATTTCGTATTTTTAGTAGAGACGGGATTTCTCCATGTTGGTCAGGCTGGTCTCGAACTCCTGACCTCAGGTGATCCGCCCGCCTTGGCCTCCCAAAGTGCTGGGATTACAGGCGTGAGCCACCGTGCCCGGCCTCCAGTCTTTTTCATACCTTCCTCCAATACCCAGCCAGGGGCCACAGAGAAGCCCACAGACCAAGGGCCAGCTGGGGCCGCCTCCCCCAAGGCTCTGGATGGTATGAAAAGCCCTT
Source organism: Homo sapiens (assembly GCF_000001405.40). Classification (NCBI taxonomy): domain Eukaryota; kingdom Metazoa; phylum Chordata; class Mammalia; order Primates; family Hominidae; genus Homo; species Homo sapiens. The sequence continues at coordinate 137,072,660 of NC_000009.12, read as the reverse complement.
GTTTCATCTGCACGGTGGGTTCAGTTCCATGCGGGGCCATGGCTGGCCTGGCCTGGACACTGCTGGCCACGCTGTCCTGAGCTGCAGCAGCCTTGCTCACTGCTGGCCACCGACTCCACATCCACACTGGCCTCCCCTGCCATACCACTGAGCTGTTCCCAGCCCTTCCCCATCCCTTAGGCCTCAGCCTGGCTTGGTGCCCACTCAAGGATGGTGTTTCCCATATGATTTCACTGGATACGGCTCCCCAGTGCCATTCACAGAGCACCCACTGTGGGCCAGGCCAATGCCAGGCCTAGAAGGAGCCCTGTCCTGCTTGCAAATAGCCAGGGCCCCCTGGGCCAGGAGAAAGCTGTCCCCTGTGTTTTATCTAACTAGGCTTCAGGGGGAAGGGGACTGGGGCCAGAGCAGAGTTCTGAAGGATGTAGTGCGGTCAGCCTGGAGCAGAGGGGAAGGGCCTTCCTGGTAGAAGAGCCACCAGGCACAGGGGCCTGGAAGTGAGGGAGTGCAGGGACCCCAGGCCTGGCACTGGCGGTGAGGGGTGTGCTGGAAGCAGGGTAGGTGTGGGGATGGGGGGGCGGGGGCTTGCGTGTTGTGCTGGTTTGTTTTGTTTTGTTTTGTTTTTGAGACAAGATCTCGCTCTGTCACCCAGGATGGAGAGCAGTGGCTCAATCACAGCTCACTGCAGCCTCAACCTCTTGGGTTCAAGGGATCCTCCCACCTCAGCCTCCCAAATACCTGGGACCACAGGCATGCACCACCACGCCTGGCTAATTTTTTAAACTTTTTGTAGAAATAGGGTTGCCTTATGTTGCCCAGGCTGGTCTTGAACTCCCCAGCTCAAGTGATCCTCCCGCCTCGGCCTCGTGCTGGGTTTTTGAGCAGACCAGCCATTAAAGGGGAAGCTGGCTTACAGGACCAAGCTCTGATGGGCTGCTCCAGGCTCAGAGCTTCTTATGTCCTTCCAGCATTCCCTACGATGAAGGAGTCCCACTTAGAGTGAGTGACCCAGAAGAGAAGTGGACCCAGGATACTCCCTGGCCTGGGAAGATGCCTCTACAGCTTGAGACACAGGCACCAGTGGCTCAGGCCTGAGGACAGAGACCCAGGTAGGTATGCCAGCTGAGGCCTGCCCAGGAGGGAGGGTGGGAGACCCGCAGAGGGCCAAGGCAAGTCTCGGATTGGGGGCCTGTCTGGGGAGGGTGTTTGCACCCTGAACACCTCCCTGGAACCTAGAGGGTACTACTGGCCAGCCCTGAGATGGGCTCCCAGGGCTAGAACCCAGGCTAAGGCCTGGTCTCACCTCCCATGTGGACAGACCAAATGAAGACAGAGTGACCAGATCCCAGCTGGAAACACAGCAGAGGCAGGGGGACAGGGCTGCGGGAGCCAGGAGAGCAGCTGGAGGAGGTGTCCAGCCAGGGGAAGGAGGAGAGGAGAGCAAGAGGCAGAGGGAGCTGGTCACTAGATGGGGATCTGGGGACACAGGAGAAAGTGGCTTTGTTCTGCAGCAGGCAGGCCAGGCCAGACTGTCCCGAGGGACCAGAGGAGGAGCCAGCAGCAGTGGGGACAGAAAGGCCTCTGTGAGTGGGAAGCGCCCAGCTGGCTGGAGCCTACGATCCTCTTGGGGCCCTCCTGGTGGAAGAGAAGGGGGCCGCAGGGTCACCTGTGCTTGCGGCCAGGGAACTAGAGGGGAAAAGTGGGATCTTTGGAGGGGGTGCCCCCCCCCATTCTTACCCCACGAGGCTACCTGGAGACAGGTTTTTTTGTAGGGTGCCAGGCCCCGCCCCTTGGAGAGGTGGCCGGGGCAGCCAGCCACAGCTGGATCCGAGAAAGCGCCTGGCCGCGGCAGGAGGTTTGGTGGGGCTGGGGCGGGGCAGAAAGGAAGGTCTGCGAGGCCAGAGTGGAGCAGGAGCTGGGGGATCCGGTTCCGCCTGCCCAGGGCCTCCGCGCGCCTCCCAGGGCCACTCGGCAAGAAAAAAAAAAAAAAAATCAAACCTCCTCTCAGCCTATCAGAGAGCAGATGGGACGGGCTCGGCCAATGGCCGCGGCGCATGTTAATGAGGGCTGACGCCGCGAGGAGGGCCCCATTCAAAAGTAGTCGCTATTGTCGCCGTGGGCTGAGCTCGCCGGGCCGGCCCCTCCGTGGGGCCGCGCTGGGACGCACGCGGGTGGACGAGGGGACCGATCCCGGGCGCCCATGGCCGGGGCCGCCATGGCCGAGCGGGGCCGCGTGCCTCCCCCCGCACCCGCGCCCAGCACGGAGGGGCTGCCGCGCGCCTTCCTGCAGAGCCTGCGCACCCTGTTCGACATCCTGGACGACCGGCGGCGCGGCTGCGTGCACCTGCGCGAGATCGAGTCCCGCTGGCAGGGCACCGACGCGCGGGAGCTGCCCCGCGGGGTGCTGGAGGGCTTGCGCCAGGTGGCCCCGGCCAGCGGCTACCTGACCTTCGAGCGCTTCGTGGCCGGCCTGCGCACCTCCCTGCTGAGCGCCGACGGCGGCCCCCGGGACCCCACGCGCGCCCCGGCCCGGCCCGGGGATCAGCCGCCGCCGCCGCCGCAGCGCCTGGTGTTCGCTCCGGCCGACGAGCCGCGGACGGTCCTGGAGAGGAAGCCCCTGCCCCTGGGCGTGCGCGCCCCTCTGGCCGGTCCCAGCGCCGCCGCCCGCAGCCCGGAGCAGCTGTGCGCCCCGGCTGAGGCGGCGCCCTGCCCCGCGGAGCCCGAGCGGTCCCAGAGCGCGGCGCTGGAACCGAGCTCCAGCGCGGACGCAGGTGAGTTCCGGACGGCCCCCGGGCACCCTCGTAGCTCTCCCGGGCCCGGGCCAGAAACCGCAGTCCCACAGCTGCTGCCCGTGCATTTCCCACAAGGGACGGGACCGGGGAGCGGCTCTTCGTGGACTCCGGATCCTGGAGGGCGCCTCGGCGGGTCTGGAGGGAAAGGGCTTCATGCTTGTCGCGGTGAGCCCAGGGGCTTGCTTAGGGAGGCAAGCCAGACCCTCTCCTGCCACAGCATAAGGCCACCAGGGCCGGGGGGTGGCAGGTGACTCAGAAAACCCACCGGGAGCCCAACCTGTACCAAGCCTGAGCTTGGGCTCTCCATCTCCAATACCCTTTCCGCACCTGGGGACACCTGGGCCCTCAGCCTCCTGTCTGTGGCTGCTCAGGCAGAAGTGCTTCCTTCTCAAAGAAAGGGTCCCCCTTCTCAGTGTGACAGCTTAGCCAGGGGGGCTGGGCCCACTGACCCCACTGAGGCCTAGGCAGGCGGGGGCTGCTGCTGGTGGCCCAAGAGGACCTGGCCCTGTTGCCAAGATGGGCAGGGGCGTGGGTGGATCTCCTGCACCCCAGTGGGGCTGTACTATGGCAGATGCCATGGAGGGACATAGGCCGTAGTCCCTGGGGATGGCTGGCACACTCCTCTCCTGCCTTCCGGTCCAGTTGGCAGTGATGGGAGATTGCTGAATGGTCCCCTGTCTCCCCCAACCCAGTGCCTGCCTTGGGAACAGGACCTGTATTATGGCTGGGGTTGGGGGGCCAAGCTCCCAGAGGGGCCCCAGGCCCCACAGCCCATTCGGCCTGTGCACCCGTTCTGCCAGGGGAGGCCTGCCCACCGGTGGCTCCTGCCGGTCCCTGTGCTGCCTGCTGCTCTGCCACCCTCCCTGTACTGCTCCCCCACCTCAGCCATATTCTCCAGCCCTACAGCTGGTGTTTGGAGCCACGGCGGCCCTGGCCTCCCTGGTGATCTGATCCAGCAGCCACACCAGGCTGGGGGACCCCTAGTTCTATGGTGAGGGAACCTTCAGAGGGTATCTGGCTCCAAATGCAGGGTCAGCGTCATCCATGTGGCCATGCAGTTTGAAATCAGCCATGGGATTGCACGCTGTGGCCGGGCCTGGGGTTTGGAGGCCTAAGCCTGTGGTCCACCCCTGCTCTGCTCTGATGCCCCATGCGGCACTGGCTCACGTACCACATCTCCCTGAAGGCCACATGGCTAGGGCTGTAGCTGTCACCCTCTCACAGGCAAACGGAGGGCCAGACAAATGGCGTGACATATTTGATTGACACAGCTGGCTTTTGGGGTGTCAAATCTGGAGCTCTGAGGTCACCCCAACTCCCAGAAAGCCTGCCAACACACACAGCCTTCCAAGCCCCCAGCCCAGATGTTCAGGGCCTCTTTCCTTGTTCCCACCTGGGACTGCGTGTTTGCTCCAGGCTGGCTGTGGCCCTGGAGGTGTGGCCTGCTGGCTCAGGGCCCTGGAGGGGCAGAGCCACCACCCCCACCTAGAGGCCATCTAGCTCATCACCCAGCACGCTGCTATCTGGGGACCCAGGAGCTGCTCTATGGACTCAACTGTACAGACCGGGCCCAGGTGTCCTGGGACTTCCTCTATGGCCTCCCTCTGTCTGTACCCTCTCTGCTCCCACCTCCTGAAGGGCTGTGTGCTCTTCCACTGTCTTGCCCCAGAGCTGCCAGCCGCTCAGCACCGCAGGCTGGAGTGCGAATTCGGGCCTGCCTGGAGCCAGGCTCTCTGCCGTGCCTACCTGGGCCCAATTCTTGCATCACTCCCTGACTCCTGTGGCCAGGTGCCAGGGGCATGGCCTCTAAGGATGTGCCTGGTGCTGGGGCTACAGCTGGAGGCCGAAGGAGGATGCCTTCCTCCACACCTGTACCCACTTCTGTAGCCTGGGGAGGTGCACCTACTCCCTCACCAGGAAGCTGGGCCGGAGTGGCACCAACGCGATACTCTTGGCTGCCCCCAGGGGGAGCCCTCAAACAAACTTCAGAGCAGGGGTCTGTGAGCACCAGGACGTGCCTGACTTGTCAGTTGGGTGCACCGCCTGGCGTATCACACACGCGGGACTTTTTTTTTTTTTTTTTTTTTTTTTTTTGAGATGGAGTCTTGCTCTGTCGCCCAGGCTGGAGTGCAGTGGCGCGAATCTCAGCTCACTGCAACCTCCGCCTCCTGGGTTCAAGCGATCCTCCTGCTTCAGCCTCCCGAGTAGCTGGGATTACAGGTGCATGCCACCACGCCCTGCTAATTTTTGTATTTTTAGTAGAGACAGGGTTTCACCATGTTGGCTAGGCTGGTCTTGAACTCCTGACCTCAACTGATCCCCCCCCGCCCCAGCTTCCCAAAGTGCTGGGATTACAGGTGTGAGCCACCGTGCCCGGCAAGGGATCTTTTTTTTTTTTGAGACAAAGTTTTGCTGTGTTGCCCAGCCTGGAGTGCAGTGGCGCAATCTGGGCTCAGTGGAACCTCTGCCTCCCAGGCTCAAGCAATCCTCCTGCCTCAGGCTCCTGAGTAGCCGGGACCACAGGTGCATGCCACTGCACCAGGCTAATTTTTGTGTTTCTAATAGAAATGGGGTATTGCCGGCCGGGCACAGTGGCTCACGCCTGTAATTCCAGCACTTTGGGAGGCTGAGGTGGGTGGATCACCTGAGGTCAGGAGTTCAGGACCAGCCTGGTCAACATGGTGAAACCTCATCTCTACTAAAAAATACAAAAAGTAGCTGGGCATGGTAGTGGGTGTCTGTAATCCCAGCTACTCGGGAGGCTGAGACCGGAGAATCACTTGAACCTGGGAGGCGGAGGTTGCAGTGAGCCAAGATCATACCATTGCACTCCAGCCTGGGCAACAGGAACAAAACAACGTCTCAAGAAAAAAAGGAAGAAATGGGGTTTTGCCATGTTGCCCAGGCTGGTCTCAAACTCCTGAGCTCAAGCGATCCACCCGCCTTGGTCCCCAAAAGTGCTGGGATTACAGGCGTGAGCCACTGTGCCCGGCCATGCGGGACTAACTTTCTATCAGAGTCACCATCCTGGGAAAAGTTAGGTTTCCGTCATTCACACCCACATCTCCTGCTGCCTTGCAGGACCCCGTGCAGATGGGAGAGGCGTAGTCAGGACCAGAACCCCCCCGCCCACTCCTCCCTTACCCAGCTGCCTTGGAGACCCAGGGTGTGCCTGCCATGTTCTGGGCACTGGGTGTGCAGAAGAGAGCTGGATAAGGCCTCTGGCCCCAGAGAGCTCACGGACCGATGAGGGGGCAGGGTGTGTGTTTGAGCAAACATGCGGGCTTGGCGGCACAGCCCTCCCCAAGCCAGTGTGAGGAGCTGGAAAGGGGAGAGGGACCAAACTCCAGCCTGGCACAGAGGCTACACGTGGGCCATGCCAGGCTGGTGCCCGAGACCTCGAGGGTGGGCTGAGATGTGGAGGCCGCTGCACCTCAGCAGAGCCTGGCCAGGCAGGTCTGGAGGTGAGCCAGGCCCATGCCTCTCCATAACAGGTGCAGTGGCGTGCAGGGCCCTGGAGGCGGACTCAGGGGATGCCCGGCGGGCTCCCCGTGCCCGAGGGGAACGTCGGAGGCACACCATCGCCAGCGGCGTGGACTGCGGCCTGGTGAGCAGGGACTGGGGCTCTGTGGGGCTCTCCATCTTGCCTGGAGGCTGGAGGCCGGGATGGGAGCAGGGGGGCCTTGAGCCTGGGGGAGTCCATGGCGGAAGTACAGTCAGCTCTGGACATCTCTCTCCCTACCTGGGCTTGACTCCCCTGGAGGGATGGCCCAGGGTCAGGCAGAGGGAGGTCAAGAGGTCGTTTAGGGCAGCTATGGTGGCTGCCCAGCCCGCCTCACGAGGTTGCTGCTGCAAGCCAGTCTGGCTTCCCAGCTGTGTGCTCACCACAGGCAGACTTCGGGAGGGTGGGCTCAGCTGAAGGGTCCGTCACCCCTCCCCCAGGGAAGCCTGAGTGGAGGGGCTAAGAAAGGCCAAGACCCCTCAGCAGGAGGAACGGGGCTCCTGCTCCAAATGGGCCTATGGGGCTCACACATGCAGGTGTCAGCAGAAGCGTGCGTCCGTGGGTGTTTGCAAACGTGTACACGTGCTGCTGCATTTGTGTCTGTGGCTCTGGTGCCCACCCACAGGTGAGCTCATGCATGTGTGGACGTGTGCGTGCTCACTGGGGCCAGGCATTCCATGTAAATGCACGTATTGCAGCTGAAGCAGATGAAGGAGCTGGAGCAGGAGAAGGAGGTGCTGCTGCAGGGTTTGGAGATGATGGCGCGGGGCCGCGACTGGTACCAGCAGCAGCTGCAACGAGTGCAGGAGCGCCAGCGCCGCCTGGGCCAGAGCAGAGCCAGCGCCGTGAGTGCCACAGCCCTGTCCCCAGATCCCCACACATGGGGACCCCAGCTCACCCCAGGCACCCTTGGGCATTGTGGCTGCCCCTATTCCCGGACACAGTGGCTGTCGATTCCACCCAGGATGCTGAGACATCCCTTTCTCCGCCTGTGGCTGCCCCACTCCTAGGGCCTAAGGTGTCTTGGGCAGACCTCCCACCTCAGCAATGCCCCTGGGACCCTCTAGGCTCTCTGCAGCATCAGGAGGCAGGAGAGCCACCTGTGGGAACCCCTATCAAGGCACCTTGCTGGCCCCGGCTGGACCTCCTCTCTGACCGCTTGTCCTCTGCTTTCTTCCCAGGACTTTGGGGCTGCAGGGAGCCCCCGCCCACTGGGGCGGCTACTGCCCAAGGTACAAGAGGTGGCCCGGTGCCTGGGGGAGCTGCTGGCTGCAGCCTGTGCCAGCCGGGTGAGTGTACCCCAAACCCCCACACCCACGCTGGGGCCCAGGCCAGTTTAGTGCTTCCCCGCCCTCGTCCAGGCCTGCCTAATCCTGCCCTCCCGCAGGCCCTGCCCCCGTCCTCCTCCGGGCCCCCCTGCCCTGCCCTGACGTCCACCTCACCCCCGGTCTGGCAGCAGCAGACCATCCTCATGCTGAAGGAGCAGAACCGACTCCTCACCCAGGTAGGGCAGGCGCGGGAGGGGTGCAGGGGTGGGGGTGAGGCCCCGCAGGCCTTGACCAACTGTGCACCTGCCCAGGAGGTGACCGAGAAGAGTGAGCGCATCACGCAGCTGGAGCAGGAGAAGTCGGCGCTCATTAAGCAGCTGTTTGAGGCCCGCGCCCTGAGCCAGCAGGACGGGGGACCTCTGGATTCCACCTTCATCTAGTCCTTGTGGGCCGCGTGGGCCCCCAGGGCCAGCCTGGCACTCAGCCCTTCGAGGGTGGGCGCCCCATCGCACCCACCCTCTCTGGCTGGAGACCCCCGGCAGGCCCAGGCACAGTCCCGGAGTGGGCGCCTTCCTGCCGCCCTTGCCAGATGGGCTCCCCAGGCCTGCCCCCGGCTGGTCCCCGCACCGAGCGCTTGACTCCGTTTTGGCTCCTGGTGCTGACATGGGCTGGGGCTCTCTTGAGTCCGCATAGTCCGCAGCTACTACTGCCGCTGTCAGTGGACAGTGGGGTACCCCTCCATGAGTTAGCGTCCCCCCGTTTCCAGCGGTGCCGCCCTGGGTCCCATCTTCAGGGAAAGGCACTGCCCACGCCAGGCTGCACTTCCAACAACGGGCAGCAGAGGGCGCGGGGCGGCTCCGACGCGGGTCCAAGGGCAGCTTCCCGCTCAACCAGGGCACCAGGACGAGGTGGCTGTAGCTCGGACGGACGGAAGTAGATGGAGGGGGTGGGGACGGCCTGTAAGCGGGGGGTGCCTGCCTGGCTGGGGAGCCCCAGGGATAGCGGTCGGACTTCAGGTTCTGGCCAAGGCTGAGGGACCCTGGCTGCAGCGGATCGGCACGCCGGGTGGGCGAGAGCTTGGCCTGCATGTGCCTCCCACAGACCCTGGGGTGATGGCCTTCCCCCTCTTGGCCGGGACGTTGCCCCACGTTGAGTCCCACACAACATCCTGTGAGCCTGGCTCCCCAGGAGGGCCCCCAGACAGCTCCCAGGCACGTCATAGGCAAAGCCTGTTCCCCCGACTCAGGATTTCCAAGGCCTGGGGTCCTGCTCACCCCCCTTTGCTCTCACGCCCAGCCTGTCCCCAGGTTTCAGCTGGGAGAGGCCACCTCCCTCAGCCAAGGAAAACGAGAACCCCCAGGGTACAGGAGGAGGCTGGGGCAGGTCCCCTTGGGTGTCACTCCCTCAGCCCCTGCCCAGGCCCACTCCCGCTGGTGCTGGAGTACGCACTGGTGGGGGGGCCCTGCTCAGCCCAACCTGGAGGGTCCCAGTGTCACCAGAACCAGGGGCACGGCAACAGCATCGATGGGTTCTGCAGCCCAGGGCCCCCGATGCGGGGTCAGTGCGTGGGGGGCGCAGGGCCCCCGATGCCGATGCGGGGTCAGTGTGTGTGGGGCGCAGGGCCTCCGATGCGGGGTCAGTGCGTGGGGGGCGCAGGGCCCCCTCGTGTCCAGGGCACTTTGGTACACTGTCCCACAAGGCACCTGTCTCAGAGGAGGGGCCCTGGCAGGCAGCGTGGCAACTCCCTTCCGGAGCCCAGCTCCATGCTAACCTGCCCACAGCAACCCCACAGAGCCACATTCCCTGCTGCACCTGGTCTGCAGGGGTGTCCCAGGACAGGCCCAAGTCAGCCCAGCATGCAGCTGCCCTCCTACCCTGAAGATGGGAGTGGGCTTTCCAGGGGACATAAGGATGTCAGGCCTGGACCTCCTGGGCAGGAAAGGGTGCAGGTCCTGAGGGCCTGTGCCCCACAGCCCCAGCACCAGGTGGACTGCAGCGCAGTGGGTGGGCCAGTGGCAGCCAGGGAGAAGCCCCCCGTCAGCAGGCTGGGGTCTGCCCACCAGGGCCTCCCCACGTCTGCCTTTGAGGGTGCCTGCCATGCCCTGGGGGATCCTGGCATCTTTACTGGACTGGAAGCAGGAGACAGAACAGTGTCTGTCCCGGGGTGACTTCATCAGGAGACCGCCCACATAGAGCTGGACCCCGCAGCTGAAGCGGAAATGTGAGACAGGCTGGCACCTCCGGAAAAACTGCCTTTCAGCCTTGGTGTTCCGTGCAAGGTGAAAAGAAATAGGTCCTCCCAGTTTACAGCTTGAAATCAGGCTAGTGAGTGGCCCTGGAGACCACGAGGGGAGAATTTAAAGGCCCCGGCTGGCAGGGTCTAGGTGGCTGGCAGAGGCACATGCAGACCCTGCCTGGAGCCTGCCCTAGGACGCTGGGCGGGTCAGTCTCCGTGCAGGATGTGAGCAGCGTCCCTGGGCTCTATCCGCGAGGTGCCAGTAGCGTGTGCAGGTACATACACGTGCGTGCACACTGTGATGACACCCGGAAATGTCTCAGGATGTTGAAATGTGTCCTTGGGGGCAGAAGTGTCCCCAGTTGAGAATCTGCCCCAGAGGAACACACCCACACCAGGCCTCAGGATTTTGTGTTGATCAAGTTCCAAGGAAAAGGAACATCTCAGCCGGGCGTGGTGGTTCACGCCTGGAATCCCAGCACTTGAGGCCAGGAGTTCCAGAGCAGCCTGGGCAACGCAGTGAGAGACCCCATCTCTACAAAAAAAAAAAAGAAAGAAAGAAAATGAGAGATCCAGGTTTAAAAATTCATAAACACCACAAGGAAACAATACACTATGAGACCCAGCAGAAGCAACAGATTGACTCTAGACCCAGATACTAGAATTATCAGAGAGAATATAAAGTAACAGTGTTTTATATATCTAAAGAAATAAAAGAGATTTCTGGAAACATGAACAAGGAGTGGTATTTATAGTTCCTTACTCCATGAAAAGCATGATCTCTTAATGCTATAAAGAAGACTAGGCCGGGCGCAGTGGCTCATGCTTGTGGTCCCAGCACTTTGGGAGGCCGAGGTGGGTGGATCACCCGAGGCCAGGAGTTTGAGACCAGCCTGGCCAACATGGTAAAACCCCGTCTCTACTAAAAATACAAAAATTAGCCAGGCGTGGTGTCGGGCGCCTGTAGTCCCAGCTACTCGGGAGGCTGAGGCAGGAGAATTGCTTGAACCCAGGAGGCAGAGATTGCAGTGAGCTGAGATGGCACCACTGCACTCCAGCCTGGGCTACAGAATGAGACTCCGTCTCAAAAAAATAATATTAATAAAATAAACATGTATCGGTCGGGTGCAGTGGCTCACACCAGTAATCCCAGCCTTTTGTGAGGCAGAGGCGGGAGGGTTGCTTCAGCCCAGGAGTTTGAGGTCAGCCTGGGCAATACGGCAAAACCCTGACTCTACCAAAAATACAAAAATTAGCCAGATGTGGTGGCTCATGCCTGTGTTCCCAGTTACTGGGGCTGCTGAGGTGGGAGGATCACTTGAGCCCAGGAGTTTGAGGTTACCATGAGCTATGATTGTGCCACTGCACTCCAGCCTGAGTGACAGAGCAAGACCCTGTCTCAAAATAAATAAAAGAAAGAAAAGAGAGAATTCGAGAAAGCCCAGACTTTTGGAATTTTTTTTTTTTTTTGAGATGGAGTCTCGCTCTGTCGCCCAGGCTGCAGTGCAGTGGCGCGATCTTGGCTCACTGCAAGCTCCACCTCCTGGGTTCACGCCATTCTCCTGCCTCAGCCTCCTGAGTAGCTGGGACTACAGGCGCCCGCCACCACACCCGGCTAATTTTTTGTATTTTTAGTAGAGACGGGGTTTCACCGTGTTAGCCAGGATGGTCTCGATCTCCTGACCTCATGATGTGCCTGTCTCAGCCTCCCAAAGTGCTGGGATTACAGGCGTGAGCCACCACGCCCGGCCCAGACTTTTGGATATTAAAGCAGACACGTCTAAACAACTTATGTGTCAAATTTAAAAATTAGCCGGTGTGGTGGCGCGTGCCTGTAGTCCCAGCTACTCAGGAGGTGGAGGTGGGAGGATTGCTTGAGCCTGGGAGGTCGAGGCTGCTGTGGGCCAAGATTACATCACTGCACTCCCGCCTGGGTGGTAGCGTGAGACCTTGTCTCAAACAGACACACACACACACACACCAATAAAGGTATAAATAGCTTTTCCTCTTTCATGAAAAGAATAGTAAAATAGGAAACAAACATGACAGAAACTTGGTTGAGAAAAAGTACACAAAATTTCTGGCTAAATTAATCAAGAAAAAAGAGATAAGGCACAAATAAATGATATTAGGAATAAAAAAGAGCAAAATAGTCACACATGCTGCAGAAGTTAAGCTGATTCTAAGAGGATATTTTAAATGAGATTATGCCAATTCAGCTGGAGTGGGTAACTTCCTAGAAAAATACAAAATCAGCCACATGGGCAGGCTTACGCCTGTAATCCCAGCACTTTGGGAAGCTGACGCGGGAGGACTGCCCGAGCCCAGGAGTTTGGAACCAGCCTGGGCAACACAGGGAGACCCTCCACCTCTACAAAAAATAAAAAAATTGTCTGTGTGTGGTGATGTGCCCCTGTGGTCCCACCTACTCGGGAGGCTGAAGTGGGAGGATCACGTGAGCTCAGGAGACGGAGGTTGCCGTGACCTGTGATTGCACCACGGCACTCCAGCCTGGGCAACAGAGTGAGTCCCTGTCTCTAAAAATAATAATAACAAATCTCAAAAAACAAAAAAGAAAGAAAGAAAAGAAAAAAATACAAAATTGGCTCAGGAAGAATAGTTAATAGGGGTCTGGCCCTGTAACTATCAAAGAAATGGAAACAGTACTGTAGAAGCCAGCACAGTGGCATATGCCTGTAGTCCCAGCTATTCCAGAGGCTGAGGTGGGAGGATTTTTGAAGCTCAGGAGGTTGAGTCTAGCTTGGGCAACATAGTAAGTCTGGTCTCTAACCCATCTCTTAAAGACAAAACAAACAAAAAACTTCCCACAGAAAAATTGGGCCTAGGTGTTTTTTTTTTCAGGCAAGTTTTTTTTTTTTTTTTTTTGAGACAGAGTCTCGCTCTTTCGCCCAGGCTGGAGTGCACTGGCTCGATCTCGGCTCACTGCAAGCTCCTCCTCCTGGGTTCACGCCATTCTCCTGCCTCAGCCTCCCAAGTAGCTGGGACTACAGGCGCCCACCACCACGCCCGGCTAATTTTTTGTATTTTTACTAGAGACGGGGTTTCACCGTGTTAGCCAGGATGGTCTCAATCTCCTGACCTCGTGATCCGCCCGCCTCGGCCTCCCAAAGTGCTGGGATTACAGGCGTGAGCCACCGCACCCGGCCTTTTCAGGCAAGTTCTACCATAAATTGCAGGAACAGATAATCCAAATATTACGCTAATTTAAAAAAAATTAAAGCAATTTTTTTGTTTGTTTGTTTTTGGTAGAGACGAGGTCTCACAATGTTGCCTAGGCCGGTCTCCCAAAGTACTGGGATTACAGGTCAGACCATCATGATATCAAAACCATAGAGGAGGCCAGCCACGGTGGCTCACACCTGTAATCCCAGCACTCTGGGAGGCCGAGGAAGGTGGATCACCCGAGGCCAGGAGTTTAAGACCAGCCTGGCCAACATGGGGAAACCCCGTCTCCACTAAAAATACAAAAATGAGCTGGGTGTGGTGGCACATGCCTGTAGTCCCAGCTACTCACGAGGCTGATGCACAAGAATCCCTTGAGCACGGGAGGTAGAGGTTGCAGTGAGCTGAGATTGAGCCACCGTACTCTAGCCTGAGTGACACAGCAACACCTTGTCTCAAAAAAAAAAAAAAGGCAAAGGGAAGCCAGCCATGGTGTGGACCTGTGGTCCCAGCTACTGCAGAGGCTGAGGCAGGAGGACCATTCGAGGCCAAGAGTTTGAGGCCACAATGAGCTATGATTGCACCACTGCAGTCCAGCCTGGGCAATAGAGCAAGACCCTGTTGCTAAAACAAACAAACCAAAGGCCTGTTACCTACTTACAGGGAAGAGGCAGCAGGTGGCAGGGGAGGGGAGAGACTGTTACCAAAACACCAGGGGTTCAGTCCAGGTCCTGCTGTTCGCTGCACAGAAAGCCAATCACGGAGACCAGGAGCACCGCCAGGGGGAAGGCTTTAAGCCGGCCGCAGCCAAGGAGATGGGTGCTCAGTCTCAAATCCGTCTCCCTGACCCACTGAAATTAGGGGTTTATAGAGCAGGGAAGCCACGTAACTAGGTGTGAGAAAACAGGAATTAGGGGCAGCTGAAGAAGAGGAGTTGGTCAACAGGAAGCTGGTGGTTGGCCAGGCAATCTTGACAGCTGGGGGGTCTGGTGTCTCATTGTCAAGATACCGTGATCTGGTGAGTTTTAGCTCTTTCATTCTATCTGGGGGCCTCATGGTTGGTTTTCTGAGAAAGGAACTCAAATAGGACAAATGTCACTTTCTCAAATTTTAAGACTAGGAGGATCAATTTCTGTGTTTATTCAAAGAAACCATAAACATCAGTTCCACGGGACAATTGAGCCGGTTTCAAAATCAAAGAAGGCCAAAGCCAGGCAGGGTGTGGCACACACCTCTAGTCCCCAGCTACTCAGGAGGACTGCTTGAGGCCAGGAATTTACCAGCCTGGGCAACATAGTGAGGCCCCGGTCTCCAATAAAAGGAGATGGGGGGCTGGGTTTGGTGGCTCACGCCTATAATCTCAGCACTTTGAGAGGCCAAGGCAGGTGGATCACTTGAGGTCAGGAGTTCGAGATCAGCCTGGCCAACATGGCAAAACCCCGTCTCTACTAAACATACAAAAATTAGGCTGGGCACGGTGGCTCATGCCTGTAATCCTAGCACTTTGGGAGGCCGAGATGGGCGGATGCTCAGGAGTTTGAGACCAGCCTGGGAGCAACACAGTGAGACCCCGTCTCTATTAGAATGCAAAAAAATTAGCCTGGTGGCACACGGCTGTAGTCCCAGCTATTTGGGAGGCTGAGTCAGAAGAATTGCTTGAACCAGGAGGCGGAGATTGCAGTGAGCCGAGATCACATCACTGCACTCCAGCCTGGGCAACAGAGGAAGAGTCTGTCTCAAAGTAAATAAATAAAATAAGATAAAATGAAATAAAATGCTCACAGTGCCAGCTAGAGCCATCGTTCAGAAAAGAATTTGGCACTTGCTAGAGAAGCAGAACACACACTTGCCTGACAACCAGCAGTTCAGATCCGGGATGCTCCCCAGAGAAGTGCTCTCAAGAGCACACATGCGGCCGGCGCAGCGGCTCACACCTGTCACCCCAGCACTGTGGGAGGCCGACGCAGACGGAGAGGCCGGGCGCGGTGGCTCACACCTGTCATCCCAGCACTGTGGGAGGCCGAGGCAGGCGGGTCGCCTGAGGTCAGGAGTTTGAGACCAGCCTGGCCAATATGGTGAAACCCTGTCTCTACTAAAAATACAAAATTAGTGGGGAATGGTTATAGGCGCCTGTAATCCGAGTTGCTCAGGAGGCTGAGGCGGGAAATCGCTTGAACCCAGGAGGTGGAGGTTGCAGTGAGCTGAGATCGCGCCACTGCACTCCAGCCTGAGCGATAGGGCCAGACTCCACCTCAGATAAAAAATAAAATTAAAAAAAAGAGTGTATATGTGCAGAGCAGCAATCTCAGCAAAGCCTAAAGCCAGACACTGTGTGTTCACCAGCTGCAGCGACACGCCGTCTGCATGTTCTCACTCACAGGATGGAATACAGCAAGGAACAAACAAGCCACACCTCTCAGTGTCAACAGGGTGAATCCCAAACGCGTAACGTGAGTGAAAGAAGCAAGTCCCAGAACAGCACGTCCAGCACATCAGAGACCACCAATGGGGTCCTGCTGCCACCCTGGCATTGCTCTTACCAACTGTGCATATGTGCACCTCCCATTCTGTTGTGTCTCCGACCTCGAACAGGACAGCACAGGCTTCCCCGCCTCCCGTGGGCCTTTGCAAAGTCTGCTCTCCCCAGGCCAGTGGGTGCCCTCCCCACAGGGCTCCCTGTGCATGCATGGAGCCTGGCGTGCTTTGGGCACCCAGGAGTACTACTCAGCAAGCGTTTGTTGAATGACTTAATGAGCACCTGCAGAAAGGGAGCAGTGAGTGAAAGGCCTTTCACAATTAAACCATCAAGGTGTTTCGGCCACAGCACAAGTTTCTTTTTTTTTTTTCTTTTGAGATGGAATCTCGCTCTGTCGTCCAGGCTGGAGTGCAGTGGTGCAGTCTCAGCTCACTGCAACCTCTGCCTCCCAGGTTCAAGCGATTCTCTTGCCTCAGCCTCCCAAATAGCTGGAATTACAGGTGTCTGCCACTACAGCCGACTAATTTTTTTTTTTTTTTTGACTCGCTCTGTCACCCAGGCTGGAGTGCAGTGGCGCGATCTTGGCTCACTGCAAGCTCCGCCTCCCGGGTTCACACCATTCTCCTGCTTCAGCTTCCCGAGTAGCTGGGACTACAGGTGCCCGCCACCACGCCCGGCTAATTTTTTGTATTTTTAGTAGAGATGGCATTTCACTGCGTTAGCCAGGATGGTCTTGATCTCCTGACCTGATGATCCGCCCGCCTCAGCCTTCCAAAGTGCTGGGATTACAGGAGTGAGCCACCGCGCCCGGCCCACAACCGGCTAATTTTTGTATTTCTATTAGAGACGGCGTTTCACCATGTTGGCCAGGCTGGTCTTGAACTCCTGACCTTAAGTGATCCACCTGCCTCAGCTTCCCAAAGTGCTGGAATTACAGACGTGAGCCACACAGCACAAGCTTCTGATGTGGAGACTGAGGCAGGGCAGCCAAGATGTCAGCAGGCCTCAGGAAAGCCCCCCTCCCTGGGAGGTCTGAGCCCTGCGTGGGCGGGAGGCTCCGAGTTCCCTCCCCCAGGGGTTCTCCCCTAACCTCTCTGCATCCGCATGTTCCCAGCTCAGCCGGGGTCATGTGCAGCACATCTGGAGGCCCCATCCCCGAGAGGGTCCTGGAAGCCGAGAGCTGCCCCACCCAGAGGCCCCTCCACCCCTTCAGCTCCTGCCAGCTTCCCTCTGACGCTCTCCCAAGTCTGCCTTCCAGGGTCCCTGAGTCCATGCCAGGAAGGGGCGTTCCCCCGCCCTCACTCCGTCTCAAAGAGAGCTCAGCCTCAGCCTTTGTCCTGGCCGCTCTGGGCTCCCTGCCTCTCCCTCCGCAGGCGAAGCTGGGCACTCGGCCATGAGCCTGTCTCCCCGGGGCAGAGTCCAGCTCCCCTCTCCCTCCCCATCCTCTCAGGCCTGGCAGACCTCCCACTCCCTGGCTTGAGCTTTTTGTCCATGAAAAGAGTCCAGAACACCAGGAAGCCCCGCTGGGCCTGGAGGGAAGCGGGGTACCGCAGGCCAGTGGGGGTCGCAGCACCCTGCCTCTGGGCGGCCTTTGTTCCTTCCTTTTCAGGCATGATGTGCACTGTGCGTGCCTCTCCCTCCTCTGGGCGGTCAGGGGTGGAAGAAAGGCCTGGGGTGTGTGGGGGGAAACTGGGGCCTGGGGCCTGGAGCTTAGCACCGGCAACACCCAGAGATTGCCTGCTGGAGCCCCGCCAGGCTGGGCTGTGAGGCTGAGGCAGCAGAGAGGCTTCCCAGGGTTCCCACCCCTCCCTTTGGGGTCCTGAGCTGGAAGAAAGATGCCTTTACTGGGCCTGTGGCGCCAGACCCTCAGCCCAGGCAGCAATCCCAGCACAATTGTCACTGCCCGTTCCAGAAGGCCGGGCATGGTCTGGACCCTGCCCCATGGGGCTGCCCTTTGGGCCCCAGCAGCCTGCACTCCCTGGTGGCCTTGCCTCGTGGCTCCCTGACGCTGTGTGGCTGGAATTATTGGGACAAGAATTCCCACTTTGCAGCAGGCGCAAAGGGGGTGGCCCCTGGCCGGGCTGGGATGCGGGGCCTGTGAGGCTGCAGAGCCGAAAGGCCAGCCATGTCGTGGGACGGAGGAGCAGGGCTTGCGTCTGGGGCCAGCTGCGCTTCGCCTGCCCCAGCCGTCCCCAGAAGCCTGTTGCTGACCCGCACCCCAAGCTTGGCCTGGGGACCCTCTTCCTTGCCTTTCAGGCCACGTAGAGGCCCCACCTGTTTCCGTCCTGGGGAAGCCTCCTCTGGCCTCCGCAGCCCAAGCCTCTGTTCCCCTCAGGCCGAGGGGGCAGCAGGCGCGGCTGAGGCCCTGGGCTGGGAGGTATGGACCTTTGGCCCGGTCTGTGCTGCTTCTCCTGTTTCTCGGCTCGGTGTGACCTGGGCCGTCCCTCCCCTTCCCCGTTCCTGCGTCCTCACCTTCACCTCAGTACAGGGCCCAGGTGAGGTGGATCTGACTGGGCCTCAAGGGTAGTTCTGGCCTGGGTCAGCTGCGTGTCTCTGGAGCTGACCTGCGCTGGCTCAGCGCCGCAGGCTGGCGGATCCTTGCTGGCCGGGAGGGCATCCCGCAGGCCAGCCTGGTCCTCACCAGCCCTGGGAGTTGGCGCTCAGGGCCCTGCTCCACAAACAGGTGCTGACCCTCGGCTTCCTCCTGAGTCCCCAGCCCGGGCCCCGCGTGGCTCCGCAGCCGACAGTGCCTCATTCCTGCAAGCGAGTCTGGCCTCCTTTCCCGGGCCCGGGAAAAGCGCGGCTCTCCAGCACAGGACCCTCCGAGCCAGCCTCGCCCGCCCACCCCCACGCCAGGTCTCCTGCCTCCACGGCCGGGGGATCCCCTTGCTGAGTGGGCGGGAAGGGGAAGGTGGGCCATAGCCGCGGGGCGCCCGGGCTCAGACCCGGGAGCCGGGGGGCGGTGCTGGTGACTCAGCCGCGCCCGCGTCTCTCACCTGCGCGGGCCGGACGGCGGAAGCTTGGGAGCGGAGGCGAAACCTGTCCGCCCGTGGGCGTGGCCGGTGATGGGCGGGCCCGCCCGGCCTCCCGCCCCTCGTCCCGCCCCGGGGCCCCTACCCCGCGGTCCCGCGGCCCCGCCCGCCTCCGCCTCCGGCTCCCCGCACTCTCCGGGTCCACGCATCGTCCTCCCGCGCGCCCGCCCGCCCATGGCCGGGAAGGTGCGGTCACTGCTGCCGCCGCTGCTGCTGGCCGCCGCGGGCCTCGCCGGCCTCCTACTGCTGTGCGTCCCCACCCGCGACGTCCGGGAGCCGCCCGCCCTCAAGGTGCGCGCCCGGGCACCCAGCGCACGTCTGGGGAGCAGCGGGCCGGGCTTGGAGCCGGGGAGGGGGTGCGGCTGGGAACCTGAGCAGGATCAGCCCGGGACCCCCACCGTGCTCTGCTCCTGGCGGGCTGGGTGGGGTCCCGGGTTCCGCGCTCTGCGCTCCCCGACCGGGTACGCGGAGGGGGCGGGGGGCGGTGGCGCTTCCAGGGCGACGCGGTGCTGAAGGAACAAGTCCCGGGAGTTCCGCGCCCGCCGCCGAGTCCGTCAACGCAGCCCAGGGGCTGTGTCCCCGCTCCCGGGATAGCCCAGCGATGCCCCCTGGGTGCTGCCGGACGCCCGCCCCCAGGCCTGTGCGGGCCCCCAGGGGCACTCCGGGCCACTTCTGCCCTGTGCCGCCGCCCCGGAGGGTGCGGTTAGAGCCACATCGACTGGGTATTCAGCCCAGATGGGGATCCACAAGCCCCAGGACCCAGGGCCCCCGCCAGGACACGAGAGTGGCCCAGAAAGACAGGAGGGCTTGACCGGAGCAGCCCTGGCCGGTCCTCAAAAGGTTGGAGCAGGCTAGCCTGGATCTCCACTCCAGCAGGCCCAGGGACCTCCTGGTCGGCCCCTTTAACCCTTTATTGGGCTTGTAGGGGGGTGGGGTGGAGAGCCAAGTCCCCCAGCCTGATGGGGAGTCAGAAGCAGGGAGCTCTGCGGCCCTGCAGGACGGCCATGTGGCGGTGCACGCGCTGACCTGTTGATGCTCTGGGCTCTGGGGAAGCCTTGGTCGGGATGGACTGGTGCGGCCCTCTCGGAGGCTGGAATTGGCGCCCGGGCCTGGGAGGCTGGTCCCCAGCTTTCCAGGTGGATCCAGGATGCTGGGGCAGGAGCTGGAAAAGGGCATTTACAAGCTCGTGCCACTCAGGTCTGCAGGAAGGCCCACCCAGCACCCCCAACAAGGCAGGGCCAGCCTCTCTCTCTGGCCCTGGCTTGGAGGCCTAGGGAGAGTGTCTTTAGAGCTGACCTGGCTCTGAGGCCCACGGCCAGCCTCGGTGGACCTTCTTCACCTGGGGCCCTGCCTCCTGCATCCTCAGGTTGGGCTGCCGTCAGAGGAGCTGGAAGGAGACAGAGGAGGAAGGAAGAGGGGAGGAAGGAAGAGGGACTCTAGGGAGCTCCTCTTGCAGAGGAGCTTCCTCTCCCTGAGCCTGGGAAACTTGTGCCCCAGGGAAAAGTCCCTGGGGACCCTCTGTCCCTCTGTCCCTGACTCAGTCCCTCAGTCTGCCCTTGCCAGGAAGGCTGCTGCCCAGACCCTGGCATGCTGGCTTCAGGTAGTCAGGAGGGAAGAGTCACCTCCCCACCACCTCCCTGTTCTCCTTCCAACCACGGCCTCAGAGGAGGCCCTGGCCTCCTCTGAGCTTCAGCATGAGGCTTGGCACATGACTGGGTGGGGGGGGGAGCGGTGGCAAACTGGAGGAACCCAACTTCACGTTTGGTGTCAGGGTGTCAGGGCCCCCGGACACCCCAGGCTGACTCCCTCCCCCTCCCCCGCAGTATGGCATCGTCCTGGACGCTGGTTCTTCACACACGTCCATGTTTATCTACAAGTGGCCGGCAGACAAGGAGAACGACACAGGCATTGTGGGCCAGCACAGCTCCTGTGATGTTCCAGGTGAGGCCCAGCCCAGCCCAGCCAGGACGCCCACTCACTGCAGGGTCTCTGGGACCCTCTCCAGCCTTAGCCAGTGCAGGTCCTTCTGCTTAGTGTTGGGTGGGGCTCACTCCAGGCAGAAGCCCTGGAAAGAGAGAGGCTGGTGCCCCTGCGCCTGAGTGGGGCCAGGAGTCGTTTGCATTCTAGAAAGGAAGCCTAGGCAGCAGGTGGGGAGGTTTGAGCCTCGCCGGGCCCAGTATTGGCTTCTGTGCCCCAGATGGAGCAGGAGGAGGTCTGGGGGCCTGGCGGACACACCCAGGCAGGCCTCAGGAGGCCAACCTGGGTTGACCATGCCCAGGGCTTTGTCCTAGCACCTGCACCCACACCCTCTCAGCAGGCAGCAGCCTTGGTCTCCGGGTGGCACCTGGGCCCCTTTGTCTCCAACCTGGGCGTTTCTGGGGGCTTAAGCAGGGAAGGTGTGCCACCTGGTCTGGGAGCCCACGGCCCCCACCCCCACCCTCACTCTCCTGGCCTACGGCCCACCTAGGGGCTGCCCGTGAGGCATAGGCTCATCTCTCTGCCTCCCTCTAGGTGGGGGCATCTCCAGCTATGCAGACAACCCTTCTGGGGCCAGCCAGAGTCTTGTTGGATGCCTCGAACAGGCGCTTCAGGATGTGCCCAAAGAGAGACACGCGGGCACACCCCTCTACCTGGGAGCCACAGCGGGTATGCGCCTGCTCAAGTGAGTGTGCCTGTGCCCTGGCCCTGTCCCCATGATGGCCTTTGGCTGTGACCCCTTGCAGGGCGGACTCCGAGCACCCCTACAGCAGGCTCACAGCCACCTGGGGAGAAGGCCTCTTGGAGTTCTCTGTGTTTTGCAGCCTGACCAATCCAGAGGCCTCGACCAGTGTGCTCATGGCAGTGACTCACACACTGACCCAGTACCCCTTTGACTTCCGGGGTGCACGCATCCTCTCGGGCCAGGAAGAGGGGGTGTTTGGCTGGGTGACTGCCAACTACCTGCTGGAGAACTTCATCAAGGTGGGCCCAGCAGCCAGCCAAAGAGCCAGGGGGCGTGGGCGCCCTCGGCCCCTGGTTGACCCCACACTCCCCTCTCCACAGTACGGCTGGGTGGGCCGGTGGTTCCGGCCACGGAAGGGGACACTGGGGGCCATGGACCTGGGGGGTGCCTCTACCCAGATCACTTTTGAGACAACCAGTCCAGCTGAGGACAGAGCCAGCGAGGTCCAGCTGCATCTCTACGGCCAGCACTACCGAGTCTACACCCACAGCTTCCTCTGCTATGGCCGTGACCAGGTCCTCCAGAGGCTGCTGGCCAGCGCCCTCCAGGTGCCCCTCCACCCTGGCTCACCTGCACTGCACTGTTCCCTCCTGGAGCAGAGCCTGGACAGCCACTGTGCTGTGGAAGGCTTCTCCAGGCTGGGCTTTAATTGGCTGGAAAGACAGGTGGGAGGGTCAGAGCATGAGCAAAGGCCCAGTGGCTGGGCTGGGCCTGGAGAAGGGAGGGCCAGGGACGGCTCTCAGAGGGAGCCTGGTCAGGGGCGTTGGGATCTGTCAAGCAGGCAGTGGGGAGCCATGGATTGCCCCTGAGCACAAAAGTGAAGTTGCCAGAGTGAGACCTGTGGGAGGTTTGTCAGGCTGGTCCTCTGGAGCGGTGGTGGTGCCACCCTGTCACGCTGGTGATTCCCCCAGACCCACGGCTTCCACCCCTGCTGGCCGAGGGGCTTTTCCACCCAAGTGCTGCTCGGGGATGTGTACCAGTCACCATGCACCATGGCCCAGCGGCCCCAGAACTTCAACAGCAGTGCCAGGGTCAGCCTGTCAGGGAGCAGTGACCCCCACCTCTGCCGAGATCTGGTTTCTGGGCTCTTCAGCTTCTCCTCCTGCCCCTTCTCCCGATGCTCTTTCAATGGGGTCTTCCAGCCCCCAGTGGCTGGGAACTTTGTGGTGAGTAGGGGCAGGCGGGTGGCTGGGAACTTTGTCGTGGGTAGGGACAGGCGGGTGGCTGGGAACTTTGTCGTGGGTAGGGACAGGCGGGTGGCTGGGAACTTTGTCGTGGGTAGGGACAGGCGGGTGGCTGGGAACTTTGTCGTGAGTAGGGATAGGCGGGTGGCTGGGAACTTTGTCGTGGGTAAGGGCAGGCGGGTGGCTGGGAACTTTGTCGTGAGTAGGGACAGGCGGGTGGCAGCAGGTGCTCTGAGCCGCTGGGGTTCGGTCACAGTGTGACTGCGCCCCCTACAGGCCTTCTCTGCCTTCTTCTACACTGTGGACTTTTTGCGGACTTCGATGGGGCTGCCCGTGGCCACCCTGCAGCAGCTGGAGGCAGCCGCAGTGAATGTCTGCAACCAGACCTGGGCTCAGGTGAGCCCCGCTCCCACTCCTTCAGGGCTGTGCGGAAGGGCTCAGCCTCCGCCTCCGCATGCCTCCCCAGCCCTGCATGGACAGGCCTCTCGGAGCACCCGCTGCAGTGGGGGCGATGGCAGGCATTAGGCTGACTCCAGAGGTGGCGTGGCTGTGGCCGGTAGGCTGTGAACAAGTCGGGCGGGTTGGAGAAGCTTCGCCAGGCCCGACCCTCATCCCAGATCTGGAGGGCAGGGGGAGGCCGGTGCCCAGGTTTCTGGCTTCTGCCACTGGTTCCCTCCATGGTACCACACAAGGGAAGATGGAAGTGGGTCTGGGCACCGGGAGTGTGCCCACCGGAGACTCCAAGAGAAACGTACGAGTCGTCCCAGGACCGGGGTGGTGAGCGAGGCCCCATTTTGTCCTCCCAGGGCCTAGTCTCAGACAGACTGGGGTGAGGGAGGTGGGGACAGGCGGCGAGCCAGCGGGCAGACTCAGGCCTGGAGCTCGTCCTGTTCCCCTGGCCACACACCAAGGTGTTGCTGCCTCCTGCTCCCTGGTGGCCATGCCTGCTGTCCCTCCTCACTGGCCTTCCAGGCATGGGCGCTGGCTGGGGAGGGATGGAAGCGTGCCCTGCCGGGGGTGCCCCTCGGACTCGGTCTTGCCATTCGTGTCCGGGCCTGTGTGGTGGTCTCTGGCCTCGCACGGCCCGTGTGTGTCTGGGGAGGGGTGAAGCACGCCGCCGGCCCCCTCTCCCCGTGGGGCCGAGACCTCCTGGTGGTCGCCTGCCTGACGGTGTCCCGCCCGCGTCCCAGCTGCAAGCTCGGGTGCCAGGGCAACGGGCCCGCCTGGCCGACTACTGCGCCGGGGCCATGTTCGTGCAGCAGCTGCTGAGTCGCGGCTACGGCTTCGACGAGCGCGCCTTCGGCGGCGTGATCTTCCAGAAGAAGGTGGGCTGGGGCGGGGCGGGGCGGGGCCGACCTTGCGGGGCGGGGCCTCTCGGGAGCTGAGGCCACGCCCTTCCCCGCAGGCCGCGGACACTGCAGTGGGCTGGGCGCTCGGCTACATGCTGAACCTGACCAACCTGATCCCCGCCGACCCGCCGGGGCTGCGCAAGGGCACAGACTTCAGCTCCTGGGTCGTCCTCCTGCTGCTCTTCGCCTCCGCGCTCCTGGCTGCGCTTGTCCTGCTGCTGCGTCAGGTGCACTCCGCCAAGCTGCCAAGCACCATTTAGGGGCCGACGGGGGCAGCTGCCCCATCCCTCCCCCAACCCCTGTATCCCCACCCCGTACTCCCACCCCTCCCACAACCCCTGTACCTCCCACCCCTGTATCCCCACCCCTCCACCCACCCCTCTCCCAACCTCTCTCCCCGCCCCTGTATCCTGCATTCCTCCACCCACCCTCTATCCCCCACCGCTCCACCCCACCACTGTCTTCTCCATCCTTCCACCCCACCCTCAGCGTCTCTGCCCCTAAGGCAGCCCAGGAAATAGGAACTGAGACTCTGGTACCCACAGGAGCCTGGGTGGGCAAAGAGCGCTCAATCCAGCTCCTTGAACCCCTCCAGCCCGCTTCAGCCTGGGCATCACTGCAGGCCCCGTGCTCCTCCTCCTCCTCCTCAGGGCTGGGTCTCCAGAGAGTGGGGCCTTGGTCCTGAGAATCAGCCCTTAGAGGCTCCTTCTGTGTAGTCTGGGTCTGTACTGGGGAGGGTCACAGCCCACGGGCTGGCAGCCAGCCCAGCACCTACTTGTAAAAATTTTGTAATAAAAAGTTTTTCCTAGAGACGTGAAAGGAGAGTGTCTGTGGGGTGGGGCATCCTTGCTGTGGCCTGTGCCCCCACCTTCCCGCTGTTCTAGCCGCACGGGCCTGCCCTTGGTCCTGAGGGTGGACACCATCCCTCCCTACTGCCTTCTGCTCTGGAGCCAGGCCTGGGGCACTGGCTGCTGCCCTGGTGTGCCGTGGCAGCCTAGAGTAGCTGCAGGATGGCTGGCCCGAGGGAATGTTCCTGGGCCCTTGAGTCTTCTCTGGCCAGCAGAGTTCCCCAAAACCATCACATCCAGATCTGCGTTGGTGACCAAGGCCAGACTGAAGGTTGGGTCCTGGTACAGTGAGCCTGGGGGTGAGGGTAGAGGTCAGGGAGGTGGCGGAGAGTGGGTGGCAGCCAGCCAGGCGGCTTCCTAGGGGGCAGTCAGTGCTGGTAGAGACTGGCGGGAGGGCAGGCCCACATCAGGAGGTGGCACAGGGGTGGGAGATGAGATCAGGACCAGGACCCATAGGCAGGAATCTTGCACAGAACCTGGCTGTGGAGCTGAGCCATGCAATGGCACAGGGCACCTTGCCCTTCTCACCTGGGACTGAGTGTCCTGCACCTCCAAAAGGCATCCTGCAGCCCCAGCCAGGCCCTGCAGCCCCTCCCCAAGCCAGTTTTCTCCAGGATGGGAAGGCCTGGTCTTGCCCACTCGCCTCCTCACCTTCCTGGGAAGTGAGCTTAGACACTGTCTCTATGCTCAGTGCCCTGGCGAGGAGGGTGGTGGTTCTTATTCTGCTCTTCCCTCCCCTCTTCACCATTTTTTTTTAAAGTCATTTGATAAACCTGAGGGCAGCCAGCCCCAGCTTTGGAGTTCTGAGACTGGAAGGACCAAGGGGACACCCCGGGTTGGAGGTCTCACTCTTGTTCTCTGAATGACTAGTCAAAGGAGGTTTCTAGTGGGATGGGGTGGGCGTGCTCTTGGGAGGCAACAGGTGAGGTGCAAGGGGGGCATCAGAGATGCCCGTTGTCAGCTGGGCACAGTGGCTCACGCCTGTAATCCCAGCACTTTGGGAGGCTGAGGCTGGCGTATCACCTGAGGTCAGGAGTTCAAGACCAGCTGAGGCAACATGGTGAAACCCCGTCTGTACTAAGAATACAAAAATTAGCCCAGCATGGTGGCACGCGCCTGTAATCCCAGCTACTCAGGAGGCAGAGGCACGAGAATCACTTGAACCCGAGAGGTGGAGGTTGCAGTGGGCCGAAATGGCACCACTGCACTCCAGGCTAGGCGACAGAGACGCTGTCTCAAAGAAAAAAAAAAAAAAAGATGCCCATTGTCCTGAGGGAGCTAAAGGGCTGTCACCTGGGGACCCTGAACACCTTGGACAGCTCCCAGCTCCGGTCCTCAGTGGCTCCGGATCACTCTTGCCCCCTGGTGGCCTCACTGAGCGCGGCCGCCGCGGCTCCAGCCAAAGCTGCAGTCGGGGCCGGGGCCGTTCTGTGTTCCTGTATTTGCTTTTCCCGCGAGTGGGGGTGCCCCTGCCTCTGTGGGCACACCTGTGCCTTCCTGTGCACCTGCCCAGCTCGTGAGCACCTGTCTGCGTGCGCCCGGCGCTCCTGTGTCTCTGTGCGCTCGCGAGGCTAGGCCCACACAGGTCCTCTGCCCCATCGCGGGTGCGGGTGAGGGGCTCGGAGTCCTACCGGGAAGAGGCCAGAAGGGAGCGCATCCTGGAGAAGCCCACCCGCGGCCCAAACCCAGCCGGACTTCTGGGAACCGCACCGGCCCCAGAGACCGCAGGTGCCGAGACACCCTGAGGCCGAGAGAGGTCCAGCGAGGCCCGGAGAGGGGACCAGAACTGGAGCAGGGGGAGGGGGCGCAGTCTGGAGCCGCCCTCCCGCCCCCTCAGGTGGAGCGCGCAGGCGCAGTCTCCGCGTGCGCGCCTCGCCGGCGCCTCCATCCCGGATCCTTGCTGCAGCGTCAGCGCCGCCGCCCGTGCCTTTCCTCTTCCTCCTCCTCCTCCTTGGCATCCGCCTCTTCTTCCTCCTGCGTCCTCCCCCGCTGCCTCCGCTGCTCCCGACGCGGAGCCCGGAGCCCGCGCCGAGCCCCTGGCCTCGCGGTGCCATGCTGCCCCGGCGGCGGCGCTGAAGGATGGCGACGCCGCTGCCTCCGCCCTCCCCGCGGCACCTGCGGCTGCTGCGGCTGCTGCTCTCCGGCCTCGTCCTCGGCGCCGCCCTGCGTGGAGCCGCCGCCGGCCACCCGGGTGAGCGAGCGCGCTGGGCGCAGGCCGCGGGGCGCCCCGGGGCCGGGATCGCCGGGCGGGGACCGGGTTGCCGGGCGCCGCCGCCCTCGTCCTGCCCAGGCCCGCAGGCCCTGCAGGCCTGGTCCGCTGGTGGCGGGGGCCCCGCCTCGCCCACGATGGAATAAACAGGCCTGGCCGGAGGGCGCAGCGCGGAGCCTCCAAAAGGCCGCGCCGGATGGGGCTTCTGCCGGTTCCCAGAGGCGTACCTTACATTCATGGCTTCTTCCGCCGGGAGCGCGTCTGGCTCAGGCCTCCGCGCCGCGGCCATCTGGCTCTGGGCGGGCCCGCCGGGAGTCTGCCTGTGTGCGTCTCTGTGTCTCCGTGTTCGGGGCTCCTGCGGGTGTGGGGCTGGCCCTGAGTGCCCGCCGGCTTCGCTGCCGGTGCGCGTCCCGGGGTCGGGGCCTCAGTGCTGCTCTGCCTGTCCTCACGCCTTGGGTGGCGCTGGGCACCGGCCTTGTGCGCCATGGTGGGCGCTGAAGTTCTGGGGGCACTTATGGCGCAGGCTCGGGGTGCTGTTCTAGCTTCAATAGGAGGGAGACTGTTGCAGCCTCAGAGCCTCCGCCTGCATCCCCTGCCCTCGAGGGCACTGGCATTCTGTCTTTGGGACTGAGGGCTGCAGGTGGACTCCGGAGGAGGGTGATAAGCCCAGGGTCCTGGGACACCCTCTCACCTGCACAGATGGGTCCTGAGGGTCCAGAGAGCAGAGCTCCCTGCAGGAACCCAGGATGCAAAGCTGACGTTTTTCTGGGGGGACTGAACTGGGAGACTTTGCGACTGCATTCGTACAGTACTCCTGGCAGCCCTGCAGAAGAGGTGCTGTGAGCCCGTTTTACAGGCAAGGAATCCGAGGCATGGAGAAGTTAAGTGGATTGTGGCACAGCTGAGGCGCTGTCCTGGGCAGCCTGGTTCTGTGTGTGTGGCCTCAAGGGGCCAGAGTGAGGCCGGCTTCCTCCTGGGCTCAGTGCCCCTGGATGGGAGGTGGGCATGAACAGGAGAGGCTTCCGAGAATCAGAGTGTGCTCAGCCAGGAAAGGCGGAGGCCACCTATTCAGGAAACGGGGCTGCAGCTGCTGTGCTGAGCCCGGGTGGGTGGCAGGTGCCAGTCCTCAGTTCACCGGCCTCTGCAGCTTCGTGTCTGCCTCACCGGGAGACCTGGCAGGGCCCTCCCTAGGCAACTCCTCCCATTCCCAGTGCCCAGTGCTTGGAAGGGAGGGCCCTCAGGCAGCCCAGACGTTGGCGGGTGGAGGGGGGTGTGCCAGCCACCGTCCAGCTGCTCTTGTTCCTGCGACCTCTTTTCAGGAGGAGGAAGTGGGGGATGGAGGCTCCTGGGCTGGGGAAAAGGGCTAGGAGGGGCCTGGAACCCAGACCCTAGAGCCAGCTTTGTACCTCAGGCCCCTGCCTTTGGCGTGGTGGACGGTGGGGTATCAGCACAGGAGCGGGGACTGCCTCACTCCCCAGGTGCCAAGTTGGCGGGTGGGCCCAGGTGGACCTGCTGGCACAGGTTTAATGTTTAACGTGCCCAAGTCCCGGCCCACTGATACTGGAGGCTGCTGCCCCAGGTTGTGGAGGGTGTGCGGTGCCTGGCGTTGGCTCCTGTGCCCACCTGCCACTGCGGCTGCTGGAACTGCCTTGAAGGAAGGCGGACAGCCTGAGGGCCCTGAGTGTCAGGTTACCAAGGAAACCAAACCAGCCAACCAAGGTCTGGAGAAGGATGATGCCCCGTGTGGCCCCCGTGGCCCTGCCTGCAGTGTGCAGTGTGGGGCTGGGCAGAGAGGAAGAGTCCTGGTTAGCCAGAGGTGCCACCGCAGACTCCCCAGGCAGGGTTGATGGCCCTGCTGGGGTTCCCCTGGCTCCACTGGCTTGCTGTGACTGGGGACATTCCTTAGCTTTGAGGCAACTCAGCTATATCCCAGAGGGGAAACTGAGGCAGAGGGCCATTGCCCCCTCGCCCCGTTCTCCAGCACCAGGATAAGACTGATTAGCCACATGTGTCAGCTGGCACCGTGGCCTGGGCCCCTCATCAGCGAGATGAAAGTGTGGTTAGGAACTAGGGAACTAGGGCCTGGCCTGCCATCCCCAGCACTGCCAACCTCGGCCTCCTGAGGCCCTCGGGTGCCACCTGGCCCCTGACTGCAGCCCCTGGTGTGGTGGCTTTGGGAGTGACCTGCCTGGGTTCTGTGTCTGAGGCCAGTGAGGTCAGCAGACTCCATCTTAGGTGTCCTCGGTGCCTGGGGGACAAGCCAGAGGCTGGAGGAGCAGCATCCCTTCCAGGCTGCACACTTGTCAGTGCCGGGTTCTGGGGAGAGCCGCACGGGAAGGAGAGGTCGCTGGCGGCATCGTTTGCTGCTCCCCAGAGACAGACCTGGGCCCTTCCCTCTGGGACTCCCAATCTGGACGGGGTTCCTGGCTTGCTGTGGGGCATGTTGAGGCCGGAGGCTGGGCTTGTGGGGCTGCACGGCCCTGCCCAGGAGAACTCAGCACTGCCTGGACGGCGAGACTCAGCTTCTGAGCTGAGGGCTCTATCAGGCCTGGAAGTGGACCCTGGGGAGGGGTGGGGCAGGGTAGTTCTGATAAGTCCTAGGACTGTTCGCTTCCGGGTTCTGAGCCCTGGCGTCAGGGAGGAAGGGCATGTCCAGAACAATGGCCAGAACCAGGCCCGGCCAGCTCGGGGGGTGACGGGGGCGGGTGGCTGGGGCAGCGCTGCCGTGTGCAGGGGCCGAGCCCTGCGGGGCCGTGAGCCGGCCCTGCCTTCTGCTTCCTTCCCAGATGTAGCCGCCTGTCCCGGGAGCCTGGACTGTGCCCTGAAGAGGCGGGCAAGGTGTCCTCCTGGTGCACATGCCTGTGGGCCCTGCCTTCAGCCCTTCCAGGAGGACCAGCAAGGGCTCTGTGTGCCCAGGATGCGCCGGCCTCCAGGTACGAGAGCAAAGGGGGAAGTCGATGGGGGGATGTCCCTGCATGAACCTCTCCCTGTAAGAAGCGGCCGGCTGGGCGCGGTGGCTCATGCCTGTAATCCCAGCACTGTGGGAGGCCCAGGCTGTTGGATCTCATGAGGTCAGGAGTTCAAGACCAGCCTGGCCAACATGGTGAAACCCCGTCTCTACTAAAAATACAAAGTAGCCGGGTGTGGTGGCACACACCTGTAGTCCCAGCTACTCAGGAGGCTGAGGCAGGAGAATTGCTTTAACCCGGGAGGCGGAGCTTGCAGTGAGCCGATTCACCACTGCACTCCAGCCTGGGCGACAGTGCGAGACTCTGTCTCAAAAAAAAAAAAAAAAAAAAAGAAGGCCGGGAGCAGTGGCTCACGCCTGTAATCCCAGCACTTTGGGAGGCCGAGGCGGGCACATCATAAGGTCAGGAGATCGAGACCATCCTGGCTAACACGGTGAAACCCCATCTGTACTAAAAATACAAAAACAAAATTAGCCGGGCGTGGCGGCGGGCGCCTGTAGTCCCAGCTACTCGGGAAGCTAAGGCAGGAGAATGGCGTGAACCCGGGAGGCAGAGCTTGCAGTGAGCCGAGATCGCGCCACTGCACTCCAGCCTGGGCGGCAGAGCGAGACTCCGCCTCAAAAAAAAAAAAGCAGCAGCCTGCAGCCTCAATGCCCAGGCCTGTGCCAGGTGGTCTTGGGGCCCCTGGACCTTGTGGGGTGTTGGGTCCAAGGCCTGGGAGATCCTCATTCACTCTCCACGAAGCCTCCCATCCTTTCCAAATGGAGGTGGGCCCAGGCCTGGGGCAGTCAGGCCCTCCCAGGAGAAGGGCTGCACGATGTGAAATGCTGGGATGGCCACGGGAGAGGAAGGGCCCATTCTCCCCGGGCCTGGGCTCTGCAGGGTCTGCCCAGAAGCCCTCCAGGCCCCCACTTCCCCGTCCCCAGGCAGCTTGCTCTTTTCCACCACTCACTGTCCTGTCCGCCTGTTGGCAAATGTTGAAGGGTGCCAGCACTGGCTGGGTGCTGGGGATGCCCCGCTCGCCAGCCTGAGCCGCATCTGTCGGGATGGCCAGTCACTGAGTGACTTCAGGTGTGGTGAGGGCTTTGCTCAGAGGTGCTGGGGGTGGGAGCAGCAGCGGCTTCCTGGAGGAGGTGTTGAGAGGAGCACCGAGAAGTGGCTGTAAGGGTCTGTGTGGATGCACCTCCTGCCAACCTGGGAGCGTCCACCCAGACTGTGCAGCCCACAGTGGGTACCGGTGGAGCCCTGCCACCAGCCCCACCCCTGACAGCTGCCCCCGTTCTCCCAATGACCTGGGGAGGGGTCCCGGGTGCTTGGCTTCCTTCGGCTTCCCCCCACTCCTTGGGGAGTCCCTGCCCCTCTACCCGAGAAGGTGCTTGGAGGTGGGGAAGCAGAAGGGGCTGTGCTGGCCAGCCCTTTATGGACATGGGTTGGGGCGAGAGACCCCACTCCTTCCTCCCCGTGCCCGGTCTTTGGACGTTTCCCTAGCGCCTCCTCCCTTGCCCTGCCTCCACTTTCCGGGAAGCACTGCCCCTCACAGGAAGCGCCCGCGCTGTCACCATGGCAATCTGGGAGGGAGAGGGCCTCCAGGCGTGTACCCAGTCCTCAGGCTCCTGGGAGGAACCTGCCAGAAGCGGGGAGGCCGGGCCTGGGGCTACCTCCTGGACGGACCCCTCCACCTGATGGCCCCTCACCCTCCCCAGGCGGGGGCCGGCCCCAGCCCAGACTGGAAGATGAGATTGACTTCCTGGCCCAGGAGCTTGCCCGGAAGGAGTCTGGACACTCAACTCCGCCCCTACCCAAGGACCGACAGCGGCTCCCGGAGCCTGGTGAGACCCCCGCTTCCCCTGCCCCACGGCCCTGTCCCTAGCCCAGTGCTCTCATTCTAACCTGTCCTCTCTCGCAGCCACCCTGGGCTTCTCGGCACGGGGGCAGGGGCTGGAGCTGGGCCTCCCCTCCACTCCAGGAACCCCCACGCCCACGCCCCACACCTCCCTGGGCTCCCCTGTGTCATCCGACCCGGTGCACATGTCGCCCCTGGAGCCCCGGGGAGGGCAAGGCGACGGCCTCGCCCTTGGTAGGTCTTGGTCGGGGGTGGGCAGGGGCAGCAGGGCGCCCTGCAGAAGGCCGCCCTCACACGCCCCCTCCTGCAGTGCTGATCCTGGCGTTCTGTGTGGCCGGTGCAGCCGCCCTCTCCGTAGCCTCCCTCTGCTGGTGCAGGTGAGCCAGTGGCCGCGGGCAGGGCAGGGAGGGTGCCACACGCTCAGAGGTCTCAGGCCCCACTCCCCACAGGCTGCAGCGTGAGATCCGCCTGACTCAGAAGGCCGACTACGCCACTGCGAAGGCCCCTGGCTCACCTGCAGCTCCCCGGATCTCGGTGTGTGGCCCCCTTCAGCCCTGAGGCTCCCGCCCAACTCTGGCCGCCAACTGACCCTCGCCTCCTCCTTCCCACAGCCTGGGGACCAGCGGCTGGCACAGAGCGCGGAGATGTACCACTACCAGCACCAACGGCAACAGATGCTGTGCCTGGAGCGGTGAGTGGCCGCCCCGGCACTGCCACCCCCACCCACCCACCCCCCATCCCCACCTCCACCTCCATTTCCACCTCCCCTGGCCAACTTTACCCCAGGCCCTGCCACCCTCACCTGCACGCTAACCTTCACCTCCCCCGCCGCCCTGCACCCTCACCTCCCCTGGCCAACTTCACCCTGGGCTGTGCTCCCCTGCCACCCCAGGGCTGAGGTGGGCTGAGTGCCCACTTCCAGACTGGGCCACTGGCACCTCGAGGGCATGGGGAGGACCCAGCGATCCCCCCCCACCCAGGCATAAAGAGCCACCCAAGGAGCTGGACACGGCCTCCTCGGATGAGGAGAATGAGGACGGAGACTTCACGGTGTACGAGTGCCCGGGCCTGGCCCCGGTGAGTGCCTCAGGGTGCAGGGAGGGGCGAACCATCTCCTGGGGTTCCCTCCCAGCAAGTATCCCCCCAGCCCACCCACTGCCCAGCCTGACACCCACATTCGCAGACCGGGGAAATGGAGGTGCGCAACCCTCTGTTCGACCACGCCGCACTGTCCGCGCCCCTGCCGGCCCCCAGCTCACCGCCTGCACTGCCATGACCTGGAGGCAGACAGACGCCCACCTGCTCCCCGACCTCGAGGCCCCCGGGGAGGGGCAGGGCCTGGAGCTTCCCACTAAAAACATGTTTTGATGCTGTGTGCTTTTGGCTGGGCCTCGGGCTCCAGGCCCTGGGACCCCTTGCCAGGGAGACCCCCGAACCTTTGTGCCAGGACACCTCCTGGTCCCCTGCACCTCTCCTGTTCGGTTTAGACCCCCAAACTGGAGGGGGCATGGAGAACCGTAGAGCGCAGGAACGGGTGGGTAATTCTAGAGACAAAAGCCAATTAAAGTCCATTTCAGACCTGCGGCTTCTGCCTGTGTTGCCAGCTTGGGTTAATCTTCCACCGCCTCATCTCCCATTTGGGGCCCTGGTAGACGGACCCCTGAGTGGGGGGCCTGGGGTCTGCTCTTGCACCCCCAGAGGGAGGAGGCCTTTCTGTTCGCTCATTAGGAGGACCTTCCCATCCCGTGGAGCTGGAGGAGAGGCCACGGGATCATCCCCACCCTCCTCAGCCAGGCCTCACCCCTGCAGACCCTTCTACGCAGGTGGGAGAGGGGAAGGGTGTAGTGTAGGGCTGGGCCAGCCCAGGGTTGGCTCTGCGGCCCGGAAGACCCCATCCTGTGTGATAAAGAGGGCTGGAGCAGGTGATAGTCCACACGCACCTGGATGTGGGTGCCCACCACCTCCAGGCAGAAGGAAAACAATGCAGACATTGAGTCTGGGTTTCTCATGGGGACCACGGCCGCCAGGCCCTGCAGCACACGGAGGAGGGATGGCAGGCAGAGGTACCTGTGTGATACCAGCTATGCAGAGCCAGGTGGACCCAGGGGGCCAGGTGAGGGGTGTGATGGGAGGGGCCTGGACGCCTGGAGCTGGGACTTGGCCACTCCTAAATTTGGAGCAAGAAGGCCCCGAGGGAGGAAGGGGAATCATGTGGTCAAAAGTGCCCAGATCAGGCCAGTACCAGGTCAGCGTGCGGGGGCTGAAACTCTCTGTCCCACTGATGCTGGGGACGTAGGAGGACTGGGTTCAGAAGCCCCTCAGTGGTTGTTAGGAGTCTGGAGGTCCAGGCACCTAGACAGCCCTGGCGTGTTCGTGTTATTAATCAGGGATCTCTTTTTATTTATTTATTTATTTATTTATTTATTTATTTATTTATTTTTGAGACGTAGTTTCACTCTTGTTGCCCAGGTTGGAGTGCAATGGCGTGATCTCGGCTCACTGCAACCTCCGCCTCTCAGGTTCAAGCGATTCTCCTGCCTCAGCCTCCCGAGTAGCTGGGATTGCAGGTGTGCGCCACCACACCTGACTAATTTTGTATTTTTAGTAGAGACGAGGTTTCTCCATGTTGGCCAGGCTGGTCTGGAATTCCCGACCTCAGATGATCTGCCCACCTCGGTCTCCCAAAGTGCTGGGATTACAGGCGTGAGTCACCACACACGGCCAGTCAGGTTCTCTTAGAGAAACAGAACTAATAGGAGATATATATATATAGAGAGAGAGAGAGAGGGGGGCCAGGTGCAGTGGCTCATGCCTGTAATCCCAGCACTTTGGGAAGCTGAGGCGGGCGGATTGCCCGAGCTCAGGAGTTCGAGACCAGCCTGGGCAACACAGTAAAACCCCCGTCTCTACTAAAATACAAGAAATTAGCCAAGCATGGCAGCGTGTGCCTGTAGTCCCAGCTATCTGGAGGCTGAGGCAGGAGAATCGCTTGAACCCAGGAGGCGGAGGTTGCAGTGAGCCAAGATTGCACCACCGCACTCCAGCCTAGAGACAGCAAGACTGTGTTAAAAAAAAAAAAAGAAATACATATATATATGAAGGGGAGTTTATTAAGTATTAACTCACACGATCACAAGGTCCCACAATAGGCCGTCTGCAAGCTGAGGAGCATGGAGAGCCAGCCCGAGTCTCAAAGCTGAACTTGGAGTCCGATGTTCGAGGGCAGGAAGCGTCCAGCACAGGAGAAAGATGTAGGCTGGGAGGCGAGGCCTGTCGTCTCCTTTTCACGTTTTTCTGGTTGACATTCGCTGGCAGCTGATTAGATGGTGCCCACCAGATGAAGGGTGGGTCTGCCTTCCGCAGCCCACTGACTCTAGTGTTAATCTCTTTTGGCAACACCCTCTCAGACACACCCAGCATCAATACTTTGTATCCTTCAATCCAATTAAATTGACAGTATTAACCATCACACCTGGCATGGGGAAGATAAGGCCCACTGGGCACCGTCCCTGGAGAAAGGGTGGGCCAGGCAGGCTGGGGGAAAATTGTTCACCCCTGCTGGGGGAGACTGGCTTGACCTAAGCAACATGTTTTGGGGGCCACAGCCCACCCAGACCAGGAAGCCCCCTTGCCTCTCACCTCTCACTCCTCACCTGTGACCTTGGGCTGGCCCTCAGCTGGGAGCCCCATGTCCCTCTGGGCACTGCTGTGATGGGGCAGGGTGTGATGGGAGCCTGTGTGTGGGCCCTGGTGTGATGGGTGCCTGCGTGCATGGGGCAGGGTGGACGCTGAGCCCACGTGGCACGCCCACGCCCACCATCCTTCACTCTAAGCCATTAGCCACAGGGAAAGCGGGTGGGTGCAGGGAGGCCCGAGCGTCACTCAAGGGCGCAGGGCAGCGTCTGGCCCAAGGCCAGCGTGTCACTGGCTGGGAGGTTCCCCTGGAGCTCCACGTTCAGTCCCTCAGGTCACAATACACACCTATCCTGCTGGCCTGACGCAGGGGCCCAAGAGCCTCCTAGTGTGTCCCATCTTCTTCTTGTTCTGGGTGTCCCCAACCTGTCCTCAGGGTCCCTGCTGCCCATTCTCTTAGGTATTGGCAAGGAAGGACTCCCTCCCAGAGCAGCTGTGTGAGAAGGGAGCTGGTGGGCCTGAGCTGGGGAAGGGTTGGCAGGGGGCTAGGTCCTCCGGTGGGGGCATAGGCCCCCATGCAGCCTAGCACCCTGCTCCCCACTCGCCTTTTTGGAATTGTTTTTTTTTTTTTTGAGACAGATTCTCACTCTGTCAGCCAGGCTGGAGTGCAGTGATATGATCTTGGCTCTCTGCAACCTCCATCTCCCAGGTTCAAGTGATTCTCCTGCCTCAGCCTCCCGAGTATTTGGGATTACATACAGGTGCCTGCCACCACGCCCAGCTATTTTTAGTGGAGATGGGGTTTCACCATGTTGACCAGGCTGGTCTCGAACTCCTGACCTCAGGTGATCCACCCGCCTTGGCCTCCCAAAGTGGGATTACAGGCATAAGCCACCACACCAGCTTTTTGGCTTTCATTGGCCCCTGGCCAATTCAGACAGAAGGCCTTCAACTTTGTCCAAGCTCCTGCCCCCACCCATCAGGAGCCCCCTTGCTCCCATAGGCCCCAGGCTGTGGGTGAGCTGCCCTGGGGCCCCCAGGGACTCTGGAGACCCCAATCCTGGGCTTGGGGCCTGGCTCAGCCTTGCCTGGGGGCCCATTACTCAATTCCTTTCCACTTTACCTTCTGCTGTTCCTGTCCCTGTCCCAAGGGCCCTGGCGGCAGTAAGAGGCAGATTTCACCTTGGTTTCTGGCTCAACTCTGAGCCCTGAGCCGGCCTGAGCCTGCTGACCCTGGCCCGGCAGCCTAGCGCCCCCTCCACCAGTTCCCACTTGAGGAAGCCCAGCGGGGCACTGATGTGCATCTTCCAGCCTCGGCTACCTCCCTGCTTGGTGCCCTGCCCACACCTGGTGACCTCCTGAGCACAGATGCCCAAGAGTGACATGCCCAGACCCTGGCGGAGACGCTGGGGTGGCACTCATCTGTGCAGAGATGCCCCCAACCCAGCAAGATGCTGGGGCAGGACCATGCTTGACCCAGAATGTGGGGCGTGTGATCCCCTAGCCAACATCCTAGGAAGCAAGGACATCCCCAGCTTCTGGCCCTGGGAGGCGATCTTGTTCCCCACCCTGGGTGGCTGGGTGGGCCGGCCCCGGGTTCAGAGTCCCTGGCTGCAGCCCTCCCCTACAGCCACACAACACAGAGGAGCGGGTCCCGGCAAAACTTGGGGTGCAGAGTGGGTCCCTGGAGGACCAGAGCCCCACCCAGCAGCTCCACCTGGAGGAGAACAAGGACAGACGTGATCCCCCCACGCCTTGGGGCTCAATGGGATGAGAGTTGGAGGGGAGGGGCTGAGCTCACCCACTGCACCACCCTGTGCTGCCCCTCGACCAATCCCTCCACTTGGGGGTCCCCTTGGCCACCTGCCAGGCTCCGTGCACCCACCCAGCTTTCCCAAGGCGAGGTCCGAGGGGCTCTCCAGCCCCCAGCTCCACCTGTTACTGAGAATAAGGGCAGTCTTCCTTGTTGCCGGAGCCATGTAGCTTTGCAGCATGCCGCCAGGGAGCGCTCGAGACACGCATCTGGACTGCCTTGCTCAAGCCAACCCATGAAGCAGGTGGGGCTCAGGAAGACAGCCAGGCTCAGCCCGCTCCCTGAGACGCCCCTGGGGCTGGGGCTGGGTGCCCCTCACCTTGCTGCTGCCCCGGGTGCCGCTGTCTGCAGGGGGCAGCTGGCCAATGGTCTGCTCTTGGTCTGGAGTGGGGCCCACTGGGTTGAGGCCTCTTCAGTGGGCATCCACCGGGAAGCTGGCCCACAGTGAAGGCTCAGCGGGGAAGAGCTTGTGTCCTGATCATCACGATGCTCACACACCACGGAGCTGGGGTTGGCTGCCTGCCTGGGTCCGCACAAACCCAGGGAGTCAGGAGGCCTGGGTGGGGTGAGATGAGGGGGAGCCCCTGCCCCCCGACTTTCTCTTTGACTCATGCCCTTTTCTTTCCTCTGAGAGGCTTTCGTTCTGACCCATTTCTGGGCAAAACCCCCGAGCCCCGTTTGCCAGCTCGCAGGTTCCCACGCACGATTGGGCCCCATGGCAGCCACCCTGCCCAGGGTCCTCAAGGAGCAAGCTAGGGGCGGAGGGTGGGGGAGGCTCCTTCAAATCCACCCAGGGAGGGAGCAGGCTGTGGCTGCGGCTGAGGTCGGTGGCAAGGGACCCTGCCAGCCTGGCAGCACAAACAGGAAGGATGGCAGGCTCTGGCACCAGAGGCCGGGTCACCCGCAGGCGTGGCAGGACAGCCTCCTTCCTGCAGGAACTGCCGCCGGGTGTCTGTTTCAAGGAGAAGAGATGGGGTGGTGTGAGGCTGAAGCCAAGGTGTGGCTCCCCGGGGGCCCCCTGCCAGAGGAGGAACGCTGGGGTGGGATTAAAGGCCCAGGTGCCACTGTGGTCATCACCGAAAACATGGGAGGCTGGAAAGGCGGGGCTGGAGGCAGCTGCCCACTCTGGTGCCAGCCCCTAAGCCAAGCAGCTCAGGCACTGACAGTTTCCCGTGGCGCCCACAGGCACCCCTCCCTCCAAACCCCCCTCCCTCCAAGCTCCCCTCCAAGCTCCCCTCCCTCCAGCCCCCTCCCTCCAAACCCCCCTCTCTCCAGCCCCCCTCCCAAGCCCCCTCCCTCCAAGTCCCCCTCCCTCCAGCCCCCCTCCCTCCAGCCGTTGCACAAGTTCCGCAGCAAAGCTCAGCTCAGAGGCTACACTGCGCCACAGGGGTGGGGGCCTCTGACTACCACCCTGTCCCAGTCTTGCCTCTGTCCCCACAGTGGGATCCTCCCACTTCAGTCTCCAGCTGCCTGGTTCCCCTCCCAAGGCAGCCTTGTCCTCACTGTGGGGCCGGGGAGAGGCCAGCAGCCCCTGGGGCCCAAAAGTAGAACAGGACAGGGACAGGGGTGGTGGGAGGCAGGCCCCCTCTGAGGGTGCTGGGGCAAAGGTCTGGACAACAGTTCATGGTTGCCATTCCTCCCAGGACACACGATCTGAGCCCCCAAAAGACCTGACAGGACAGACGCGTCCTCATTCCCAGCATCCCAGCATTTTGGGAGGCCGAGGTGGGAGGACTGCTTGAGCCAGGAGTTTGAAACTAGCCTGGACAACATAACAAGACTCTGCCTCTACAAAAAATTTTAAAAAATTAACCAGGCATGGTAGTGCACACCCATAGACCCAGCTCCTTGGGAGGCTGAGGTGGGAGCATTGCTTGAGCCCAGGAGGTTGAGGCTGCAGCAAACCGTGACTGCGCCACTGCACTCCAGCCTGGGCAACAGAGCAAGACCCTGTCTCAAAAAACAAAAAACAAAAACCCACACACAAAAAAGCAAACTTGGCTGGGCGCGGTGGCTCATGCCTGTAATCCCAACACTTTGGGAGGCTGAAACTTGTGGATCACCTGAAGTCAGGAGTTTGAGACCAGCCTGGCCAACATGGGAAAACCCCATCTCTACTAAAAATACAAAAATTAGCTGGGCGTGGTGGCAGGCACCCATAATCCCAGCTACTTGGGAGGCTGAGACAGGAGAATCACTTGAACCCGGAAGGTGGAGGTTGCAGTGAGCCAAGATCGCACCACTTGATCCTGACTTCAGGTGATCCACAAGCCTTGGCCTCCCAAAATGCTGGGATTACAGCCTGGGCGATAGTGCAAGACTCCCTCTCAAAAAACAAACAAACAAACAAACAAACAAACCAAGCCTGACCTGCATTGAGATCTCCAGGACGTCTGGGTCTGGCCACGCCTGGGACCACACAAGGTCCCGTGCAGCAGAGTGGCAACGTGGTTGGGTGAAGAGGCTGATGGGGCCTCCCACTGTGGCTGAGAGTGGGGTGTTGGTTGGCTGGGGCTCAGGGTGACCCCGCAGGGCCATCCCAGCCTGGCTGGCACCCAACGTGGGCTGGTGTAGAAGAAGGAACCTGGCCTCCAGGCTCCAGGCCCTGGCTTAGAGGGAGCGGGGAGTCTGGACTTCAGGCTGGATCCCTTCCTCTTCCTGGAGCGGGTGCTGGCCCCCAACCCGCTTGCGTCAGGGACAAAAGGACTCCTTCCCTTTCCAGCCTGGAAAGCCCCTCTGCTGCAGGCTGGAGGAAGGGACCCTGGGCCCAGCCTATAGTCAGCGGTGTCTATGGGCATGGATCTGGACGGGGAAAAGGACAAAGCAGCCTCCATCCACAGTTCATTCCGGGACCAGGCCCTTGCAGGCACGCGCTGGGCTCCTGTGGGAAGACACTAAGGGCCCCAGGACAGACCTCCTCTCCGGGCATCTGGGTTCCTAGATGGCAGAGGTGGCAGAGTGGGGTGGGATGGCCCAATTGGGAGCTTTAGCTTCCGGCAAAGAGCTGAGCACAGTACATCTTCAATGTGTAAGATTCTCCTGGGAGACCAGGGCCCAGCTGGTGGTGAGCTGGGGGAAGTGGGTGATACTGCCGTGGGAGGAGCCACCTGGCCCTCTGGGGAAGTGCACTCGCTGTCTGCAGCGCCCAGGCCTGGGTAGCTGGGTGGGGGCTGGGGGGCCATCTGTGCTCAGGGTGCCTGCACCTGGGCCTTCTCTGCCCTGGGCCAAGCCTGCCCGAGCCTCTCTGTCCTCTGCCTGCCCAGCTGGACATCTCTGGGCCTCTCTGGAGACCAGTGGGGTGGGCTGTGGGGGCGTCATATTGCCCTGGCTTGGCATCCCTCTTGTGGCTGTACCCCTCCCAGCAGCCCCAGGACTAGCAAGTCCCCGAGATGGGGGTGGGGACAGTGGTTGATGCCAAAGGTTGTGGGGGCAGGGGCGGGGCAGGAGCAGGAAGGTCCCCTGAGTTCCCTCACCTTGGGCAGAGATAAAAGGAGCACAGTTCCAGGCGGGGCTGAGCTAGGGCGTAGCTGTGATTTCAGGGGCACCTCTGGCGGCTGCCGTGATTTGAGAATCTCGGGTCTCTTGGCTGACTGATCCTGGGAGACTGTGGATGAATAATGCTGGTGAGTGTCTGGCCCTCGGGGAGGCCCAAGCTGGGGACAGCTAGGCAACCTGGGAGGGGAGGACGGGGGTGGCGCTGAGTGGGGCATGTCGGTGTCCCTGAGCCCATGGGAGGGGAGGACGGGGGTGGCGCTGAGTGGGGCATGTGGGTGTCCCTGAGCCCATGGGAGGGGAGGACGGGGTTGGCGCTGAGTGGGGCGTGTGGATGTCCCTGAGCCCAAGTGACAGAGCCTCCCCTCCCTCGTGCTGCTGCAGGGCACGGCCCCACCCGGAGGCTGCGAGGCTTGGGGGTCCTGGCCGGGGTGGCTCTGCTCGCTGCCCTCTGGCTCCTGTGGCTGCTGGGGTCAGCCCCTCGGGGTACCCCGGCACCCCAGCCCACGATCACCATCCTTGTCTGGCACTGGCCCTTCACTGACCAGCCCCCAGAGCTGCCCAGCGACACCTGCACCCGCTACGGCATCGCCCGCTGCCACCTGAGTGCCAACCGAAGCCTGCTGGCCAGCGCCGACGCCGTGGTCTTCCACCACCGCGAGCTGCAGACCCGGCGGTCCCACCTGCCCCTGGCCCAGCGGCCGCGAGGGCAGCCCTGGGTGTGGGCCTCCATGGAGTCTCCTAGCCACACCCACGGCCTCAGCCACCTCCGAGGCATCTTCAACTGGGTGCTGAGCTACCGGCGCGACTCGGACATCTTTGTGCCCTATGGCCGCCTGGAGCCCCACTGGGGGCCCTCGCCACCGCTGCCAGCCAAGAGCAGGGTGGCCGCCTGGGTGGTCAGCAACTTCCAGGAGCGGCAGCTGCGTGCCAGGCTGTACCGGCAGCTGGCGCCTCATCTGCGGGTGGATGTCTTTGGCCGTGCCAATGGACGGCCACTGTGCGCCAGCTGCCTGGTGCCCACCGTGGCCCAGTACCGCTTCTACCTGTCCTTTGAGAACTCTCAGCACCGCGACTACATTACGGAGAAATTCTGGCGCAACGCACTGGTGGCTGGCACTGTGCCAGTGGTGCTGGGGCCCCCACGGGCCACCTATGAGGCCTTCGTGCCGGCTGACGCCTTCGTGCATGTGGATGACTTTGGCTCAGCCCGAGAGCTGGCGGCTTTCCTCACTGGCATGAATGAGAGCCGATACCAACGCTTCTTTGCCTGGCGTGACAGGCTCCGCGTGCGACTGTTCACCGACTGGCGGGAACGTTTCTGTGCCATCTGTGACCGCTACCCACACCTACCCCGCAGCCAAGTCTATGAGGACCTTGAGGGTTGGTTTCAGGCCTGAGATCCGCTGGCCGGGGGAGGTGGGTGTGGGTGGAAGGGCTGGGTGTCGAAATCAAACCACCAGGCATCCGGCCCTTACCGGCAAGCAGCGGGCTAACGGGAGGCTGGGCACAGAGGTCA
Organism: Homo sapiens; assembly: GCF_000001405.40. Taxonomy (NCBI): domain Eukaryota; kingdom Metazoa; phylum Chordata; class Mammalia; order Primates; family Hominidae; genus Homo; species Homo sapiens. The sequence continues at coordinate 137,030,590 of NC_000009.12, read as the reverse complement.
GGAAGCAGGGGTGGGGGGTGCAGGTGGGCACTGGAGCATGCAGAGGAGGTGAGAGTGGGAGGGAGGTAACGGGTGCCTGCTGCGGCAGACGGGAGGGGAAAGGCTGCCGAGGACCCTCCCCACCCTGAACAAATCTTGGGTGGGTGAAGGCCTGGCTGGAAGAGGGTGAAAGGCAGGGCCCTTGGGGCTGGGGGGCACCCCAGCCTGAAGTTTGTGGGGGCCAAACCTGGGACCCCGAGCTTCCTCGGTAGCAGAGGCCCTGTGGTCCCCGAGACACAGGCACGGGTCCCTGCCACGTCCATAGTTCTGAGGTCCCTGTGTGTAGGCTGGGGCGGGGCCCAGGAGACCACGGGGAGCAAACCAGCTTGTTCTGGGCTCAGGGAGGGAGGGCGGTGGACAATAAACATCTGAGCAGTGCCTCGTGGGTCTGGCCAGTGTCTCATGGGTCACCTCCGTGCAGGGCCACAGAGCCTGCATCTGCCCTCCCCTGACATGTCGCCCCCACGGCCATGGGGCTGCTTGTTCCCCACGGGGGGTCCTGTCGCCTGACTTCTGGGCCTTTGCTCACCCTCCGCCTGAGAGCCCTCCCTGTGCCGGGCTGCCCACTGGCTACCCCAGTTCCTACAGCCTCCGCCAGACGGCCCCTTATCAGAGAGCCTTCTGTGTCCCCCAAAAGGCCAAGGCGATGAGCCCAGGAGTTCGAGACCAGCCTGGGCAGTGTAGTGAAATCTCATCTCTACCAAAAATACAAGAATTAGCAGGGCGTGGTGGCTCACGCTTGTGGTCTCAGCTACTTGGGATACTGAGGTGAGAGGATGGCTTGAGCCCAGGAGGTTGAAGCTTCAGTGAGCCGTGATCACACCACAGCACTCCAGCCTGGGCAACAGAATGAGACCCTGTCTCAAAACAAAAACCAAAACAGGCCAAGGTTGGGGAAGAGTAGGGAACGGACGTCAGAGGCCTGGCCAGGCTGAAATCGCCCATCTCCCAGGCCCGCAGGCTGGAGGGTGTCTGGGGTGACAGGGTCTGACCTGTGCCTTGTAGCTCCCTCTGGTGGCCAGTGCTGGGGAGGCACTGGGGATGCGGCTGCAGCCAGGGAGCCCCTGTAGTGGACGGTGGAGAGTGGGGCGAGGAGGAGAGAGGCCAACCCACGGGTGGTGCTGACCAGGGCCCCAACAGGCTAAGCCCCCGGGGCTGGGGCACAGGGCTTGTCCCTACCCCAGGTAGGGGTGGGCAGGTTGAGGGCAGGAAGCCCCCCTCACCCATGGCTGTGGCTTGTGGGAAAGACCTGCTGGTAGCTTCCTGCCCTGACCCAGCCCTGTGGACTGAGCAGAGAAAAGCAAGTGCCTTGAGGCTGCGGGCTGGGGTGGGAAGCTGATCCCTCACTCACTAGCCCAGGGTCACCTTCCTGCTGCAAAGGAGCTGGGAGGAGTGGGGAGCTGTGGCCTCGGAGGTCTTCATTCACTTGAGGATGCGCCTTCTATGTGCGCCCTGACACTGGACACCACACAGCGCTACTCCACCCCATTCACAGGGGGGAAACTGAGTCTGGGAAGCGCCGTCAGAGCCACCCATGGGGTCAGCCTGTCCTCTGTCGCTCTCTACAGGCCACGCGGAGGAACTGCCCCACCTCCCGGGGCGCCCCAGCAGGTGCCAAGCCACAGCCGCAGAACCGCCTGATCCCGAACTCCCTGTGCAGAGACCAGACTCGCCCGAATATGGGGAGAAAAACGAGCCGCGTGCAGCAGGGGCCGCCTCGGTCCCCTGCCTGCTCCGCTCACGGCGAGCGTTCCTGGGGCCTCGAGTTTCCCCCCTTCCGCTGGCTGCTCGGAATCGCGGGACGGACCCACCTGGCCGCCCTGCCTCCCTTCCAGGTGGGCACCACCTGGACTCCAAGTGCTGGTTTACAAAGCACACAGGAGACCCTTACGGGGGTGAGCTGGCCCCTCGCCAGCGTCCGCTCGGCGCGCCCCGGGGACAGTGAAGGCTTGGGGCGCCTCTGCAGAGTCGCCAGCGCGGTGGGCGCAGCCGGATGCCTCTGGGAGAAGAGCGCAGCGCCCGAGGGTCCCCCGGCCTACGAAGGCTAAGCCGGGGTCTCGGATTCGATGTGGGCGCGTCGCGTGACGCCCGGCGAGGGGCGGCCCGGAGGCTTCCCGGCGGCGGCGCGCGCAGGGTCTCGGGCCCGGGTCGGTCCCGGGCGCGGCGCGGGCGGCGGGCGCCTCCTGGCGGGCGCGGACGGAGCGCGGCGCCTTTAAGCGGGGGCGGGCGGGGCGCGGGCAGAGTCGCTGTCGCCGCGGCCGCCGGGGCGGAGCCAGCGCGGATCGGGTCCCGGACGCCCGAGCGCCCCGCCCCCGCGCGGGCGATGCCCAGCGGCGCGGCGGGCTGCGGGGCCCGGCGGGGCGCGCAGAGGAGCGGGCCGCGGCGCTGAGGCGGCGGAGCGTGGCCCCGCCATGGGCTTCCTGCACCAGCTGCAGCTGCTGCTCTGGAAGAACGTGACGCTCAAACGCCGGAGCCCGGTGAGCCCACCCCACGCGCCCGCCCTCAGCCCGAGGCCGCGCGCACCGCGGCCAGAGGCGCGCTCCCCGCGCGCACGTGCGGACGGCCGGGCGCGCGCAGACCCCGGCGGGCGCTGGGGGCGGCGCGGGCCCGAGCCCCCTCCCCGCCGGGCCCTGCCCTCGCCTGCCGGCGCTGCGGCCTCCGGGGAGGTGGCTCGGTCGTGTCCAGTCCGGTCCCGCGTCCGCTGACATCGCGGTGCTCGGCTGAGTCACGGCACCCGCGCCCTCTGCAGCGCGCTCGCTGGGGCCGCTGTGGGCGGGGGGCAAGCGGCGCTCAGGACTCTGGCTCGAGGGAGGCCCTGGTTCCCAGGACAGAAGGCAGGCCTGGGGGGCTCCATTCAGCTGCGAGGCTCCATGGTCCTTGGGCCCAGCCTCCCTGGGGTCCCGGAGGAGACCCTGTCCCTTCCCTCCGTCCACCCCTCCCCTGCCCTTGGGCCGCGGCCTGCCATAGAGGTTGGTCCCAGGCATCTCTCCGCCTCCCCTCCTGGCACATCCGTGACCCTTGCTCATGCTCTCGCCACTGGGAATGTCCTTGTGCCAGCCTTGGCCAGCCTGAATCTCTGCACCCATTTGTCCTTTGGGGTCAGTTCTCCCCGAGCCTGATCCACTCTGTTGCCTCCTGGTCCCCCCACCTGCTCTGGGGGCTGGGTCTACTGTTTGGAGCTGTGAACCCCGGCTTTCCCAGCACTGCCTGGGCAGCCAGTGGACCTGAGGGTGCAGGACACATGGCTGTCAGGGACAGAAGTCCTTCGTGGAGCGAGGGGCTTGGGGATATGGGTGTCCTGCCATACCCCCAGCTGGCCAGCTTGGCTCCAGCCTGGGAAGGGAAGGGACACCTCCCAGGCCACAGGCCTGGACCAGCTTAGGTTTCTGAAGGCCCTTGGGATTGTCCAGGCCAGGGCTCAGAGCAGGTGGGGGCCTAAGGCAGACATCCTCTTGCCCAGCCAGGGCCCGGGCGGGACCCCTTGGGCTGCACCAGTCCGTGCCTGTTTATCTTTCAACATGCACTGCAGGAAACCCAGGCTGCAGTCAGCTGGGGTGGCCATCATCACCATGGCTGGCAGAATTCCCCTGGGCACCTGGCCTTGGCGGGGAGCCTGGGTTAGGTACATGCCCTGGCCAGGCACCTGGAGCTGGCTGAGTGGGGTCCCATGGATCAGGCCTGCAGCCCCTGGCATTGAGTCACTGGGGACAGCAGAGCAGGGCCAAGGGAACAGGGATGTGGCATGTGGCATGCATTAGTATTAGTCCCCGGGGGTGGTTGTCAGGAAGGTCCCCACTGGGCTTGGGAGCAGAGGCTGGAATGGTGGCCCCTGTTCCAGTGGGGACAATGCTCAGGGAAGGGAGTGTGGCCTATGAGGGCAGCTGGCAAGCAGGTGGGAGGTGTGCACTGTCCTGACCGCAAGAGTGACTCCCAGCTGCTGGTTTGGGCTGCCCCCCAGGACCTTTTTGGGTCCCCACCCTACAGGGCTCCCAGAGGCCCACTGGGCCACAGTGGAGGTCCTTAGCCCATGGCTGGAGCAGGTGGGGAACTGTTTCCCCCAGGGAGGCTGAGTCCTTGCCAGGCTTGTGATGTGGGGCTGGGGCTGGCTGGACACTGGGCACACTCCTGCTGGGTCCCCACTTTCCTGGGAAGGATCTTGGACATCAGAGCTGGACTCTTGGGGCCAAGCTTGGATGACAGAGGTTTGCCCTGTGTGCCATGCGCCCTGCTGGGGCAGGGGTGCACCCTGGGCAGAGCTCCACCCTGGGCAGAGCTCAGGGTCTGGAGGGTGGGTGCCAAGGACCTCTGTGCTGCTAGCAGGCTCCTCCAAGCTCTTTGCCTCAGTTTCCCTGTCTGTGAGTGTGGCCTATCTCCTCTTAGTTAGCTGGACTTGGGTCTACCCTTGGGCTACAGGCTGCTCTTGGTGCAGGGACAGGGTCACTGTCATGAAGTCACTGGGATGGCAGATGGCAGCGCCACCCTCGGGTCTCACCTGTTCTCCCCCCGACACAGTAGGCGGGAGCTACAGGGAGGGGTCATGCCCAGAGAAGGCATCTAGGCCTCCAGGCGATGTGAAGGCACTGGGCTGGTCTCGAGGGACGGAGGTTGGGCCACCTGGAGGCACCTGTGTGGGGCACCCAGGGCGTGCTAGACCTGTGCTGCCGCCTGTAACCAGATGCTGCTGTGGCGCCCGCCGCCTGCCAGCCAGGACTCTCCTCCTCCTCCCAGTAGCTCGTGCGAGGCCGTTGCTATAGCAATGGGGGAGGCAGCCGGGCCTGTTGCTGCAGTTACAGTGCCCATAGCAGGCCGGGTGTGGGCGGGGCTGGCGCCCCGTGCTGTGACCCCTGCCTCTGACATTGCCTCACTCCTGCAGCCACCCTCGCCCTGGTGCCTGTTGGTGCCCACAGTGCCTTGGCGAACCCTGGGCTCCGTCCTGGCTCAGGGAGCGGGTGGAGGCTGGCACGGGCTGGGGCGGGCATGGGACACCCACAGCATGATGTTCCTGGCCACAAAGCCCTATTGTCCAAGCACAGTAAACACAGCAGCCGCCCCCACCCCAGGGACCGGGGACTCGGCCCGGGCCACACAGCACACTGGGGGCTCTGAAGGGTTTTGGGATGGGGATGAGGACAAAGGATGCCTCCGAGCTGGGTGCTCGCCCTCGGGCTAGGGAGGGCAGGGCCCCTCTGTCCTGTGGGTCTCAGAGAGGGCTGGTCTGCCGAGGGCTCTCTGGAGGGTAGCTGGCTCAAGCTCCTCCTCCTCCCTGAGCTGGGGGCTGGGACACAAGAACCGGTAAAGTCCTTGGTTTTCAGGTGAAGTGAGCAAAGCACCTCTTTCTCACTCCACGCAGGTCCCACTAGGGCTCACCTTGGTGCCCAGCCTGGGTTAGCAGGAGCCGACCTGGGGAAACTGAGCTCCAAGGCCCAAGACTGGCTGCCCCGGGTCAGGAGAGGGGACAGGGCAGAAAGAGGTGCCTTTGGGCCAGGTGTGGTGGCTCACGCCCAGGTGGGCGGATCACGAGGTCAGGAGATCGACACCATCCTGGCTAACACGGTGAAACCCCGTCTCTACTAAAAATACAAAAAATTAGCTGGGCATGGTGGCGGGCGCCTGTAGTCCCAGCTACTCGAGAGGCTGAGGCAAGAGAATGGTGTGAACTTGGGGGACGGAGCTTGCAGTGAGCTGAGATCGCACCACTGTGCTCCAGCCTGGGTGACAGAGTGAGACTCCGTCTCAAAAAAAAAAAAAAAAAAAGGTGCCTTTGCTTCAGGGACTGGGGCTGTTAGACCCCTTACCAGGTCTTCTCCGAGGCTCAGGGCCCTGGGCGCAGGCCAAGCCTCTCAACCAGGCCTCCTCATCTCCCCAGGCCCCGGTATTGGTGGGGAGGAAGTGGGAGGAAGGTGAACCCGGGGCAGTGTGGGAAGTGTAGGCGGGGCTAGTGGCTCAGATGGTCCCCAAGATTTTGCCCAGGTAGCCCTGGAGGTGGGGAGGGAGAAGATGAGCTGGGATATACATGGGTCAGAGTAGACCACAAGCTGGCCGATTTGTCCCTGTAGGCCCTGAGGCTCCTCAGAGGGCACGTAGGCCCAGTGTGGGCTGGGGACGGGAAACCTGATTTGCTGAGCCAGACAATCCTTACCCTCAGTGCCCTGGAAGGGGCTCAGACCTTCAGTGGTTCCGAAGGGCCTGTGCCCACCTTCCCTGGCCCCAGGGAGCACGTGGTCCTGTCTGGGCTGGGCCAGCCCTATGGGAGGCTGGGGAGGGCCTAGGCGAGCACAGGTCTGTCCTATCCCTCACTGGGCCCACCCTTTCCAGTGGGTCCTGGCCTTCGAGATCTTCATCCCCCTGGTGCTGTTCTTTATCCTGCTGGGGCTGCGACAGAAGAAGCCCACCATCTCCGTGAAGGAAGGTGAGTGCGGCAGGAGGCCCCAGGCACAGCCGGGGGAGCGCGGCACCTCGCACGCCTGCGCTGTGTGTGCACATCTGCACACGGGTGTCCTGCTCCCGGAGTCCCTGAGGTGCGGTGCCTGCTCCCCTGTGTGGTCCTGGGCCGTGCCTCCTGGCTGGGCTGTGGAGGTCGGGGCTGGCCTGTGGCCGCGAATGATGATGCCAACGCCTCTTCCTGGTGATGTGGGCACTCACTGGTCTCCTCTGTTCTGTTTTGATCCCCCTCCCTCCCCGCATGGTCTCTTGTCCTCGGCTGGCATGCAGTCTGTAAGTGAGCGGCCACCTCCTCCTGGCTGGCCTGGGCAGCAGCTGCGGGGGGCCCATGGGCCGTCCTGGCTTGAGCGCCCTCCCCGCTTGCATTAACAGCCCTCCCGGGCCCCCTGCCGGCCTCAGGAACAGCTGGCTCCAGATGGGGGGTGGCAGGCAGTGAAGTGGGAGGTGGTAGGGAGTGAAAGGCCCGGCCACCTAAAGGCACAGCTGGTGCCTGGGTCAAGCTGAGGCGGCATCTCTCTGCCTGGCCTTGCCTTCTAGGGCTGGGGTGCCTCGGCTTCTGGGCTGAGTCTGGGCTGAGGCTGGGCTGGCCTGGGCTGGGGCTGGAGCGGCCTGGCTACTCTCCCTTCATACTCCTTCAGGCTCTTGCACTCACTCTGCTAACCAGCTGGCCAGAGGTCAGAGGTCACTGCCCAGAGGGGGTCCTTTGTCCTCCCCTGGGCTCTGTAGGCAGTGCCACACCTGAAACGTTTTCGGGGGGAGAGTGCCAGGGCATGTGGGCCTGCACTGGCTGAAAGGAAAGGAATGCTCTGGGAGTTATGGCAGAAGGGGTGGTGAGTGGCTCTTTGACCTCTGACCTGCTGGAGTCATTCGCCCCAGAACGCTTGGCCTGTAGCCCAGCTGGGGCCAGGGCTCTGTGCCGCCTTCTCCCTAACGCTGCTTCTCCTTCCTGACTTTCTCTAAATTTCTCCTCTCGGCCTCTGTCTCCCTCCCCTTCTGGATTCCTCTCTCTCTCTCTCCCCTTTCACCCCCGACCCTGCCCTCTCCCGTGGGTCTGCCAGCCTTCTACACAGCGGCGCCCCTGACGTCTGCCGGCATCCTGCCTGTCATGCAATCGCTGTGCCCGGACGGCCAGCGAGACGAGTTCGGCTTCCTGCAGTACGCCAACTCCACGTGAGTGCCCACCCGCCCCTCGGAGCACCCACCCCTCCCCAGCCCATCCAGTGAGTGACATCCGCCATGGTGCAGGGTCACGCAGCTGCTTGAGCGCCTGGACCGCGTGGTGGAGGAAGGCAACCTGTTTGACCCAGCGCGGCCCAGCCTGGGCTCAGAGCTCGAGGCCCTACGCCAGCATCTGGAGGCCCTCAGTGCGGGCCCGGGCACCTCGGGGAGCCACCTGGACAGATCCACAGGTGTGCCCTGTGCAGGGAAGTTGGGGGGCAGGGCTGCGGGCAAAGCTCTGCTGTCACTGGGCTGAAGCCCACATCCACTCTGGGCCCCTCCACCTGCACTGAGTTCCCAGCCACGCACAGGCTGCAGTGGCAGAGCTGTGGTGTTGGGCTCGGCTCCGAGCGCATGTGGGGGCACCTTGCCAAGGTGCAGCGGCCTCTCAGCCTCGCCTTCCTGCCTGTCCAGTGTCTTCCTTCTCTCTGGACTCGGTGGCCAGAAACCCGCAGGAGCTCTGGCGTTTCCTGACGCAAAACTTGTCGCTGCCCAATAGCACGGCCCAAGCACTCTTGGCCGCCCGTGTGGACCCGCCCGAGGTAAGGCAGGGACAGCTCCCAGCCCTGGCCACTCCCTTCTGCCCCAGCCACGCCCCCTGGTTGCTGAGCCATCCTCAGGATGCTCAGCCTGAGTCACGCCCAGACCGTCTGAACCTTGCCCCCACCATCTGAGCCACGCCCCCACTCTCTGAGCCATGCCCCCACCATCTGAGCCACGCCCCCACACCTACATCGGAGCCACGCCCCCACCATCTGAGCCACGCCCCCACTCTCTGAGCCACGCCCCCACCATCTAAGCCACGCCCCCACACGTCCATCGGAGCCACGCCCCCACCATCTGAGCCACGCCCCCCACACCCCATCTGAGCCATTCCCCCACACCTCCTAGGTCTACCACCTGCTCTTTGGTCCCTCATCTGCCCTGGATTCACAGTCTGGCCTCCACAAGGGTCAGGAGCCCTGGAGCCGCCTAGGGGGCAATCCCCTGTTCCGGATGGAGGTGAGGGCATCCATGTGTGGGATGGGCCTGGAGTGCTGCCTGCCTCTGGGGGTGCTTCTGCTCCGTGGGTGAGGAAAGGGCCCCTTTGGTGACTTGGAGCTCCTCCTGGGAGAGGGGGAGGGTCCCAGGGGTCTATGGCAGGCATGAGGGGTAGAGGCATGTCGTGGGACCCAGGCAGCCCCAGAGCCAGCCAGTGGGTGGGGCAGGGTGAGGCCTGAGGCCCTAGTGGTTGGGGACAAAGTCCTTGCCGTGGCTCCACGGACCCCTGTGCCCATCCCAGGAGCTGCTGCTGGCTCCTGCCCTCCTGGAGCAGCTCACCTGCACGCCGGGCTCGGGGGAGCTGGGCCGGATCCTCACTGTGCCTGAGAGTCAGAAGGGAGCCCTGCAGGGCTACCGGGATGCTGTCTGCAGTGGGCAGGCTGCTGCGCGTGCCAGGCGCTTCTCTGGGCTGTCTGCTGAGCTCCGGAACCAGCTGGACGTGGCCAAGGTCTCCCAGCAGGTGAGGCCCTGCCTGCCCACTGCCCGCTGCGCTGCTTGCTGCCTGAGTTGAAGGAGGGGCTGGGACCGCTTGGAGAGCTCAGGGCTCCTGGGCCCAGGCTGTGCGTGGGATGCTGCCTGTGGGTGGGTATCCAATGGCACCATGGCTGGTGCCCCACTCCTGCTCACCATCCCAGCTCCTGTCCTGGGCTCCCGTTACCCAGGCTGCAGACTCCCTCCCAGCACCCCTAGCTTGTGTCTCCCTGCTGCTGTCTCCCTGCTCCACTCCTGACCTATCACCCACCTGCAGTCCATCTCACCCCGCACTGCCCACGTGCCTGTTTCCCCTCAGCTGGGCCTGGATGCCCCCAACGGCTCGGACTCCTCGCCACAGGCGCCACCCCCACGGAGGCTGCAGGCGCTTCTGGGGGACCTGCTGGATGCCCAGAAGGTTCTGCAGGATGTGGATGTCCTGTCGGCCCTGGCCCTGCTACTGCCCCAGGGTGCCTGCACTGGCCGGACCCCCGGACCCCCAGCCAGTGGTGCGGGTGGGGCGGCCAATGGCACTGGGGCAGGGGCAGTCATGGGCCCCAACGCCACCGCTGAGGAGGGCGCACCCTCTGCTGCAGCACTGGCCACCCCGGACACGCTGCAGGGCCAGTGCTCAGCCTTCGTACAGCTCTGGGCCGGCCTGCAGCCCATCTTGTGTGGCAACAACCGGTAGGTGGGCGGCAGGGGAATGGGGGTGAGGAGGACAGCCAGGGGCAGGGCGTGAGCCCTGAATCTAGGCTCTGGCTCTGGAGGTCTCATTTGGCGCCCTGCCCTGTGCCCCGAAGTCCTGCCCCATCCCGATGCCCCTCCCACTCTCGCGGCCCTGCCCCCTAACGGCCTGGCCCGGCCCCCTGTCCCCTACCCCAGCACCATTGAACCCGAGGCGCTGCGGCGGGGCAACATGAGCTCCCTGGGCTTCACGAGCAAGGAGCAGCGGAACCTGGGCCTCCTCGTGCACCTCATGACCAGCAACCCCAAAATCCTGTACGCGCCTGCGGGCTCTGAGGTCGACCGCGTCATCCTCAAGGTGCACGGGTCTGGGACGCTCCATGTTTGACAGGCAGAGTGGGAGGGGGTCTCTGCAGGCCTGGGACCCCTGGGCAGAGGGTGTCGGCAGAATTGACACGGGAGGGGTACGGGGTGCAGCTTCGGATGGGACACAGGCTCTGCAGGTGGGGGACCAGGGGGTCGCTTTTCCTTTCGGGAGCTCCAGGGGCTGCTGTGGGAAGGCACTGGAGAGTCTGCTCTGGCAGGGTCCTCCGGCTGGGGGTGGCCGGTCCAGGGCAGTGCTGGTGGAGGAGGGGTGTGTCCAGAGACCTTCCAGAGTGTCTCGTGGGCGGGCAGCTGGGCAGTTTGGGTTCTGGGTGAGGGGTCCTGTCTGGAACAAGCAGAGGCCAGGGCTGGACATTGGCCTGGGAGGGGAGGGCCTGTGGACGAGGCCAATCCTGGGTGTAGAGGGGGTCCCTAGGATGAGGGTGGGACAGATGAGGGTGGAGCATTGGGTGCTTAAGGGACACATGGAGACAGGTCCAGCAAAGGAGCTGGTGGGCACAGCTGGGCAGTTGGGGGTCCGGAGGCCGTGCTGCCCTGGGAGTGGAGGGCAAAGCAGGTTTCACCTGAGCGCCGCAGAAAGGAGTGGAGAGCCCGGGCGTGGGACTCACGCTTGAAATCCCAGCACTTTGGGAAGCCATGGTGGGAGGATCGCTTGAGCTCAGGAGTTTGAGACAAGCCCGAGCAACATAGCGGAAGCCCGTCTCTACCAAAAATACAAAATTAGCCAGGCGTGGTGGTGGGCACCTGTAATCCCAGCTACTTGGAGGGCTGAGGCGGGAGGATCCCTTGAGCCTGGGAGGTGGAGGCTGCAGTGAGCTGGGACTGCACCACTGCACTCCAGCGTGGGTGACTGAGACCCTGTCTCAGGAAAAAAAAAAAAAAAAAGGTGGGGAGGGTTAGTTGTTGGCAATGGACCAGCCACTGGGGAGGTGAGTGGGGTGAGAGCCCCCAAGTCGGTGGGGGTCCGTCCAGAAACTCCATGCCCCTGCCTCACCCCCTGCAGGCCAACGAGACTTTTGCTTTTGTGGGCAACGTGACTCACTATGCCCAGGTCTGGCTCAACATCTCGGCGGAGATCCGCAGCTTCCTGGAGCAGGGCAGGCTGCAGCAACACCTGCGCTGGCTGCAGCAGGTGCCAAGGGTGCCCGCGAGGGAGGCGGCTGTGGGTGGTGTGGGGAGCCCCTCTCTGCCCGGCTCGGCAGGCGCAGGTCCCCCTCTGAGCCGCCCCTCCACCCCAAGTATGTAGCAGAGCTGCGGCTGCACCCCGAGGCACTGAACCTGTCACTGGATGAGCTGCCGCCGGCCCTGAGACAGGACAACTTCTCGCTGCCCAGTGGCATGGCCCTCCTGCAGCAGCTGGATACCATTGACAACGCGGCCTGCGGCTGGATCCAGTTCATGTCCAAGGTGAGCGGTGGGGCCTCCGAGCCAACCCACGACACCCCCTGCCTCGCACATGCCCACGGCGGGCTCCAGCGATGCCCCTCCCGCTAGGTGAGCGTGGACATCTTCAAGGGCTTCCCCGACGAGGAGAGCATTGTCAACTACACCCTCAACCAGGCCTACCAGGACAACGTCACTGTTTTTGCCAGTGAGCTGCCCTCCCCGCCCCGCCCCAGCCCCCCACAGACCTCTTCCTCCCCAGCCCAGCCCCACCCGTCCCCCTGTGCCCTCCCACTCCTTGGCCGCGCCCTGGCCTTCCCCCCTCACCCGCCACTTCCCCTCCCCACCCCTGCCCCTTCCAAACGGCCCCAACCCACAACCCGCCCCCTCCCTGCACCTCCCCACTTCTGCCCACCTTTCCCCTGGGGCCCCCACCCCAGCCCTGTCCCACCTTTCCCTGGACCCTCCTGTCCCCGCCCCCACACCTTGGCCCCGCCCCCGTGCCTTGCTTTCCCCCCCACCACGCCTTGGTCCCGCCCCTGCATCTTGGCCCCGCCCCAACCTCCCGGCCCCAGGTGTGATCTTCCAGACCCGGAAGGACGGCTCGCTCCCGCCTCACGTGCACTACAAGATCCGCCAGAACTCCAGCTTCACCGAGAAAACCAACGAGATCCGCCGCGCCTACTGGCGGCCTGGGCCCAATACTGGCGGCCGCTTCTACTTCCTCTACGGCTTCGTCTGGATCCAGGGTGAGGAGCAGGCCCGGAAGACCGGCTGGAGGATTCATGGGGGAGGACAGGTGTGAGGACGAGAGGGCCTGCCCGGCACCTGATGGCTGCCCCCACCCACAGACATGATGGAGCGCGCCATCATCGACACTTTTGTGGGGCACGATGTGGTGGAGCCAGGCAGCTACGTGCAGATGTTCCCCTACCCCTGCTACACACGCGATGAGTGAGTGCTGGGCGCCCGGGGCTGGGGCTGGGGCTGGGGCTGAGTGGCGCCTGAGCGCGGCCTCCCCGCAGCTTCCTGTTTGTCATTGAGCACATGATGCCGCTGTGCATGGTGATCTCCTGGGTCTACTCCGTGGCCATGACCATCCAGCACATCGTGGCGGAGAAGGAGCACCGGCTCAAGGAGGTGCGCGGGCCGGGACTCTCCCTGGAGGCGCGGGCTGGCAGGGAGGGGCGGCGTCCTCCCCGGGGCCTGCCCCAAGCCCCTGGCCCACCCGCAGGTGATGAAGACCATGGGCCTGAACAACGCGGTGCACTGGGTGGCCTGGTTCATCACCGGCTTTGTGCAGCTGTCCATCTCCGTGACAGCACTCACCGCCATCCTGAAGTACGGCCAGGTGCTTATGCACAGCCACGTGGTCATCATCTGGCTCTTCCTGGCAGTCTACGCGGTGGCCACCATCATGTTCTGGTGAGCGCGGGCCATGGTAGGAGGGACCTGGGGCAGGCACTTGCCCAGCAAGCTCACCCCACATCCTCTCAGAGCCCCCTGGACCCTGGCACGGGCCTGCCCAGGAGGCCGGGCGTGCGGGTGGATGACGGTGCGCGTGGCCCCTGCCCACCCAGCTTCCTGGTGTCTGTGCTGTACTCCAAGGCCAAGCTGGCCTCGGCCTGCGGTGGCATCATCTACTTCCTGAGCTACGTGCCCTACATGTACGTGGCGATCCGAGAGGAGGTGGCGCATGATAAGATCACGGCCTTCGAGAAGTGCATCGCGGTGAGGGTCGCGGGCAGGCGGGCGGCTGGGGTGCCGGGCCACCCCACGTGCTGACACCACTGCCTTCTCAGTCCCTCATGTCCACGACGGCCTTTGGTCTGGGCTCTAAGTACTTCGCGCTGTATGAGGTGGCCGGCGTGGGCATCCAGTGGCACACCTTCAGCCAGTCCCCGGTGGAGGGGGACGACTTCAACTTGCTCCTGGCTGTCACCATGCTGATGGTGGACGCCGTGGTCTATGGCATCCTCACGTGGTACATTGAGGCTGTGCACCCAGGTACTGGCCAGCCCTTGGAGGGCAGGGGAGAGGCAGGGGTCCCCAGCCAGGGTTGGGGACCAGCAGTCTGTGTCCACTCCTGGATGCAGCACGGGTGGCTCCCTGGGTGGGCACGTGGCCCACGTGGTGGATGGTCACCCCAGGCCCTAGGTCAGCCTCCCCTCCCCTCCCCGACCCCCAGGCATGTACGGGCTGCCCCGGCCCTGGTACTTCCCACTGCAGAAGTCCTACTGGCTGGGCAGTGGGCGGACAGAAGCCTGGGAGTGGAGCTGGCCGTGGGCACGCACCCCCCGCCTCAGTGTCATGGAGGAGGACCAGGCCTGTGCCATGGAGAGCCGGCGCTTTGGTGAGGCTGGCATCAGAATGGTGGCTGGGGTGGGCGCTGGGTTCAGAGTCCTGGGTGGCCTTGGCGCCGCCCCCACCCTGCTGATCCACAGCCCTGGTGCAGAGGAGACCCGTGGCATGGAGGAGGAGCCCACCCACCTGCCTCTGGTTGTCTGCGTGGACAAACTCACCAAGGTCTACAAGGACGACAAGAAGCTGGCCCTGAACAAGCTGAGCCTGAACCTCTACGAGAACCAGGTGGTCTCCTTCTTGGGCCACAACGGGGCGGGCAAGACCACCACCATGTGAGTGTCGGAGGGGCAGGGCGGTGGGCATCTGCTGACCAGAGCAGGAGTCCTAGTCAGGGCAGGGTGGGGCCCCTGCAGAGGGCGTGGGGTCATGACCCCGCCCACCTACCCAGGTCCATCCTGACCGGCCTGTTCCCTCCAACGTCGGGTTCCGCCACCATCTACGGGCACGACATCCGCACGGAGATGGATGAGATCCGCAAGAACCTGGGCATGTGCCCGCAGCACAATGTGCTCTTTGACCGGCTCACGGTGGAGGAACACCTCTGGTTCTACTCACGGCTCAAGAGCATGGCTCAGGAGGAGATCCGCAGAGAGATGGACAAGTGGGTGGGCTGGGCGGGGGGCGGGGCAGGTGGGCGGAGGCCCTGGGGCTCTGCATAGCAGCAGCCCCATGCCCCACCTCCCTGTCCCAGGATGATCGAGGACCTGGAGCTCTCCAACAAACGGCACTCACTGGTGCAGACATTGTCGGGTGGCATGAAGCGCAAGCTGTCCGTGGCCATCGCCTTCGTGGGCGGCTCTCGCGCCATCATCCTGGACGAGCCCACGGCGGGCGTGGACCCCTACGCGCGCCGCGCCATCTGGGACCTCATCCTGAAGTACAAGCCAGGTGAGTGGGGTGCCGTGTGGGCAGGGGTGCGGGCGGCGCCTCCCCTGCCCCCTGACCCTGGGTCTGGCCTTGTCCTAGGCCGCACCATCCTTCTGTCCACCCACCACATGGATGAGGCTGACCTGCTTGGGGACCGCATTGCCATCATCTCCCATGGGAAGCTCAAGTGCTGCGGCTCCCCGCTCTTCCTCAAGGGCACCTATGGCGACGGGTACCGCCTCACGCTGGTCAAGCGGCCCGCCGAGCCGGGGGGCCCCCAAGGTCTGTGTTGAAGCTGCCTGAGCTGGCTTCGGGCCACCTTCTCCCCGGGACCCCCACCTGAGAATCCACAATGGAGAGGCTGGGCCCTCACCGTCACCCGCTGGGCCCAGGATGCCTGCTGGGGCCTGGCCCGCCCTCTGCAACGCCCGTATCTTGGAGAGGCTGGGTCCTCAGCGTCACCCCCTGGGCCCAGGATACCTGCTGGGGCCTGGTTCTTCCTCTCCAATGCCCATATCTTGACCCAGTTGGGTTCCCATTGGGGGTCCCTCCTCCCAGCCCCTGAGTGAATTCCTTCCTGCTCCCACGTCCCCCACAGAGCCAGGGCTGGCATCCAGCCCCCCAGGTCGGGCCCCGCTGAGCAGCTGCTCCGAGCTCCAGGTGTCCCAGTTCATCCGCAAGCATGTGGCCTCCTGCCTGCTGGTCTCAGACACAAGCACGGAGCTCTCCTACATCCTGCCCAGCGAGGCCGCCAAGAAGGGGGCTTTCGAGCGCCTCTTCCAGGTGTGAGGGCGCACGGGTCGGGGGGCAGTTGCAGGTGGTGGAGGTGGGCGCACTCCTGCCTGGGCGTCCCTGCCGCAGCCTCCCCCTCCACCGCCCCTGCAGCACCTGGAGCGCAGCCTGGATGCACTGCACCTCAGCAGCTTCGGGCTGATGGACACGACCCTGGAGGAAGTGTTCCTCAAGGTGTCGGAGGAGGATCAGTCGCTGGAGAACAGTGAGGCCGGTGAGGGGCCTGGACCACTTGCTCAGCCCACCCCACCCACAAGGCCCCAGCTCGGGCCTGCGCTGTCACTCCTGCCTGGTGTCTGGGGGCGCCACCCTGGTCCTGGGTGGAAGCCAGGGGACGCCCCGGGGTTAGCCTGCGGTCCTAGGTGGGTGGTCCTGGTGGCCAGAGGTCCCGGACAGGTGTATGAGCCTGGGAACTGGGGTCAAGACCGGGGATGGGGGTCCTGGGCAGGCCTAGGGGCCAGTAGCCCTGAGTGTCCCCTCGGCCCTTCCACTGCGGCAGATGTGAAGGAGTCCAGGAAGGATGTGCTCCCTGGGGCGGAGGGCCCGGCGTCTGGGGAGGGTCACGCTGGCAATCTGGCCCGGTGCTCGGAGCTGACCCAGTCGCAGGCATCGCTGCAGTCGGCGTCATCTGTGGGCTCTGCCCGTGGCGACGAGGGAGCTGGCTACACCGACGTCTATGGCGACTACCGCCCCCTCTTTGATAACCCACAGGACCCAGACAATGTCAGCCTGCAAGGTGGGGGTGGCAGGGTGAGGCTGGGACAGCAAGGGAGGGGGAGCAGGGTTGCGGGGGAGCGGCATGAGGGCAGCCAGTAGGGAGAGGGTAGCGTGCAACCACCTGCTCAGCCTCTACCTCTCTGCACAGAGGTGGAGGCAGAGGCCCTGTCGAGGGTCGGCCAGGGCAGCCGCAAGCTGGACGGCGGGTGGCTGAAGGTGCGCCAGTTCCACGGGCTGCTGGTCAAACGCTTCCACTGCGCCCGCCGCAACTCCAAGGCACTCTTCTCCCAGATCTTGCTGCCAGCCTTCTTCGTCTGCGTGGCCATGACCGTGGCCCTGTCCGTCCCGGAGATTGGTAGGCCACCGGCTGGACAGGGGTGCTGGGCTTGCCTCCCCCCACCGCCCGCTGGGAGCCCTGATGATGCCCACTCCTGAGCTTCCTGACTCTGGGCCTCACCCCACACCTGAGGCTGGGCACGCACCGGGGTTCATCCGGGAGTCCTGTCTCCTCGGGTCCCAGACCCCAGGCGTGGATCCCTTGGGGTTGGGGGAAGGGGACCGAGGCTTGGGGGCCGCTGGCCAGAGGGCAGAACCTGCTCAGGCCTCCCTGCTCGCCCTGCCAGGTGATCTGCCCCCGCTGGTCCTGTCACCTTCCCAGTACCACAACTACACCCAGCCCCGTGGCAATTTCATCCCCTACGCCAACGAGGAGCGCCGCGAGTACCGGTGAGGCCTCCAGCGGGGGCAGCCTTGGTGGGTGGGGCGAGTGAAGGGGCGGGGACAGCCTTGGTGGGCCAGGCGGGCGAGGGGGCGGGGCTGGCGAGGGGCGGAGACTGGCAGCCCCACCTCACACTGTCGGTGCCCGCAGGCTGCGGCTATCGCCCGACGCCAGCCCCCAGCAGCTCGTGAGCACGTTCCGGCTGCCGTCGGGGGTGGGTGCCACCTGCGTGCTCAAGTCTCCCGCCAACGGCTCGCTGGGGCCCACGTTGAACCTGAGCAGCGGGGAGTCGCGCCTGCTGGCGGCTCGGTTCTTCGACAGCATGTGTCTGGAGTCCTTCACACAGGGGCTGCCACTGTCCAATTTCGTGCCACCCCCACCCTCGCCCGCCCCATCTGACTCGCCAGCGTCCCCGGATGAGGACCTGCAGGCCTGGAACGTCTCCCTGCCGCCCACCGCTGGGCCAGGTAGTGGTTCAGGGGGCCTGCTGGGGGGGCAGGGGCAGTGAGGGGTCCTTCTCACCGCACCATGCTGTGCCCACAGAAATGTGGACGTCGGCACCCTCCCTGCCGCGCCTGGTACGGGAGCCCGTCCGCTGCACCTGCTCTGCGCAGGGCACCGGCTTCTCCTGCCCCAGCAGTGTGGGCGGGCACCCGCCCCAGATGCGGGTGGTCACAGGCGACATCCTGACCGACATCACCGGCCACAATGTCTCTGAGTACCTGCTCTTCACCTCCGACCGCTTCCGACTGCACCGGTGAGCTGGGTGGGGAGGCTGTGGGTGAGGGTGGCCGGCCACCAGCCACCTAGTCTCAACTCCTGCCCCTCTAGCCTCACTGCCTGCCTAGCCTCACCGCCCCTCCCACCTGCCTGCCCAGGTATGGGGCCATCACCTTTGGAAACGTCCTGAAGTCCATCCCAGCCTCATTTGGCACCAGGGCCCCACCCATGGTGCGGAAGATCGCGGTGCGCAGGGCTGCCCAGGTGAGCGAGGCTGCGGGCCTGGGCCCCGCTGTGTGTAGCGCCGCCCGAGGTCTGCAGGGACCCAGGTCTGAGGTCCTGGGGCCTTTCTGTGTCCTCTTCCTTCTGCAGGTTTTCTACAACAACAAGGGCTATCACAGCATGCCCACCTACCTCAACAGCCTCAACAACGCCATCCTGCGTGCCAACCTGCCCAAGAGCAAGGGCAACCCGGCGGCTTACGGTGAGCTGACATAGGCAGGGCGGGGCGGGGCGGGGAGGAGCTGGGGCCGGGGCGGGGAGGAGCTGGGGCCTGAAGCTGCCGCCCCCGCCCCGCCGTGTGCAGGCATCACCGTCACCAACCACCCCATGAATAAGACCAGCGCCAGCCTCTCCCTGGATTACCTGTAAGTGTGGCCAGTGGGGGATGAGGTGGGGCAGGTGGGCACTGCAGCCCCGGCCGTGAGGACTGAGGGCTTCCTTGCCCCAGGCTGCAGGGCACGGATGTCGTCATCGCCATCTTCATCATCGTGGCCATGTCCTTCGTGCCGGCCAGCTTCGTTGTCTTCCTCGTGGCCGAGAAGTCCACCAAGGCCAAGCACCTGCAGTTTGTCAGCGGCTGCAACCCCATCATCTACTGGCTGGCGAACTACGTGTGGGACATGGTGCGCCCGGCGTGGCCATGGGGTGCCCCGGCCCTTCTCATCCCCCATCCCCGCCCTGCCCCGGGTCTCTCACCAGCCGCCCCCACCCCTGCAGCTCAACTACCTGGTCCCCGCTACCTGCTGTGTCATCATCCTGTTTGTGTTCGACCTGCCGGCCTACACGTCGCCCACCAACTTCCCTGCCGTCCTCTCCCTCTTCCTGCTCTATGGGTAAGCGGAAGCGGAGGGGGGAGCGGCCTCAGGTGGGACCGGGGCTGCCTGGTGACCACTGCCCGCCACCTGCCCGCAGGTGGTCCATCACGCCCATCATGTACCCGGCCTCCTTCTGGTTCGAGGTCCCCAGCTCCGCCTACGTGTTCCTCATTGTCATCAATCTCTTCATCGGCATCACCGCCACCGTGGCCACCTTCCTGCTACAGCTCTTCGAGCACGACAAGGTGGGGCGGTGACGACATGGTGGGGGTGGCGGACCCTGCGGAGGCTGTGCCCCTCACCCCGGCCACCCCTGTGCCCCTGACCCCGGCCACCCCGCAGGACCTGAAGGTTGTCAACAGTTACCTGAAAAGCTGCTTCCTCATTTTCCCCAACTACAACCTGGGCCACGGGCTCATGGAGATGGCCTACAACGAGTACATCAACGAGTACTACGCCAAGATTGGTGAGGGGGCCCGTGGGGCGGGGAAGGCGGTGGGGGCCCCGCAAGGCCCAGAGCACAGGCCCTGAGCTGTCTCCCCGCAGGCCAGTTTGACAAGATGAAGTCCCCGTTCGAGTGGGACATTGTCACCCGCGGACTGGTGGCCATGGCGGTTGAGGGCGTCGTGGGCTTCCTCCTGACCATCATGTGCCAGTACAACTTCCTGCGGCGGCCACAGTGAGTGGGGGGCGGGGTGGGGCGGGGGCGGGGCGGGAGCAGGGATGGGTTCGGGGGTGGGGCAGGGTAGGGGCGGGGGTGGGGGCAGGGATGGGGCAGGAGGGGGTGAGGCAGGGGACAGCAGAGGGGCCTGCCCACCCTTCTTACATGCCACAGCCAGAGGATGCGAGGCTGGTGGCAGGGAGGGGCAGTGGGGGTGGCGAGCTGCTGGACACTGTCCACCCTGTCCCCCAAGGCGCATGCCTGTGTCTACCAAGCCTGTGGAGGATGATGTGGACGTGGCCAGTGAGCGGCAGCGAGTGCTCCGGGGAGACGCCGACAATGACATGGTCAAGATTGAGAACCTGACCAAGGTGGGCTCTGGGCATGTAGGGTGGGGCCTGGGTGGGGTAGGCCAGGGCCAGGGGGGTGGGGCCCCAGCAGTGGAGGTGGAGCCTGGGTGGGCAGGGCCCTGAGCTCTGGGGGTGGGGCCTGCATGGGGTGGGGCTGTGGGGCACGTGGCCCCCTGGGCTCTGGAGGTGGGGCAGGGTCTGGGTGGGGTGGGGCCAGAGGGGCAGGGTGGGGGCAGGATGCCCCGCTGAGTGGGCAGGCTCCTGGCCAGGTCTACAAGTCCCGGAAGATTGGCCGTATCCTGGCCGTTGACCGCCTGTGCCTGGGTGTGCGTCCTGGCGAGTGCTTCGGGCTCCTGGGCGTCAACGGTGCGGGCAAGACCAGCACCTTCAAGATGCTGACCGGCGACGAGAGCACGACGGGGGGCGAGGCCTTCGTCAATGGACACAGGTGGGGCGGGAGCCCTGGGTGGGCGGGGCCGCCGCGTCCTCACGCGCTGACAGCTGCCGTGTCCCCAGCGTGCTGAAGGAGCTGCTCCAGGTGCAGCAGAGCCTCGGCTACTGCCCGCAGTGTGACGCGCTGTTCGACGAGCTCACGGCCCGGGAGCACCTGCAGCTGTACACGCGGCTGCGTGGGATCTCCTGGAAGGACGAGGCCCGGGTGAGGATCTGTGGGGCGGGGCAGGGAGTCAGCACGCTGGGTGGCCCTGCCTCCACTGACACCTGCGTTCCCTGGCCAGGTGGTGAAGTGGGCTCTGGAGAAGCTGGAGCTGACCAAGTACGCAGACAAGCCGGCTGGCACCTACAGCGGCGGCAACAAGCGGAAGCTCTCCACGGCCATCGCCCTCATTGGGTACCCAGCCTTCATCTTCCTGGTAAGTCCTGGGTGGGTGGGGGGTGGCTGCCTGGCCTTTGACTTCCTGGTGAGCACGGGCAGGGGCAGCGTTCAGGCTGGGGTGTGTGGGCCTGGCAGCAGCTGAGCCTGCCACCCATCCCCAGGACGAGCCCACCACAGGCATGGACCCCAAGGCCCGGCGCTTCCTCTGGAACCTCATCCTTGACCTCATCAAGACAGGGCGTTCAGTGGTGCTGACATCACACAGGTGAGGGCGCCCCCACCCCCTCTTTGTGCCCCCACCCCACAGCACCCCTTCCGGTGCCAGCCTGTGCATGTCCCACAGCATGGAGGAGTGCGAGGCGCTGTGCACGCGGCTGGCCATCATGGTGAACGGTCGCCTGCGGTGCCTGGGCAGCATCCAGCACCTGAAGAACCGGTGAGCCGGGGCAGGGCCAGGGGTGGGCTGGGGCGGGCCCGGGGGGGGCGGCCAGGCAGCGGGGCCAGGAGTGGGGGTGGCTGCAGGGCTGTGAGGGCTGTGGGGCCAGGGGGGCTGGGGGCACTGGGGCTGGGGGGACTGGGGCAGTGGGGCCAGGGGAGGAGCCTGGAGGGCTGTGGGGGCTGTGGGGTTGGGGGGCTGTGGGAGGCTATGGGGCTTCCTGGGGTGCCTGTGGGGGCTGTAGGGCTGGGAGGCTGGGGGGCTGGGGCTCTGGCTGGGCGGCGCAGGGCTCCGGGCCACCGGCCTGTCCCACCAGGTTTGGAGATGGCTACATGATCACGGTGCGGACCAAGAGCAGCCAGAGTGTGAAGGACGTGGTGCGGTTCTTCAACCGCAACTTCCCGGAAGCCATGCTCAAGGTGCGCCGTCCCGGGCAGGGTTGTGGAGGGGGCGCTACGGGGTGGGGGGGCGCTGCCAGGCCTCTGACCTCCCCCCCTGCAGGAGCGGCACCACACAAAGGTGCAGTACCAGCTCAAGTCGGAGCACATCTCGCTGGCCCAGGTGTTCAGCAAGATGGAGCAGGTGTCTGGCGTGCTGGGCATCGAGGACTACTCGGTCAGCCAGACCACACTGGACAATGTGAGCGCCCCAAGGGCACTGCGCACCACACCTGCCCCTCCCCTCACCCGCCCTGCCCCTCCTCACCCCAGACCAGCCCCCTCCCCACACGCCTGCGCCACCCACCAGGTGTTCGTGAACTTTGCCAAGAAGCAGAGTGACAACCTGGAGCAGCAGGAGACGGAGCCGCCATCCGCACTGCAGTCCCCTCTCGGCTGCTTGCTCAGCCTGCTCCGGCCCCGGTCTGCCCCCACGGAGCTCCGGGCACTTGTGGCAGACGAGCCCGAGGACCTGGACACGGAGGACGAGGGCCTCATCAGCTTCGAGGAGGAGCGGGTGAGCAGGCTGCTCTCATGGCTGTCCAGGGCTCTGCCCACTGGACCCAGGCTGCCTGGTGGCTCCAGCCGCGGGTGGGGTCGGGGGAGAACTGGCCCCAGGATGCTTGCTGTCCAGAGGTCAAGGGGGCAGAGTGGGCGAGGGACACTTGCAGATAGGCCTGGAGAGACGTAACTGCATGGTCCAGACTTGCTAGAGTCTTTGAGGGGCACAGAGCAAGGGTGGGGCAGAGGGGACCAGAGCCGGGGAACAGGGGACCGATGTAGACTCAGTGGCCCCCAGACTCGGCAGACGGAGGCCCGGGAGAGCCCAGACACAGAGGGAGCTCGTGGGGAGACCCTGCGTCCAGGCCCAGCCTGCAGGAGGGCCGGGGCGGGCCAGCACAAGTGTCCTCAGCCCCAGCAGGGGGTGGCACAGGATGCCCCATAAGCCTGACCTCCCCTGTGCACAGGCCCAGCTGTCCTTCAACACGGACACGCTCTGCTGACCACCCAGAGCTGGGCCAGGGAGGACACGCTCCACTGACCACCCAGAGCTGGGCCAGGGACTCAACAATGGGGACAGAAGTCCCCCAGTGCCTGCCAGGGCCTGGAGTGGAGGTTCAGGACCAAGGGGCTTCTGGTCCTCCAGCCCCTGTACTCGGCCATGCCCTGTGGTCACTGCGGTTGCCGCCCCTAATTGTGCCAAAGGCTGACCCGGCCCGGGCTGCGTACACCCTTGCCCTGCTTTGCCTTAAAGCCTCGGGGTCTGCCCGGCCCCTCGCCCCTGCCTGGCACTGCTCACCGCCCAAGGCGACGCCGGCTGGACCAGGCACTGCTGGCCTTTCTCCTGCCCGGCCTCGGAACCAGCTTTTCTCTCTTACGATGAAGGCTGATGCCGAGAGCGGGCTGTGGGCGGAGCTGGGTCAGTCCCGTATTTATTTTGCTTTGAGAAGAGGCTCCTCTGGCCCTGCTCTCCTGCAGGGAGGTGGCTGTCCTGCGGGAAGCCATCAGCTTGGGCCAGCTGGCAGGTGGCAGGAATGGAGAAGCTGACCCTGCTGGCCAGGCAAGGGGCCAGACCCCCCCCAACCCCCAGCTGCCATCGCTCTCCCACCCAGCTTGGCCCCCTGCCCGCCCACCTCCCTGGGAGCCGGGCCTGTACATAGCGCACAGATGTTTGTTTTAAATAAATAAACAAAATGTCTGCGGGTCTGCGTGTGTGGGTTGGGAAGGGTGGGGAGGATGGGCGCATCAGGTGGGTTAGCGCTCCAGAAGGCCCTGCCCCTCAGGCACAGGTGCTGGCAGGGGGTGGCTGGGTCGGTCTGGAGGAGGGAAACTGAGGCAGGGTGGTTCACCATGGTTCACTGTCCCCCTCATCCCACCCTCAGGGGTTGCTCCCGGCCCCCTTCCCCTTAGCCTTCATCTTCCCGTCCACCTGCCCTCTCTAAGCCTCCTTCACCCCTTGCTGCCCACGTGGGGCCTGCAGCAGCCTGGGCTAGGCTGTCTCCGTGTCATGGAAGGGACAGCGAGGGCTTCCAGGAAGAGGCGACCTCCAGGAGGAGACCGAAGTCTGTGAAGATTCCTTAAGGGAAGGGCATCCCAGCCAGAGGGCAGGGCACAGGCCAAGGCCCCAGGGAGGCAGGACCTGGAAGCTTTGAGGCTCATCAGCGGTGGAGCCTGGCACACTGTGGGCAGGAGATGGGGGAGGGGCATGAATGGCCCCCAGAGCTCACGCCCCGTGATCTGGGCCAAGTTCAGACTCTTGCCTTAGGCCGTTTCAAGGCTCCTCAGGAGGGTAGAGGGTGGACTCACTGAGGGCTGGTGCCACATGGGGGACAACAGGGGAGGGGCCCATGGGCTTGAGGGCACTGGGTGGGCTGGGCCAACACATCCACTTGGGTTCCTATGAGGCACTCACTGTGACCACCTGAGAGGCAGTGGGATGACCATGCTGGAGTCCCTGAGAGGCTGGGTCACTGGGGTGAAGCTGTCCTGGGCCCTGGGGGCGGTTCACTCTGGAAGAACCGAGAGGAACAGTGGCTCACTGGAGGGGCTGGTGTGGGTTTGGTGGTCGGCCAAGGGAAATGCGTGGGGGAGCCGCCAGAAGGCAGGAGGCCGCAGCAGCCTCCGTCCTGCAACTGTAGGGGCTGAATCATGGCAGAAAGAGGTCGAGAAAGGAACACGGCCCAGCCGAGGCCCAGGGAGACCCTGCGCGCAGGACCAGGCCAGGCTGGACCTGGACAGCCGCCCACAGACTGACACAGTTCACGGGGGCATCGTCCCTAGAGGTTTCATTTTCATGATGTGTAATGCAGCATTGAAAGCAAACACACCCCCCAGCATCTTCCTCAGAACATTTTCCGCCGAGCACGGTGGCTCACGCCTGTAATCCCAGCACTTCGGGAGGCCGAGGCAGGTGGATCATCTGAGGTCAGGAGTTCGAGACCAGCCTGGCCAACATGGTGAAACCCCATCTCTACTAAAACTACAAAAATTAGCTGGGTGTGGTGGTGGGCGCCTGTATTCCCAGCTGCTCGGGAGGCTGAGGCAGAAGAATCACTTGAACCTGGCAGGTAGAGGCTGCAGTGAGCCAAGATCGTGCCATTGCACTCCAGCCTGGATGACAGAGTGAGACTCTGTCTCAAAACAACAGCAAAAAGAACATTTTAAACTTTCAGGAAAGTTGCGAGAATAGCAGAGCGCACGCCGCATCTTCAGCCGATGCGCCTGTGAAATCTTGCCACACGCACCGTCGCTCTACCCACTTTTGTGCTGCCCCATGTGAAAGCAAGCAGCTGTGACCTGCCAGCCCCGGCCCTGCAGCCTCCTTCCCCCAAGAGCCGCCAGGGTAGCCCAGAGTTAACAAAGGGTACAGCAAGGCTTTTCAGGGCCCCGGTGGCCCAGGCATGCCCTTTTTTATTTTTTATTATTATTTGTTTGAGGAGACGGAGTCTCACTCTCTTGCCCAGGCTGGAGTGGGGCACAATCTCGGCTCACTGCAAGCTCCGCCTCCCGGGTTCACACCATTCTCCTGCCTCAGCCTCCTGCGTAGCTAGGACTACAGGCGCGCATCACCATGCCCGGCTGATTTTTGTGTGTGTGTGTGTGTTTTTAGTAGAGATGAGGTTTCACCATGTTGGCCAGGCTGGTCTCTAACTCCTGACCTCAGGTGATTGCCCCAGCCTCAGCCTTCCAAAGTGCTGGGATGACAGGTGTGAACCACCGCGCCTGGCCAATTTTTGTATTTTTAGTAGAGATGGGGTTTCACCATGTTGGCCAGGTTGGTCTCGTGTAGGGACCAGCCCCACAGGGTCGGTGGGTCTCTCCCCATGTGCGGTGACGAGACAGTGTAGAAATAAAGACACAAGACAAAGAGATAAAAGACAGCTGGGCCCGGGGGACCACTAACACCAATGCGTGGAGACCAGTAGTGGCCCCGAATGTCTGGCTGCACTGTTATTTATTGGATACAAGGCAGAAGGGGCAGGATAAGGAGTGTGAGCCATCTCCAATGATAGGTAAGGTCACGTGGGTCACGTGTCCACTGGACGGGGGCCCTTCCCTGCCTGGCAGCCAAGGCAGAGAGAGAGAGAAGAGACAGAGAGAAAGACA
This sequence comes from Homo sapiens, assembly GCF_000001405.40. Taxonomy (NCBI): domain Eukaryota; kingdom Metazoa; phylum Chordata; class Mammalia; order Primates; family Hominidae; genus Homo; species Homo sapiens. Next base: position 137,004,825 of record NC_000009.12, on the reverse strand, counting down.
GCTTATGCCATTATTTCTGCATATCAGGGACTATTAGTATTTTCACTAATTGACTACTGCTATCTAGAAGGCAGAGCCAGGTGTACAGGATGGAACATGAAGGCGGACTAGGAGCGTGACCACTGAAGCACAGCATCACAGGAGACGGTTAGGCCTCCGGATAACTGCGGGCAGGTCTGACTGATGTCAGGCCCTCCACAAGAGGTGGAGCAGAGTCTTCTCTAAACTCCCCCGGGGACAGGGAGACTCCCTTTCCTGGTCTGCTAAGTAGCGGGTGTTGTTCCTTGACACCTTTTGCTACCGCTGGACCACGGTCCGCCTGGCAACGGGCGTCTTCCCAGACGCTGGCGTCACCGCTAGACCAAGGAGCCCTCTGGTGGCCCTGTCCGGGCATAACAGAAGGCTCGCACTCTTGTCTTCCGGTCACACCTCACTATGTCCCCTCAGCTCCTATCTCTGTATGGCCTGGTTTTTCCTAGGCTATGATTATAGAGCGAGGATTATTATAATATTGGAATAAAAAGTAATTGCTACAAACTAATGATTAATGATATTCATATATAATCATATCTAAGTTCTATATCTGGTATAACTATTCTTGTTTTATATTTTATTATACTGGAACAGCTCATGTCCTCGGTCTCTTGCCTTGGTGCCTGGGTAGCTTGCCGCCCACAGTCTCGAACTCCTGACCTCAGGTGATCACCCAGCCTTGGCCTCTCAAAGTGTTGGGATTACAGATGTGTGCCACCATGCCCAGCCAATTTTTGTATTTTTAGTAGAGATGGGGTTTCACCATGTTGGCCAGGCTGGTCTTGAACTCCTGACCTCAGGTGATCGCCTAGCCTCGGCCTCTCAAAGTGTTGAGATTGCAGGCGTGAGCCACCGTGCCTGACCAATTTTTGTATTTTTAGTAGAGATGGGGGTTTCACCATGTTGGCCAGGCTGGTCTCGAACTCCCAACCTCAGGTGATCTCCCAGCCTCGGCCTCCCAAAGTGCTGGGATGACAGATGTGAGCCACTGCACCCGGCCCTAGGCATGCTCTTTAGAGTTTTTCCAAAAAACCAGGATCAGCCAGGTGCTGTGGCTCAAGCCTGTCATCCCAGCACTTTGAGAGGCTGAGGTAGGCAGGTCACCTGAAATCAGGAGTTCAGCTTGGCCAACATGGCGAAACCCCATCTCTACTAAATATACAAAATTAGCTGGGCATTGTAGCGCCTGTAATCCCAGCTACATGGGAGACTGAGGCAGGAGAATCACTAGAATCTGGGAGGCGGAGGTTGCAGTGAGCAGCGCTCCAGCCTGGGTGACAGAGTGAGACTCCGTCTCAAAAAAAAAAAAAAAAGAAAGAAAGAAAAGGCTGGGCATGGTTGCTCACACCTGTAATCCCAGCACTTTGAGAGGCCGAGGCGGGTGGATCACTTGAGGTTGGGAGTTCAAGACCAGGCTGACCAATATGGAGAAACCCTGTCTCTACTGAAAATACAAAATTAGCCGGGTGTGGTGGCACATGCCTGTAATCCCAGCTACTCGGGAGGCTGAGGCAGGAGAATCGCTTGAACCTGGGAGGTGGAGGTTGCGGTGAGCTGAGGTTGTGCCACTGCATTCCAGCCTCAGCGACAGAGTGAGACTCTGTCTCAAACAAACAAACAAAAAAAGGAAATAAAAATCCAGGATCCAACCACGAGGCACTCCTTGTGTCTTGCTGCCTTCCCCGGGGCCCCTCTGAGCCGTCCCCAGCCTTGGCGTTCTTGCCCTTCCAGGGGGACAGGCTCCGCAGGCCCAGGCTGAGCTCTGGATGTGTCTTCATTTCCTCCTGGCTGGATGCAGGTTGGACATTTTTGGCCGGAGCAGCACTGGGACACGCTGTGTCGGTCACCTCCAGGTGTCCATCTGTCCCTCAGCAGGTGATGCTGAATGTGGCCGCCTGGTTGAGGCCCAGTTCTCCCTCCCTTAGATGTGGGAACGCAATCTGGGTGCTGCGTGGCCGCGCCCCCCGACCCCCGTCACCCAGGGCCAGCAGCTGCAAAATGGCCATTTCCTGCCTCTATTCCATTTCTGCATCTACTGGCTGGCATTTCTCTCTCACCAAGGGCCCCTCCACTTTAAAAAGTCTATCAGTACAGACTTGCAGGTTTAAAAAAATTAATGTGTTAACATGCATTACTGTCATCTTTTAATTACTTATTTTGAGACAGGGTCTTGCTCTGTCACCCAGGCTGGAGTGTGGTGGTGCAATCATAGCTCACTGCAGCCTCCAACTCCTGGGCTCAAGTGATCCTCCTGCCTCAGCCTCCTTACAGGCATGTGCCACCACACACGACTAATTTTTATTTTTATTTTTGTATAGATAGGGTCTTGCTATATTGCCCAGGCTGGTCTTCAACTCCTGAGCTCAAGGGATTCTCCCACTTCAGCCTCCCAGAGTGTTGGGATTACAGGGGTGAGCCACTGCATCTGGCTCTTTTAAAATTTTTTGATGGTGGTAAAATCTATGTAACATTTATCACGTTAACCATTCATAACGCACAATCCACTGTTGTCTTATGCTCAGATGGCCTGAGGTCCAGCCAGCGGTGCCCCTCCAGCAGGCGCCCCTCCAGCACGGCTTCTGTGTCTTCGTAACCAGCTCCTGATGTGTTTTGAGTGCGTCCCTGCCTTCCCTGCCCCACACCTGGAATCAGCCTCTCTCCAAGGAGCCTGTCTCAGTCCGACCAGGACTGCTGTGCAAAGGACCCTGGACGGGTGGCATTCATGCCTCACAGCTCTGGAGGCTCGAAGTCCGAGGTCGGGACGCCAGCATGGCTGGGTTCTGGCGAGGGCTCTTCTGGGTTGTGGACTTCCCTTGACTCCTCACCTGGCAGGAGGAGCGAGGGAGCTCTCCGGGGTCCCTTTTATGAGGGCGCTGATTCTGGTCATCTCGAGGGTGTCACCTTCATGACCTACCCACCTCCAAAAGACCCCGCTTCTTTTTTTTTTTTTTTTTTTTGAGTCTCGATCTGTCACCAGGCTGGAGTGCAGTGGCGCAATCTTGGCTCACTGCAAGCTCCGCCTCCTGGGTTCATGCCATTCTCCTGCCTCAGCCTCCTGAGTAGCTGGGACTACAGGCGCCTGACACCACGCCCGGCTAATTTTTTGTATTTTTAGTAGAGATGGGGTTTCACCATGTTAGCCAGGATGGTCTCGATCTCCTGACCTTGTGATCCGCCTGCCTCGGCCTCCCAAGGTGCTGGGATTACAGGCTTGAGCCACCGCGCCCAGCCAACCCCACTTCTTAACACCATCACCTTGCAGGAGACAGGGTTTTGTTTTGTTTTTTTTTTTTTTTTTGAGACAGAGTCTCGCTTTGTCACCCAGGCTGGAGTGCAATGGAGTGATCTCGGCTCACCGGAAACTTTGCCTCCCAGGTTCAAGCGATTCTCCTGCCTTAGCCTCCCGAGTAGCTGGGATTACAGGCATGTGCCACCACGCCCGGCTAATTTTGCATTTTTAGTAGAGACAGGGTTTCCCCATTTTGGTCTGGCTGGTCTGGAACTCCCAACCTCAGGTGATCCACTCACCTCGGCCTCCCAAAGTGCTGGGATTACAGGCGTGAGCCATGTGCCTGGCCTAGGGGCCAGGGTTTCAACACACAAATTTTGGGGAGGACACATTCAGTCCCTAGCAGAACCCTGGTTCCTTTTAGGGAAGATGGGCTTTGGGACCAGAATCTGAGCTCTGGTCTGCACACTGCTCCCGAGGTCTCGCTGCCCCCGAGGTCCCGCCGCCCCCGAGGTCCCGCCGCCCCCGAGGTCTCGCCGCCCCCGAGGTCACGCCGCCCCCGATGTCTCGCCGCCCCCGAGGTCTCACCGCTCCCGAGGTCTCACTGCTTCTAGGCTCTCTCCATGCACAGAGCAGATAAATCTCTGCACAAGTTTGCACCAATACCCCAATGCCCCCAGCCCTCCGGCCCCCCAAACAGGTGTGTGTCTCCCTTCAGAACAGAGCTGCTCAAATGTCACTGGGGTGTGGCCCTGTGCAGGCGGAGGCAGGAGGATCACTGGAGCCCAGGAGGTGGAGGCTGCAGTGAGCTATGACTGCGCCATTGCACTCCAGCCTGGGTGACAGAGTGAAACCCTGTCTCAAAAAAAAAAAAAAAAAAAAAAAAAAAGAGCCCCTTGGAAGGGGCCTACAGGGAGGGGTGTTGGGGAGGGAGAGAGTTCTAACCCACCAGTCAGTCAGTCCCAGAGCAGCAGCCTCGGGACCTCAGCTTGGGCCCCTCTAACGCTGGCTCTATGAATCAGGAGCAGGGGCTGCAGGGGACGGGAGGTTTAGGGATAACCCCGTGGCCTCGGGGACCAGGGTCTAGTTAAGGTTAGTGGCTGTGATACTGTTCTTACTTCAAAACATTATGAAATTGTGGTAGAAAATGTGGTATTACAAAAATGTGGTAGAAAATGCAAACAGTGTGGACAGACAGGAAGCAAAACTGAAAGCCTGTTTCTGCCTGTCAGGGGTCATCCCACAGACAGCTCCTTGCGTCTTTTTTCAGCTCTGTTCAAGTAGAGACTCAGAATGACAGATCCTAATGCTGATTTTCTTCCATTTCCTGGCTTCTCCCTGCTTTACTTATTAGCTTGCTGGCGCTGCCATGCAAAGGACCACAAAGTGAGGGGTTTAAAACAACAGAAACTGACTTTGGGAGGCCGAGGTGGGCGGATCACTTGAGGTCAGGAGTTTGAGACCAGCCTGACCAACATGGTGAAACCCCGTCTCTACTAAAAATACAAAAATTAGCCAGGCGTGGTGGTGGGCGCCTGTAATCCCAGCTACTCGGGAGGCTGGGGCAGGAGAATCGCTTCAGCCGGTGAGGCGCGGGTTGCAATGAGCCGAGATTGAGCCATTGCACTCCAGCCTGGGTGACAGTGAGACTCCATCTTAAAACAACAACACCGCGGGGCGCGGGAGCTCACGCCTGTAATCCCAGCACTTTGGGAGGCCGAGGCGAGCGGATCACGAGGTCAGGAGATCGAGACCATCCTGGCTAACGCAGTGAAACCCCGTCTCTACTAAAAATACAAAAATTAGCCAGGTGTGGTAGCGGGCGCCTGTAGTCCCAGCTACTTGGGAGGCTGAGACAGGAGAATGGCGTGAACCTGGGGAGGCAGAACTTGCAGTGAGCCGAGATTGTGCCACTGCACTCCAGCCTGGGCGACAGAGCAAGACTGCATCTCATTAAAAAAAAAAAACAAAAAAAACAGAAGCTCACTGCCTAGCAGTCTGGAGGTCAGACATAGCACCTAGGCTTGGGCAGGGCTGCTTCCTCCCAAGGGCCTTGGAGAGCATCCGCTTGGCTCCCAGGCTTACAGATGTGCCACCCTGATTTCTGCCTGCGGCCCTCCCTGTGCATCTGTGTCCAAACTCGCCTTTCTATACTGACATCAGTCATATTGGATCAGGGCACATCCTACTCACCACATTTTAACTTGATAACTTCTATAAAGACCCTATTTCAGCCGGGTGCGGTGGCTCACACCTGTATTCCCAGCATTTTGGGAGGCCAAGGTGGGTAGATCTTCTGAGGTCAGGAGTTCGAGACCAGCCTGATCAACATGGTGAAACCCTGTCTCTACTACAAATACAAGGAAAAAAAAAAAAAGCTCAGCGTGGTGACGTGTACCTGTAATCCCAGCTACTCCAGAGGCTGAGAAAGTAGAATTGCTTGAACCCAGGAGGCAGAAGTTGCAGTGAGCCGAGATTGCACCACTGCATTCCAGCCTGGGCAACAGAGCAAGACTCTGTCTCAAAAAAAATGTTAAAAAGCCCCTGTTTCCACATAAGGTCACATTCTTTATTTTTTTTCCAAGATGGAGTCTTGCTCTGTTGCCCAGGCTGGAATGCAGTGGCACTATCTCTGCTCACTGCAACTCTGTCTCCCGGGTTCAAGCACTTCTCCTGCCTCAGCTTCCCGAGTAGCTGGGATTACAGGTGCCTGCCACTATGCCTGGCTAATTTTTGTATTTTTAGTAGAGACGGGGTTTCACCATGTTGGTCAGGCTGGTCTCAAACTCCTGACCTCAGGTGATCCACCCCCCTCGGCCTCCCAGACTGCTGGGATTACAGGCATGAGTCACCGTGCCCGGCCCATATAAGGTCACATTCTGAGGCACTAGGGGTTAGGACTCCAGCCTAAGAATTTAAATTTAAGGGGACACAAGCCACGCCATTTACCTAATCTCAGGCCCTCCCTGCAGTGGGCATGCATGGAGTCACCTTTTCCGTCCTTCTCCCTGGACACAACTGGAGTCTCCCATAGACAGGGTGGTGGCCGTGCCACGGAGCCACGCCACGCCACGCCACGCCACGCAGTGGGGCAGCCAGCACTCACTTGCCCTTCACAGGGAAACCGGCCGGGTGTGGCAGCTCGCGCCTGTAGTTCCAGCACTGTGGGAGACCAAGGCAGGTGGGTCACTTGAGCCCATGAGGTGGAGACCAGCCTGGGCAACATGGCAGGACCCTGTTTCTAGTAAATAAATGAATTGATTAAACCATAAAAAAAAAAGGAAGCCACCGGGCTGATTCCCAGGTGGCGAGGGCACAGGGGGGTGTTGGATGGCCACTGCCGCTCCACAGTCCACAGCCCACGCCCACAGAACGCAGTGGGGCCGCTGCAGCGGTGAACCGAGTCTTGTTGGTTTGTTTCTTGAGACGGGCGTGAGGTGAATGGTCTTCCTGTGTCTTGTTTTCTTTTTCCTTCTGAGCCACCGGTTCACGGCCTCTGTCCGTGCCGTCATTTTTCCTGTGGGTTTGTGAGGGTGCGTCTGTCGGTGTTAAAGACACAGGATGCCGGGGCAGCAGAGGGGGCTGGGGGCCTGGGGCTTCTCTGTGGTTGGCCATTTGCCTGCCAGGGATGTGGGAAACCAGCAAGCGGAGCTATAACCACAGTGTCCAGAAAGAGCTGAAATACTAGGGCTTGGAATCGAGGTGGAGGCCGGATGGAGGGAAATTGAGGTTCAGGACACCAAAGGATGGGGCAGCCACATGGTATTTCCAAGGCTCTGTGTCCAGGAGCCCCGACTGGCGTGGTATCCAGAGAAGCATCAGGCTGGGCTGACTGGGGCAGCACTGGAGTGTGTTCCACCGGGGACGGATGAGGGGCCCGTACCAAGGCCCTGGGGAGAAGGTGAGCAGGAGAGCAGTGCCACCTCAGCTGCCCTGTCCAGGCTGGTGAGGCACCACACCGCCTGGGGGAGGTGTGGCCAGGCCAATCCTGTGGGCACCCCAGGTCTCTGGGTGGAATCTCCCCTCGGTGTACCTCCCTGGGGCTGCACCCTAAAGCGTCAGGGCCAGGTGGGAGGAAGGCACAGTTGGCGACCCCAAAGGGCCAGACTGAACTGTGGGTTCCAATCACGCCAGGAGGCTCAGCGCAGGCTCACACCTGTGGACCACCACCCTCCCCTGGCCTCTTTCTTCCAGCCACGCAGGCTGTGGCTTCTAACCCCTCTCCTGCTGCTTCTTTTTAAAGGTTAAGGGGTTGGGGGTAAGAAACCTGCGCTGAGCGCCAGTGGGAGGGATGGGAGGTGGGGTGGAGACCTGCACTGCCGGCCAAACACCAAAGCCAGGCTGGCCTCCCCGCCCTGTTGCGGGCAGGTCTGGAATTTGAGCCCTGCCCTGAGCGGGGAGGGCCCTGCCTGACTGCTCCGTAGCTGGGAAGGGGCGGCTCCCCCAGGTGGGCTTATCACCCTCCCGATGCCCTGGTGCTGCAGATGGGGAACTGAAGCCAGGCTGGGCAGGCCATTTCTCCTGCTCACCCACACCCACTGGCTTTCTGGGCTGGGAGCCCTGACAAGGGGTATTTGCGGAAGGGAGAGCCATAGGGCAGGGTCTGAGCTGGGTTCACGGTGGAGGTGGTCCTGACCCAGAGCCGCCCCCTTCCCAGGTGACACCCCCTGCACCCTTCTGGCCTGTAGGCTCTCCCTATGCCCTGCCCCCTGGTCTCCACCCACCACGCTGGCTCCCAGCACACTCAGTACCGGGTGGGCGGATCTCCGTGCACACCAGACTCAAGTCCAGGGCAGCCCCCCACACCATTCCGCCACCCTGAGGTCACACCCTCAGGCTCAGACACCCCGGGGCCGGGCTGGCGTTGCTCAGGCAGCTGGTTCTGCGCGCTGGGCAGCTTCATCTGCCCGCCTAGGTGGCTCCACGGGGCGGGCCCCTCGGCCAGGGAGGGCGGGGCGCACAGGGAGACTTAAAGAGCTCCCCAGGTCCCCACCCGCGCCTGACCGCGGCAGCTCCCACCATGGCGGAGACCAAGCTCCAGCTGTTTGTCAAGGTGCAGGGCGGACTCAGCTGCGGGGAGGGTGTCTGGGAGGAAGCGCTTTTCTGGGCTTTGCTTTCTGTGGCAGGCTGTGGGGTGGGCCTCCCAGTAATGTCTGAGCCCCTTCCTGTGGGTGGCTAGGGGGACTCAGGCAGCCCTACAGAGGCTGAGTAAAGTGGGACCCAGCGAGTCACCCAGAGAGGGGTCAGTGGCCCTGGTCCTGCTCCCAGCCTTGGCTCCTGGGCCCAGCCCAGTCTTCTGGAGGAGAGCTCCTTGGTGGGGAGGTACCAAGCAGGCTGCCAACAGTGGAGCTTACGGTCGGTGTTCCAGGATGGGGGGTGCTGGGCCAGGCAGCCCCATCAGCTCTCAGGTCGGGGACTGGGGTGGGGGACTGATGTGCTGTTGGCCACAGTGCCCAGTCTCATGTGTGAATCACTCAGAAAACAGCTTGTGAGGCCCACCCCACCCCTGCAACCAGCTTTTGGGGACTGAGCCCAGGGGCCTGGCCTCTGTCCAGGCTCTGACAAGATTCCAGGGGCCAAGCCTGCCCCAGGCCTCAAGGCTCCCAGCAGCTCTGCCCCCCTCCCCACGTTCTGGGGACCAAGTCAAGGGCCCTCACTGGGCACTTGGAAGTCGCGCCGACCAAGCTGGAGCCCTGGCGTCCCTCCAATCCCACTGGCAGTGGGAGGCGGGTCCCGCCCAGCCTGGCGGCAGGATGCCTGGGTCTGCTTCCAGCCCTGACCCCCCACCCCCGCTCCACCCACCCAGGCGAGTGAGGACGGGGAGAGCGTGGGTCACTGCCCCTCCTGCCAGCGGCTCTTCATGGTCCTGCTCCTCAAGGGCGTACCTTTCACCCTCACCACGGTGGACACGCGCAGGTGAGGCCCCATCCTGTGGACCCCCGCCTGGCCTCGCACACTGGTGGGCCGGCCTCCTCCCACCCCGCTGCTGCCCGCAGGTCCCCGGACGTGCTGAAGGACTTCGCCCCCGGCTCGCAGCTGCCCATCCTGCTCTATGACAGCGACGCCAAGACAGACACGCTGCAGATCGAGGACTTTCTGGAGGAGACGCTGGGGCCGCCCGAGTGAGAGCCCCGGCAGGGTGGGAGGGGAAAAGAGGGGGGCCCAGGGAGGACGCGCGCAAGACAGAGCCCAGGAAGGCGCTGTGGGGGTACTGTGGGGCCGGGACGGGGCTGCCCCCAGTCTAATGGAGTCCCACCCCCTCATCCCGCAGCTTCCCCAGCCTGGCGCCTCGTTACAGGGAGTCCAACACCGCCGGCAACGACGTTTTCCACAAGTTCTCCGCGTTCATCAAGAACCCGGTGCCCGCGCAGGACGAAGGTGAAGCGGGGTCAGGGGGTCGGGTGCCCAGGCGGGAGGGCGCCCTGGGCCTGGTCCTCACCGCGCCGCCTGCCCCCTAGCCCTGTACCAGCAGCTGCTGCGCGCCCTCGCCAGGCTGGACAGCTACCTGCGCGCGCCCCTGGAGCACGAGCTGGCGGGGGAGCCGCAGCTGCGCGAGTCCCGCCGCCGCTTCCTGGACGGCGACAGGCTCACGCTGGCCGACTGCAGCCTCCTGCCCAAGCTGCACATCGTCGACGTGAGCACGGAAGGTGGGCGGGCGGGAGGGTGACCGCGGCGCGCCTGGGGGACGGCAGGTCCTGACCGCGCCCCGCGATCCTGCCCGCAGACGGTGTGCGCGCACTTCCGCCAGGCGCCCATCCCCGCGGAGCTGCGCGGCGTACGCCGCTACCTGGACAGCGCGATGCAGGAGAAAGAGTTCAAATACACGTGTCCGCACAGCGCCGAGATCCTGGCGGCCTACCGGCCCGCCGTGCACCCCCGCTAGCGCCCCACCCCGCGTCTGTCGCCCAATAAAGGCATCTTTGTCGGGAGTGAGGGTGTCCTGACATCTGAAGGGCCAGAGGTCTCGGGATCACTTCCCATCCCCAAACCCCAGGGTGGGACGCTCAGCCCGATAGCCCAGAACCACAGGGGCAGGAGCGCCGGGGGTCGGGCCGGTCCCATCCTCCACGCTAAGAAGGCGCAGACTCCAGGCCTCCTGCAACCGGTGGCCTCAGGGATCTCCAGGACCGGACTGGGCTCCCAAACCAGTCAGGCCGGGGTGGGGCGGGGTGCCCCAGGTGGATGGGGGCTGGCACATTCCTCAATCCTGTCCCGGGGCAGGCGCTCCCCTCCCCGCAGGGCACTTCCAGTGTCTCAGGGTCTACACGGGACTTCTGTCTGCATCCTCCCACGGGGCTCCGTGCCCTACCTGGGTGCGGCCTGGGAGGGTGGGAACAAAGTTCTAAGCCTTGGGGAGCCCTGGCCCTGCCTGGCTGGGCCCCTCTCAGCTCCTGGGCTGGCAGGGCTGGAATAGCTGGACGGTCTGAGAGTGCTCACCTCCCTCCGGCCCAGCAAGGAAGTCTCCAGGGAGCTGAGAGGCTGCAGCATCTGTTCACATCCTGTGGCCCTACACCCAGAACACAGGCCCAGGGGTGTTCCCTGATCCCTTCCCAGGCCAGTGCCAGGAGTCAGAGCCCCACCAGAGCCTCCAACCAAGGGAGCTGTTTATTTGACAGGGAAGGAATTTGAGGAGCCGTGTTAGTCCTGGCCCAGGACAGGCAGGTGGAGGTGGTGGCGGGGGGTCTCTGATGGGGGCCTCAAAGACTGCCTCTCCCCTCATAGGCGGACTCCCCGCGGGGCCACGCTTGTGCTGCACCTTCAGGTCTCATCGAAGTCCACGCCACCAGCTGGTTTCTTACTGGGAGGGAAGAGGGGTGTCACTATGGCACTATGGTGTGGAGAAAGGGGTGGGGTCCAGGATTGGACCCTGGGCGCAGGAAGGGGGCTGTGGGAGGGTACCTCTTGAACCCGGGGTTGATGAGCGACTCTCCTGGACACCGCCTCCTGACTCCAGGTCCAGGGCCACCTCTCTGGGGATCTGGGTCTGGGGGAAAACAGGACAGGGGCAGCTCCTGAACCTGGCAGCATCCCAACCACAACCTTCTCCGAATAGATAGGCATTCTCTCTGGAGCGTGAGTCTTGTTTGGGGGGAAACTGAGTTCCAGGTTAAAGAGCACAGCCCTACTTGAGTCACAGGCGGACATGCCTTACCTGGTAAGAAGAGCTGAGGCCCTGCAGGCCGGGGGCTCTTCCTCGGGCTGACAGCTGTCTCTTCTGCAGCTGGGGAGGAAAGCCCATGGGAACCCCACTCAGTGCCAGGAGTGGGGGCAAGAGCAGGGGACCCCAGTGAAGGTATGAGGTGCCCACCCCCAATCCTACCTGCCAGTCGCCGCTCCAGGCTCCACACGCGTTTTGCCAGGCCCAGTGTCAGCGCCCGCAGCCTGGGGGCTGCCTCTGGGCCTGGTACCTTGGAGAGGTCAAAGGCCAGTGCCGAGGGCCCCCCTGAAAGCGTCAGGGATGCTCTGTCCTCCTGCAGAGTCAGAGCCACAGCTTGCTGCTCACAGGCTGCCCTGGGAGAGGAGAGGTGCGGAGAGCTGTGGCAGACCCTCCTCCTCCCCACCCGTCCTTCCTCCCTGCTTGGGTCTCACCTGAACCGGGGGGTGATGTCCTCAGCCGCACTCAGGCCAAAACGGGCTTTCTAGAGAGCACAGGGGCTTGTCACGAGCTGCCTGGAACCCGAGGCCCACTGGGGGCACCCGAAACCTGCCCGACCCCAGAGCCCTAGCCAATGGGAGGACTACAGCTACAGGGCGGGCAGAGGGTGTCAGAGCCTTCTGGGGAATCCCAGATGTCTGTCGCCCCATAGACGATCTGCACTGCAAGGAGGGGTGTGGCGGCTCCCAGACCCGCCCAGTTACCCACGAGGGCCGCCAGGCTGTCCGGCGTGAAGCAGGTGCTCCAAAGCTCCGCGGCGTCGGTCACGCTGGGGGAGAAGGCCTGTCAGGCGGGGCCGCCCGCGGAGCTCCCTGCACCCCTACCTCCCCGCGGACCCCCACTCACTAGAGGTTGAAGCCGCCGCGGTCCCCCTCCCCGCTTTCCTCCCCTTCGCAGTAGCACACGAAGCGGGGCGGCTCGGGGCCCGGCGGCAGCGTGCAGAGCGGCGGCGACAGCGGATCCATGGCGCCGGGCGAGCGGGAACCCGGCGGGGCGGGGCTTGGGCGCCGGGAGGGGCGGGGCTGTGCGGGCTCAGGGCTCCTGCGCGGAAGAACGACTTCCGGAGCCGGGTGCAGGCCAGTCGCGGGCTTAGGGAGCTTGCGCGGGGCGGAGTCTGGTTGGGGGCGGGGTCTGTGTGTGGAGGCGGGGTTAGGGGCGGGGTTATGAGGGTGGGGGGATTCGGGGCGGGGCTAAAGGCACAGGCCGGGCCGCGCGGACCCGGTACCCGCGCGGGCTTCAGGCGACTAGAGGCCGAGTTTAGTGCGCGGGGCGGGCCGGAGCAGGGCGTCCTGGGTCAGGGATCCAGAGGCCCTGCCCCCAGCGCTGGCCTCGCCGGTCGTGGGCTCCACGGCGCGATCCCGGGCTCTGGCCCTCGCGCCCGCGAGCAGCCCCACTCGAACCTCGCCCCCTCCCGCCCCCGCCCCGGCTCCAAGTCCAGCCGAGTCCAGGTTCCCTCCGTGGCTCTGCGGATACATCCTGGAGCCCCGCCCTTCCATCGTCTTCACACACAAACCGGAAGCTTCCTAACTCTAATCGTAAGAAGTTACGGTTGGTCCGGCAAGGTGACTCACGCCTGTAATCCCAGCACTTTGGGAGGCCGAGGCGGGCAGATTGCCTGAGGTCAGGAGTTCGAGACCAGTCTGGCCAACATGGTGAAACCCCGTCTCTACTAAAAATACAAAAAAATTAGCCAGGTGTGGTGGCGCACGCCTGTGAGGCAGGGGAATTGCTTGAACCAGGGAGGTGGAGGTTGCAGTGAGCCGAGATCGCGCCACTGCATTCCAGCCTGGGCAACAGAGCGAGACTCTGTCTCAAACAAACAAAAAAAGAAGTCACAGTACAGAGCGATCTCCAGGGAAGAAGGCTTCTGCGCTCTCTGTCCCGCGCATGGTATTCCTCCAGCTCCTCCTACGTGCCTGTTGTCCTAGGCCTGGATATCGATCAACAGACAAGGTCTCTGACTCCCTGGAGCTTCTAGGATCCAATAGGAGAGACACCACACTCTCAGGCAGGGCCAAGCGCCAGGAGAAACTGCAGCGGGTGCTATGAGGGCAGGAGGAAGAGGATGGCTCCCACCAGGGACAGGGAGATCCCAGGCGGAGGCCTGGCCACATAAATAATGGTTCTGTTCAAGGCTCGGCAAGAAGGCCAGGTTGGCAGCATGGTGCTGTGGGGAGGGCCAGTGGGTCTGTAAGCTACGCTTCCATATCGGAGTGCTCCCACAGCAAGCCTGCCTCACCTCCTCCTGCTTCCCAGTTCACTCCCAGTCCTGGCTCCTGCCCCCTGGGCCTCTGCACATGCTGCTGTTTCTGCCTGGCACATCCTTTCCCCAGACTCACATGCTTCCTTCAGGTCTTTACTCAAAAGTCACTTTAGTGAGACCTTCCCTGGTGTTGTTCTGACATTGCAGCATGCTGCCCAGCTCTCACATCCCTCTCTCCTGTCATTTCCCTATTTTTCACACTTCTCACTGTAGAAAGTACACTTTGGCTTGCTTTATTCTGGCAGCTAGCTCCCTGTTATACCCTCCTGGGTTTAGACTTTTCTGCACTCCCCTCCCCTTGGGCTGGACTTTATTAATGACTTGCTTCTGGCAACTAGAATAGGACAAAATTGCTCTTGAATTGCTGGGTGTGACATGAGGCAGCCCTAAGGGGATGACCATGGCCAGCAAGGGAACCGGGAAGCTGACGCCCCAGCTGAGCCTTCCCATGAGACCACATCATCGGCCGGCAGCTTGACCACAGCCTCCTGAAACTTTGTGTCAAAGGCCCAGAGTCCTGCCTGGCTGACACTGGGAGATAATGCATGCCTGCTGGTTAAGCAGCTGCATTTGGGGTAACCTGTCACTCTGCAGTAAGTGACCACCAATACACTTATTTACCCTGCTTATTGTCCATCACCCCAGGAGGTCCATGAGGGCAGGGATTTCTGTCTGTTTTACCTGCCAGTGTATCCGTCTCTTCAGCGCTTACACAATGGCTGGCACATACAGACACTGAATAAACATTGTGAATGAATGAATGGGGGGTGGTGGCTGTTGGAGGTTTAAGCAGGGGTGGATGGGAAGTGGCACGTCTGACTTATGTGTGTGAAGTCCGTATTCTGTGCTGTGAGGAGAGAGGACGGGGGCTGCAGAGGAGAGGGGTGGACCATGGGCTCGGACTGGAGGTGGAGGGAGGAGGAGACAAAGAACAATCAAGGATGGCCCTGGCATTTGGGAAGAGTGGAAAGGGGAGATTCATCCCCAAGATGACTGGGGTGGGGCAGATTTGGAGAGGACTGGGGGGCCTCTTCTTTGTCATGTGAACTCTGAGATGCTGGCTGTAGCAGGCCCCAGATATCAGGCCCTAATCCCTGGGACCTGTGAATGCTATTGTCTATGGAAGATGCTGGGCACTGCATTCCAGCCTGGGCAACAGAGTGAGATCCTGTCTCCCCTTCCCCCCAAAAAAAGGAAAGAAAAGAAAGGAGTGTTTGCAGATATTCCCTTGAGATGGGGTGATTATCCTGGATTGCCCAGGGAGGCCCTCAGTGCCATCTCAAGGGCCTTTTAAAAGTGAGGCAGAGGAAGCTTTGAGACAGAAAAGAAGGCAGCATGGCATGGAGGGAGGAACTGGAGCGATGCAGCCCACAAGCCAAGGATTACAGGCTGCTATCAGAAGCCAGTGTTGTGACCAAGCGAGTTATACAGAAACGCCACACTTTGAGACAAATTAAAGAGTCCGTTATTAGCCGCGACTGAGAGGCAGCTAACGCTCAAAATTCTCTCGGCCCCGAGGAAGGGGCTAGTTTTGTTTTTATACCGTGGTCTAAATAGGGGAGGGGGGATTTTAGCTGAAGCAATTTTTACGGAAGCAGAACTGGCAAAAAGTTAAAAAAATTAATTGGTTACAAATGCAGTTACAAAAAATAAACAGTTCCAGGTGCAGAGGCTTAAACTATCACAAAGAGATAAATGCAGGGGTTTTGGGTGCCATCCACCACGCGTGTCCCCAGGAGCTGCTGGTGCAGCTTGCCTCAATGTCTTATCAGTAGGTGCATTCCTGGACGTGCTTTGAGTCAGTTTACACTAGCTATGCCTTCAGGGAGGAAGGTGAAAGGGGGCCGCAGGTGAAGAAACTAAAATGGAGTGTGTCCGGCTCTCTCTCTGCCAGGAGAGGGTCACTCAGGTGGAAACAAGGTAGGGTATCCCACCAGAAGAGGCCAGGCCCAGTGGCTCATGCCTGCAATCCCAGTGCTTTGGGAGTTCAGAGTGGGAGGACTGCTTGAGGCCAGGAGTTCAAGGCCAGCCTGAGCAAGACAGCAAGACCCATCTCTAAAAAGAAAACATTAGCCAGGCATAGCGATGCATGCCTGTAGTCCCAGCTACTTAGGAGGCTGAGGCAGGAGGACTGCTTGAGCCCAGGAGTTCAAGGCTTCAGTGATCTGATCGCGCCATAGTACTCTGGCCTGGACATCAGAGCAAGACTCTGTCTCAACAACAACAAAAAAAGAAGACAAAGAAGCTAGAAGAGGCAAGGAAGGTTTCTCCCCTAGAGCCCTCGGAGGGAGCACAGCCCGGCTGATACCTCGACCCTATTAAACTGATTTTGAACTCTGGCTTCAAGCTACAAGTTTGTGATAATTTGTGGCAGCTGTAGGAACTGACACAAGACCAGAAACAAAGATTAGTTCCAAAACATGACGAGAAAACTGCAAAACCTTCATTTAACTAGCCTCAGGCTGGGTCCGTGTGGACCTCAGGTGTTTATTTTACACTTTGGCTCACACCCTGGTGTCATGTTCTGTTTCGTGGCTCACATCGGGCCAGCTTCATCTACTGGCAGCAGCTTTTCCACTGGCTTCCACCACGTCCTTCTCTGAGATACTTTTTTATACTTTTTTTTTTTTTTTTTTTTTGAGACGGAGTTTCGCTCTGTCGCCCAGGCTGGAGTGCAGTGGTGCGATCTCGGCTCACCGCAACCTCTGCCTTCCAGGTTCAAGCGATTCTCCTGCCTCAGCCTCCCGAGTAGCTGGGACTACAGATGCCCACCACCACACCTGGCTAATTTTTGTATTTTTTAGTAGAGACAGGGTTTCTCCATGTTGGTCAGGCTGGTCTCGAACTCCCGACCTCCTACCTCAGGTGATCCGCCTGCCTCGGCCTCTCAAAGCTCTGAGATTACAGGCATGAGCCACTGCACCCAGCCATGGGAGCAATTTTCTTTAATGTAGGATACATTAATACAGTGTATGAGATATAAGGTTAGTGGAGCTTTGCAAGCAGAAGGAGAGGGATTACAAAGTCCCCACGCACACACTTGAAGTCGGTGATGGAGGCAGAACAGGGGAGGGAAAGGGCTGACCTTTCCCAAGGCATAGAGCACCTGGAAGCTGGGCCAAAAAGAGGAGCAAAAGGTCCGGAGAACGAGCTCTAGGGGAGTGGGGGCCAGTCAAGTTTTGGGGTAGCAGAGGTCAACAACCAAGGGAGGTATTTGAGCAAGACTTCAGAGACGGGAGTGAGTGCACTGAGTGGCACTGGGAGAAGGGCAGTCCAGGCAGGGGTGACCTGGGCAAAGGCCCTGAGACACGTGAGGGGCTGGCAGCAGGACGGAGGGAGGGGAGTGGATGGTGGGTCAAAGGAAAGCCTAAAAGAGAAGACCTTGTTGGCCACCATCAAGACTTAGGCCTGAGGCCGGGCATGGCGGTTCACGGCTGTAATCCCAGCACTTTGGGAGGCCGAGGTGGGTGGATCACCTGAGGTCAGAAGTTCAAGACCAACCTGGTCAACATGGTGAAACCCCGTCTCTACTAAATATACAAAAATTAGCTGGGCGTGGTGGCGGGCACCTATAATCCCAGCTACTCAGGAGGCTGAGGCAGGAGAATCGCTTGAACCCGGGAGGCAGAGGTTGCAGTGAGCCAAGATCGCGCCACTGCACTCCAGCCTGAGCAACAAGAGCGAAACTTCGTTCCAAAAAAAAAGACTTAGGCCTTTACTCTCAGTGCAATGGGACCCACTGTGGGGTGCTGAGCAGGGGGGCCTGATCTGACACATCTTGTGAATCCATCCCCTGGGCTTCTAGGTGGAGAAAGGGCTGAGCGTGGGAGGTGAGGGACTCGATGCGTCTGCAAGGGATTGGGGGCTGACCACAGCTGGACCCACAGCCACCCCCAGAGGCTGCCCCACCCTGGAAGGAAGGAAAGGGCATCCCTGAGGCTGTGGAGGGCAACCTGCATTTCCCGGCTCGGAATCTTCCTGGGAATGCAGGGGGGATGCAGAGCCACTGTGCTCCGCCGAGTGGTGTTTTTTTGTTTTGTTTTGTTTTTTTTCTGAGGCAGAGTCTCGCTCTGTGGCCCAGGCTGGAGTGCAGTGGCACAATCTTGGCTCACTGCAAGCTCCGTCTCCCAGGTTCACGCCATTCTCCTGCCTCAGCCTCCCGAGTAGCTGGGACTACAGGCGCCCGCCACCACACCCGGCTGATTTTTTGTATTTTTAGTAGAGACGGGGTTTCACCGTGTCAGCCAGGATGGTCTCGATATCCTGACCTCATGATCCGCCCGCCTCAGCTTCCCAAAGTGCTGGGCCCGGCCCGAGTGGTGTTTTTTAATAACAAATTTTCTGGGCTGGGCCCAGTGGCTCACGCCCGTAATCCCAGCACTTTGGGAGGCCAAGGTGGGTGGATCGCTTGAGGTCAGGAGTTTGAGACCAGCCTGGCCAACATGGCAAAACCTGTCTCTACTAAAAATACAAAAATTAGCAGGGCGTGGTGGCGATCACCTGTAATCCCAGCTACTTGGGAGGCTGAGGCAGAAGAATCACTTGAACCTGGCAGGTGGAGCTTGCAGTGAGCCGAGATCGCACCACTGCACTCCAGCTTGGGCGACAGAGCGAGACTCCATCTCAAAAAAACAAACAAACAAAACTCTGACCAACTGAGAAGGAGAAATCAGAGCATACTGCACCCCGTAGACCCATCACCCAGATTAAACACTATCCAAATATTCACAGATTTGCAACCAGTATTTTTATTATTATTTTGCTGAACTAGGTACATTACAGCTAGTAGGCTATTTTCCTTCAAATTCTTCGAGACTTGTCTGTAAAAGACAACACTGTCCTACATAGACTCCAGGCAGGGCAGAGTTTTATGCGGCTCCTCCTGTCCTCCTCGCCCTCCACTCTCCGTGGACAGGCCCTGGGTCAGAGTTGGGAGCGCTTCGTTGGTCTCCGGAACAGCCAGGCCTCTGGGGCGGGTCCTGGAGCCAGGAGTCAGGGGCTGGGGAGCTGGGGGACCCGGAGGGGCGCCTGGGGATGGAAGCCGCCGACACTGACTGGGGCAGCCGCTTGGGAGGACCCGGAAGGCCACGTCGCGCGGCGGTGTCCGCTGAAGCCTGGGGCGCGCGCCGCGTGGTGTCCGTGTCCCGCCCTCCCGGCGCCCCCAGTCTGGGGGTCTGGGTCCGTGCGGAGGTAGAAAAGTCCCAGAGCTGGGGCTGGGGCCCGTCCTGAGGAACCTCCCTGCCACGGAGCCGAGGCTCGGTCCCTCCTGGGCTAACGCCTACCCAGAGGGGCAACAGGGGGTGACCCGGCCCCTCCCCCAGGGCGCCCATGTACCTGGCCGCCCCCCCGCCACCCCTCCCTGCCCCCAAGAAACGCACAGCGCCACAGGCATTCAGGGTGTTTATTGCGCTTGGGGCCAGGGTGTGGAGGGAGGGGGCTCTTTGGGCAGGGCTGGGCGCACGGAGCAGCTGACCCCTGCGGGCACTCAGGGGCTGGACCCCTCACTGCAAAACAAGGAGCAGGTGGGCGGCGTCCCCTGCCTCCGCCCCCTCCCGACGCGCAGCCCCGCGGTTCCCCAGGCTGCTGCGGCTCGGATCCGCCCGGGTGCCCCATCACCCCCGCTGTCGTCCCTAGCTGCCCCGAAGGTAGAGGGCCCCGCGGTGCAGCCCACCGAGCTGGGAGGGCCCATGGTCCGCGGCTCCGCATGGCCATGGTCTACTCACCCGGGAGAGCGCGCCCGCACACTGGTCTGCAGAGAGATCGAGCCTGAGGCGCCACCCCGCGCCCCCTTCCCTGGGACGGAGGCCCCCGACCTGCCCCAAGGCGATCTCCTCCTGGGAACACCGGCCTGGGCAACGTCTCGCCCTCCCCCGACCCAGACAGGCTGGGTCTGCCCCGGGCACTTCTGTCCCGAATCTGAGATCAGTGGAGTGACCAGGGCCTGGCCCTTCCAGCAGGGGTGTGACCCGGGGCCTGGCCCTCCCAGCAGGGCTGCCGGCACCGCTCACCCGACTTCGGCAGCAGGACGCCCTGGCTGGGGCTCAGGCCCACTTGGGGCGCCAGTAGCTGCATCTTCTGGGCGCCTTCGGGAAACAGCTCGGGCGCTCGAGCTGAAGGTGGGGAGGGCGGGTAAGCTAAAGGGAAGGGGCTGGAGGGGCGAAGAGAGGGAGAGAGGGGCAGGGAGGGGCCGGGACCCGCGGCCACAGACACCAGGAGCCAGCGGTTCCACCTTCCGCGTGCAGAAAGGGCTGGTGCAGGCACAGGGGTGACATCCCAGACCCGAAGCGGGGGTGTCTGGGTCTCCGCCCCGCAGCCCGCCCACCGTAGAGCTGCAGCCACTGGTTCCGCAGGCCCCCTTTCCGCATCTCCAAGTACAGCAAGGCAAAGTGCTGGTAGTCGGAGAAGGCCACTCGGATGTCACTCAGGGCCATGGCTGGAGGAGCGAGAGCCGCTGACCCCAGGCCCAGGGCACCTCCCCCCCGAGCGTGGCACCCCTCACGCCCCGGCCCCAGGTGCCAATCCAGCAGTCCATGCAGCCTCCAGGGCCCCCACGCCACAGCCCTGCCTGCTGCCCCACCTCACCTGGGTTGCTGAACTGCCCCGGTACAGCACCCTCGGTGAAGGTCGTGTCCATTTTCTGGCACCCGCCATGGGGCCTGGGGAGAAAGAGCCCCAATCCCCTGAGTGGCCACCCCTGCCCAGCGCCCAGGCCTAGAGCCTACCTTGCTGTCTCTGAGCCCAGGGTCCCCTGTTCACCCTCACAATCCTTAGAGGACATGGGACTTTAGGATGACCTTAGAGGTGGGGACACTCCTGCTGGGGGTGGGGTGGGTATTAAGTACCTGTTCACAGGCACACAGCCTAGAATGCAGGGCCTCCAGGTCCCCCTTCCAGACACAGACACACAGAAGACACACACATACACACATGCACACACACGGAGATAGACACAGACACAGACACACTGACAGACACACACATAGACACGCACACAAGACACACACAGAGATAGACACACACAGCCAGACACAGATACACAGACACACAGACACACAGACGCATACAGTGATACACACATACACACTCAGAGGTACACATCTACAAAGACACACATGCATACACACGCACACACAGACACACACACATGCAGAAATAGACACACATACACAGAGACACAGCCACATACAGTGATACACACACAGACACAGACATGCAGACACTTTTCTCAACACCAGGCCTCAGGCAGTGCTTCCTCCAGGGCCTGGGTCCCTCTGGACTCCGTGTGGCTGCCATCTGGGGCTCTGCCGCACAGAGCCGTCGAGGACCCGTGGTCTGACCTCAATGTGCTGGGGACACCATGGTCCCTCTGGACCTTCATGTGGCCTCATGCTGGCCATCCTCTGAGGCTGAGTCTGATGGGCTCGTGTGGTCACTTACGTGGGGTATCCAAACTTGAGGGCCAGGTCACCATTCCCCAAGGGGGTCACTAAGACCACAGCCATCTTCATGGTGTCCTTGGAGTCCAGGAAGTCCTGGTCATCTGACACCACCCCGACCATGTACCAGGTGCCCTGGAACTGCAGGGCAAGTGCAGGGAAGGCTGGGAGGCCGCCCCTGTGCCCTGGGCCTGAGCCCACCACATTCTGCCCCGACACAGCTGCTTCCTGGCCACGGCAGGGGCTGCTGTACACATCTCGACCCCGATGCAGAACTGAGGGAGGGGGGCCTCAGTACATGAGCAACTGGCCCCCACCAGCCCAGCACCGGCCTGTCTGCAGCTGGCACCCAGGGGGTACGGCTGGATGGGTGGGGCTGTGGCAAGGTCACAGGTCTTTGTGGGGTGGGTGGGGGACAGTGAGGCACAGGCAACCAACTTGTCCCTATTTTGGGCCCTGGGGATTGTTGGGGGATGCAACTGAAAAGGTAGGATGGAGGCTGCAGTCTTCCCCAGCCAACCCCTACTCCAGTCAGACGGAGCGGGTGAGGTGGGGGTTTCCCCTGCCCCTAGCCCTGCTGAGCCTGGATCAAAGAGGGTGTGGACAGGGACCCGGGGTGCAGCACCAAAGCCGGGAGGACTCATTGGAGATGAGGAGGAAACAGGGCTGGGCACACCTGGCTGGCATCAAAGTTGGCCTGGATGGGGACCTGGGCCTGGCCTGGGGATGCCCAGAGCAGGGCAAGGAGGGAACTGATCAGCAGAGCCCGAAGCATCATGCAGCAAGATGGCATCTCCTCCGGACACGGGAGCAGGGCAGAGCTGAGGTGGCTCCTCTGTAGGCTTTACGCCCCTGAGGTGCCCTGGGGCGGCTGGCCTGGGACTGCACCCACTGTGACAGGCTTCTGATCAAGTTGCACCCTGCAGCGCTCTGGCCTGGCTCCCTCCACCCAACCCCAGCCATCCGTTGCCTTTCCTCCGGGGTGGGGCCGGATGCCTGGCAGCTGAGGGTAGTTCTGACGGGCCTCTGGGCTAGGGGGCCTGCAGCTCACCCATCCTGCCTCTTCGGCCTTCTGCAGCCCCTCTGGGATGTTGGAATCCCCCCTACCTTGAGCTCAGGCACAGCCCTAAGCCCCCTTCTCCGGGAAGGCCACCCAGAAGCTCACCCTCACCTCCGAGCCTCAAAATGCTTGGTGCCTCTGCAGGGTCTGCCTCGGGGGGGCCTGGTGGGCAGGTCACAGTGAGTCCTGCACATTGTGTACCTGAGAATGGCTGCCT
Organism: Homo sapiens; assembly: GCF_000001405.40. Taxonomy (NCBI): domain Eukaryota; kingdom Metazoa; phylum Chordata; class Mammalia; order Primates; family Hominidae; genus Homo; species Homo sapiens. The sequence goes on along the minus strand of NC_000009.12, from coordinate 136,982,432 downwards.
GGGTGGGAATCTGGAAGGGAGCAGGGTTGGGCAGGGCACTGGCCGGGCATGGTGTGGCCGTGGTGCCAGGGCTCTGGTGAGTGGACAAGGCTGTGATCTGGAGGCCCAGGTCAGAGGGCAGGGGGCGCACAGGGAGCCAGAAGGGATATGGGGTAGCCTGTCCCCAGCCCACTCTGTCAGTCTGTCCTGATGCGGGGTGGAGACACTCTGGCATGTTTCAAACAAATGTTTCTTTTTGTCCCCTGAAACCCTTATCTCTGCCCAATCTCAGTGCGTTAATCCCACACCTCAAGATACCCAACAGGTCCAAAGCTCCTCTGGGGCCTCGAGCCTCAGGCCTTTACTGCTGAGGGGGTGACAGGGTGGCGTTGGGGGTGCAGGGCACCTGCCTAAGGGATTAGCTGAGTCACTGACCCCCAGCTCAGCACCGGCCTGGTGGCAGTGGCAGCTGAGGGGGTATGGCTCGACGTGTGGGGCTGTGGGGCAGGGGCACACGACTGTGTGGGGTGGGTGGGAGACAGTGAGGGACACCCCCTCCTAGCTGTCCTGACTCAAGACCCCACTGGGAGCAAACACTAGAGGGCCTGTTCCTTTGTTGACGTCAGGCTGAGATTTTAGAGGGGGAGGTCCGGGTGGCCAGGGCCAGGCCCAGGACGGGTGATGACAGCGCAGACAGCCAGGAGCCAGCTCTACTGACTTGCTTCCGGAGTTTATTGTGCAGGATGAAGCCTGAGTGGGCAGGGTTGCTTTGGCGGGGAGCCGGGGCAGGGGCTCGGGGAAGGAACAGAGCAGAGACATCCAGAGCGTGGGGGTCACCTGGCTGGCCGGGATCCCAGCTTCAGCCCTGGGGAGTCCTGAGGGGTGTGACCGAAAGGCTAGGATGGAGGACTGCAGTCTACCCCAGCCCACCTCCACTCCAGTCGATGGAGCAGGTGCGGGCTACGGGGACTTTTCTCTGCCCCCAGCCCCACTGAGCCCCGCTGAGAGAGCAAGATCCATCCCTGGGGCTTGGATCCCCGCTGCCCCAGGGTCTACAGACTCCACCCTTCCCAGCCCCAGGGTCCACAGACTCCAGCTCCAGCCTAGGCCTCCCTCCTGGGGGTGGTGGGTGAATCCGCCCTGAGCCTGCTCTCCGAGCTGTCCCACGGCATCCATGTAGCGTCCTTGGCCCTCCCCTTCCATCCCCTGTTCCCTCCCATCCTGTCTCCCCCACCCTGGTTTCCTCCTAGCCCAGGAGCCAGACACCCTTGCTGCCAGGTGGTCCCTGTGGTATAGCCCCTTGGCCTTGTCTGCCTGGGGCCTCGCACCTGCACCCCCCAACCATGAGCCTTCAGGAGTCAGCCCTGTTCCAGCCACTGGGACAGGTTTTCCTTCTGAGCCTCACACCTGTGCACCCATCAATGTGGGCAGCCCCAGTGTCTCCCGCCCGGCCCTGGACTGCAGCCATCGGGAAGGATGGGTCTGCAGCACCAGGCTGTCCTGGGGCCCTGATCCATCCCATCGCAGAGTGGGTTGGGTGGATGTGTGTTGAATGAATGAATGAATGAATGAATGAATGAATGAATGGAGTGGCTCACCTATTGTTCCGTCATGCACTTATCTGCCAAGAAAGAAGCCAGGGGCTGTCGTCAGAACCCCAGACTTAGGCCAATTTTCCCACTGGGCTTCCTGTTCCTCCCGTAACGCAGAGCTCGTCTTGACTGAGCCCCCAAACTGCACAGATCCCCCATCACCTCCCACCTCTCCCTGGGCACTGGAAACAAAGAGAGGGTCTTTCTCCACCTCTGCCAAGAGCAGGCTGTCCACCCCTAGGAGGCTGTGCCTGAGCCCAGTATGGTTGGTTCCCCTGTATCCCCCATGGGCACCCTCTACCCTATGCCCCCCACCAGGCTGAAGCCCCACATCCTGGGAGCTGCTGGGGCCTGGCACAGAGTGGGCGCCTGGTCTCCATGTCCCCCATGGAGGGGGCTCCTCATGAAGGGGCTGCGGGAGGGAGGTTCTGACTTGAACACTCACCCCCTCTGTCCCTGGCCCAGGCCTCGAGCAGGGCGGGGCCACCTCCTCCCCTCTGCCTCCCCCAGTCAGGAGACTGCCTGCCTGCCTCTAATCTGACCTTGATCCTCTCCCCATCAGATTAGGACCCCTCACCGGTTTGGGGCAGGAAGACAATGGTATCCTCTGTGAAGCCCTGGGCCTTGCAGAAGGCGGTGAATTTCTCCTTTAACTCAGCCCTGGGGGTCTGGGTTCGGCCTGGGACAGGGTGGAGACGGAGCTGGCCTCAGCGGGGGGGATGCTGTGTGCCCTGCCCTGGGTCTTGGGGAGCCCCCTCTGGTCAGGCCTGCGTGTGGGCGGCGTCCACGGGGCACGTACTGTAGAGGGTGGCCATGCGGAAGTCCTCGCCAGGGCCCTTGCTGCCCTGGCTGTACAGCAGCGCGTACTGGTCGTAGTCGGTCTCCACCACTGACACGGAGTAGGTGCTGCCCCAGTCTGGGAACCCAAGAGACAACCCTGTCGGGGACTCAGCCCCCCAAACCTCACCTCTGCTTCAGGGAAGGGGTGCACCTGTGGGCTTTGGGGGCACTCAGCCCCTCGGCTGGCCCGGGATGCTCCCCCACCCGGCTGCTCTCCAGCCAGTGCCCTGCTCTCGCCTGCACAGCCTGTGAACCCTGTCCCCAAACCAGAATCTGGGGGAGCCAGGCTCAGAAAACCAGGATTCCTGGTGCAGCCGCAGAAGTCGCTGCCAGAACCGGAAGTGAAGAGGTTTCCCCGTGGGAGCCATTCCCCAGGTGGGAGTGAGGAAACCCCTGGGTCCTGGGGAGGAGAATTGGGAGGAGGCATATGGAGGGGCCTTGGGGGGCTGCTTATGTGGGGAAAACTCCAGAGGGCAGGGAAGGGGCCTGACAAGACAATGGTGGGCTCCAGAGAGGATCCAACCCCCTGGAGGAAGGGTCTCTCTGTCCCTAACACTTGTGCATGGGTAGTCACGCCCAGGCCTGGCCTTTGCCTCTGACGCTGGTGGGGCAGCCATCACCTCCCACCCCATGGATCTCCGCGGCAGGGGGCTGGCCCAGAGTCGTCCCGGCAAGTGTCGCCCCCAGGCTGGGCCCAGGGGGCCGGTGGAGGCCCCACTCACGGGGACTCCGGTAGCTGTAGGAGCCGAGGGACCCCGCGGGCTGCAGCAGCATGGTTCGGGTCTCACACTGGTTTTTCCTGTAGGTGGGTGACCTCAGGGTCAGGGGTTAGGCCCGAGGGTGTCCCTGGACCTCTCCGTCCCAGAAACCCACCTGCCCGCTGTCCCACCTGAGGAAGGTGGAGGTCAGGTTGAGGCCACCATCCGTGGCAGGGGCCACCACAGACTTGCACATGGACAACGCCGCCTTCTTCTCCCGGAGCCAGCTCGAGTTGGAGGCGAGGCCCGCGCTGAACCAGCGCCCCAGGAACTGCGGCGAGCGACCCCCACCCGCGTCGGCCAGGACCCTCCGGACCCACCTGCGCCTACCTGCGGGGGCGCCTCTGCCGTCTACTCCTCCGGTCTCCAACCCGGCCCCGCCCCCACGCCCAATCCCCCGAGCAGCCACGCCCCTCACGCCCCGCCCCAGGAACTGACCCCCGCCCCTCAATCCCCGCCCCAGGAGATGACCCCGCCCCTCACATCTCCGCCCCAGGAGCTGACCACGCCCCTCACATCCCCGCCCCAGGAGATGACCCCGCCCCTCACATCCCCGCCCCAGGAGCTGACCACGCCCCTCACGACCCCGCCCCAAGAGCTGGCCCCGCCCTTCATGTCCACAACCAGGGAACTGACCGCGCCCCTCACGCCCCATGCCCCCCTAGGAGCTGACCCCGCCCCTCACGTCCCCGCCCCAGGAGCTGACCACGCCCATCAGGCCCCCGCCCCGCCCCGGGAGGTGGCCCCGCCCCTCACGCCCCGCCCCAGGAGATGACCACGCCCCACTTCCCCCTCCCCCGGAGATGGCCCCGCCCCTCACGCCTCAGCCCCAGAAGCTGGCCACGCCCCTGACACCCAGCACCCCCGTCTGGCCACGCCCCTCCCGAGGACAGTCCCTCACCCTCGCACGCCGCCCACCAGCCAGCTTCGGCCCCTCCGCCCCCGGTCCCGATTCTGTGCCCTGGCTGAGCGCCTGGCCCATACAGCGGGCGGCAGAGGACGTCGCATTCCTGGCGGGGATCGGGGCGGGTCTTCGGCTCAGCTCTGCGGACCGCTGGGGTTCTCCTCGACGCCAGGGAGGGGCGCGCGGCGCGGGGACCCGCGCTCCGGCGCTTCCCCGAGCAGCTCCCGGGCGAGAGCGCGCGTCGCCGGCTGTCTGTGCGGTGCGCGTCCCTCCCAACCCCCACCGCGCACGGAGTGTTTGTCGCCATCCCTGTGCCCCACCCGCCCGTGTCCTGGCACCCAGGTGTGGAACGTGCGCTCGTGTGTCCTCTGGGGGTCGCGTGCCCACAGGGGTGGACGTGTCTGGCTGGCGTGGGCGCGTGTGTGGCCCGGTGTCTGCGTGGCCCATCAGGGGAGACGGGACGCGGTGCCCAGGGAGGGCTTCTCGCGGGCAGCCTCCTCGGGCGGCTACCCAGCCTCCTTCCTGCGCGCCCGCTCAGTCCCTGGCCGGCACTGCCCGGCACTGCGGGACTTCGCTCACTCCTCCCAGGGGGAAGACCCAGCCGGAAAGTGCCCTTCCCCTGACAGGGTCCTGTAGCCCTTGGGGATGACGCAGGAAAGCCCCTCACCTTGTCCTGCTGGAAGTTGGGCTGCACGGAGACCTGGGCCTCCGGTGCTGCCTGCAGGTCGCCCAGCACCCCCAGCAGGGCCAGTCCCATCCACAGTGTGTGATGAGTAGCCATTCTCCTGCAGCAGAGCGGGTGTCCGGGGCCTGGTGCCAGTGGTGTGGGAGAGCGAGGGAGGTGTGCAGGAGGAGCGGAGGGCACTGAGGAGACCCCTATTTATGGGCCAGGCTTGGCCTCCACCCAGGGCCCGGGGACAGCCCACTGAACACTCGTGATGCTGGGGGATGGGGTGGCCAGGCACAGCTGCAGCCTCGTCCCCCACAGGGCGCTTATGCAAGAGGCCTGGGCCTGCTGCCCCAGCTGAGGCAGCGTGGGGGTGAGGCAGAGGCCCCTGCCCACTGGTCCCAGAGACAGAGCTGGCAGGGACCTTGCCCACCCTCCTCCTGCTGGCAGGGCCCACCAACCCAGCGGCCCTGATAGGGCAGGGGCTGTGTTCCTCAGCCATGCCCGCCTCCGAGGCCTCTGGTGACTTCCCACTGGGGGCCAGGACCCACATCTCACAGCCCCTACCATCATTCCCTTTCCGAGCCCTGCCACCCCAGAAGGGGACACAAGCCCCACTTCCACCCTGAGAGTTTGGTCCTGAAACGCCCAGCAAGTGAAGTGTTGATGAGAAGCTCAGGCCAAGGTAGAGAAACTTGATCTGGCCCGCAGGGTCCCGAGGGCCAGGTTTGCTGGGCATGGCTTCCCCCATGGCCAGCTGTTGGGGCTCTGATAGTGACCCCTGGGTGCCCATTTCAGCCTGGGGCACCTTTGGGCTTGAGCACAGGCCCTATCCCTTGCCAGAGGCCCCAACTTCCCCCAGCAATCCCCCCACCCCAAGTCTGCCCCCCGCCGAGTCTGGGCCTCCCCACCCCGAGTCTGGTCCAGACTCGGGAGCACCCCGTGGGGCTGTCCTGTTACCCCAGCGCTGCACCCAGCTCCTTGGGCCCCTCCAGCTCGTTGGCCCTGGCTGGGGCCCTGTCACAGGCCGTCACAGGCAGGCACATGTGGTGGGCCCTCTCTGGATTCTGTTGGGACTGAGCTTCCCTGGCAGGCGTGGTGGGTGAGCGCTGCCGCTGGTCTGAAGGTGAGCCCGGGTGGGGAGCTGGGAAATGTACATGAGAGCAGGAGTGAGTCGGATGGGGTGGGGTGGTGAGCTTCTACGGGGCTGCTGGCGACCACTGGGGGCCGGAGCCCGTCTTCTTCCTGGATTCTGTGGCCCATCCCTTGCTGGGGGCGCACGAGCCCTGGGAGTGGGCTGGTGTGGACTGCTTCCTTGTTCCCCTTCCCCAGTGCCCGGGGGTCAAGGAGCCCAGACTGGGGGAGGCGCATGCCTATGTAGCAGCAGGGGCTAGTGGGCAGCACTGGTGTCAGGGCTGGTGGGGGTGGCCGGGTAGCATCCCAGGCAGAGGCCAAGGTGAGGGAGTGAGTCCCAGGGAGCCGGGAGGCACCTGAGAGGCAGGGAGAAGGAGGGCAGCGGTGCAGGGGGGCCAAGGCAGTCCTGAGAACCCACTCCTCCACCTGGACCTCCTATCAACCCCTGCCTGAAGCAGCAGCGTGCTGCTAGCTCAGATGCCATCTGTGCCATGGGCTGAGAGGGAGAGTCTGTTGGAACAGATAGGGGTGGGGTGCCTAAACCCGGGACCCCGCGTGGCCCGCAAGCCTGGCTCAGCTACAGAGCTGGGGGCTGCCGTCAGGACAGGGGAGGGGCAGGAAGAGAGTTGCGGCTGGGATATCACCACAAGACTGGCCTCCTGCCCGCTGCCAGCTGAGTCCTGGCTGTCATTCCACTCTGGTGGGGCTGGTGGCTCGCTGACTGGCCTGGCTGGAGGTCCCAACCCAGGCTAGGCTGGTCCAGGACAAGAGCGCCTCCCGGTGGTGAGCAAGCTCTGGGGTGTGGTGGCGGGTGGCCCGGGGCAGGGAGACCCAGGACACGTGGCTCTGGGTCTGAATGGCTTCCGTCTGGGCAGGCCTGGGTCACCTGCCAGGGAGGGACTCTGAAGTCTGATGGGGCCGGGTCCTCCCATAGCCAGAGGGGTTCCCAGGGATCTCGGGTGTCCAGCCCTCAAACCCAGTGCCTGGAACAGGGACCAAGCCCCTCCTCTTCCCCATTTTCTAGTGGGCTGCAGAAAGCCCAGCAGGTCCCATGTCCCTTCTCCTCCCTGACCAGTCGTTACCGAGACCATATGGTCGTTGGCGCCTGGAGAGCTGGAAGAGCTAACAGGATCATGCTTCGGTTCAGGACGGACTCCTCAGTCCCTGTGGTCAAGATGGCCAGCAGGTGGTCAGAGACACTCCCCAGACACGGCTGAGTGAGGACCAGTGAGTGGGAGCTGCCCACGAGCCCTGATTCATGGGTGCACCTGGGCCCACCCGAGGGCTGGAGATTCATCTCTCACCACATCCAGGAAGGGCTGGGCAGTTGCCAGCTCCTGGCACGCCAGATTTCTCCCCTCCTCCCCCGGCTAGGACTGTGCAAGGTGGACAGGGGCAGGAGGGACCTTCGCAGAGCCTCTTGCAGCTTGGGCAGGGACAAGGACCACCCTGCACACTCTCTGTGCCCTTCCCTTTGCTCTGAGCTTGGCTGCCAGGCAGGACCTTAGTGGAGCCTGGCGGAGGGCTGGGCAGGAAGAAGGCTGGCCGCCCCACCCTGCTCTCTGGGAACCAGTCTCTTTGAGTCACAAAATGCAAAGACTTGGCCTCCACCCTAAGAGGTCACCAAGGCCATCCCCCTGCCTGCGGCCCAGGCAGGTCATGGACAAGCCTGGTGGCCTGGGCCTAAGCTCCCAGAACTGACCCCAACCTTTTCCTGGAGGGAAGCTGTCTCCACCCTGGGGCCCCGGCCAGCATCCTCCGGGGGCAGTGATGACCCTGTCCAGCATCCCCACCAATGGTTTGCCCTTGAGGGCCGAGGCTGTCCCAGTGACTGGTGGGAGCTGAGCTCGACTGAGTGTCCACCAGCCTCAAATAAACTCATGGGGACCTCGTGAGCCCCACCCACCTGCAGCCTGGGATCAACTCCCCCAGCCTGGGACTGGGGAGGGGCAGCCTCTACACCCCACCTTTCAGAGGTACCCAAGCCTCACGGCCCCAGAGGCTCACTCCTGCCAGAGCTGCCCCGCTGAGGATCTTCCATAGGGAAGGGCAGTGCCCGGGATCACTGAGACGCTGTGGAGTGTTCTGGACAAGTCAGGGGCAGAGCAGGAGCACCCCTGAGATTGTAGCCGGGGAGACCAGGGCCGGGTGCGGTGGGGGCAGCTCAGGGCTCCTCTAGGGGCAAGAAATTCTCCCCAAGGCCTCCCTGCGTCAAGGGAGCTGCTCTGTGATTGAAGGAGGCCTGAGTGGACGGGCCACGTGGGACAGCCCCTCCTCAGGGCATCTCTGAGCTGCTCAAAGCACATGGGACCCACTCTTCACCCAGCCCTCCTCTCTGTGCCTGTCTGTTTGGGTGTTCACTGACATGGGGGACGGCCACCTCTCCGCTCACCCTTTCTGGCTGCCTCTGGCCACCTCTCCCAGCACCACCCTGGAGGTCAGGCCCGCCCAGCAGCCGGGGACGGCGCAGAGGACAGGGCAGCCCGGGACAAGCCAGAGGATAGGGGAGCAGATATGTCCCTGGGACTTGAGGCTCATATGTGCATTGCTGGCCATGGGGTCCAAAGACGGTTATGGCCAAGCCTCAGCCAATTCTGCAGCTTTGGAGCCAGGGCTAGGCTGGCTGTCTGTGGGGGACAGATGGCAATTTGGGGGTGCTGAACGATCTGTCCAATGTGGGGTCCAGCAGGCTGGTCAGAGGCTGCCGCATCCCAAAGGTAGCAGGGCCGGGAGGAGGGGGCGGCCCAACCCCCAACACCACACCCGCACCCACACCCGACACCACACCCACACCCCTGGCCTCGAGAAGCTCAGCTCCAGGATCCCGGTGCAGTGGACCTCTGAGGCCCAGTCTGGCTTCAGGAAGCGCCCAGCTCGGCCATGGAAGGTCAGGGCTAAAGTGTCCCCACCTCACCCATTTAGGGGCTGGGCGGGAGCTCCCCAGGAGGGCAGGGTCTGGGCAGGGGCCAAGCCTGGGAGGGCCTCGCCTAAGGACCCCTGGGTCACTGTAGCACCAGGCTGGGCACCGCTCCCCACAGAGACCAGAAGCCGGAAGTACCATTCAGCGCAGGGGCTGGCTCCGGCAGGGCACAGGTGGAGACCCGATCCCAGAGGCTGCTCCCCACCTCTGTGCCCACCCCCGGTCAGGGCTGGGCCTGGATCTTCAGGGACTCCTGCCTCCCATCGGGGGAACGTGGGGTGGCACACAGGGAGCCTGGGCCCACGCCCCTGAGATGGGGGCTCCTGCCTCTCACTCTGGGGTTCCTTTGAGGCAACCCAGGGGGATGGGGCCACAGATCTGAGAAGAGCCAGCGGTGAGGAAAGGGCGCTCCTAGCAGGGGCAAGGGCTGCCAGGTGCTGTGGAGCTGGGCAGGGACCCTTGGTCACAGGCCTCCGCAGCCTCTGTCACCCCACGGTCCCAGCCCTCCAGCCTAGGGCAGTTTCTGCTGGGCGCCATGGAGGGTGGCCTATGTTTGAGGATGAATCTGGCTCTGTTCACCAGAGAGCGTGGGACGGGCCAGGAGAGCACCCAGCTGGGAGGGAGGCAGCCACTGGGGGTTAGATGAGGACAAATGTCCGAGCTCAGCTCCTCCTGGGCCTGGAACCTGGGCTGCTCCCCGAGGCCCTGCCCACCCATCACCCAGTGCTCAAGGACAGTCGGATCCGGCTTCTCCTGGCACAGACTGTTTATTTCTGATGGGGTCGTGGGGGCAGGTGTGGCTGAGCCTCCCACGTGGAGGGGGCACCAGCGAGGCTGGGATGGGCGGTGAGGGTGGGGCTGCCAAGGGCCGGGCCAGGCTCCAGCGTCCTCAGGACAGAGGGTGGCCGGCCCAGGCAGAGAATCACGGAGGGGCTAGAGTGAGAGGAGGGAGAAGCAGAGACCTGCAGGAGAGAGAGGGGTGGAGGGGGTGCCAGGGCCAGGAGGAAGGAGGGCCTCGTGGATCCCAGAGTGGCCCGGGACCCCCAGGACCCCTGGCAGTCACACTCGTGGCTCACCACGGGCTCTTCTGTGAGGCAGGAGTGCTGGTCAGAGGCCCAAGGGTCCAAGGCCAGGGTCGCACGACCTCTGACCCGGGGGCTCCTGCCTGCCCCCAGGGCTGCCTTGGGAGCTGCAGGTGGCCCAGTACAGGGGACCCAGGAGCTTGGGCAGAGACCCTCAGAGGCCCTGGGTTGGGTGGGGGGGACACTCCAGGCCGCAGGTGTGTCCAGGTTTGGGCCCCGCAGTGTCCCCCACACCTGGAGCAGTTGGTAGCGAGGCTCCGGCAGGGCCCCAGCTCACTCTCAGCTCTCAGAGCCTCAGCTGCTGTGGCCTCAGCTCATGGCCTCCCTCTTCCCACGGGGCCCCTGCGTCTGGGGGGCCTGGCCTCTTCCAGCTCAGAACCCTCTTGCCTCAAGCTTGGCCTTCCCGGCCAAGGCCCTTGGGTCAGAAATGGGGGCTGACAAGGGCTTCCCTGCAGCCCCTCCTCCGGCACTGCCGTCCCCTCCGCCTGCCGTGTACGTGGGGTGCCTCCAGTGACCCCGGGTCCTGCCAGGACCCTCTGGCACCTGGCCTTGACCTCCGGACCCCTATGGTCTCCTGGGCAGTCCTCCCCGCTGGGCTGCACGGACAGGATTGGGGCTGGTGCCTCTCAGGTTGTGTCATTCAGGCACCAGACACCCTCTCCTCGGCGGACACTGCTGCCCGGCCCCAGGCTTTGGCCTGCAGGGCTCTGGGCCAACCTCCCCGCATCAGTGTGGTCTCTGCTTGCCTACCCCACACCCCCAAGGCCTGCCGGGGCCAGTCTGGGGCAGGAAGGGAATGTGGTCAAGGCTGATGCCCAGGATCTGGTCAAATCTGATAAATTTCTCCCTCAGGTCTAAATCCAGCTCCTTCCCCTGCCCTGTGCCAAGAAGGGGGGTGAGCCCTGGGGAGACCCCTCCCTCCCCAGCCCAGCCCTCAGGGGGTCCTGCATGGCCCCTTCCCGCCGTGCTCAGGGCCTCACCGAGCAGCTTGGCCTGGGTCCCTTCTCCTGGCGCTTGGTCTCGGCGTAGCCTCCATCTCGTCATTTTCCAACCCCACTTCTGCACGGAGCAGGCGGGTCAGGCAGGGCTCAGGACCCTACTGCTGGGGACAGGCTGCTGATCATGCCCCCTCTGGGGCCACACCAAGACCTTCCCTGGAGTGTCCATTTTAATTTATTTATGTTTTTCGAGTCAGGGTCTTGCTTTGTCGCCCAGGCTGGAGTGCAGTGGCACGGTCACAGCTCAATGCAGCCTCCTGGGCCCAAGCAATCCTCCCTCCTTAGCCTCCCAAGTAGCTGGGACTACAGGCATGCACCACCACACCCAGCTAATTTTTCAATTTTATTTTTGTAGAGATGGGCTCTCCCCATGTTGCCCAGCCTGGTCCCGAACTCTTGGCCCCAGTTGATCCTCCTGCCTCGGCCTCCCTAAATGCTGGGATTACAGATGTGGAGTGACCTTAACCTGGGGCAGTTCTGGGCCTTTCTTGGGGTGTCAGGCAGGGAAGACTCACCCTCCCGGCCTCCAAGGGGGTTCTGAGCTGGCTGCTTCTCCGGGACAGGGGTCCTGGCCCAGCGTTTGCAGGGTGGGTCCCTGTGGGAGGAGGTTGTGGTGGGGAGAGGCTGGGGTGAAGGCTTTGGGGAGGGGCAGGTCGGATGAGCTGGGGAGGGGAGGCTTCCTGGCCTCCCGGAGGGTCCTGCTCCCCACTCTTCCTGAGGCTGCTCTTCCTGGCAGCCTGCCTGTCCCCGCCTCTGACCACGTCCCCTCCCCGTGGAAGTTCTCACTGGATGCATGGAATTGGGATGTCCCAGCCACAGCCACCATGTCCCTGGGCCCTGCACCCTGCCCTGATCTTCCCCTGCCCCTGGGTCTCAGGACAGGCTCCTCCTCCAAACTGCAGGCCCCGGGGGAGAAGCAGGGGCCCCACAGCTGTGCTGAGGGTGTGGGTGAGCTCCCTCAAGGCAGGCGCTGCCTCCTTCCACCCACGGGGTCCACCCACCTGCCTGTCTGTATGAAGGGTCTCCACCCCACAGCCCTCCGTCTCCCCTCCCCGGGCAGTCCCATCACCCGGCAGGGGCTCTGGGCACCCAGCCTCAGGTGAGCAGGCTGGACATGACCACGGCTGCCACCAACATCCTGAATTGGGACCTGCGCTCCGGCCTGAAAGTGTTGACCGCCAGCCCCAGGACGCACCACTCCCCCAGAACTGCAGGGGCTGGCAGTGGGCAGGGCCAGGACCCCCTCCCCAGGCAGGGGTTCCAGGCTGGGCTGGCACCCGTGACTCTGGCAGGAGTCCGGATCTGACAGGGATGGGTGACCCTGGCCAGTGGGTGGGCAGCCTTCCTGAGCCTCACTTTCTCCACCTGCACAGAGGGCGTGAGCTCTTCCCACCTGGCAGGGTTCTCCAGGGCCATGAGGGCCATGCTCACTGTGGCAGTCAGGCCCATCGGCCCAGCTGCACCCTCCTTCCTCCTTCCCCATCCTGGAGGCCACTCACCCGCTCCTTTCTGAGGCCAGGCTGGAGACAGATCTTGTGGAAAGGCAAGTTCAGGCCCCTCTGGGGGCCCTGGCGCTGTGGCTGGACCGTCCCCAGCAGGGTGAGGCCCACCCACAGGAGTCCCAGGGCTCCACACAGGGCTGCAGGGGGCAGGACTCTGGGGCAGCAGCTGGCCTGGCAGGGGGTGAGGATGGGGGTGGGGAAGGGGGTGGGTGAGGGTCTGGGCTGGGACCCCCTAGTAACGAGGTCCCCTGCTGGCCCCCACCCCAGGACAAGCAACCTCTTTTTCTCCAAGTGCAGGAAGGGTGAGATTTTGCCCCTCTCCCTCCTCAGCAGCGGGGCTAAGGGGCGAGGCAGGGCAGAGGGAGGCTGGGCTGGGGAGGCAGGGGGCCCTCCTTGGACTCAGCCCAGCAAAGATTGAGGAGCGTGCCTTCCACTGGTGCCCACCATTCCCTGGTCTCAACCTTGGGAGGGGAAGCGGGGTGGAAATGTGGGCTGAGGGTGGGCACCCGCAGAGACCACCAGCTCCCAGGGAGGCCCCAGGCCTCAGCTCTGATTCCCAAAGCCCGGGTCCCTGCCCTCGTACCCCTACGTCCATCCTCGGAGCTGTCGCCCCGAAGGCTCCCGGCCAGCCCTGGGTCAGGGTGTGACGGCAGAAGACACCGTGCGAGAGTCCACTGTGTGCCCAGCATGGGTGGCCGCCTGGAGCCTCCCTGCCCTGTCCTGCCCTGAGGCGTCAGCAGGATCAGGCCAAGCTGTTCCCTGGCCCGGGGCAGGCTCCAGAGCGCTGGTGGTGGGTGGGACGGAGTGTGTCTGTGCTGAGGCTGCTGGCACCCACCCTGCTCTGCCCACGGGTCCAGTCTGGGCCAGGACCTCCCAGATGCAGCCCCACCCCTGTCCTCCAAGCCTCCTCTCTCCTGGGTGCAGCAGGTCTTGGCCCCACTCCCCCAGGGCCCTCAGCCCATCTGCCTCCCCTCGACAGCTGCTGTGCGGGGCTGCGGACTTCTTACCACCCTGGTCCTGTAATGAGGCCCCTGGGGATGGCTGACCCTGGGAGGCCGCTGCTGACCTTAGCTGGGGCTTCCCCAGAGGACCTTGGCCTTGGCCTGGCCACAGCCCAATTCTCAGGGGTCCCAGGGAATATGTGCATTTCTGAGTTCAGGACTTGGTGACCCGGGCGCTGGGCTGTGGGGGTGCGTCAGCTCTGGGCCCGTTGGCAGAGGCACGATGGGCAGGTGGGCCAGAGGACGTGGGCGCAGGCTGGAGGGTCCAGACACCTCCCACTGGGCCCAGCAGTCTCTGGGTTCCTCTAAGGCCTTGGGGGGCCTCTGTCCTCTTCCAGGATCCCAGCAGCTCCCTGGAGCTCAGCCTGCATTGGGGAGCATCTTGTGGGTCTTTGGTCTCTGCCTCACCCCCAGGTGCCCTGTCCTGGGCTACCCACCCTCCCTCAGGCCTGCTCACAGGGCACTTGGGTTATCTCTGGAGGGCCCTGGGCCAAGGGCAGCCCAGCCTGTGTCAGGAGCTGCAGCCAGGTTGCTAGAGAGCCCGGGCCTCCTCGCCGAGGGCTGTCAGGGCTCAGCTGTCCCAGGCAGGAACCTGGTGGCCGGCAGGTGGTGGGTGACATGACACGGGGACCTCACCTTCTCTCACTGTCTCCTCCACATCCAGCCTCCCTCAGGTCCCTCCATGTGACTAAGGCTTTGCACAGACTCCCAAGGACCCCCCGGCCATGTGCCCTCTGAGCAAGCGAGCGGTATTAGAGGCGTGGCAAAGAGGTCACAGATGGGGCCCGGCTGGTGTGCAGGGGGCTCAGGGGCCCCTCCCTCCCAGGAAGAAGCCCCTCCCCCACCCGCCCAGCCACGCTGGGGTGAGGGCTGCCGGGGCGTGGGCAGGGGAGGGGCGAGCCTAGAAGGGAAACTGCCAGGACCCTTGGTGGGGGCTGACCCTCACCAGACCGAGAATTAAACAAATAGAAACAAAGATGTAATAGGGGCCGGGTGCGGTGGCTCATGCCTGTAATCTCAGCACTTTGGGAGGCTGAGACAGGCACATCACGAGGTCAGGAGATTGAGACCATCCTGGCTAACATGGTGAAACCCCGTCTCTACTAAAAATACAAAAAATTAGCTGGGCGTGGTGGCGGACACCTGTAGTCCCAGCTACTCGGGAGGCTGAGGCAGGAGAATGACGTGAACCTGGGAGGCAGAGCTTGCAGTGAGCGGAGAGCGTACCACTGCACTCCAGCCTAGGCGACAGCAAGACTGTGTCTCAAAAAAAAATAATAGTAATAATAAAAATTAACTTCCCTTAATTTTCTGATATTTAAAGATTACAACATACTTCAAGAACATGACTCATTGTTTTTACTTAAAAAGTGAGTTTTATCTTTTTCTTGTTTACTTCACATACTACACTGATGTAAATATCCTTTTAAAAATTTTATTTATTGAATGTAAACTTTTATTATTATTATTATTTTTTGGATATAGTATCTTCCACTGTCGCCCAGGCTGGAGTGCAGTGGCATGATCTTGGCTCACTGCAACTTCCGGGTTCAGGGGTGGTAGACGCCTGTAGTCCCAGCTACTTGGGAGGCTGAGGCAGGAGAATGGCGTGAACCCGGGAGGTGGAGCTTGCAGTGAGCCGAGATCGAGCCACTACACTCCAACTTGGGTGACAGAGTGAGACTCTCTCAAAAAACAAACAAACAAAAACAAACAGAAACAAAGATGTAATAGGAAGATCCAAGTCAAAAGCTGACTCTTGGAAAAAACTAATATAGTTTAAAACTATAAAAAACTAACATAGGGCCGGGCGCAGTGGTTCACGCCTGTAATCCCAGCACTTTGGGAAGCCAAGGCAGGTGGATCACATGAGGTCAGGAGTTCAAGACCAGCCTGGCCAACATGGTGAAACCCCGTCTCTACTAAAATACACAAATTAGCCGGACATAGATGGCGGGTGCCTGTAATCCCAGCTACTCGGGAGGCTGAGGCAGGAGAATCGCTTGAACCCAGGAGGCAGAGGTTGCAGTGAGCCAAAATCGCACCATTGCACTCCAGCCTGGGCAACAAGAGCAAAACTCTGTCTCAAAAATAAATAAATAAATAAAAATTAAAAAAAAAAAACAGTTACTTTAGAAATATATATATATATATATATATATATATATATATATATATATATAGAGAGAGAGAGAGAGAGAGAGAGAGAGAGAGAGAGAGAGAGAGAGACGGAGTCTTGCTGTGTTGCCCAGGCTGGAGCGCAGTGGTGCGATCTCAGCTCACTGCAACCTCCCCTCCCGGGTTCAAGTGATTCCCCTGCCTCAGCCTCTTGAGTAGCTGGGATTACAGGCACCTGCCACCATGCCTGGCTAATTTTTGTATTTTTAGTAGAGACGTGGTTTCTCTATGTTGGCCAGGATGGTCTCAAACTGCTGACCTCAGGTGATCTGCCTGCCTCAGCCTCCCAAAGTGCTGGGATTACAGGCATGAGCCACTGCACCCAGTGTAGAATGTTTTATATTTACAGAAAAAAAATGTGAAGACAGATCAGGGAGTTCCTGCGTGCCCCTCCCCCAGTTTCCCTCTCGCTGGCGTCCTAATTCTCATGGTCCCTTTGTCACAATCAGTGAGCCAGTGTTGGGACGTCGAGTCAGCTGACATCCAGGCTTTCTCCAGATTCCCTTAGTTACTGAAGGTCCCTTTCTCTCCAGGACACCACGTGACATTCTGTCTCTCTTCCACGGGCTCCTCCTGAGTGACGTTTCTCAGCTTTTCCCGGTCCTTGATGACCTCAGCAGCCTTGAGGGGCGCTGCTCGGGTGTTTGTGGGGCGTCCCTCAGTTGGGCTCCGTCTGCTGAGTTTCTCACGCTGAATCCGGTGATGGTCGGGAGGAAGAGAATGGGGGCGGGGCTTCCTCCCACCACATCACATGGGGGACACCATCAGCGCGACCTTCACTGCCCATGTTGACCTTGGTCACCTGGCTGAGGTTCCCCCACCCTAACCCTGCACCTCTCCGTCTTTTTCTTTTTGAACTGTCCTCTCTGGATGAAGTCCCTGTGTGTGGCCCTCACCTCCCCCGGAAGGGGAATCCACACACATTTGCAACTTTGCTGCACCGAGATCATTTGTCTCTGCTCTCCCATGGGTGGGCACAGCCCTTCACTGACATCCGTGTGGACCTCAGGTGTTTTACACTTTGGCTCACACCCTACTGTCACATCCGGTTTTGTGGCTCACATCAGGCCAGCTGCAGCTACTGGCAGCTTTTCCATTGGCTTCTGCGTCCTTCTCTGCGAAATGGTTTTTTTTTTTTTTTTTTTGAGATGGAGTTTTGCTCTTGTCGCCAGGCTGGAGTGCAGTGGTGGGATCTGGGCTCACCGCAACCTCCGCCTCCTGGGTTCAAGTGATTCTCCTGCCTCAGCCTCCTGAGTAGCTGGGACTACAGATACCCGCCACCACACCTGGCTAATTTTTGTATCTTTTAGTAGAGACGGGGTTTCTCCATGTTGGCCAGGCTGGTCTTGAACTCCCGACCTCAGGTGATCCGCCCGCCTCTGCCTCCCAAAGCGCTGGGATTACAGGCGTGAGCCACCGCGCCCGGCCTCTGCGATATGGTTTGACGCACACACCCACGAAACTATCATTGCAATCAGGGGGCAGCTGTGTTGGTCGCCCTAAAGATTCCCTGAGCCCCCCTGGAGTCCCTCCCTCCCTCCTCTTTCCACCACCTCCCCTGCCCCCAGGCCACTGCTGTGTTTCCGTCGCTGGAGATGAGCCTGGCTTTCTGGGGCTTCGCGTCCAGTCCACGTGCACCACCTTTCTCGCTGCCTGACGCCCTCCGCCCTCCGCCCTCCGCCCTCCGCCCTCTGCCCCACGCGGTTATTTTGGGGCTTGCAGGTTGTTGAGAGCATCAGTAGCTCCTTCGTTCACTGCTGGGCAGTGTCGCGTTGCACAGATACATCACGATTTGTTCTCCTTCACCTGTGGGTGGACCTGGGGGTGTTTCCAGTTTGGGGCCATTACAGATAAAGCCGCCGTGGGCACACGCATCGTGCGTGGGTGTGTGCTATATCTCTTTTGGGTAAATACCCAGGAAGGCAATAGCCAGGTCCTATGATGGTGTAGCTTAATTTTTAAAATACTGACGCACTGTTTTCCAGTCCTTTCAAGATAGGCCTTTCTCCTTCCTGTAGCCGCCTTGGGGGGTCAAGAGCACCCAGGGAGCAACACCAGGGCTACCTGGTCCACTCGAGGCCGTGGGAGTGGGAGAGGGTCTCACTGAAACCCCCGAGCTTGCGGCAAGGCAGCAGAGGACCTGGCGTGCCTGTGGCTGAGACTGGACAGAAGTTTCTTTCTGTTTCTTGCAAACATCCAGTCATGGAGGCTTCCAGCGCCAGGTGTGCGGTCCGGCCCCTCTCTAGGACAGCTTCCCGGGAGCGCACCTGGCGTCCTGCTCTCTGTGCAGATTCAGCCACCAGGCCACACAAACACAGCCGGGGAAGCAGGGAGCTACAGCCTAGGTTTCCATGTCGAGCCAGAGGAGGTCCCTCCCTGGGTGTGGCCCGAGTCTCCTTCCTCTGCCGAGCAGGGAGTGGCAGGTTGTGCGGGGGCTGGGGAGGACAGGCGGCTTTGATGCCGTGTGGTCAGGCAGGTGCTGAACCCTGGGGCACTGCCACGCCTACAGCTGCCCAAGGCAGCAATCGTTGGGTTCACAGACCCCCTGCCCGTCTGAGGTCAGCGCCAGGCCTGCAGGGCCCCTGGTCAGCGAGCGTCTGCCCAGGGTGCCCCACGGTCACAGGGGGCTGAACCCCGGCGCTGTCCAGCCTGAGGGGAGGGGGAGAGCAGAAGAGAAACTACCCCAAGCCCCAGAACCACCTCCAGGGCCAGGGTGGGCACGGTGCTCCCTCTCCCCTGCCAGGCCTGGGATGGTCCCCCCTGGAAGGGTCACAGGACAGTGTGGGTATGAGATGGGCCCCCTCCCCCAACTCCCAGGTGCCTCTGAAGGGGTTCCCCGAGCCTGCTTGCTGCTCCCTGAGCTGACCCCCAGCCCCAGCCCTGCAGCCCACCCACCCCGTGCCTCGCCTTGCCGCCCAGCGGTGGAGTCTGTTCTCCCCTCATCCAGGGGCTTCCGCTGGCTCCGGAACAGCAACCCCCAGACCCCAGGCCCACATCCTCAGCCCGGCCTTAGAGCCCAGCCCTCTCCTCCTCCCTGCCCCCAGCCGGCCCCATCTCCTGGGCTCGTGGCCTTTCCTGGTTTGGGAGGTCAGCGATGGCTCCAGGGCAGGCCTGGGGCCCCATCGACAGAAAGAGGACGCCTGCCTTGAATGCGGAAGGACCCGCCGGCTTCACCATCCAGTGTGGGGTTCTTTCATCCCACAAGGACTCAGACCCCATGGGAAGGGTGCTCTGTGCTGGCCTCTGGCCCCACTGGCATGTGGACTGCCTCCTCTTCCTCTGTCTGACATCTGTCTGCCAGGCTGGGCCGTCCTCATGCTGGCATCTGCCGCGTCTCCTGCCCTGAGCACTCCCAGGCCCTGGGCTCTGTGTCCCGAGTCAGGCAGGGACGGGGCAAGACGCTCATCGGCATCCTCCCAGCCAACTCGGGGTCCGGCCTGAGGATCCCTACAACCCTGAGCCCCCTCCCAGGGCAGAGTCCCCGTGGGGACAGAGCCAGGGACCCGCTCTGATCACCACTGAAGTGCACAGTTGCTGGCTGGATGGAAAAAACCCAAATCCCAGTTAATCCACACAAACCTAAGAAATAAGACAATTTCCTGCAAAACAAAATAGCTTTTTCCACCAGCATTCCTCTCCAACGGGGCCCACACGTCCACATCCCTTGGGAGATGTTTCAGAAGAAACAAGGGAGACTGTATCACAGAGCAAAGGCCCTGTGTGCATGCGCGCGTGTGTGTATATGTGCCTGTGTGTGCCTGTGTGCATGTGTGTACCTGTGCACGTGTGTGCGTGTGTGCATGCATGGGTGTGCCTGTGAGTGCCTGTGTGTGTACACGTGTGCCTGTGTGTGCCTGTGTGCACACGTGTGTGCCTCTGTGTGTTCACATGTATCTGGCATGTGTACGCCTAGGCAGGCGGTGCACAGAGATGGAGACAATGTTTCAACCTCCCTGATACATCCTGGGCAGCTGCTGCTCCCTCACCATGGTGACTGTACCCACAGCCACTCCTTCTTTGAGATCCCACAGCCCCAGCCCACTCCTAGTTCTGGTTTGCCAAGAGGACACTAGGAGGTGGCTCCCCCAATGGCCCACCTCAGGAGAGCCCCTGGGGTGGGTGGAGCTGCCTGGGGTTGGCTCTGAGGACCCTGGGCTGCCCCTGCACAAGCCCCCCACAAACTTCACCCCCTTCGTCTTAGTCAGCTTTCTGTGGCTATAACTGAATACCTGACATTGGAAATGTACAAAGAAAGTAAATTTATTTCTTACAGTTCAGGAGGCTGAGAAGTCCAACGTCAAGGGGCCAAGTTGCAGTGTGGCAGAGGGCAAGAGCTGCCAGCTGAGGTCTCTCTTTTCTCATAAAGCCACCAAGTCCACCATGGGCCCAACCCTGAGGACCTTATCTAACCCTAATCACCTCCCAGAGGCCCCACCTCCAACCAACATGTGAATTTGAGGGCCGGGCAAGGTGGTTCACGCCTGTAATCCTAGCAGTTTGGGAGGCCAAGGCAGGAGGATCACTTGAGCCCAGGAGTTCGAGACCAGTTGGCCAACATGGAGAAACCCCATCTCTACAAAAAACTTAAAAATTAGCCAGACGTGGTGGCGCACCTTCGGTCCCAGCTACTTGAGAGGCTGAAGTGGGAGGATCGCTTGAGCCAGGGAGGTCGAGGCTGCAGTCAGCAGAGGTTGCGCCACTCTGCTCCAGCCTGGGCGACTGAGCTAGACCTTGTCTTAAAAACAAAAAAAAGTGGATTTGGGGATGAAATGTCAACATGTGAAATCTAGGGACACGTTCATATCATAGCACCCCGTTTCCAGCAGAGGGGCCCTGGGGACTGGGAGGCCAGATCCTCCCCACACCCTAGGATTAGAGAGGGGCCCCTCAGCCCACCTGTCCCCCTGTGTGGGGGCCCTGGTGGCTGTCCTGACTCTGTGGGCCGTCCTGCCAGGAGCCCCGAGTCCCCGCATTGTATGTATGGGGCACGTGGGGTGAGTCTCGGGGAATCGGCGAGCCGGGGCCAAGTTTCTCACGCCAGGAGGTTACTGGGAAAACGTGCTTCCCAGGGACCGGGGGAAAGGTAGCAGGGCCTAGGGTCTGAGGGGGTCTCCAGCTCAGCTCTGCACCACAGGTCTGGCCCCCCATGCCGCCCACTCAGTCCCTGGATGACTCTGCCCCCAACCCTCCTTCTTCCTCCTGCAGAAAACATGC
Organism: Homo sapiens; assembly: GCF_000001405.40. Classification (NCBI taxonomy): domain Eukaryota; kingdom Metazoa; phylum Chordata; class Mammalia; order Primates; family Hominidae; genus Homo; species Homo sapiens. The sequence goes on along the minus strand of NC_000009.12, from coordinate 136,961,663 downwards.
AGAGGCAGCGCTGGAAAGCCCCAGGCAGCTGGTCCTGGCCCAGCAGGCCCAGATGGTGGCCGGGAGGGCGCTGCTCTCGGCCAAGATAAAGAGACCGGATCAGGCAGGGCCTGAGGGACAGGGAGTGCTGGGCCCAGCTGAGCTGGGCGGCCCTGGGCTCAGGAGCCAGCAGGAGCCCCCGCCCTGCTCAGCCAAGGCTCCAGGTCCCATTCCCAGCAGCCCTGCAGGCAGTCCCCTCGCAGCCCTGTCCCTGCAGGCCCTGGTGGGTGGGGCTTCCACTCGAGTTCCTGAGGAGCCTGGCCTCCCCGCTCATCTCTGTGCAACAGCCCCAGGCTTTCCAGTCCTGGTGTGTACCCCTCAACTCCTCCTGCAGGGCTCAGGGCCCTGGCTGCCTAGTCATGCGCTGTGAAGGGGAGTGTGGAGGAGAAGTGGGCCAGGCAGGGTAGATCCACGGCCACCATCCGTGGCCTCACGGGATGCCTGGTCCACCAACACAGCTCTGAGCTCCATAGTCAGTGCCCAGCGGCCTCGTGCTCCGCGCCAGGCCCTGCAGACATGAAGGCAGGGAGGGTGGGCTCTGCCTGGTGGGAGAGGGTCAGTGGGTGTTCTGAGAATGCGAACATGAACGTGTGCTGCACCCCCAGACCCAGACCCGGGAGCCCAGCACTCAGCGGGAGGAGTTTCACCCACACACGGCAAGAGGTGCACGTGGGGGCATCCAGCGTGGCATCACCATGTCCCACCGTGGGAGCCGTCTCACAGCAATACGGGCACCTGAGTCGCACACCTCGATGAACACCCACGTGAGCAAAACCTGATCCTGACGTGGAACATTCCAGACCCCCTCCACCTCCTGCCAGCTGCAGGCAGCGCTCCGATCCCCAACACAGAACATTCCAACATTCCACACCCCCCCAGCTGCAGGCAGCACCCTCACCCCTGACCACAGAACATTCTACCCCCACCCACTGCAGGCAGCACCCTCGCCCCCGGCCACAGAACATTCTACCCCCACCAACTGCAGGCAGCACCCTCGCCCCCGGCCACAGAACATTCTACCCACCCCGCAGCTGCAGGCTGTACCCTCACCCTGGCCATAGAACATTCAACCCCCGCCCCCAGCTGCAGGCAGCACCCTCACCCCTGGCCACAGAACATTCTACCCCTCCCAGCTGCAGGCAGCACCCTCACCCCTGGCCACAGAACATTCTACCCCCCCGCCACCCAGCTGCAGGTAGCACCCTCACCCCTGGCCACAGAACATTCCACCCCACCCCACAGTGTCCCCACCCCGGACGCAGCAGCCACAGACCTGATTTCTAATAGTGGAGAGGAGCTTGGCCTGTTCTAGAACTTCATAAATGGAATCACATAATGTGTGGCCTTTTGTGTCTGTTTTTGGACACAGACCCAGCCCCGCACCCAGGTCAGGCCACTCTTGAGGTCAGGGCACAGCTGTGTCCACCTCCCCACCACACACTACACGCCCTCAGATGAAGGTCTGCACGGGAGCAGGCCCAGGACCCACAAAGACAGAACAACGCTAAGGGGACCCTGTGCTTCCCACTCCGCCCAGGGGCTCTGCAGCCTGATCCTGGGAAAGCAGTGTGGGCCCAGGTGCTGGGCGGCTCTGGCAGGTCTTCTACCACCTGTGCCTCACTTTCCTGGTCTGGGGTGCTGGGGTGGATACCCAGGAGCCTCCGGTCGCCCCAGGTCTGAGAAGTGTGAAGAGGAGCTGGGCCTGGTCCCCCTCCTGGGCCTGTGGACAGCCTGGCCCAGACCCGAAAATTCCATTCCCGCCTGCCCAGCCCCTCCCAGGCTGCCTCTTGGTGTCTGAGAGGGCGTGGGTGGAGCGCTTGACCTGTGGGGCAGCCCAGGGAAGGTACCCGGTGGGTAGAGTGCCCCGAGGGGGCATGAGCTCTGCGAAGGGGTATCGCGGGGTGAGGACCGGAAGGGACCCTCCCCACCGTGAGCCGTGCGGGAGCTGCTTCCCACCAGAGCCCACCATACCCAGCCTGAGCCCTGGGTGGCCTGTCTGTGGTCACCGTCACTGTCACAGTCTCCTGTGGTCACCGTCGCAGGCACAGGCTCTGTGTGGCTGTGGTGGGCCCTGGACAAGGCTGAGAGGGACCACAGCTGGCCTTCGGGGAAAGGCCCCCTCTGCCACCGCAGGGGCTGATCCGGGAGGTGGTGGTGGCCACTGGAGGCACGGAAGCCAGCCCTGGGTCCAGCCCCTCCACCCACCAGAACTTACCTGCTTCCCAACCCCGCTGACCCTGTTCTGTGGGAGGGGCAGGCACAGGCTGTTCCCAGACCCAGCAGGCCCAGATGTAAAGAGATTCAGGCCAGGGTAAAGAGATTCAATCTGGCCACCCACAGGGGCCTGGGCTGCCGTGCTTGGGGCATGGGGGTAGGGGCCAGCAGGACACCCCACCCCACTGGGCCAGCCTGGCTTGACTCCAGCAAGCAGACAGGTGGGCAGGCGGGCTCCCTCTCTGGTCTGTGTCCAGCCCCAGGCCTCTGGGCTCACATGCCGGCAGACATGCCTGGACCACCTGCCTGGCCTCTCCTGGCCTCGGCTCCACGCCGCCAGCTCCCAGCCCCGTCCCCTGGTGCAGACATGGGGAAAGGGTCTTCAGCCAGGAAGGGCTGGTGCCCCTGGGGGACTTGCGGGGAGGAGGTTCACACAGGGCCCGCTACCACCAGGGCCAGAGAGAGTTGTATCACCCCAGGAAAGATGGGATGAGGGGGGCTGTGGTAGCTGGAGTCCAAGAGAGGGAGGGCTGTGTGGAGGGGTCCCCTGACCACTGATGGGGGAACACAGCCTCCACCCAGGACTGAGGACTTCTGGGAGAGAGACCATCTGCAACCCAGGTGGGAGTGAAGTGGGCCAATGGGACTGCACAGCCACTCCGGCCAGGGCCAGTGACACAGAAGGGGGTGGCTGGGGCCCTGGATCCAGCCAGGCCTGAAGCCCGCCCTCCCCATAAGAGCTGGGAAGGAATGCAGGCCTAGGCAGCATCTCCTGTCTCCCCAGCCAGGAGCTGATACGGAGGGAAGGGGAGTGCGCTGGGCTTTGCAGAGGCACCGCCAGGGAGGAGGAGGGCACCGCCAGGGAGTCTTAGTCTCTGCTTGTGCCTTTGTCCGGGGAGCTGGTCACCACTGGAGGGTACAGCTGGGTGCCAGGAAGGCGGTGGCTCCCACCAGCACATGGTGGTCATGATCTTGCAGCCGGGGTTATGTTCCCTGCCTTGGGGGAGGGAAGCTGGCAGGGGCAAGGTGACCCTGCCAAGTGACCAGCCAGCCTTCCTGAACCTCACAGTTTCCCCATCTGTGCAGAGGGACTGAAAAGAATTTCCGCTGGCAAAGGCTGTGCCAGGTCAAGAGGGAGAAGGTGGCCTGCGGAGTCTCTCTTAGATTGTCAGGGGCAGGGCAGGGCTCTCTTCTCAAGCTGAGCCTCTTTAGGCCACTCCTCTCTTTTGGCCTAGGTCCTGTGCCTGGACCCCATGCAGAAGCCATCCCCTGCTGCAGCCAGGCATCGGGTGAGGGCGTGGCCCAGGCCCCAGGCTGGTGAAGGCCCAAGTCCTGGCCCTGTAGAGTGAGTCTCACCCATGGGGACACCGTGGCCCAGTAGGAGGAGGGATGAGGGAAAGGACTAAGAGAGTAGAGAGTGAGGCCATTGCTCTGGGGGACCTTGTGTCTGACCCCCACCCCAGGGTTGAGGGACACCTCCTTGACGCGTTCAGGAAAGAACACCCAACAAGCCCTTTCTGCCAAAAGACAGCCACCTTCACTCTCAACCTTCCTAGGGTTAAATCCAATATATGCCAGGCTGTGGTCCAGGATTTCTGACACCCAGGCTTGTGTCCTCACAACCACACAGTATAGAATATCTCCCAATCCAGACACAACCAAACTTGCTGCTTTTAACCTCAGCCTCCCCATCTAGGGCACAAGAAAAAAAGAGCAAAAAAGCATCATCCATCCAACTATCCATCCACCCACCCTTCATCCATCCATCCACCCACCTACCCATCATCCAACCATCCATCCACCCACCCACCCATCATCCAACCATCCATCCACCCACCCGTCATCCAACCATCCATCCACCCACCCATCATCCAACCATCCATCCACCCACCCACCCATCATCCAACCATCCACCCACCCACCCATCATCCAACCATCCATCCACCCACCCACCATCCAACCATCCATCCACCCACCCATCATCCAACCATCCATCCACCGACCCATCATCCAACCATCCATCCACCCACCCATCATCCAACCATCCATCCACCCACCCATCTCCAACCATCCATCCACCCACCCACCCATTATCCAACCATCCACCCACCCACCCATCATCCAACCATCCATCCATCCACCCACCCATCATCCATCCATCCACCCACCCACCCATCATCCAACCATCCATCCACCCACCCATCATCCAACCATCCATCCACCCAATATCCAACCATCCATCCACCCACCCATCATCCAACCATCCATCCACCCAATATCCAACCATCCATCCACCCACCCATCATCCAACCATCCATCCACCCACCCACCCAATATCCAACCATCCACCATCTACCCATCATCCAACCATCTATCCATCCATCCACCCATCATCCAACCAGCCATCCACCCACCCACCCAATATCCAACCATCCACCATCTACCCATCATCCAACCATCCATCCATCTACCCATCCATCCATCCACCCAATATCCAACCATCCATCTATCCATCTAACCGTCTATCCACCCATCCATCATCCAAACATCTATCCATCATCCGTCCACCCAGCCCTTCATCCATCCATTTATCCATTAATCTACCCATCCATCCACCCACCCATCTACCCATCCTTCCATTTATCCATTCATCTGCTCATCTGTCCATCCATCCACCCACGCAACCATTATCTAACCATCCATCCATCCATCCATGCACCCATCATCCATCCATCCATCCATCCATCCATCCTTCAGCAGCTTTCTCTGTGTCAGGCGCCATGTTGGAATGTGGGATAGAGTGATGGACAAAGCAGGCCTGTGCCTGCCCTTGTGGGAGTTGTGTGTTGGGGAGTCAGACACACAGAAAAGGTTGAATTGTGGCTGCAGTAAGCACCACAGCTGGTGTCGTTTGACTTGATCATGGGGATCCATCTCGTTGGGGCCGTCAGGGCAGGGAGGAATTCCAGTCTGTCTGCTGTCTCTGTCCGTCTTCCAGTTCCAGAATCTGCTTGGATCCTGTACAGCCTGCCCAGCAGGAGGTGCACATGATGGCAGAAGGATTCTAAACAAGGGCCATGCTTCTGAGTAGCGGGGTGCTCCTGGTGGGTGAAGGTTAGGCACCAGGTTGGGGGTCTCTGGATGCTCTTTACTCTCTAGCAAGGCCAGAGACCACTAGGGTCCATGGCCGCCCTGGGTGGTGTCCTGCTCTCCCTGCCCGGAGGACAGTGGGGGCTGAGATGGACACAGACATCGGAGGGCTGAGAAATGAGTTGCTCTGGCTGGCCGGTGGGGGTGGGCGTCCGAATACAGACATCTTGCAGGGGTGTACAGTCAGGGTTGGGGGGCTCAGGCTGGGAGTGGGTGTCTGGGTTGTGACCTCAGACCCTTTGTGTCTCTGTGCCCAGCAGGCTCCAGCCCGAGGCTGCTTGTCACCGCCTCCCCTCTCCCAGGCCTGGGGCATCTGCACCAGGGCCTCCTCCTGTTCTGGGACCCTGGTAGCTCCAGGCCAGCTTCCCTGACAGAACAGCCGCTGCCTGGGACAGCTCGGGGTCTGAGTGTTTCCGGGGCAAGCTCCAGCCCGGCTGCATCTGGTATGGCAGCCCCGAGTGCTGACCAGGGTGGAGGTGGAGAAGAGCCTGCGAACTCCCACAGCCAAGGGCCCAAGGGGCAGGGATGGAGGGGCCTTGGCCTGGGAACGACCTTGTACAACCTGCAACCATGGGCAAAGACTCATGCATGAACATACATGTGCATGCCCTCACTGACAGAGTCACACACACTGGCCAGAGACAGCCGGCTGGGGGGCCATAGTGTGCCCAGAGAAGGAGCTGTTGCAGCCCTGCAGGGTCAGCGGTCGCCTTGCTCCTGTCTCTTTGCCCAACCCAAGGTCATAGTGGTCACACTCTGGGGCTCTGGGCTTGGTGCATTTATTCAGGTTTGAGAGCTGAGGAGGGCAGAGCTCGCACAGCTGTGAGGCAGGGCTGGGCCGGACAGGAGCTGCTTCATCCTTCAACAGACGCTGGCCTGGGGTGACCAGCCTGGTGGGGGAGATGGAGTCGGGATGGAGGACAAAGGGGGAGCAGGGGACAGAGCCCAGGAGGAAGCAAGGGAGGGCACAAAGGAGGGGCAGGTGGCTTCAGGTGAGAAGCAGGAGGGAGAAAGGGGACCAGCAGTGGGTCTAGGGGAAGGGGCTGGGGTGAGGGAGGCTGAGAAGGGGCAGAAGATGTGGCCCACAGCGGCTCCCAACAGCCCCAGGTCCTCAGGAAGCCCCTCACCTGTCCCTGTCCCCATGGGCCCCCAGACTCACTGCAGACCCAGGAGGCCTGGCATAGCGAGTGTGCAGGTGTGTGCAGGTGTGTGCAGACCAGCACGTGTGCCTGTGCACGGGTAGACAGCATGTGTGCCAGTGTGAGTGGCGTGTGTGTAAGTGGGTGTTCGCATGTGGAGGCATGTGCCAGTCTGTACACGTTTGCTCATGCGTGAGTGTGTGTGCATGTGGTTATGCACATGTAAAGGACCAGAGGCGGGAATCAGAAGGGCACGGTGGGCATCCCTCCAGGAAGAGGAGGGACTCAGGCTGACCTCGCCCTCCCACAAGAAGAGTCAGGCCTTGGGGGCCGCGGCTGTCTGAGTGGTCAGGCTGGGGCTGCCACCCAGGGCAGGCTGCTGAGGTCCAGGGCACCTCCTGGGATGAGTCCAAGCTCCTTGTGAGCAGGGATGGGTGAGGGGAGGAGGTGGCCCAGGACAGGGGACCCAGAGGGAGGAGATGGCCCGGGACAGGGGACCTGGGGTGGGAGGAGGTAGCCCAGGACAGGAGACCCGGGGTGGGAGGAGGTGGGCCGGGACAGGGGACCTGGGGCGGGAGGGGCAGGGGGAGGTGGCCCGGGACAGGGGACCTGGGGCGGGAGGAGGTGGCCCGGGACAGGAGACCCGGGGTGGGAGGAGGTGGCCCAGGACAGGGGACCCGGGGCGGCAGGAGGTGGCTCAGAGCCTGGGTTGAGCACAGGGACCCAGGAGCCTGGAGACCCCTGAGCGCAGGCTGGGGCTGAGCTCCCTGGGTAGACACTGGGTCCAGCTCCTCTAGGGTCAACCAAACTCATTCCTGCGGGCCCCGTGCCTACTGCCCAGCATGCCTGCAGGTGAACCATGTTACCAGTCACATCTGGGAAGACGATGTTGTCATCCGAGAGGCCCTGAGCTCTGCCCAGGCAGATGAACTGGTCCAGCGTCCCGGGAGGCAGCAACCAGCTCCTGCCTGCAGCCCAGGGAGCCCAGCATGGGTCTGTGCACTTGGCAGGGGGTTGGGGGCTGGGTAGGTGGGAGATTGAACTATCTGTACCCCCAAGTCACTCCAGGCGGGGTGGGGAGGCAGGGTCTGACCCAAAGCCTGGAAGGAGGTGCCTCCAGGGCCACACACGGGCCCAGGACGGGGTGGGAGGCTCACCCAGCAGGCTGATCCTGAGGACGGCCAGCCTGCTCGTGTGTCTGCGGGACAGCATCAGGGCGAACTGGGTGTAGTCGCTGTCCACCACCCGGGTCTCCTCTCTGTCCGCCCCGGGCTCTGAGGCGGCACAGACGTCACATCCCTGTGGGCCAGCACCCCGTCCCTCCCTCCTGTGACTGGCTTACCCACACCGTGGTCCACAGTGAACTGCCCAGGCTGGGCTGCCGGTATCAGCACATAAGACCATGTGTCACAGTGCTGGCCTCTGTAGGAGGGGACAGGTGGAGGCGGAAGGCTCCGGAAGCTGGCAGGTCCATGCTGAGGTGGGCCCCTCAGGAGATTTCAGCCACTTATTCAGAGGGACCCACGGCGGGAGTGGCCAAGCGTCATGAGTGGAGATGGTGTCTAACTATGTTGCTCAGGCTGGTCTCAAACTCCTGAGTTCAAGTGATCCTTCTGCCTCTGCCTCCTGAAGTACTGGGATTACAGGTGTGCGCCACTGCGCCCGGCCCCTAAAGTGCTGGGATTACAGGTGTGCGCCACCGCGCCCGGCCCCCAAAGTGCTAGGATTACAGGTGTGCGCGACCGCGCCCGGCCCCCAAAGTGCTAGGATTACAGGTGTGAGCCAGCGCGCCCGGCCCCTGAAGTCCTGGGATTACAGGTGTGAGCCAGCGCGCCCAGCCCCGGAAGTGCTGGGATTACAGGTGTGAGCCAGCGCACCCGGCCCCCGAAGTGCTAGGATTACAGGTGTGAGCCAGCGCGCCCAGCTGCCCACACTTTTTTGTATACTCCCCAGCTGGGTTTGGTCATTGGCAGGCAGAGTCATGAAGCTGCCTGTGCTGGGACAGGGCCCATGGCGCACCTGAGCCACTGGCGGCTGGGACCCAGGCCCGGGATCCTCCTCACCCGCTTGGAACGGCAGGGACAGCCACTCACCGAGTCATCGCATTCCACACCTCAAAGCGGCCATCATCACTTAGCTCAAAAGTTGCGGTGAAAGCGTTCAGCAGCGCCCTGTGCTCCGGCCTGAAGCTGTTGCCCGCCAGGCCCAGGACGAACCATTCCCCCTGGAACTACAGAGGCGGTGGTGGGCAGGGGCGGCGGTGGGCAGGGGTGGCAGTGGGCAGGGTCAGGAGCCCCCTCCCGCCCTCCCTGGCAGCTTCTGGACCCCTCACAGAGCAGTGCTCCTGGCTGGGCCGGCGCCAGGGACACTGGCAAGAACCAGAGCCTACTCTGGGTCTGGCAGGGACATGGTGACCCTGGCCAGTGGCTGTGCGGCCTTCCCGAGCCTGTTTCCCCTCACGCACAGAGGGAGCGATGGGCTGGGCTGACGGCAGGGAATGGGTGCCAGGAAGGTCTGCGCTGGGCCCTCCTCTGCTGGAGGTCAGGGGCCCGCCTGGGGGCTCCTGGAAGCACGGCTGGTCCTGGCTCTCTGGGCAGCATCCCCAGGCCTGCTCAGCCACCAGCCTCTCCCTGCACTCAGACCCAGCCGGCTGCTTCTCCTTCCGTCAAAACCCCTGTACCTGGTTTCCTTGGAAGCTCTGCATCGGGGGCGGGAGTGGCAGGGGGGTTGGGGTCTGGGCCTGCAGGACTTTCAGCAAGGAGAGCCACAGCCACAGGCCACACAGCAGCCTCATCCTGGCAGCTGCTGGGCCCACAGGGACAGAGAGAAGGAAGTGGCCATGGGCAGGTGACCCAGAGACCCACCTCTTCATGCACATACCCAGCAGGTGCCCCTCCCAAGGGGGTGTGCCCCTCTGCCTCCCTCCTCAGGACTGGCAGGAGAGGTGGTGCCCAGGGCAGGCTTGGTGTGGGCTCTCCTCAGGTCCCACCCACCCACCTGCGGTCTCTTGGGTTCCAGCCAGGTGGGGTAGGAGGGGCCCCCAGGTCCACCTTCCACCTCTTCTTCTCATTTCTGAGGCCCTGCCCCCTTCAGCCCCCTTCCAAGTGCCCCATGCTGGGGGTTCAGAGGCCCCACGCAGCCTGCCCCAGCCTTCCTCCCTGTCACAGAATGTTGCGTCCCAGGCAGACAGCGTGACCTGCCGCAGCCATAAGGGACAGGGCCCAGCTGTGGCCAAACCCGGGCATTCCCCCTGCAGGGCCTGGGCCTGCCAGCCGCCCCCCTACCCCCACCCTGCCTGGCTCCACACATGCCTGAACCGCAGCGTGGGCCGTGGCCCTGGAGCAAGAACAGGACCAGGGAGGGGCCCTGTGGCCATGAGGCCGGGGTGGAGGTGGCCCGAGCAGGCGAGGAGGGAGGCTGGGGCCTGCAGAGCACCCAGGCAACCTGGTGAGGACAGCTGGGGCA